>NC_000021.9:40916726-41584292 GCF_000001405.40 Homo sapiens
TTCGACCTAAACCCATAAAAACCCTAGAAGAAACCCTAGGCATTACCATTCAGGACGTAGGCATGGGCAAGGACTTCATGTCTAAAACACCAAAAGCAATGGCAACAAAGGACAAAATTGACAAATGGGATCTAATTAAACTCAAGAGCTTCTGCACAGCAAAAGAAACTACCATCAGAGTGAACAGGCAACCTACAACATGGGAGAAAATTTTCGCAACCTACTCATCTGACAAAGGGCTAATATCCAGAATCTACAATGAACTCAAACAAATTTACAAGAAAAAAACAAACAAGCCCATCAACAAGTGGGCGAAGGACATGAACAGACACTTCTCAAAAGAAGACATTTATGCAGCCAAAAAAACACATGAAAAAATGCTCATCATCACTGGCCATCAGAGAAATGCAAATCAAAACCACAATGAGATATCATCTCACACCAGTTAGAATGGCAATCATTAAAAAGTCAGGAAACAACAGGTGCTGGAGAGGATGTGGAGAAATAGGAACACTTTTACACTGTTGGTGGGACTGTAAACTAGTTCAACCATTGTGGAAGTCAGTGTGGCGATTCCTCAGGGATCTAGAACTAGAAATACCATTTGACCCAGCCATCCCATTACTGGGTATATACCCAAAGGATTATAAATCATGCTGCTATAAAGACACATGCACATGTATGTTTATTGCGCCACTATTCACAATAGCAAAGACTTGGAACCAACCCAAATGTCCAACAATGATAGACTGGATTAAGAAAATGTGGCACATATACACCATGGAATACTATGCAGCCATAAAAAATGATGAGTTCATGTCCTTTGTAGGGACATGGATGAAATTGGAAATCATCATTCTCAGTAAACTATCGCAAGAACAAAAAACCAAACACTGCATATTCTCACTCATAGGTGGGAATTGAACAATGAGATCACATGGACACAGGAAGGGGAACATCACACTCTGGGGACTGTAGTGGGGTGGGGGGAGGGGGGAGGGATAGCACTGGGAGATATACCTAATGCTATATGACGAGTTAGTGGGTGCAGCGCACCAGCATGGCACATGTATACATATGTAACTAACCTGCACAATGTGCACATGTACCCTAAAACTTAAAGTATAATAATAAAAAAAAAGAAACAGAATTTTAAGAATGAATTTTCTTAATTGGTTTTGGAGTTTCTCAACTTTGCTCTCTAATCTGACTAGACCTAAAAATGCGAAAGATTGTACCAATAGTTCAGATAGCACTGATAGTCCATGGCATGAACTGTTAATAGAGATACACAAAACAAATAATTTTAATACTCCTAATTCACCACCTTATGAAGCAAAGAACTCATTGACTCTGTAGATGACACTTTTGAGCATTTGTGGGAAACCACACAATATAATGACATCAATTGGTTGCTCCTAACATCACTGGACAAAGTGATGAAAGAAGGATGAGCTCAGAGATTCCAACTCTCTGCTCCAGATGTACATAAATAGCCCAAAAGCTTCCAAATGTGCCCTGAAGGAGAATCTCCTCTTCTGTAGCCACAGGGTTAACATTGCTGAAAATCAAACACAAGCCCTCATCCTGAGATTGGCTGACTTACAATGAAAAGTGAACTCTTAGTCTTGCCAGGGGTCTACTATTAAAATCATGGCATTGATTGGGAAAGAATAGGACCCTGTGAGCTGGGATGGGGCCATGTGGGAAGACCCTGATAAAGCTCGGGACACTGATCTCCTAAATTCTGATGAATCTTGTTTTCCCGGGAAAGTGGCCTCTTCACCCTCAATGGCAGTGGCATCCTGGGGGATGTAGGCCTCTCCACCTGTTTGAGAGGCAAAACCCTGCATTGCCTGAGGAAATGGTCATGGCCTCCCCTCAGGCAAGACAATGCTGATTCTCCTCGAGACCCAGCCCCACCATCCCTCTGCTTCCAGACCTTTAACTATGCTGAAGTCCCAGCTGGACCCTAAAGGTCAGATACACAGGGTGACACATGGGAGGTGTGGTACAGTCAAAAACATTATTTGAATTTTCTAATTTATGCAAGCAGAAATCTGGAAAACACATGTGGGAATGCATATTAAGAATGTTGGAAAATGATGGAAGGAACATAAAGTTGGATCGGGAAAGTTGTGTTAATAGGGGCTCATTAAGCAGGGATTCTGCATTTAATGTTGCAGCTCAGGGAGTTTAAACAGGCAATAATTGTTTGGTTGGTTGGCTGAAACATGGACCAAAAGATGGTGTGCCCTGAATGAGTTGGAGACGTCTGATCTCCCTTGGGCTAATATAGAGGCAGGGACTCAAAGGCTTAGGCAGACTGGAATCCTAGAGTGGGTTTGTCACTTAAAACCCACTCACCCACACTGGTGGATCCAGAAAACAGATGTTTCACCAACTCCTTGAGAAACAGGTTTGTATGGAAGTCCCAGCATCCCTGAAGAGCTCTATGATTGCTGTTCCCTGTATGCCAGATCCTACCGTGGGAACCACGATTACTCAATTGGAAAACTTAAATGCAATGGGGATAATTGGATCCTGGGGTGGCAGAGGTCAAGTGGCAGCACTCAATCCCCAAAGGCAAGGAGGGTGCAGTTACTGTAATGGACAGCAGAGGCAATTCAGCAATCAGAGGTCTGACTCATGTTGGCCTATGACATTGGAGTTAATCATGGTGTTCCTAGAAATGAAATAAATGGGAAGTCTACTACATTCTTACTTGGTCTGTATAAGCAGAAAACTTTCAGGGCAGGTGAATAAAAGTCTAACTCAAATCATAAAAACAGAATCATGAGCCCTCAACCAATTTCTGGACTTGAGCCAGTTTATAGATGCAGAGCCCCTTGCGTGAAAGGGAGACCAGGTCTCCCTGAAGAAGGACACTGGTACACTACTGAAAATGTATACCGTTAAAGTTTCTCTGATGCTTCCCCAAAGGGACCTCTGGCATTTAGCCAGAATGACTGTGCATTGTGGGAAAGGAAATAATCAGATTTTTCAAGGACCTACTGGACACTGCCTCTGAACCTAAAACATCACTGGGGCCATTCAATTAGGGTAGGGTTTATTGAGATCAAGTCATTAATGGAGTTTTGGCTCAGTTCTGACTTACGGTATGTCCAGGAGGTCTCCAGACCCACATGTGGTCATTTCCCCCATGCTGGATGCATAATTAGAATAGATGCACACTTAGCAGATGGCAGAATCCCTACATTGGTTACCTGACCTGTGGAATCAGGGCTTCTATGGCAGGAAAGGCCAAATGGAAGCTGTTAGAGCTCCCTCTACCTAGGAAAATAGTAAATCAAAAACAATATTGCACCCCTGAAGGTGTTACAGAGATTAGTGCTACCATTAAGGACTTGAAAGATGCAGGGGTGGTCATTTCCATCAAATCCCCATTCAACTCTTCTGCTTGGCCTGTGCAGAAGACAGATGGATTTTGGAGAATGACAGTGGACTTTCATAAGCTTAACCAGGTGGTGACTCCAATTGCAGCTGCTGTACCAAATGTAGTTTCATTGCTTGAGAAAATCAACACATCTCCTTGTACATGGTATGCAGCTATTGATCTGGCAAATGCCTTTGTTGCCTCATCCCTGTCCATAAGGCTCACAGGAGGCAGTTTTCTTTCAGCTGGCAGGGCCAGCAATACACCTTCACTGTCCTACCTCAAGGGCCTATCGTCTCTCTAGTCCTATGTCACAAGTTTGTTTGCAGGGAACTTGATTGCCTTTCCTTCCACAAGATGTCATACTGGTGTGTTACATTGATGACTTTATGCTGATTGGACCTAGTGAGCAAGAAGTAGAAATTGTTCTGGAATTATTGGTAAGACATTTGCATGTCAGAGGGTGAGAGTGAAATCCATTTAAGATTCAGGGGCCTTCTACCTTAGTGAAATTTTCAAGGGTCCAGTGGTATTGGGCCTGTTGAAACATCCCTTCTAATGTGAAGGATAAGTTGCTGCATCTGGCCCCTCCTACAACCAAAACAGAAGGACAACACCTAGTGGGTCAATTTGGATTTTGGAGGGAAGATGGTTGGGTGTTTCTCCAGTTCATTCATAAAGTGATCCAGAAAAAGCTGTTAGTTTTGAGTGGGGCTCAGAAAAGAAGGCTCTGCAACAGGCCCAGGCTGTTGTTCAAGCTGCCCTGCCACCTGGACCATATGACCCAGCAGATCCAATGGTGCTGGAGGTGTCAGTGGCAGAGAGGAAAACAGTGTGGAGCTTCAGGCATTCCCTATAGGTGAATTGCAGTGGAGGCCTCTCGGATTTTGGAGGAAGGCTCTGCCATCCTCCACAGATAACCATTCTCTTTTTGAGACAGCTCTTGGCCTGCAACTGGGCCTTGATAGAAACTAAACACTTTACCATGGGCTACCAGGTTACCATGTGACCTGGGGTCCCCATCACAGACTGGGTCATAAAGTTGGGCATGCACATGACCCACCACGCCGTAAAGTTGGGCATGCACAGGAGCTGTCCATCATCAGACAGGAGTGGTCTGTACGTGACTGGGCCCAAGCAGGCCCTGAAAACATGAGTAAGTTACACGAAGAAGTGACCCCAATGGCCATGGTCCCCACTCCTGCTATACTGCCTTCTCTCTTCCAGCCTGCACCGTGGCCTCATGGGAAGTTCCCTATGATCAGGTGACAGAGGAAGGGAAGACTCGGGCTTGGTTTACAGATGGTTCTGCACCATGTGTGGGCACCATCCAGAAGTGCACACTTGCAGCACCACGACCCCTTGCTGGGACACCCCGGAAGGATGGTGGTGAATGGAAATCTTCCCAGTGGGAAATTATGGTTACCAGCTGCTTGGAAAGGAGCAGGTGGGGAGAAGGGATCAAGAGAAGTTGGTTGAGGGGTACAAAAATACAGGTAGACAGAAGGAATAAGCTCTAAAGTTCAATAGCAGAGTAGGATGACTATAGCTAATAATAATGTACTGTGTACTTCAAAATACCTAGAAAAGAAGATTTGTAATGATCCTAACACAAAAAATGATATATGTTTGAGGTGATTGATATCCCGATTTCCCTGATTTAATCATCTCACATTGTATACAGGTATCAAAATATTACATGCACCTCTAAAATATGTACAATCTTTATATACCAATGAAAATAATTAATTAACAATTAAATGAAAAAGGATATCAAAATGTATGAATGCTATGCTTGCGAATATGAAAATAATTATACAAATATGGTAACAGAGAAAGGTGATGACATTAAAATTAATTTTTAAACTTAAAAAAAGACAAACTCAGGGTTTGAGGTTTAATAAAATTATTTCAGATTATTTCATCAAGAAGAATTCAATGACTACTATTAAGTTTGAATCCATGGCCTTCATTTATCCTGAAGCACCAGAAGTTTTACCTACCGTGATGGTTAATTTTATGTCAACTTGAGTACACTATGGTGCTCAATTGTTTGATCAAATACTGATCTAGATGTTTCTGTGTGGGTACTTTTAAAATGAGATTAGGATGGATGTGATTACAGGCTCAAGCCTGTAATCCCAGCATTTTGGGAGGCCAAGGCGAGTGGATCACCTGAGGTCAGGAATTAGAGACCTGCCTGGCCAACATAGTGAAACCCCATCTCTACTAAAAATACAAAAAATTAGCCAGGCACGATGGTGGGTGCCTGTAATCCCAGCTACTCCAAAGGCTGAGGCAGGAGAATCACTTGAACCCAGGAGGCGGAGGTTGCAGTGAGCCGAAGTTGCACCATTGAACTCCAGCCTGGGCAACAAGAGCGAAACTCCATCTCACACACACACACACACACACACAAAAGATGCGATTAACATTTAAATCCATAGATTTTGAGTAAAGCAGATTATTCTTCATAATGTGGGTGGGTCTTATCCAATCAGTTGAAGGTCTTAAAAGAAAAAACTAAGCTCTCTGGAGGAAGAGGAAATTCAGCCTGCAGACCGCCTTTGGGCTCCAGACTAAAACATCAACTTTTCCCTGAGTCTCTAACCTGATGGTATACCCTGCAGATTTCAGATTTGTTAATTCCCACAAGTACATAGCTGATTCCTTAAAATTATCTATCTATCTATCTATCTATCTATCTATCTATCTATCTATCATGTATATATGTATTATCCCACTCTTCTGTATCTCCATCCTATTATTTCTCTCTGGAGGACTCTGACTAATACACTTAGCATCACTTTTGCATTATTAGTGCAAATGTCTACACAGTGCAAAAAAAAAAAAAAAAGGCAAATAGCACCTTAGTATTATATTAAGAAAATCTTTTTGATTATATGATATAAGTGCTTTTGACCTCATGGCCCACAGAAAGGGTCTCAGAGATTCCACAGCCTACACGTGGAAAATCTCTGCCCTAACCCGTTTTTCTCTCCTGACATCTCTGCAGTCTCAAACCTTCATAACAGACAAATAATTGGACTCTGTACCAAACCTGATTAAAGAAGAGCTTAGAGTCTCTGAGAAGAAGACAACAGGACCATCCTGGAGGGCCCTCCGAGTGCTTTGATTCCTGGGAAAAGCAATTCCCTGAGCCTTGCTGTGCTACACAACCAAGATGGCCTTCCTGACATCATTTCCCCAAGTGCCCTTGATTCAAAAGGTTTTTTTTTTTGATGATTCTATTTGACACAAAGTCCTAAGAGTTCCTGTTCCTGCGCTTCGAGAGTAGCCGTCACGCATATTTTATCTCTATAAATTATGAGAAATTGAGCCATCATGGGGTGGGAACAAAACAGGACATGTTCTTTATTTCCCCTTTTGTCCCCTCGAGGCGCAGCGTGGGCGGATAGAACTTGGGAGAGGCAAGAAGGTACTCCTGTTGGCTGAGAGCTCAGGAAGTTTTGGACCAAAGCCAGGCCACCTCAAGAAAAAGGAGAAAGGGAAAGAAAATTCCACAGTTGGTGGTAGAACTGTCTCTTTGCCTGGGGGAACTTTAGCATTCAAGTTATTAAATAAAGCAGCCCATCTGGCAGTTGGCTATGAGAAGCAATTCATACCATTGTAAATGGATTAGTGAAATGTAATTCCTTTCACATTTCAGTTTCAATTATTCCAAATGGGTGCACGATTCTTAATGTTCAGGAATTGTTTTGAATGTCTGCAGAAATGCAAAAAGTAAATATGTTTCCTGTTAGGGGGCTCCAAAGAATGTTTCCCATTCTCGTTCTTGCCGTCTTTGCCTTAGTCCACCTTTTTAGCGCCAGGTCAATCAGCAGCCTTATTTAGGTACGAAGAAGGGAATTCATTTGTGTTCACTGAGAAGACTTGAAATGCCCCGGGGAAGACCTGAGGAGGGGCTGTTGTGGTCCTTACCCAACGCTCTCAAATGGTGATTCTGACAGGAGCCTGGAGCTGGCAGGGTGAGAGTTCCTACCCCTGGAGCCTGGCTCTGTTGAATTCCTAGAAGAAGAGTAATTAACATGGGCTGCAGCAATGGCTTGGGAGGGTGTTTGCATCTACCTGAACTCTGCAATTACATGGCACAGCCTGGTGTGGAATCCAAAGAGCAGCCCTCGGGATGATCATGAACTTGGGTGCTACCTCAAGTTGGGAGCAGCTGAGCCCTGCTCATCACCCAAGGGTGGGATCACCTCAGGGCCACCCTGCACACACAATGGGCTGTTTTTGCTGGTCGGTATTGATGCCCTTTATACATGTGGTACTGAGCTCAGTGACCACCCAGGTGGTCAGCACTTGTTGCCCCTTTTATACCAGGAAGCTATGAATGGCTGCAGAGAGACAGGCTGTAAAAGTCAAGTCCAAATACAGAAATTCTATGGATTGTAGCTGCAGAAAAAAAAAAAAAATCCCTTTCAAATGTGGTACTAGGGAGTGGGGGAGGAATGTTGTTTTCCCCTGGGAAATCACGACTCCACGAATTTCATTCACAGAGGTGATAGGAAAATATAAAAGCTGGGCCAAGTGGACAAAAAAAAAGGCAACAAGAAGTACAGCCTGTTTGATCACAAAGTCAAGGAGGAGCAGCTTCAGGCACAGGGTTGGGGGCGGGGGGCTTCCCCGCGTGAAGCCAAGGAATGCAACGTGGATCTCACAGAGAAGGACCCAGGCAGGGGCAGGGGAAAGGACAGCTGTGGAGGAAGTGACCAGGCCCAAAGCAAGTGACGGTGCAGGACACGTGCAAATTCCACAGCCACTGGATGCTAGCACAAATAAGTGTGAGAAACACACTCCCGGCTGGGGTGTGAGTGCCTGAGAACCACAAACGTACCTCCGTCCTGCCTGCATTCATGTATCCCTATTGCATTCAAGTTGCCAGTACTCACCACCAAATACATCTACAATGCCCAATTTAAACCAATGTACTGGAAATGTCATTGAGTGCCAGGGGTTACACAGAACCTGCAGCCCAAACCTCTCCAGGCTCCTCAAGGAAATATCTGGCTCCAAACTTTCTTTTAATTACTGAAAATCCCAGATGCTCCACATATAGAGAGATTAACAGATGCTCCAGGGGACAAGGTCTATGAACATGCAATTACCCTACAAATTCATAGTATTAGTTCTTGGTTTAAACAGATTTCCTTCTTTTACCCAGTTGAAAAGCATCTCTGGAAGTCAGAAGTAGTAACTAGGTGTTTTCCCTCCATTTCATCTCTGCCCCCAAATAAAGAAAAAAAAAAAGTCTCTCTGACTTATTTTCTAGCTCCAGGTCAAAGGACAAAATGGAAAGAACATTTTGAGGCTGTATTTTCTCATTTAGAACCTTCTTACCACTTCTCGAATGAGCATCACGTTGCATAAGAAAAGGGTTTCCCCCACCCCTCACCTGTGTTCACAGGTAGGGCCGACTCTTTCTTTCCTGCACCTGGGGTCACACAGAAGATTCTCAAGTGGGGCTTCTTCTACTTGCATTTCAGAGCTAGACAGGGCTGGAAGAATGGTGATACACGCCTGACCAATTTTATTGTCATCTGTCAAAGAGCCCACTAGCCCTGTAAGAGGGAGACAGGTGATGGGAATAAAGAAGCTAGAGTTTCAGGGCTGCCATCACGGTCTGGGGTTTCATTGCAATATTCTGTGATTTTATGGGAATGCAAATAATGGATACGAAGGAAGACAGAGAATGAGAGACCTGCAGAGGTAAGAGTAACTCACCTGAAGTCGAAAAGAGGCCAAGGCCCAGGCTATTTCATGATTTCTTATCAACTTTTATTTTTATATTCCAATCACAGCTGCCAGTGGGATTAATTTTAAGTGTATATTTAACTCCTAACAGAGTGGAGCTTGCCACAGTCTCTACCATAATGAGACAATTGTAAATTACTCATACAGGAATAAAAATGATCCAGTTAAACGATGTAGATTAGCTGTCTAAACTGTCCAAACTCGCTTTCTTTCCTCCTTTGAGGACTTTCCTCCTTAGACTCCTATATAGTGAGTCTCTGTGTGTGTGCACCAGTGTGTGTGTGCACAAGCATGTATATTTCTGTGTTTGTGTGAGTGCTTCTCTGAGCAGTAATTCCACCCAAGGAGTCTGCACTGTGCTAAAACCAGTGGGTGCTTTAAAAAAAAAAAAAGAGAGAGAGAGATGGGTGTTTCAGGGATCTCTGAAATTTTTTTCATGGTATTAAGAAATACAAATATTCCTCAAAACTGAAAAAAAAATTTAGAATAAATCTATTATCTGATAGGGTAGGAGAGGGAATTTGCTGAGTCAAGTGTGATTAAAGCTGAACCATCAGATTTACATCCTATACAAATTGTCAACTTCCAGAAAGGTCACATGAAGATTTTTCCAACAGAGCAACTACATTGGAGTTCAGCTGGAATTGCACTAAATCTAAATTTTCCACAATGTTCTAGAGAAAAAAATGTAAACTCCTGTTTGTTTTTTCCTGCTCTTACTGAACTCATGGTCTCAGCCCTGCTTGGATCTGGGGGCCGTTTAAATGTCTGATAGAATCTATGGACTTTCTTCCCCAACAGACCCAATTTAGATACAGATTTCAAGAGTTTATGAATCCTTTGAACCAGATACATTGACCATTTAGAAAGTTAAGAACTCTAGACTCATTCTTTAAACAAATATGTACCAAGCATTGACTATGTGCGAGTCCATTACTAGGTACCAAGTACACAGAGATCTCAGAAAAAGTGGTCTCTGTTCTCAGGAAGGAGAACAAGGGCAATATGCAGATAAGCAAATAGTATCTAATAATATAAGCAGCAGATAAGCAAATAATAAATAAGATAGCTGCTAATCATAATGAATTCTAGGAAGAAAGTAATCTGGAGTGGCTCACACTGCCCCAGGAACATGATTATAAGATCACATTTCTCTAAATTTTATGTGTAATAGAGTTTTGTGGGTAGAAAACAGCTTTTAAATACTAGAATTGACTCCACAGTATCATATTATTATTCTAGATCAAGAGACTCTTAGGATCCTGAGTCTCCCACAAGGGAAGGGATCTCCCATTTAGTTTCTCTCCATTACTCACAGATAATCCCACCTTCTTGAACTCTTTCCAGAAAGAACCAAAAGGATGCAACTTCACAGGGCACCCTGCTCCATTTGAACACTCCCAGTTGTTAGATCGATGTCTTTTACTTATAACAACTTGAAATTTGACTTTTTATAACTTCCAAACAAGTATATTATGATTATTTCTAAATTATCAAATAAAGGATGAGTCTCACCCATCCTTTTGTAGATCCTTCCATAGGCTCTTTTTTCTAGGTTAGACATTCAGTTTCCATAGTAATTCCTGAATAATTAACTCACCATACTTCTCATTCCAATCTTTTAAAGCCCTGGAGCTGAACTGAATAATGCAGAATATTCCATAGCAATCACCATCTTTGGCATAAAGCATTTTATTTATATTAAGCCTCAGATTGCTTTTATTTTCTTACTTAATTCAGTACCCCACTGATGCTATTGAGCTTCCCAGTAATTAAAACCACCTCAGCGTTTCTGTTAACTATTCTTAATCCAAGTCGTCTCCTTTCTACTGTTTTTTTTTTTTAATCTAGCTTCTTGAATTGAATGCTTAACTAATTTACTTGTCTTCTTTAAATATTTAAGTATTTATTATACAAGACTATTATTTAGTAAGACTAAATATTACATATAATTTTATTTGTTCAAATTAAATAAAACCATTTAAGGCTATAAATGTACCAGGAAGTGCTGCTTTGGCAGCATCCCACCAGTTTCTTAAGCAGAGTTTCACTGTTGTTCTAACTACTTCTTAATCTGCACTGCAAATTTTCTGCTAACTAAAGAGGTATTTAGTAAAAGCATAATGTGCATTTGCTGTATTATCTGAGAATATTAAATTCTGCTATAAAGACAAGGACAAAAACAGGATGGATGACACCCCATGTGTATTAGTCTTCTCACGCTACTAATAAAGACATATCCAAGACGGGGTAATTTATAAAGGAAAGAGGTTTAATGGACTCACAGTTCCACATGGCTGGGGAGGCCTCACAATCATGGTGAAAGGCAAGGAGGAGCAATGTCATGTCTTACATGGTGGCAGGCAAGAGCACGCGTGCAGGGGAACTCCCCTTTATAAAACCATCATATCTCATGAGACTTATCTACTATTATGAGAACAGCATGGGAAAGACCTGGTCCCATGATTCAATTCCCTCCCACTGGGTCCCTCCTATGACACATAGGAATTATGGGAGCTGCAATTCAAGATGAGATTTGGGTAGGGAGAGAGTCAAACCATATCATTCTTCCCCTGGCCCATCCCAAATCTCATGTTTTCACATTTCAAAACCAATCACGCCTTCCCAACAGTCTCCCAAAGTCTTAACTAATTCCAGCATTAACTCGAAAGTCCACAGTCCAAAGTCTCATCTGAGACAAGGCAAGTCCCTTCTGCCTCTGAGCCTGTAAAATCAAAAGCAAGTTAGTTACTTCCTAGATGCAATGGGGATACAGACATTGAATAAATACACCCATTCCAAATGGGAGAAATTGTCCAAAACAAAAGGGCTACAGGCCCCATGTAAGTCCAAAATCCAGCAGGGCAGTCAAATCTTAAAGTTCCAAAATGATCTCCTTTGACTCCACGTCTCACATCCAGATCATGCTGATGCAAGAGGTGGGCTCCCAAGGTCTTGGGCAGCTCTGTCCCTATGGCTTTGCAGGGTACAGTCCCCCAGATGGCTAGCATTGAGTGTCTGTGGGTTTTCTAGTATATGGTGCAAGCTGTCAATGGTCAGATCTACCATTCTGGGGTCTGGAGGACAGTGGCCCTCTTCTCACAGCTCCACTAGGCAATGCCCTGGTAGGGACTCTGTGTGGGGGCTCTGATCCCACATTTCCCTTCTGCATTGCCCTAACAGAGGTTCCCATAAGGGATCCACCCCTGCAGCAAACTTTTGCCTGGGCAGCCAGGCATTCCCATGCATTCTCTGGAATCTGGGTGGAGGTTCTCAAACCTCAATTCTTGGCTTCTGTGCACCTGCAGGCTCAACACAACATGAAAGCTGCTGAGGGTTGGGGCTTTCACCCTCCAAAATCACAGCCCAAGCTGTACCTTGGCCCCTTATAGCCATGGCTGGAGCAGCTTGTATGCAGGGCACCAAGACCCTAGACTGCACATAGCAGGGGCCCCTGGGCCCTGCCAGGAAACCATTTTTCCCTCCTAGGCCTCCAGGACTGTGATGGAAGGGGCTGCCATGAAGGTCTCTGACATGTCCTGGAGACATTTTCCCTATTGTCTTGGTGATTAACATTTGGCTCCTCCTTACTTATGCAAATTCCTACAGCTGGTTTGAATTTCTCCCCAGAAAATGGGGTTTGCTTTTCTATCACATCATCAGGCTGAAAATTTTCCAAACTTTTATCCTCTTCTTCCTATTGAATTCTTTGACACTTAGAAAGTTCTTCCCCAGATACCCTGAAACATCTCTCTCAAGTTCAAAGTTCCACAGATCTCTAGGGCAGGGGCAAAATGCCACCAGTCTCTTTGCATAGCAAGCATGACCTTTACTCCAGTTCCCAACAAATTCCTCATCTCTATCTGAGACCACCTCAGACTGGACTTTATTGTCCATATCACTATCAGCATTTTGGTCAAAGCTATTCAACAAGTCTCTAGGAATTTCCAAACTTTCCCGCATCTTCCTACCTTCTGAGCCCTCCAAGACTCTAGGAAGTTCCAAAGTTTTCCACATTTTCCTGTCTTCCTCTGAGCTCTCCAAACTGTTCCAACATCTGCCTGTTACTCAGTCCCAAAGTTGCTTCCACATTTTTGCATATCTATACAGCAGCACCCCACTCCCAGTACCAATTTATTGTATTAGCCTGTTCTCCAGCTACTAATAAAGTCATACCCAAGACTGGGTAATTTGCAAAGGAAAGAGGTTTAATGGCTGGGGAGGCCTCACAATCATGGTGGAAGGCAAGGAGGAGCAAAGTCACATCTTACATGGTGGCAGCCAAGAGCACGTGTGCAGGGAACCCCTTTATAAAACCATCAGATCTTGTGAGACTTATTTACTATCATGACAACAGCATGGGAAAGACCTGGCCCCATGATTCAATTACCTCCCACTGGATCCCTTCCACAACACATGGGAATTGTGGGAACGATAATTCAACATGAGATTTGGGTGAGGACACAGCTAAACCATATCTTCATAGAAGAGATGGAAAGTCTGGGCTTAGACAAGTTGCTTCCCTGGGATCACAAAGCTGGTGAGCAGTTCAACAGGATTAGACTCTAAATCTCCTTTGACCTTTTCTCTTCACTATGATGGGAATGGAAAGTATCATCAGAAATGATAGAAAGTGTCTATAAAAGGAACACTGGCACGGGGCTTGGGACACTCACTGCCTGTGTCTGCTCATCCCTCAATGAGTTAAATCACCTTAAGTGAGTCATCTGATCTCTCTGAATCCACCTGCTCTTACGTATAGAGAGCAAAGTAGTTGGACCTAGGTGATGGCTAAGGCCCTTTTCAGCATTGACATTTTTGGTATCTCCCAAAATACAAATTGGCAAATTTCATTGGGATTTGCTTTTAGAAGTGGCTTCTGTTAGTCAGTCCCCCCACAGATGGTCAAGTCCATGCTGCACTGCACAAGGCTTTGATATAAAGGAGCACAAATTTCCTGTCATTTATGTAAAATACATCTTCTTGGCTTGGAAATCAAAGAGATTTTTTAACTGCCAATTCTACCCTGTCCATTTGGGAACTGATGAGTATTTGAAATGTTCCCATCATTTAGGGAATTTCCTGGCCTCTCCTAGTGCTCAGTGTGGGGGGCTAGCCCTGCACTCCTGCATCCTGAGGTGTCAAGAGAGAGGACACCTGGATTCTGTCCTAAGTGGAGAGAATTGGAGGACGGGGATGGGGGGGTAGATAATCATAGAAAGATAATTTCAATATTCAGCTTTTCACTTGCTTTCTCTGTTTCATGCTTCATGCTTCCTTAGTATGAGACAAGTAAGCATTGGCTAGGTGAAGAGGTAGGGAGGGAGTTTTTCTGTTGGATGAAAGCTTTGTGGGACGAGCAGCAGCATAGTTAGGCTTCAGAAATGTGTGTAGTATAGTACTTGAGGTAGTGCATGTAAGGCAATATATACGTTGCATGACAAGAATAGAAACAAGCTGGGTCCAGCCCTGCAGGGCCAGGTCAGCAGCATGAGAAGCCAGTCTGTGCTGAAGGCAATTGGAGGCACGGAGAGGTTTCAAGCAGGAGAGTCATATGACTAGATTCCCATTCATGAAAGAGCTCTGTGACTGCTATAAGCATTTTACAGTAGCCAGTCTGACAGCCTGGGCATTGTTTAGGAGATAGTTGCAGCAATTTTAGTGAGAGATAGTGCAATTATGCAGAGTTAGGGATATTGCAGGAGTGAGAATAAGTTGTTGAGGTTGACTTTAGAGCTCTGGTTTGGGAGCTAGGGCAGTAGTGAGGCCATTCATTGCTATCACAGAGGACTCAAAAATAGAGAAGTGAATAACTGAGTTTTGGAGAAGTTGAGTTACAGATGGGGTGCGGCAGCTAAGTGACACTATTTGGCAGAGTGGAGCACCTTCAGCAGATAGAAGGAAAGATGGTGGCTGATAGCAGAGGGAGCAGATGAGAGTAATGGGAACACAATGTAGATTTCAGTGGGTGGTGGAATAGATGCAAGGTATAGAGTGGGGACAGCAAGTGTAGACAAGTTGGCTTCTAAAAGGAGGAGAGACAGAGGGACACATGGGGTTGGGAAAGTTGCTGTTTTGTTTGTGTTTTTGTTAATAAAGGAGATTGGGGTTGGTTTAAATGCTCACGGCAGTGTAACAGTAGAGAAAATGACCCTCACGTCATTACTCAGCTAATGTAACAGCCTAGCACCAAACACATGTCTAAGCATGGCATTTGGGACTTTTCATAAATCAGCCTACTATGGGCAGAATTATGTCCCCAAGAAACATATGTCCAAGTCCTAACCCCTGGTACCTGTGAACATAAATTCACAGGCTACATAAGGCAATTTAACTGGAAATAGGGTCTTTGCCGATGTAATCAAGATGAGGTCAGAGTAGATTTGGGTTGAGTCTAAGTGGAGTCCTAAGTGGAGAGAATTGGAGGGTGGGTGAATGGATAATCATATAAAGATAATTGCAATACCCAGCTCTTCACTGTCTTTCTCTGCTTAATGCTTTTTTAGCATGAGACAAGTAAGCATTGGCTAGGTGAAGATGTAAGGAGGGTGTTTTTCTGTTGGACAAAGGTGTCCTAAATCCAAAGAGTCCTAAATCCAACAACTGGTGTTCTTACAAGAGGGAAATTTGGACAATAAGATACACACAGGAAGTAGGCCATGGATGACAGAGGCAGGGATTTGGGTGAAGCTTCCACAAGCCAGGGACACCAAGGATAACTGGCCACCCCCAGAAACTGGAAGAGTTTTCAGAGACAGCATGGCCCTACGGCTCATGAATATGGGACTTCAATGACTTCTAGAGACTCCCAGCTTCTACAACTGCAAAAGAGTGGATTTCTGTTTGTTTGGGTTTTGTTGTTGTTGTTGTTTGTTTTTGTGTTTTGTTTTGTTTTGTTTTGAGACAGAGTCTTGCTCTGTCACCCAGGCTGGAGTGCAGTGGCATGATCTTGGCTCACTGCAAGCTCCGCCTCCCAGGTTCACGCCATTCTCCTGCCTCAGCCTCCCAAGTAGCTGGGACTACAGGTGCCTGCCACCACGCCTGGCTAATTTTTTGTATTTTTAGTAGAGACAGGGTTTCACCGTGTTAGCCAGGATGGTCTCGATCTCCTGACCTCGTGATCCACCTGCCTCAGCCTCCCAAAGTTCTAGGATTGGATTTCTGTTGTTTTAAGCCAGCTGGTGTACATTAGTTTTTTCCAGAGGCCCTAGGACACTCTGTCCCACCCCTCCCGAGTGTGTGAACCTGGCCCCGCAGCCACACCTGGCACTTTTCATCCCCAGCGGCTCCCTCCAGGGTCCTGCCTCCATGTCTACTGATTTCTTCCCACCTCCTGAGATGTCCTTTCCCCACCTTTTTGCCTTGAAATTCTTTCCGTCCTTCCAAACCAAATCTATGTTAGGCTTAACGTCTCTCTAGAGAACCCATCTGTAGCTCCCATGGTATCCTGCTGATGGGCACCTGTCACCCTTACCTCATCATGTTTCGCACAACACTGCTCTGATGTGTCCTCAGCCACACTGTTAACCTCTGAGAAGAAGGCTAAGCCATTTTTATCTCTGCCTCCCCACTGCTGCTGAAATGGTGGATCTTTCGGGGCCTAGCCAGGAAAACAAAATCCCCATCAGATAATTTAATAGAGGAAATATAACTGGGAGAATTAAATGCAAAAGTATTTAAAGAATTAAAAGCACACACAGCGGAAAGGGAGGCAACCCAGAGATTAGCAGCACAAGGAGACTGGAGAAACAAATGGAGAGGACAAGGGGAGGAATGGAACTACCAGCAGGAGGGGAAACCACAGAGAACATGCATCTGGGGCCAGAGGCTCCATCCAGCACAGAGGGAAGCTGAGGAAAGTCCCAGCTTCTCCTTTCCCCTGACTTCCCCAATCCAACCCAAAACCAGCAGATGGGGGCTGCAGGCCTGGTTATGGGGCCAGCCCCACTGTGTTAAGGAGCAGAGCATAAAACAGCCCAGAAATAGATCCAAGGGCAAGCAAGTGGACCGCACAGATGGCAAAGGCTGGGATTTCTCAGGCAAATGAGTCAATTTTTAGCAAATAGCTAAAAATGCTGTAACACGGTTGCCGTCATAAGAGCCAGACAGCAAAGAGGATGCTGTAGACACATGGTGGAGCATTTGGTGAGGCCCTGTAGTTGGTGGAATAATCCCCCCCAGCAAATGCCTTCACCCCAATCCCCTGTGGATATGTCACGTTATATAGTGAAAAGGACTGCCTGATGTGACTGAATTAAGGATCTGCTGTTGGCGAGATGATCTCTGATTATGCAGGGAAGCCCCATGGAATCACCAGGGTCTTTACAAAACAGATGCCAGAGGTCGGTAGGAGATGTGGCCAGAGAAGCAGCGCTCAGAGTGATGCAAAGGGGGCCTAAGCCCAGGAATGCAGGCAGTAGTCTCCAGGAGCCGAAAAAGGCAAGGCAGCAGGTTCCCCCAGAGCTCCAGAAGGAACCACGCCTGCCAACTCCTTGATCTCAGCCCCCTAAGATTCATTTTAGACTTCCGATCTCCAAAAACTACGGGAGAATAAACTTGTATTGTTTTAAGCCACAAAGTTTGTGGTGATTTGTGGCAGCAGCAACAAGAAACTAGTTAGTACGCATCCTTCATGAGGAGTCAGACTTAAGGAGAGAGGGGTGTCCAGATTTAGTGTGAACCAAGGGCTTACCGTCCTGGTGAAGGTGGTAGGTGCTCAGGTGAGAGAAAAAACAGAAAGGAAAAAGGAAGGAGAGGAAAGGCCAGGAAGGAGACTTACTTACCTGCTGGTCATGTGCATCCCAGAGGTAGAAAGGATTGGGTGGGCAATTGCGAGGCTACACTAAGGAGCCTTCAAACTCCTAGCTGAAGAATGTCTATTTTACGTGGCTGTTAGAGAAATATTAAACTCAGTAGAAATCTGGCCATGCATAAAGATCCAACCGCCACTGCCTGGAATGGAGTAATTGCCCAGCGACGCTGGTATTTGTGGTTAATCTGAATTATTTCGGCAAAGTGATCCTGTTTTTGTTTTGTAGATTTTTTGTTTTATTTCTTCCTGACCTGTATTGTTCAACACTTGCTTTGATTTTCCACTAGAAGACCTAATGCAAATCTGGATTTTTCTTTTCTTTCTTTTTTCTTTTTTTTTTTTTTTTTTTTTTTTACTAATATAAGGTAATTTCAGTCAAAAACCACTAAACGCTGATAAAAACTCTAGGTGAACTCTGTATCTTTTGATTCCTTTTAGCCTAATGGCCACTGATTACTGTGCTGATCTAGGAAGCTGCTTATTCGTTTTACCACCAGGCAGCCAGCATGGAATTCCATTGCATTGGTGTGCTTTGTTTAACTTTTTAAAACTCCTGATGTGAAGTCTCCTGAAACTAACCTTATTTTGTCTAAAATTACAGTTAAATCCACTTAATCCACATGGTTCTGTAAAACCATTGTCTGTAAGTTATTTTGATTTTTTTAAGTGCATTTGCTTTATTTTGAAAGCTCAGGTCTAACCAAATATTTCTCTAAGAGTTCAATTTGGAATCAAGGCTAACAGAGCTGACTGGAGGATCATTTTCACATCACAACCTTCTGAGTCCTGGGAACACACAATGTCACCATTGTCAACATTGACTGGTGCATTCGTGATGGACAACAGGTTGGTTCATTACTGCAAACAGGCCCCAATTAGTTTGCTAAATGTGTTGTTATACCTGCATATGTTTTTTTTTAAATGTCTCTCTCCAACCACTCATTTCACCCTTTCAAAATGTAAAAGATTTTATAACAGGTTCCCAAGGTCACTGATGGGCACAGTGTACCTAAGTTTCCTATCCCTCTTTTTAAATTTTTCTTGTCTCCTACAACCATTTTATATCAGTGATTTAAAGTATGTTGGCATTGAAATTGGTTAGCAAGTTGATCTTTAAATATATTAAATCAGCTTGACATCTTATGATTATAGTAACTATTATCACTATTGCTTTAGAAACATATAAGTGAATTCAGATTTTAACAATACACTTTGTGATAAATACAAAATTAAATGAGACTATCTACTGAAATGGGCGAAGAGAACTAGAAAGTACTAAATTACAGAGTCCATGGCCAAAAGCACAAGATGGCATATTTTCCATCAACCAACTCAGTTGAGCTTGGCACATAGTAGGAACTCAAGAAATACTTGTGTAATGAATAAATTAATGAATGAAAATGAATTAAATAAAAATTAATTGCGATGTGGAAGAAATAATTTATCCATGACATAAAATTGTAGCTCATACTCTTCTTGGCAATATTTGTGCTTATGGAGAAAAAAATAAAATAAAATAAGTAATCCTCAATAAATTGTGAAACATTCCAGCTCCAGATATGACATGTTATGACCTTTCCATTGCTTTTAACTTGAGCACATTATCTGTGGTGCAGCTGAAGCGCTCTGAGATCAGCTTTCCTTTCTGCCAAGCGAGTCACAGTCATTGGCAACAGGCAGGAGCTCTCAGATCTGCCATGAACAAGATTAACTGAAGTACAGTTCCAAAAGAGAACTGGAGACCACCAAACATACATGTTTTTTAGAAGAAAGCAGAGAAGTGGGGGAAATCTTGGAAAATCTGTTTTTACATCTGAAGAGAAATTAACAGGAGTAGCATGACAAGGACTGCTGAGATGCACAGAGGTAAATAAGAGCATCAGGGTTTCCTCATATTAGCTAAAGCTTTATGATCCAAATTCTCTAGGAACTGGGCTCCACTTTTTGACTCCTTTGGTTTTTTGTTTGGTTGGTTGGTTGGTTTTGGAGTTTGTTTGTTTGTTTCCTTGAGATGGAGTTTCGCTCTTGTTGCCTAGGCTGGAGTGCAATGGCGTGATCTCAGCTCACTGCAACCTCCGCTGTGCTGTCCAGTGGCCTCCGCTCCTCCCCTGCCACCTGCTTCCATGAGCTCATAACATTCCAATGGCAAATCAGTGATTCCGGAAGAGGAAACCAAGCCTCAGTGCCTGGGAGGCGCCTTTGTCTATCCAGGAGTGGCTCAACTCAAATTCCTTAAGAAATTGGGTGTCCATGGAGACTAGGTTAACTCCTAATTCCAGGTGGCAGTTTCTCAAGGAAGTTACTCAGCCTTTCTCATTTCGGGGAATTCACGTAACATGTTGTGTCTTTGGTTTTCCTTCTGATGCGTGCAGTTCTGAACAGTGCGTCCTTGAGGGAATTGTCATGCCTAGCTCAGACCCATTTTCACAGTTTTCTGCTAGCTCTGCTGAGTGACTCACGAACCTCCATGGCTCACCTGGGTCACCTCGGGCAACTGCTCCTCTGTCCAACAGCACAGTTTTGCTGCCTCTAGGCTGATGGTCACTCTGAGGGAAATGGGGCAGGAAAGTACCTGAATTCAGAACCACAGGTGGTCCCCGGTGAACTTTCACCCTAGGAGAGTTTGACATTCAAAGTAGAATATAAGCTCCATGACAGCCAAGTGCCTAGGACAGCCAGGTATACAGTAGAAACTTTAAAAATATATATATGTATACATGTCTAAATATATACATATTTTTATAATATATCAATATGTTTTTAAATATAATTATATATATAATTTTTGTAACTTTTCTTTTAATTTCAGGGGTACACATGCAGGTTTGTTACATAGGTAAACTTGTCTCATTGGGGTTTGTTTTACAAATTACTTCATCACCCAGGTATTATTATCACCCAGCCTATTATTACCCATTAGTTATTTTTCCTGATTGTCTCCCTCTTCCCAACCTCCACCCTCTACCCTCCTCTGCCCCAGTGTGTGTTGTTCCCCTCTGTGTGTCCATGTGTTCTCATCATTTAGCTCCCACTTATAAGTGAGGACATCGTATTTGGTTTTCTGTTCCTGTATTAGTTTGCTAAGGATAATGGCCTCCAGCTCCATCCATCTCCCTGCAAAGGACATAATCTCATTATTTTTTATGGCTGCATGGTGCATATGTATATGGTATACACATAGACACATACACATATATACATATATACACATATATATTTATATGGCATACATATATACATATTTACACATATACATATGTGTATACATATACGTATGTGTAGATATGTATATGGTATACATATATGTGTAGATATGTATGTATATGGCTCATGATAAATATGTACCATATTTTCCTCACCCAGTCTGTCACTGAAAAAAAAATGTATTTACTAAAGTTTCCTTTAAAGGTGAGCTCTCTCTTGCATCTCTTTGTTACTTCTTTCTCTCTTTCTCTCTCCTTCTCCCTCTACCCCCTGGCACCTAACCATCCCACTCTCCACCCTACACATGGTACATTCATTTCCTCAGGCTGTTTTAACAGCTTATCATTACCTTGGTCTTACAACAAGAGCTATTTATTCCCTCACAGTTCTAGAGGCCAGAAGTCTGAAGTCAGGGGTTGGCAGGGCTGGTTCTTTCTGGAGTCACTGAGGGATGATCAATGCCCTCCTTTTCTCATACCTTCCAGTTGCTGCCGGAAGCCCTTGGTGTTCCTTGGTTGGAAGATGCTTCACTCTAACCTCTGCCTCGGCCCTCACATATTCTTCTCCCCCATCTGTCTGTTTTCTCCCCTTCTCTTGTCTTTCATTTAAGGGCCCCCTTAAGCCAGGATGATCTCATCTGGATATTCTTAATTACATCTGCAAAGACCCTTTTTCCAAATAAGGTCACATTTTCAGGTTCCATTACTATGATCTTTTGGGGGCCACAATTTAACCCACAATACTTGGTATCTATCATATATAAAGCAGTACGATAGTTCTGATTTTTCTCTGCAAACTCCCCCAAATTCCTCCTAATACTGCTTGCACTATTTCCGTCTCTTCTTTTCCACTTCCCCAACTAATTCATTGTCCTGTCCCGTGTGAATTGATCCACAGTATCTGGGCTCTTGGCCATTGACTCTCTCTCAGCCAGCCAAAAGGAAGTTTCTTAACAGGCATAGGAAGGGAAAGGCTGCAAAAATAAAATTCTCTGTCAATGGTAATTTTTCCCACATAAACCAATAAGTAAGCAATTCAGAATACCTTTTCGAATACTGATGACAATAAATGTCTGCACTCCAGCCTAATTGATGCAGTATTTTCCATGGTCATCTGTCGCAAAAGCTGGAACCTCTGCACACTTGAATGTCAGCATCTCAGGAATTAACACCTTTAGGATGACCTAAGGGCTCTAATTTGAAAGCCTTCTTAGATTATTGAAATGCAGTAATGAATGTCCAACTTGCTATCATCTCTTGAGGAATAAATGATGGACTTTTATGTTGTTTTGTGGCCAAGTGCAAATTTCAGCACAATTGCACTAGAAAATAACACAATCAAACCTTTGGAGGGTCTGTGTGTGTGTGTGTGTGCATGTGTGTGCGTACGTATGCGTGTAGATATCTATTTAAATGTATACATGCATACATATGCAATTTATTACTAGTTTGTTGAAATACCAAAATTTTTTCCCATATTTTTCCTTTATTTGGTTCATATTCTATTAATTAATCTTTCCATTATTTTCTTCTCCAATGTTTTTCACTCTCAAAGAATTTCTGATTAAGGGTCAAAGTAAAAAATACAGGCTCCCTTTAAAATATTGCTTATAACAATGATATCTATCACTCAACTCCTATCAAGATAGGAGGCAAGATACTGGGGGGAAGTACCTTCTCTTTTGTAAATTTTTTTCTCATTGTCCTGTTAAATTTCTTGCTCCCTTAATTTCCCCATTAAATTTTTATTGCTTTATTCTTTCTTATAGCAGTTTCCTCATATTAGGTGCCTCTCAATTTTTTTTGTCTATTATGACATGCTGTGTTTGAATGAATGGCTCTATTGTGACTCATTTCAGATTTGAGCATATCTATTCAAGGGCCAACCATGAATAAATCTATTTCATGTCTATTTAATTTACATATGGGATATTTTATCATTTCTTTGACAAATGGTTCTCAAAGTGGAATTGTGAGTGATATTTTGTAATGTTCTTTTCGATTATTTGAAATAATCCAGAGTTGTGGAAAACAAATAGCAAATGTACTATAGGGGTTTATGGTTACATTGGTGTCCAAATTCTGTAACCACAAGGGTAAAGAGAATCAAATGAATTCCTTCCCTATTATTTTCTTAAAATCAGATTCCTAGAGATCAAGTTCACTTATAACAAATGAACGTTGGTTGTTATTAGTTTGTCTGCACACTGCTATAAAGAACTACCTGAGACTGGGTAATTTATAAAGGAAAGAAGTTTAATTGACTCACAGTTCCACATGGCTGGGGAAGCCTCAGGAAACTTACAATCATGGTGGAAGGTGAAGGGGAAGCAGACACCTTCTTCACAAGGCAGCAGGAAACAGAGGGAGCACAGGGGAAACTGTCACTTTTAAAACCATCAGATCTCATGAGAACTCCCTCACTGTCATGAGAACAGCATGGGGGAGTCCGCCCCTGTGATCCAATCACCTCCCACCAGGCTTCCCCGTCGATGAGATTTGGTTGGGATCACAGAGGCAGACCATTCCACCAGTGTTCTGGTTTTACTCATTGATATACGAATTAAAATGCTACAAAAGAAAAGGAAACATTCTAAATGTAAAATCATAATTTTACAAGATAATAGCACGTTAGGATGAGGGATCTGCGAAAGAACCCCTGTGGCAGTTCCAGAGGACTGTGAGGTTCTTTGGTGTTCCTTGGTTGGAAGGAGGCTTTTATTCTAACATAAGCACTTCCAGTGGGGACCAAAAGGAACAGAGTAAGGATGAAATAACAGGGGGCATTTTGGACTCCCCAAATTCTACTGGCAGGAAGCAGGTTGATAAAACTCTTCAACTGAAAAGGGGATGATGACTCAGGGCAAAACTGAGAGCCCAGAGGGCAGAGCTGAGAGCCATGGGGGACCCATCCCAGGCCTTGGAGCCTAATACAGTTTGCCTGGATGGACTTCAAACTTGCTTTGGGCTGGTGACTTCTTTTTACTTTCCATTTTCTGCCACTTCCAGTGGAAATGTCTATAGCTGTTAAGCTATGCCTGTTCTTTCACTATATATTGGGGGCAGGTACCTTCTCTTTTTAGTGTCACGGATCCATGGAGGGGGAATAATTGTGCCCAAGACCTGGACTTAATGGTTTACACATCTGTACCTGATTTAGATGACAGGATTTGGTGTGCTTAAAAAAACATTTTTTTGAGACAGGGTCTTACTGTGTTGCCCAGGCTGGAGTGTAGTGACATGGTCATGGCTCACTGCAGCATCAAACTGCTGAGCTCAAATAGTCCTCCCATCTCAGCCTCCCGAATAGCTAGGACTACACGTGTGTGCCACCATGTCTGGCTAATTTTTCTACTTTTGTTGACCTGTCTTCATGGGATTCTCCTGCCTTGGCCTCTCAAAGTTCTGGGATTACGTACATGAGCCACCATACCTGGCCTCTGATTTGGTATACTTTTGAACTGATGAGATTTTGATGAAATTTTGCACTCTGAGTTGATGCTGTAATGGGATGAGGTATGTTTTGAGGATGTTAGGAAGTATGAGAGATGGACCTGGATCACATAGACCTGAGGGAAGACTGTGGGAGACAGAATATTGGCCCCAATCACTTAGACCACTGGTGTTATGCCCAGGAATGTTACATTCCATGGCAAAGGAGACCTTTCAGATGTAATTAAGATTACTAATAAATGACCTTAAGATGGAAGGATTATACTGGATTATCCTGGTGGCCTCAATGTGTTCACCAGAGCCCTCAAAAGTAACAGAAGAGGAAAGCAAAAGAGAAAGTCAGATTTGAAGTGTGAGAAGTACCTGATGGCCATTGCTAACTTTGACGGTGGGGAGGGCATGAGCCAAAGAATGTAGAGGCTTCCAGAGAGTGAGAGTGACCCTGGCCAATGGTCAGAAGGAAAACAGGGACTTCCATCCTATGGCCGCATGGAACTAAACTCTTCTAACACCTGAGTGAACCTGGAGGGAAATTCTTCCCTACAGCCTCCAAATAAGAGCCCAGGCTGGACAGTATCTTGATTTTGGCCTTGTGAGGCCCCGAGCAGAGAGTCCAGCCATGCCATGCTGGGCTTGGGAATCTACTGATATACAGAACCGGGAGATAATAAATTTATGCAGTAAGTGATTAAGTCGGTGGTAATTTGTTACAGCAGCAATAGAAAACTAAAATACCGTCTCAGCCATCGTGAAGGAAAAGGCCCTTCTCACTGGCCAAGACAATTCCATTGCTGACCCACCGAGAGCAGGAAGAGTAGCTTATAAAGACCCGTTTGCACAAGTTGTAACCCTTGTAATACAGTCATCATGCAGTGCAAAGTATCCCCACCTCCTTAGTTTAAAATATATGCACTCTCAATGACATTTGAGCTCATGCTCGACATTTCCCCTCTAGCATTCACTGTTGGGTAAAAAATTTCACTTGAAATAAGAATAAAGCTCTAGATTTTTATTCAAATTATTTTCCCAAGCAAACTATAAGCCTGGGGCTTTCTCCCAGCCTGGGGTCAACATGGCTCAGTGGAAATTGGGATGAGGGAAGAGGGAAATTGACATGGGGTAGGGCTTGGGAGACCTACGACCATGGTCAAACAGGATGGAACAGCTGGATTTAAGTTGACACTAAGAGGTAGAGCCAGAAGCCATTCCCTGGGGCAGTAATATGTGGCGGTACTGTTGTGCAATATTTATGATCATTACAACCTTGTTACCCGCCCTTGCTAGCCCCCACCCTTGCTCCATTTCACTTTATAGCACTTACTAATTTCTAATTCTCCAGAGTGTAAATGCCACAAAGACAGAGAGTTCTGTGTGTTTTATCCATTGCTGTTTATAACCAGCCTCTACAGTAGGATATACAGCCAGTCCTTCATAAAATATTCATTAAAAAGAAAAGATGAATGATCACATTTGAAGTTCAAAAAGACTGGAGGGAGGAAGATAGATTTGAGGGGCTACTTAGGGGTCTGGCATTTGGTAGATGGTCATAATTAGACTGAGGTAGAGGAGATGGGTATGGTTGAGAGGTATGCAGGATTAACAGCAACAGGTCTTGGTAGTAAATGTGGTGGGCTGGTGAGCCATGGTGTCACGGTAAAATTTTAAAAACTATCAAAAACTGAAGGTATGTGTGTGACATCTGTCTCCATATATTATACATACAGTTTATTGTGAACTTTACTCTTATAAATGACTGCAGCACACAATTTTCAAATAATAATAACAAAAGTAGTATTCTTTATTATAAATTTCACATAGCAAATTGATTTTCACTACTCTAATGTTCTAATTCATGTTGGCAGAATTCATATCTATAGAGACCCGATGTTACAACTAATGAAGTTTAGTTCTGACATGAATACTAGTTGATATTTTTGTTTGTATTAAGAAGGGAGGCAAAAGTGAAATCTGAAGACCCACGTCAGAACTTCACTTATTGGTCAATGACAGGATCTATTTTGCTGCTGAATGGGTTAATAATTTTTGAATTATAGAAGTCCATTTCCTCAACTTTTTGTGCTGTTCTCATCATAATGCCTAAAGACATGACACACTTACAAGTTTAATCTACATTTTTAACATTTTCTCCAATTTTTTCTTAAGTCGAGACAAGTAACAAAGCAATAAATAAAGCTCTGGTTGGTAACATTTGCCAATTTTCATGGTGAATATACTTCCTCCATGGTAAATTTCAAACTATCGATGCAAGGTCACTGAGGGCAGAGAAGGGAAGAGATGCATAGCAGCACTGTTAGGATCTCTACATATGAACACCATAGATATGAATAATCTCAAATGCATAGATGATAGGAAAATGTAATAAAATAATTAGGAAGTGATGTTTCTTCATATATATTATCTTTGCTTTAGTATAATTGACTTAATTGTAAGTTAATAACATTTAACTTTTAATAATTAAATTTGTATAATTTGTTATTTAACAATAAGCCACAAAATTCCAGAAGGTGTAACAATCAGCTATCATGAGCCAATACTAGCCAGCTCCAGCTCATGACTATCACAGAAAGGGAGGTTCTAAGAAAGATGCCAGAAGCTTGGCTTGCATAACTGTAAAGAGGCTTCTACCATTTTGAAAGGTAACAGTGGAGAACCATATCAGCATGGGGTGGGGTGGGGGGCATTGGGATCATGGATTTAGGATCAGACATGTCAAGTCTGACATGTCAACAAAACTTCCAAGTGGAGAAGCCCAGTTCGCAATTGGATATATGAGTCTGGAGCTCAGAGGAAAGACCATAGGTGGAGAAATAGAGTAATGAGTCATCAGTTTACATGTGGTAAATGAAGCTGTGGGCATGGGAGACAGTTCCTAGGGAAAGAGAACACAGTAAAATAAGAAAAGCTTGGTCCAGGCCTTTAGAAACTACGGTTAATGGCCAGCTAAAGACAAGACTACAAATGAAGTAGAGGTCAGTCCACCCAAGGCATAAGAGGAAACCCACGACCTCTACAATGAGATCTACAAACCACTGCTCCAAGAAATCAGAGATGACACAAACAAAAGTAAAAATATTCCATGTTCATGGATAGAAGAATCAATATGATGAAAATGGTCATGCTTCTCAAAGCCAAAGCAATTTATAGATTCAATACTATTCCCATTAAACTACCACTGAGATTCTTCACAAAACTAGAAAAAAAACACTATTTTAAAATTCATATGGGGCCAAAAAAGAGTCCAAGTGGCCAAGGCAATCCTAAGTGAAAAGAACAAAGCTGCAGGCATCACACTACCTGACTTCAAATTATACTACAAGGCTACAGTAACCAAAACAGCATGGTGCCAGTACAAGATCAGAGATATAGACCAATGGAACAAAATAGAGAGCACAGAAATTAGACCACATACCTACAGCTATCTGATCTTCAGCAAACCTGACAAAAACAAACAGTGGAGAAAAGATTCTGTATTTAATAAATAGTGCTGGAATAACTGGCTTGCCATAGACAGAAAATTGAAACTGGATCTCTTTCTTACACCATATATAAAAATCAACTCAAGATAGATTAAATACTTAAATCTAAAACCCAAAACCATAAAAACCCTAGAAGAAAACTTAAGCAATTCAGGATATAGGCATGGGCAAAGATTTCATGATGTAGAAACCAAAAGCAATTCCAACAAAAGCAAAATTGACAAATGGGATCTAATTAAACTACAGAGCATCTGCACAGCAAAAGAAACTATCCTCAGAATAAACAGACAACCTATAGAATGGGAGAAAATTTTTCCAAGTTGTTCATCTGTCAAAGGTCTAATATCCAGCATCTGTAAGGAACTTAAACAAACTGACAAGCAAAAAAAAACCAAAAACAAACAAACAAAAAAAAATCCCATTAAAAATTGGGCAAAGGACATGAACAGACACTTCTCAAAAGAAGACATACATGCAGCCAATAATCATATGGTAAAAAGCTCAACATCACTGATCATTAGAGAAATGCAAATCAAAACCACAATGAGATATCATCTCATTCCGGTCAATGGCTATTATTAAAAAGTCAAAAAATAACATATGCTGGCGAGGTTGTAGAGAAAAAGAAACACACTGTTGGTGGGGGTGTAAATTAGTTCAACCATTGTGGAAAAGAGTGTGGTGATTCCTCAGAGACCTAGAGGCAGAAATATCATTTCACCCAGCAATCCCATTTGTGGGTATATACCCATAAGAACATAAATCATTCTATTATAAAGATACATGCATGTGCATGTTCACTGCAGCACTATTCACAATAGCAAAGACATGGAATCAGCCCATCAGTGATAGACTGGATAAAGAAAATGTGGTACATATACACCATGGAATACTATGCAGCCATAAAAAAGAACAAGATCATGTCCTTTGCAGAGACATGGATGGAGCTGGAGGCCATTATCTTTAGCACACTAACACAGGCACAGAAACCAAATACTGCATATTCTGACTTATAAGTGGGAGGAAAATGATGAGAACACATAGGTACACATAGAGGGGAACAATGCACCCTGGGGCCTACCTGAGAGTAGAGTATGGGAGGAAGGAGAGGATCAGGAAAAATAACTAATGGGTACTAGGCTTAATGACTGGGTAATGAAATAATTTGTACAACAAAGCCCCATGGCAAGGATTTCATGTCTAAAACACCAAAAGCAATGGCAACAAAAGCCAAAATTGACAAATGGGATCTAATTAAACTAAAGAGCTTCTGCACAGCAAAAGAAACTACCATCAGGGTGAACAGGCAACCTACAGAATGGGAGAAAATTTTTGCAATCTACTCATCTGACAAAGGGCTAATATCCAGAATCTACAATGAACTCAAACAAATTTACAAGAAAAAAACAAACAACCCCATCAACAAGTGGGCGAAGGATATGAACAGACACTTCTCAAAAGAAGACATTTATGCATCCAAAAGACATGAAAAAATGCTCATCATCACTGGCCATCAGAGAAATGCAAATCAAAACCACAATGAGATACCATCTCACACCAGTTAGAATGGCAATCATTAAAAAGTCAGGAAACAACAGGTGCTGGAGAGGATGTGGAGAAATAGGAACACTTTTACACAGTTGGTGGGACTGTAAACTAGTTCAACCATTGTAGAAGTCAGGGTGGCGATTCCTCAGGGATCTAGAACTAGAAATACCATTTGACCCAGCCATCCCATTACTGGGTATATACCCAAAGGATTATAAAACATGCTGCTATAAAGACACATGCACATGTATGTTTATTGCGCCACTATTCACAATAGCAAAGACTTGGAACCAACCCAAATGTCCAACAATGACAGATTGGATTAAGAAAATGTGGCACATATACACCATGGAATACTATGCAACCATAAAAAAGGATGAGTTCATGTCCTTTGTAGGGACATGGAAGAAGCTGGAAACCATCGTTCTCAGCAAACTATCGCAAGGACAGAAAACCAAACACCGTGTGTTCTCACTCATAGGTGGGAATTGAACAATGAGAACACATGGACACAGGAAGGGGACCTTCACACACCAGGGCCTGTTGTGGGGTGGGGGGAGGGGGGAGGGAGAGCTTTAGGAGATATACCTAATGTTAAATGATGAGTTAATGGGTGCAGCACACCAATATGGCACATCTATACATATGTAACAAACCTGCACGTTGTGCACATGTACCCTGAAACTTAAAGTATAATTAAAAAAAAAACAAAGCCCCATGACACAACTTTATGGGTATAACAAACCTGCATATTCTGCATGTGTACCCCTGAACTTAAAATGAAAGTTAACAACAACAAAAAAAGAGGAACCCTGAAATAATGTGGTGCTACGGAGCCAAGAACAGACACTGCCACAAGAAGAAATCAACAGTATTGAACAATACCAAGAGGTTTAAGTAGGATGGAAACTTGAGGTTATCGATGACATTAATAAGAACATTTCAGTGCAGTGTTGGGTTGAATTCAGATCACAGAGAACTGATGACTAAACAGAAAGTGAGACAATACAGACAGAAAATATGATTTTCTTTTCTTTCCCAGAGGTTAACTATAAAAGGGCGAAAGATATAGACTCAGGTGTGGAGTAATGTAGGGTTGAGGGAAGGCGTTTCTTTTATGGGAAATAAAAATTCCATTCAAGTCCAAAAGCCAAGGGGTAGTGATAAAGGAGCTGAAAAGAAATTGTGTAGGCAGTTTAAGGGTAAATGAGGTCTCGGTGAAATTTCCTTTTAATAAAAAGCAGCCCCAAAATCATTTCTTTTCTAACAAGAAGCACCCTGAAAAATCAAGCTGCAAGCAAAGATAAGCAAGCTGGAGACTTGCATAGATGAATGTTGGCAGCTCTGCCAATATTAAAGGGATACCTGGAAGTCAGGTAGGTGTATTCAACATGGAGATTCCCTCTTGCCTTTTTCTTTGTCGCCAAGTGTGCAGGTAAAGTGGCACCAGCTAGGTAAAGACTCCTTTGCATAATAAAAGATTAGGGTGGGTTGGCCAGCCTCTTCCCAGGCTATGTAAATGGCACACCTGATCCAACCACTCCTCTAGATCCTGTGTAAATGAGACACTGCTTCCCCAAGCTCATCTATAAAATCAACTGCATCTCGCCCCAAACCCAAAAACCTGCTCAGGCTCTCTTCCTCTGAAAAGGAAGCTCTCTCTTCTTTCTTTCGCCTATTAAACTTCTATTTTTTTTCTTTTTTTTCTTTTTTTTTTCTTTTTTTGAGACAGAGTCTCTCTTTATCACCTAGGCTGGAGTGCTATGGCACGATCTTGGCTCGCTGCAACCTCTGCCTCCTGGGCTCAAGCGATTCTCCTGCCTCAGCCTCCTGAGTAGCTGGGATTATAGGTGCCCGCCAGTTCACCCGTCTAATTTTTTGTATTTTTAGTAGAGATGGGGTTTCACCATATTGGCCACATTGGTCTCGAACTCCTGACCTCGGGTAATCCACCCATCTCGGCCTCCCAAAGTGCTGGGATTACAAACATGAGCTATTGCGCCTGGCCTAAACTTCTACTCTTAAATAAACTCCTTGTGTGTCCACATCTTCAATTTCCTTAGCATGAGACAACGAACCTCAAGTATTTCTCTAGACAAACAACACCACTTCAGTAGGACCAGTTGCAAGACGCAAGATCCATTGGAGAATGAAAATAAGTGACGGTATCATGAGAACCTGGGAGGAATTTGGGAGCCAAGGCACAGGGAAGCACTTGGCCTTAAATAAGAGGAAGGGACTCACTGTAACTCAGAAGCTGAGAAGAAGGGATGTAGATAGGTTTGTATGTGTAATTTCACAAATAAAATAGAATATCTATTTGATTATTTTTTTCCTATAAAATAGGAGCTAGATCATCTCCTGAGAGGGTACAGGGAGATTTTTGAGACACTTGAGGAGGGTGGGTATCACCTTAAATTATTTCAAGTTATTAATTAGATTTGGCTACTTAGTAATAGAACCAATGTTTTCTTCCTTTGAAAATTGTGTTAACCAGCAACACATTTTAACCAAGAATAGTTTATTTAAGAAACGCAAAGTTGGTTTTCAAAATTAGAAAATCTGTAAATGTAATTCACAACATTAATTAATCAAAAAATTTAAAAAGAATGATTATCTTCACATATGCCGCAAAAACATTAATAACAATGAGAACAATCTCCAATAACACAGGATTAGGTAGCTACTTCCTTAACATGATAAAATGTATCCTTCTTAACCCATAAACCAAGCATTCTAATCAAAAGTCAAGAACAAAGTATCTACATTTTGAACTTACAGTTCCACTTCTGGGGATTTATCCTACAGCCTTGCATGACAATATGCTCTATTTTATCAATCTTTAAGATGTGTTTTGGATATTGGGATGAGTAATGGATGTGACATGATTTAATTGGTGGCATTTTTTTTTTCCTTTTTAGTGACCCATAAAATAAAAGTGTATTATTAAGGCATCTTAGATTATATAAGATCAGTTTGTAGAAGATTTTTTATTATGGTAAATTTCTGATAAGACTGGAAGCAAAGAAGCAAAGCATGCATCAATGTGTATAGTTGTTATCATTCATGCAAAAAATAATCAATGTTAGTAGTCCATATTAGATACCTACATTATATCTATGTTAATGAATGGATATATTATGTGTCTGTACTGATATGCACCCACACATATACCTATTTGCTAATATATGTGTATAATAGCTCTGCCAGGATTGTGGTAACTTTGGTTGCCTCTAAAGAAGGGAGGTGATGGCTGGAAGAGAGAACTGGAGGAAAATTTTACATTCCCTTTGTATTTGTATAAACACTGTGCCTTGTGAATATATCATCTAAAATAAAATACAATTGAAAACCAAAAAAAAGAGAAAAAATCAGCTGTAGACATTGTAAATCTCTGCTTTGTGTAGGCTTCACAATTATGCTTACCTTTTGATAGAATATATACAGATTTTAGCCCCTGGGCCTGGGGAATAAGAAGGAAGTTTCTTTATTCTGAGTCTAGATATGCCAGGAAATCTTCCACTTGATGACTAAATGTTTTCTCCATACGCTCTGTGATATATTTAGTATCATGAAAACTCTTTAAAAGAATGATTTGGGGTGACTGGACTAACATGCCTTAGAAATGAATGCCACTCTTCAAATTCTCAAAAAATCTTTATTTTCTGATTACAAAAGCAATTCTTTTTCAGGAAAAACAAAGAAACATTATAGAAGAAATTGCTATAATAAAAAAAAAAATGGAAATACATTTTAGCCAAAGTGGGAGTTAGGGATGTATTCAGGTTCAGGTATGCCTCTTCCAAGGAGCTTTTGGCATTTTAAAGAACAGTGATGTTGATAAAGTCATCTTGACCCAGCTAATGTCAAATGGTGGCATCAAAATTTGTGTCAAAATGTCTCACAAATCAAAAACCTGCATTAAACTATCCTGCCTCCTATGCATATGGCGTGCCATGACTGGTTCCACACAAGAGGGCCAGGTCTCTGCAATTCCTTGAGGCCATCCCTATATCCTCATCACTGAGCTCAGTACCCGGCACAGGGAGGTGATCAGGAAGTGCTTATTGAATGTGTGAAGAGGTGGCATGGGGTGGTGGAAATCCTACCAGCCTAGTCATCAGGTACCCTTCAGTCCCAAAGCTCAAAGCCTGCAAGTTGTAGTCTTGAGTAAGTCACCGAATGCCTCTGAGCCTTGGTCTGTTATCCATAATGGGGGTATAATGACACTCTTCTCGTTGTAACAAAAAAAAATTTAATCTACTCAAAAGGGATAACACAGCTCTAGGCACACTGTGTGTTTGTAACGATGATGTGCCGAAAATTGGGCACACTGAGTGTTTGTAATGATGATGACTACTCTAGGGAAGGAATGTAGGCTGAAGGAGTAAAGTCATTGTGCGCAGTTACACTGGGGCTGGTAGGGGTGATGATGGCTGTTTTATTAGGGAATGGGGGCCCTTGGGCAAGGCTCTATCCAGTCACCTCTGCAAATATGCTCAGTCCATTGCAAAGAGAGACACTGTTAAATAAAATAAAAATATGTATTCTTTGAGTATCTGTTTAAAACTAGGAGGACATTCATATACCTTGTCTGCCAAAGGCCACTGGAGAAACCATATCTGAAGGATTGGTATGACAACAAGCTCTCAGATGCCAGTTTCACCCAACCCTTCAACCTGCAGTCCTGTGATCCTCCTGCAGGATCCTGGTCAAAGGCCCTTCTCATCCCCACAACATCTTATCTCTCTTGCATCATCTTCCCCCAGGTTCTCAGGAAACAACCTCACCTTTTATTTCACAAAGAAATCAGAAATAGCCTTATGGAGATAAAATCCACATACCATATGATTCATCCATTGCAAGCATATAATTCAATAGTTTTAGATATTCACAGAATTGTGCAACTATCACTTCCTTTTTAGAATATTTTCATCACCCTAAAAATGAACTCTTATAAACTAAGTATTTGCAGCCCTCCAAAATTCATATGTTGAAGCCCTAAACTCCAATGAGATGGTATTAGGAGATAGGGCCTTTGGGGGGTAATTAGGGTTAATGAGATCAGGGAGTGGGGCCTTCATGATGGGATTAGTGCCCTTATAAGAAGAGACACCAGAGAGTTTGCTCTCCCTCGTTCTCTCTCTCTGCATGGGGGACACAGTAAGAAGGCAACCATCTGCAAGCCAGGAAAAGAGCCCTCACCAGGAACCAAACTGGCTAGAACTTTGGCCTGGGCATTGGACTTCCAATCCTCCAGAGCTGTGAGAAATAAATTTATGTTGTTTAAGCCACCCAGTCTATGGTATTTTATTATAGAAGCCCAAGCAACTAAGACAGACCCCATGAAAAACTTACTCCCCATTCACCCCTTAGCTTCCATTCCCAGCCCCAGGTAACCACTAATCTACTCTATGTCTCTATAGATTTTCCTATTCTGGACCCTTCATATACATTAATTCAGACAATATGAAAACACTCTGCTGAGTAAAAGCAGACAGTTACAAAGGACTGACCACATATTGTCTGATTTCATATATGGATGTATGTTTTTATTTTTCTTGGGCATACATCTAGGAGTGGAATTGTTGTGTTATAACTGTATGTTTAGCCATATGCTAAATGTACCAGGCTAAATGCACCACTTTACATTCCCAACATCAGTGTATATGTGTTCCAATTTCTTCGCATCCCCACCAACACTTGTTACTGTCTGTATTTTGTGTTTTGCCATGCTAGTTGGAGAGAGGTGTTAGGTTGTGGTTCTGTTCTATATGACTTGCCTTCTGGAACACACTTATCTCCTGATTTATAATTCTACTGTCTTACTGTCTACCAGGTCCTTCTGTTATCAAGCAAAGAGGATGCTTTGGTTAGAAACACTCTAGTCAGGTAAGAATGGCATGCAAAAAGCTGTACATATTTAATGTATACCATTTGGTTTGTCTGGAGATAAGTATGACCTGTAAACCATCACCACAATGTAAATGATAAACCTATACATCACCTCTAAAATTTTTCTTCTACTTGCTTTATTTATTATTATAAGCATACCTTGTTTTATTGCACTTCACTTTACTGCACTTTTCAGATATTGAGTTTTTTACAAATTAAAGATTTTTGGCAAACTTGCACCCAGCAAGTCTATTGACATCATTTTCCCAACAGCATGCACTTACGTCAGGTCTCTGTGCCGTATTTTAGCAAGCCTCAAAATACTTCAAACTTTTTCATTATTTTTATATCTGTTATGATGATCTGTGGTCAGTGATCTTTGATGTTACTCCTGTAATTGTTTTGGGGAGTCACAAACCACATCTATACAAAACACGGTGAACTTAAGCCATAAATGGGGTGTGCATTCTGACTGCTCCCCTGACTGGCTGCCTGTCTCTCTTCCTCTCCTCAGGCTTTCCTATCCCCTGAGACACAACAATATTGAAATTAGGCAAATTAATAAACACTTGCATTGCCCATCTGTAAAAATAACTCCTCATCTGATAACTCAAGTGGTTTCTTGAGAAGGGAGCTACTCCTGGTTAGACGCTGTGAACATTGTTGAAATAACAACAAAGGAGTATTATATAAACTTAGTTGATAGAGCTGTGGCAGGGTTTAAGAGAGCTGACTCCAAATTTGCAAGAAGTTCTACTGTGGGTCCAACGCTAGCAAACAGTATTGCGTGCTACAGAGAAATCTTTCATGAAAGGAAGAGTCCATTGATGTGGCAAACTTCACTGTTGTCCTATTGCCATAACAACCCCAGCCTTCAACAATCATTACCCTAACTGGTCAGCAGCCATCAGCATCAAAGGAGGACATTCCACCAGAAAAAAAAAAAATATGACCTGCTGTATTAGTCCATTTTCACACTGTTATAAAAATACTTCCTGAGACTGGGTAATTTATAAATAAAAGAGGTTTAATTGACTCAGTTTCACATGGCTGGGAGGCCTCAGGAAACTTAAGAATTACGGTAGAAGGGGAAGAAGCCACCTTCTTCACAAGGTGGCAGGAGAGAGAAGTGCAGGGGAAACTGACACTTATAAAACCATCAGATCTCAAGAGAACTAACTCACTATTATGAGAACAGCATGGAGAAGAACCACCCCCATGATTCAATCACCTCCCTTGACATATGGGGATTACAATCCAAGATGAGATTTGGGTGGGGACACAGAAATAAACCATATCATGTGCTGAAGGCTCAGATGATCACTAGCATTTTTTAGCAATAAAATACTTTTAGTTAAGGTTTCTACATTATTTTTTAGACATAATGATATTGCACACTTAAGAGGCTACAGTGTGGGATGAACATAACTTTTGTATGCACTGGGAAACCAATACATGTGTATGACTTGCTTTACTACAATATTCGCTTTATTGTGGTGGTCTGAACTGAACCTACAATATTTTCATGATACACCTGTATTTTGTGATAAGAGCACTTAGCATGAGACTTTGAACAACGTGCATCTTTGATCCCTAGATCTCAACCCTCACACGCCCTCTAGGACTTCCTTTCCATTACTCTTGATCCTTCTCATCTGTATCATCTACCATGGAAATATTCCTTTTCACTGGTCCTTCCTCCACAAACATATCCAATGTAGCAGAGATTCTGAGGCAAACGCTGGAAGAATTCTAGTCCTGCTTCTCTACTTTTGAGTTGCAGGCCTTGTGCTTTGTTTTTTTATTATCCATATTAATTATACCTACCTCATAACACTGCTGTGGGGATGATACAAATCAATGCATCTAATGCCTGGCATATAATAAGTGCTGAGTGTTTGCTATTATGTCATTATCTTTCAAATTGCATTCATAATTTGAATAAGTAATATGTGCAAATGGTACAGAAATTTAGATAAAATGTTCTGCAGTTGGATGTAAGTTTCTCTCCAATCACCTTTTCACAACTTTACCTGAGAGGTGAGCACTGTTACCCACTGCTTGAGGATTCCCCCAGAAATGGATATTCTATACTTACCTGAGAAGACCGTGGAAGTGAAAATTCCTACACATAGTAGCCTCCTAAGCACAGCACCCTTTCTCTTGATTTTTTTTTTCACTGAATATCTATTTTGGAGCTGTTTCAATGTTAGTGCCAAAGACTTATCTCATCCCTCTCAACACCTGCTACTAACTGAATGTGTCATAATGGATTTAAACATTTCCTAATATAAGTACTTAAAAATTTTTTTCTACTAGTTTTTTTTTTTAATCCTGCAAGGCCTTGTCCATACATAAATTTTACATGTGTGAATATACCTGTACATTAAAGACTAGAAGAGAAATTTCCAAGTCAAAGGACAGTTGCACTTTAATTTTATAATGGTTGTAAATATGATATTTGTCAGGCCTCTGAGCCCATGCCAAGCCATCGCATCCCCTGTGACTTGCACGTATACGCCCAGATGGCCTGAAGTAACTGAAGAATCACAAAAGAAGTGAATATGCCCTGCCCCACCTTAACTGATGACATTCCACCACAACAGAAGTGTAAATGGCCGGTCCTTGACTTAACTGATGACATTACCTTGTGAAAGTCCTTTTCCTGGCTCATCCTGGCTCAAAAAGCACCCCCACCGAGCACCTTGCGACCCCCACTCCTGCCCGCCAGAGAACAAACCCCCTTTGACTGTAATTTTCCTTTACCTACCCAAATCCTATAAAACGGCGCCACCCTTATCTCCCTTCGCTGACTCTCTTTTCGGACTCAGCCCGCCTGCACCCAGTGAAATACACAGCCATGTTGCTCACACAAAGCCTGTTTGGTGGTCTCTTCACACGCACGGGCATGAAATTTGGTGCCGTGACTCAGATTGGGGGACCTCCCTTGGGAGATCAACCCCCTGTACTCCTGTTCTTTGCTCCCTGAGAAAGATCTACCTATGACCTCAGGTCCTCAGACCAACCAGCCCAAGGAACATCTCACCAATTTTAAATCAGGTAAGTGGCCTCTTCTTACTCTCTTCTCCAACCTCTCTCACTGTCCCTCAACCACTTTCTCCTTTCCACTCTTCAATCTCTCCCTTCTCTTAATTTCAATTCCTTTCATTTTCTGGGAGAGACAAAGGAGACATGTTTTATCTGTGGACCCAAAACTCCGGCACCGGTCACGCACTGGGAAGGCAGCCTTCCCTTGGTGTTTATTCATTGCAGGGATGCCTCTCTGATTATACACCCACATTTCAAGGGTGTCAGACCACGCAGGGACGCCTGCCTTGGTCCTTCACCTTTAGCGGCAAGTCCTGCTTTTCTGGGGAAGGGACAAGTACCCCAACCCCTTCTCTCCTTGTCTCTACCCCTTCTCTGCTTTTCTGGGAGAGGGGCAGTACCCCTCAACCCCTTCTCCTTCACCCTTAGTGGCAAGTCCCGCTTTTCTATGGGGCAAGAATCCCCAGTCCCTTATTTCCATGCCCCAACCTCTTATCTCTGTGCCCCAATCCCTTATTTCCATGCCCCAACCTCTTATCTCTGTGCCCCAATCCCTTATTTCTGCACCCTGACCTCTTATGTCTGTGCCCCAATCCCTTATTTCCACACCCCAACCTCTTATCTCTGTGTCCCAATCCCTTATTTCCGCACCCCAACCTCTCTCTGTGCCCCAATCCCTTATTTCCATGGCCCAACCTCGTATCTCTGCACCCCAATCCCTTATTTCCACTCCCCGACCTCTTATCTCTGCGCTCCAACCCCTTTCCCACTTTTCTGGAAGGTAAGAACCCCCGAACCCCTTCCCTCCATTTCTCTATTCTCTCTTTTCTCTAGACTTGCTTCCTTCACTATGGGCAAACTTCCACCCTCCATTCCTCCTTCTACTCCCTTAGCCTGTGTTCTCAAAAACTTAAAACCTCTTCAACTCACACCTGACCTAAAACGTAAATGCCTTATTTTCTTCTGCAATGCCACTTGACCCCAGTACAAACTCGACAGTAGTTCCAAGTAGCCAGAAAATGGCACTTTGAATTTTTCCATCCTGCAAAATCTAAATAATTCTTGTCGTAAAATAGGCAAACGGTCTGAGATGCCTGATGTCCAGGCATTCTTTTACACATCAGTCCCTTCCTAGTCTCTGTGCCCAGTGCAACTTGTCCCAAATCTTCCTTCTTTCCCTCCTGCCTGTCCCCTCAGTACCAACCCCAAGCGTCACTGAGTCTTTCTAATCTTCCTTTTCTACAGACCCATCTGACCTCTCCCTTCCTCCCCAGGCTGCTCCTCTCCAGGCGGAGCTAGGTCCCAATTCTTCCACAGCCTCTGCTCCTCCACCCTATAATCTTTTTATCAACTCCCCTCTTCACACCTGGTCCGGCTTACAGTTTCGTTCCATGACTAGCCCTCCCCCTCCTGCCCAGCAATTTACTCTTAAAAAGGTGGCTGGAGCTAAAGGCATAGTCAAGGTTAATGCTCCCTTTTCTTTATCCCAAATCAGATAGTGTTTAGGCTCTTTTTCATCAAATATAAAAATCCAGCCCCGTTCATGGCTCGTTCGGCAGCAACCCTGAGATGCTTTACAGCCCTAGACCCTAAAAGGTCAAAAGGGCGTCTTATTCTCAATATACATTTTATTACCCAATCTGCTCCCGACATTAAATAAAACTCCAGAAATTGGAATCTGGCCCTCAAACCCCACAACAGGACTTAATTAACCTCACCTTCAAGGTGTACAATAACAGAAAACAGTTGCAATTCCTTGCCTCCACTGTGAGACAAACCCCAGCCACATCTCCAGCACACAAGAACTTCCAAATGCCTGAACCGCAGTGGCCAGGTATTCCTCCAGAACCTCCTCCCCCAGGAGCTTGCTACACATGCCAGAAATCTGGCCACTGGGCCAAGGAATGCCCGCAGCCTGGGATTCCTCCTAAGCCACGTCCCATCTGTGTGGGACCCCACTGAAAATCGGACTGTTCAACTCACCTGACAGCCACTCCCAGAACCCCTGGAACTCTGGCCCAAGGCTGACTGACTCCTTCCCAGATCTTCTCGGCTTAGCGGCTGAAGATGACACTGCCCAATCACCTTGGAAGCCCCCTAGACCATCACGGACGCCGAGCTTCAGGTAACTCTCACGGTGGAAGGTAAGCCCGTCCCCTTCTTAATCAATACGGAGGCTACCCACTCCACATTATCTTCTTTTCAAGGACCTGTTTCCCTTGCCTCCATAACTGTTGTGGGTATTGACGGCCAGGCTTCTAAACCTCCTAAAACTCCCCAACTCTGGTGCCAACTTAGACAATACTCTTTTAAGCACTCCTTTTTCATTATCCCCACCTGCCCAGTTCCCTTATTAGGCTGAGACACTTTAACTAAATTATCTGCTTCCCTGACTATTCCTGGACTACAGCTGTATCTCATTGCCACCCTTCTTCCCAATTCAAAGCCTCCTTTGCGTCCTCCTCTTGTATCCCCCCACCTTAACCCACAAGTATAAGATACCTCTACTCCCTCCTTGGCTACCAATCATGCACCCCTTACCATCTCATTAAAACCTAATCACCCTTACCCCACTCAATGCCAATATCCCATCCCACAGCACGCTTTAAAAAGATTAAACCTGTTATCACTCGCCTGCTACAGCATGGCCTTTTAAAGCCTATAAACTCTCCTTACAATTCCCCCATTTTACCTGTCCTAAAACCAGACAAGCCTTACAAGTTAGTTCAGGATCTGTGCCTTATCAACCAAATTGTTTTGCCTATCCCCCCTGTGGTGCCCAACCCATATACTCTCCTATCCTCAATACCTTCCTCCACCACTCACTATTCCGTGCTTGATCTTAAAGATGCTTTTTTCACTATTCCCCTGCACCCCTCGTCCCAGCCTCTCTTTTCTTTCACTTGGACTGACCCTGACACCTATTAGGCTCAGCAAATTACCTAGGCTGTACTGCCACAAGGCTTCATAGACAGCCCCCATTACTTCAGTCAAGCCCAAATTTCATCCTCATCTGTTACCTATCTCGGCATAATTCTCATAAAAACATACGTGCTTTCCCTGCTGATCGTGTCCTATTAATCTCCCAAACCTCAATCTCTTACAAAACAACAACTCCTTTCCTTCCTAGGCATAGTTAGTGCAGTCAGAATTCTTACACAAGAGCCAGGACCGCACCCTGTAGCCTTTCTGTGCAAACAACTTGACCTTACTGTTTTAGCCTACCCCTCGTGTCTGCGTGCAGCGGCTGCCGCTGCTTTAATACTTTTAGAGGCCCTCAAAATCACAAACTATGCTCAACTCACTCTCTACAGTTCTCATAACTTCCAAAATCTATTTTCTTCCTCATACCTGACGCATATACTTTCTGCTTCCCGGCTCCTTCAGCTATACTCACTCTTTGTTGAGTCTCCCACAATTACCATTGTTCCTGGCGTGGACTTCAATCTGGCCTCTCACATTATTCCTGATACCACACATGACCCCCATGACTGTATCTCTCTGATCCACCTGATATTCACCCCGTTTCCCCATATTTCCTTCTTTCCTGTTCCTCACCCTGATCACGCTTGATTTATTGATGGCAGTTCCACCAGGCCTAATTGCCACACACCAGCAAAGGCAGGCTATGCTATAGTACAAGCCACTAGCCCGCCTCTCAGAACCTCTCATTTCCTTTCCATCGTGGAAATCTATCCTCAAGGAAATAACTTCTCAGTGTTCCATCTGCTATTCTACTACTCCTCAGGGATTATTCAGGCCCCCTCCCTTCCCTACACATCAAGCTCCAGGATTTGCCCCCACCCAGGACTGGCAAATTAGCTTTGCTCAACATGTCCCGAGTCAGGAAACTAAAATACCTCTTAGTCTAAATAGATACTTTCACTGAATAAGTAAAGGCCTTTCCTACAGGGTCTGAGAAGGCCACCACAGGCATTTCTTCCCTCCTGTCAGACATAATTCCTCAGTTTAGCCTTCCCACCTCTATACAGTCTGAAAACAGACCAGCCTTTATTAGTCAAATCAGCCAAGCAGTTTTTCAGGCTCTTAGTATTCAGTGAAACCTTTATATCCCTTAAGGTCCTCCATCTTCAAGAAAAGTAGAACGGACTAAAGGTCTTTTAAAAACACACCTCACCAAGCTCAGCCACCAACTTAAAAAGGACTGGACAATACTTTTACCACTTTTGCGTCTCAGAATTTAGGCCTGTCCTCGGAATGCTACAGAATACAGCCCATTTAAGCTCCTGTATAGACGCTCCTTTTTATTAGGCCCCAGTCTCATTCGACACCAGACCAACTTAGACTGTGCCCCAAAAAAACTTGTCATCCCTACTATCTTTTGTCTATCATACTCCTATTCACCGTTCTCAACTACTCATACATGCCCTGCTCTTGTTTACACTGCCAGTTTACACTGTTTCTCCAAGCCATCACAGCTGATATCTCCTGGTGCTATCCCCAAACTGCCACTCTAAACTCTTGAAGTAAATAAATAATCTTTGCTGGCAGGACTATGCTGAATCTCTTTAGGCACTCTCTAATCAGATGTCCTAGGTCCTCCCAATTCTTAGACCTTTTATACCTGTTTTTCTCCTTCTCTTATTCCATTTAGTTTTTCAATTCATACAAGACCGTATCCAGGCCATCACCAATCATTCTATACGACATATGTTTCTCCTAACAACCCCACAATATCACCCCTTACCACAAGACCTCCCTTCAGCTTAATCTCTCCCACTCTAGGTTCCCACACCACCCCTAATCCTGCTTGAAGCAGTCCTTAGAAACATTGCCCATTCTCTCTCCATACCACCCCCAAAAATTTTCGCCACCCCAACACTTCAACACTATTTTGTTTTATTTTTCTTATTAATATAAGAAGGCAGGAATGTCAGGCCTCTGAGTCCAAGCCAAGCCATCGCATCCCCTGTGACTTGCACGTATATGCCCAGTTGGCCTGAAGTAACTGAAGAATCACAAAAGAAGTGAATATGCCCTGCCCCACCTTAACTGATGACATTCCACCACAAAAGAAGTGTAAATGGCCGGTCCTTGCCTTAACTGATGACATTACCTTGTGAAAGTCCTTTTCCTGGCTCATCCTGGCTCAAAAAGCACCCCCACCGAGCACCTTGCGACCCCCACTCCTGCCCGCCAGAGAACAAACCCCCTTTGACTGTAATTTTCCTTTACCTACCCAAATCCTATAAAACGGCGCCACCCTTATCTCCCTTCGCTGACTCTCTTTTCGGACTCAGCCCGCCTGCACCCAGTGAAATACACAGCCATGTTGCTCACACAAAGCCTGTTTGGTGGTCTCTTCACACGGACGCGCATGAAAATATTAACATATTGTAGATAAATAATATTATTGATATAGTCTTGAACATTATAACCATATAACCATAAATACAAGCATATGTAATTTAAGTATAATTAAAATTTATAATAAATATTAGTAAATGTATCCTTAAAAATATACCAATTGGCCATTTCCATGTTTTAATTTTCATTGTTATCATTCCTTTCTAATTTAGACTTAAGGTCTTTCTGTCTAGAGGGGCCATGAGCCAAGATAGCCACTCTTCAGGAAAGCCCTGCCAGTTGGGCTGGGGGTTAGGTTTGGCTATGTCAGTCAGGTGAGACACAGAGGGAAGGTGAAACCCAAATGCATGCAACAGAAGAAATTTATTACTTACAGGTCCCAGAGAGGTTAAGAAGCCTGAGATGGAGGAATGGGGTGGTCCAAGGGCAACAGGAAGTTCAACCAGCAAGTGTAGAGGGGCAGGGGCACTGGTGGGACTATGTCTTTATTTATTTTTTTATTTTTATTATACTTTAAGTTTTAGGGTACATGTGCACAACGTGCAGGTTAGTTACATATGTATACATGTGCCATGTTGGTGTGCTGCACCCATTAACTCGTCATTTAACATTAGGTATATCTCCTAATGCTATCCCTCCCCCCTCCCCCCACCCCACAACAGGCCCCCGTGTGTGATGTTCCCCTTCCTGTGTCCATGTGTTCTCATTGTTCAATTCCCACCTATGAGAGAGAACGTGCGGTGTTTGGTTTTTTTGTCCTTGCGATAGTTTGCTGAGAATGATGGTTTCCAGCTTCATCCATGTCCCTACAAAGGACATGAACTCATCCTTTTTTATGGCTGCATAGTATTCCATGGGGTATATGTGCCACATTTTCTTAACCCAGTCTATCATTGTTGGACATTTGGCTTGGTTCCAAGTCTTTGCTATTGTGAATAGTGGCACAATAAACATATGTGTGCATGTGTCTTCACAGCAGCATGATTTATAATCCTTTGGGTGTATACCCAGTAATGGGATTGCTGGGTCAAATGGTATTTCTAGTTCTAGATCCCTGAGGAATTGCCACACTGACTTCCACAATGGTTGAACTAGTTTACAGTCCCACCAACAGTGTAAAACTGTTCCTCTTTCTCCACATCCTCTCCAGCACCTGTTTTTTCCTGACTTTTTGATGAGGGACTATGTTTTTAGTGAGGTCCATTTCATGCTCCCTTAGGCCTTCCTGAGGGGCCTGTGGGTTGCCTAATTTAAAGAAAAAAAAAAGAGGAATTTCATTTGCATAACGGCATAATGCAGCAATTCACCATGTGGTTTTATCATAGCAGCTGTGAGATGAGCCGGGTCTGGGGTCAGTGGGATGACAAATATGTGAGTTCATCACAAACAACAACATGGTAAGGGCAAGTTTTAATCAGGCCAAAGGCGATTGTGCACTGAGACTGGATTTCAAACAACTAACACCAGGCCTAAACATGAACACCAAGGCATCATCTGTATTAAAACAATATACGCTATCCCAGCCATACTACAAGGGTGTCTCCGTCCCTACATCTTCTCCAACGAGCTGTGTTATCTTTGATTCATGCCAATCTGACACATGAACAACAGTATTCTGATGTGGTCTAAATCTGCAGGAATCTTAATTTGAGTGAGAAGGAATATTTCTCATGTGTCTAGGAGCTCTTTGTGCTTGGAGGAATGGCAGACACTATGTGTGTGTGTGTATGTGTGCATATATATATATATATATATATATATATCCTTTCCTTGTTTTCCATTTTATTATAAATATTTTCTCATAGCTTTGTTAGCAAAATTAACCCATTGATCATGATAAAAAAATGCAACTTTTTTTGCAAGATTGTCATTTGTCTTTTGAATTTGTGAAGGTTTTCCCAATTCAGAGCTCTATCTAGTCACTTTTATTAGTCTAGGTCTTGTGGAACACTTTAAAAAGAATTCGGCATTCTTTTGTTTTCTTTTAATGTTTTCTGTATTGTTTTCTTTTTAATATATTGAGCTATTGAAGATTAGTTTTCCACTATTAATTTTTTCAAATACAATCAAGTCATCTTTGTATCCCTTAATTAATAATTATTGTTTTCCTTGCTAATTTAAAAGAGCATCTTTAAATATTTAGATCTGATTGGATCTATTTATGGGCCTCTTCCATTTATGTCTTAGCTAAGACCAACATCACTGATTTAATTATTGTATTTTTATGTAAGAAATTTTTTTCCAGATGAGATTGGTCATGTTCAGGGAGGGAAAAAAAAAACAAAAAACGAAATCATATCCTTTTCAGTAACATGGATGCATCTGTAAACCAGTATCCTAAGTGAACTAACACAGAAACAGAAAACCCAAGTGCTGCATGTCCTCACTTATAAGTGGAGCTAAACATTGGATACACATGGTCAAAAAAAATGGGCACTAGAGACCTGGGGGAATACACAAGGAGGAAGAGACTGAGGAAGGGATGAAAGAAACTAGGTACTGGGTACTGTACTCACTACCTGGGTGACAGATTCATCTGTACTCAAACCCTCAGCATCATGCAATCTATTTTTGTAACAACCCTGCACATGTACCCCCTGATTCCAAAATAAAAGTTGAAAAAAGAAAAGGAATATTTTTGTTTCCAGAAAGCTTCTTTATTCCTCTCTTCAAAAAGCTATGAGAATGCAAAGGCATAAGAATGATATCATGGACTTTGGGGACTTGACAGAAAGGATAGGAGGGGGTGAGAGATAAAAGACTACACATTGGGTACAGTGTACACTGCTCAGGTGACAGGTACACCAAAATCTCAGAAGTCACCACTAAAGAACTTATCCATGTAACCAAAAACCACCTGTTCCTCAAAAACTATTGAAATAAAATTTTAAAAAGTAAAATAAAATTTGCAGAGCATCATTAAAAATGATATTATATCTTTATTGATATAGTATTAAATGTATAGATTAATGAAGGGAGACTTGCCAATTCTATAAAGTTGTCTTTTCTTGTTCGGGCAGAATATGTTTTTCCTTGACCAAGTCTACATGTGGTAATACTTCATAGTGCTTTAACATTTTCTTCATCATGGTCTTCAACATTCCTTACTAAGTTTACCCCAAGTTATGTCATGTTTTTGTTGATATTACAAGTGTGCCGTTTCTTTCACTAGAATGTCCCATTGCTTGTGTATAAGACATCAATTGATGTTTGTGTATTTCATAGTCATATCCTGACACTTTCTGGATTCTTTTATTATAATTGTTTTTCAAGTAGTTCCTTTCAGTTTTTCATGTTTTTCTATAATGAAAATGTTGTTTTATCCTTTTGTTTCTCTCTCCCTTCTGATTGCATTGAATATTAGCTCCAGATTAAGAAAAATAAGAGTGAAAACATTTAGCATTATTTTGTCTTCCTGTTGATTTATGGGGATGCTTCCAGGGCTTTCCTAAGAAACATTAAAGTGACTTTGGGATGAAGATGTGCATTTTAAAAATATTTTAATATGAACATTTTAAAACATACAAAAATAATATATACATACACACACATATATATATAAATTTGTTGAATTAGTCAAAAAAATACAGAAATCGTAAATCTCCAAAAAATAAGATTATTCTTCTACATATACACAAAATGACTATCATGCATTAAAAAGTTAATAATGATTCTATTATAACATGCAGCTCGTTTTAATATGTATTCAACTAATTCAAAACATGGCTTTTATAGCTGATTTTTTTCAAATCAGGAACCAATTAGTTCACAGATTGCATGTACTTGATATATGTTATGTTGGATATATTTCATTATTGATGAGAAACTATGTACTTACTTTTTTCTTATTAATAGTTGTTAAATTTATCAACTTTTTCAGCATTTAAGGAGAGGTTTATAAATTTTTCTTTTTTTCTCGATAATGTGTATTATCTTATTGTTAAAAGATGTCCAAGTATTGAAGGAATTTGCCCTCTGGGAATAAAGCTCTTGGTGTTACTTTGTCAGTGTATTGCTGGATATTTTTACTAAGTGAGATTTGCCTGTGCTTTTTGCTTTTCATCCTTTTTTTTTAACCTTTGATAGCAAAACTATGTTTATGTCATTTTTAGAAAAGTAAGATCATGTCCTTTTCCTAGGCCCTGAAATAGTTTAAATAGCACTGCAGTCAGTTCAGCTTCCAGGATGGTGGTGAACCACCCCCACAAACCAACCCCTCTGTTAATACCCACAAACACGAGGAGAATGCACATTGTGTTTTCTCTCCACTCTGTACAGGAAGTCCTCCCTTAATGTCATCAATTGGTTCTTAGAAACTGCGATTTTGAGCAAAATGACATATAAAGAAAATAGGTTTTTTTCTCATCAACATTATAACAAAATCACATTATTATTATTATTTTCTTTTTTTTTAATTTTACTTTAAGTTCTGGGATACATGTGCAGAACACGTAGGTTTGTTACACAGGTATACATATGCCATGGTGGTTTGCTGCACTTATCAACCCGTCATCTAGGTTTTAAGCCCCTCATGCGTTAGGTATTTGTCCTAATCCTCTCCCTTCCCTTGTCCCCCACCCCCTGACAGGCCCCAGTGTGTGATGTTCCCCTCCCTGTGTCCGTGTGTTCTCATGGTTCAATTCCCACTTATAAGTGAGAACATGTGGTGGTTTTCTGTTCCTGTACTACTTTGCTAAGAATGATGGCTTCCAGCTTCATCCATGTGCCTGCAAAAGACATAACCACATTCCTTTTTTACGGCTGCATAGTATTCCATGGTGTATACCTGCCACATTTTCTTTATCCAGTCTATGATTGATGGGCATTTGGGTTGGTTCCAAGTCTTTGCTATTGTGAACAGTGCTGCAATAAACATATGTATGCATGTGTCTTCATAGTGGAATGATTTATAATCCTTTGGGTATATATCCAGTAATGGAATTGCTGGGCCAAATGGTATTTCTGGTTCTAGATCCTTGAGGAATTGCAAGATGCCATTATTTAAGGACCTGGTCATTTTGCTTAAAGTCACAGTTTCCAAGAATCTATCGATGACTTTGAGGATTCATTGTATTACTTTCAGTTTCTGCTACACTCTCTTATTATCTCTTCCCTGAGCTTCTGCATTCCTATATATATTTTTTTAGTTTTGCTTTTTGTTGTGATAATTAAGATTTCATACATTTTCTGAAGATATTTTTAGCCTCGGTTTCTATGAGTTTCATGAAATCTTTCTTCTGGTGAGTGTTCTTGACCTGCCATTTTCTCTTACTTATTCTTGAAATACCTTTAGATAGATCTTATGGTGTTTATTTTTTATTAATCCTCTTGAATAAGGTGAATCCTTTCTGGACCACCTATTAGTAGGAGTTTCCTGTAGAGAGGGGTCCAGACTGTGTTTCAGGCCAGGAAGGATTTTTCTTCCTATGTGGGGTTATGAAAGTGGATTAATTATTTTAACTATTGCTTTTCCGCAGCCAGTGGTGATCAGAAGCTACAGACTGATCAAAGGAAAGAGACATTTCTTCTTTCTGGTACCCTTTCTCCCTGTCCCTTCAGCTGCTTGCAATTCTCCCACCTTTGGCCTTCCCAGGGACTCCTACTAAGTAGGTTTCTGAATGTACCAACTATGGGATTTGGAATAAGTCACCTACTTGGGCCTAGAATGAAGTTCTGACCCTCACATGTTGCATTTGTGTCCTGAAGAAAGGAGAAAAAAGACAGAAAACAATATTTATTAACCCCCTGACCCCATGTGTGCCAGGCACTCTGATAGGCTCTTTGTATATATTAACACATGGAATTCTGGAAACAATTGGAAAAAATTTCAAGAATAATCATTATTGTACCAATTTTTCAGATGGACAACTTGAAGCAAAGTGGAGTAAGTTCCTCAGCCATGATTGTAGAGCCAGTGAGTGCTGCAGTGGGATTCTGATGACTGCAAGGTCCAAGCTCTTGATGCTATCTCCTGGGTTTCTTCATTGCTTCCCAAGTCTAAGCTGCTGTCATTTAGACAAAGATTCTCTGATTACAATGACAGTCAGAAAGAGGTTCCTGTTGCCCCACCTCCAACAGTGGCCCATGTCCTTCTGTTCCTCTTTGCCTGTCTTCTCCATTTGCCAGTCCCCAAACTGCCATCAGCTTGCTCAGTGGAATTGGCTGTCTGCATTGGTCCTTTTCTGATTAGAGCATTGCTCAGTGCTCCTCCTAGGAGCCTGTGCCCCGATTTGCCAGTGGCTTTTTTTTTTTTTTTTTAATTCAAGCCTTCTTTGCCATGAGCCCAAAAGTGCCTTCTAACTGGAGTTTGAGAATCAAGTAGAAATGAGCTATATGATCTGACAGCTTTTGCTACCTGGCTTCCCATCACTTTGCTCCACTGACCTGGAGCGCAAGCACACACTATTGCCCAACTATAATAAAGATGATTCTATTTGTTGGGAGCAAAACTCTAGAACAGGAGAAGTGGGCCAGGCTCATGATGTAAGCTCAGGCCTTGAATTCAGAGAGCCCTGTTCAGTTATCCTTCTCGGTAGGCAAATAATTGTCAGCATATCCTCCTGAACTAGGCTATTTCCTCATAAACAGGGCTGAAACATTTGTCTCCCTGCCCATGAGGTTGTTGTGAGTCTCAGAAAGAGAATTAAGATGAGAAAACATTCTGCAAATTATAATGTACTTACTAAATGCCCTCTGTTACTAATAGTCTTATTGCAACTGATATTAGTAGGATAAGTGGGTAGTGAAGGAGTGCTGCATGAGTTATGTCAAACAATAGCTTCCAAGAGAGGACGTCTTGCTTGCTATTCAGTAGAACAGGGCAGTTGTGTGGGTGGCTTCTGCAGTCAGAGCATCTAGTTTGACTACAACTAGCAACACCCCTTCTTATCTATGTGATTTTCAATTAGCTTTAGAAATTGCACTAGTTTATTGGGAAATTGAGGTAAGGACCAAGACAGACAAACCTTCTATGATACTCATCATGATGCCTGATCAATGAATATTGGCTGCTATCGTTATGCTGTTATGTGTGACTGAACTGAGTCAATTAATTAATAGAATTAGAATGGCCCTTAGACACCTCTCCCTTCTTTATAAGATGAGGTCTCAAGCCACACAGGTCCAGAAACTTAACCTTAATGGACCCATTCTCACTAATTAAACTGACAGGAGATCAATGCAAAACCAGGATGTAAAATTCTTAAGCAGCACTGGGGACTGAGACCGGTTAACATATGGCAAAGCTTAGTAACCCTATTTGGAGGCTGCCTCGAGGCACACAGGAAGGGAGGGTGATTAAAAGGCTGGAGAAAGCTTCAGGGCTGAGAAGAGAAGAAGGGAGATTCCTTCGGCTCTCCCTTTGTCTCTCTAGGTATGCAAATGCCCCCAAAACTAAGGATTAAAAGGACTGAGTTTCCAAAACACAAGTCCTTGGCTAGCATTTCCCATAAGACACAGATCAATCTTCACAGCACAACTGTATCAGAGGCTCATGCCTCTGTCCAGAGCTACTTCCAATTTCATGCCCAGGTTTTCTTCATTTCATTGAAACTCTTGGTCATTCACAGAGGCTTGTTTTGGAGCCATTTTGCAGAAGCCTCTGAGAACAATGCAATTTCTAGTGTCTTGGTGCTAGACAGGGTCCCTTATATCCACCCTGATTATAGCAGGAAAAAGAGACCCTTGATTTTTGACACTCTTTTGTTCTTCCTCTGACTCTTGAACACATGGGCAATTTACCCCCATTCTTTTTTCTAAGAACATTTTTCAGTATAAATTGTGGCATGGAAAATGGTATGTTTCTTCTGGTTCCAGATAAGGAAAGCTGTAAATAATTTAAAGTTCCTGCTGTGCAAAATTACCCAAACAGAAAGTACACTTTTTTATGCTGGCACTGAGGATGGTAAAACAAGAAATTGTGCCAATTTTCCTACAGGTGAAATTTTAGCTTCTTTATAACATAAGCACTTTGACTCTGAAAAAAGTAACATAATGAGATTTTGTGCAAGGTGTGCCAGAATTAATATAGGGCTATAGAAATAATAGCCCAAATTTACCTTTCATCCACACACAAAGACACAAAATTACTGAAAGTTTGTGCTGAGAGCATTAAGCCACACCCCAGGGCTCAAAGATTGTGTCCCCTAATAGCATTTATGTTGCCACAAATGTCAGTGTCAGCACTTCAAACTTATGCGAAAGCTATTATTTTGTGGCATAAAATTCTGATGTATATGTTATTTGAATCTCTATAAGCCACTATAATTTGAAGCATCAATGTGACCTATTTTTCCCCTCTTGATTAACAGGTCATCATAAAATGGGTTGTGTCTATTTTCACCTGGCCCACTGTGTGTTGTGAGTGCCACCAGAGCTATCTTGCTGTACCTCCACAGATTGTAGGATTTTCTTCCTTTATGTTGAATTTAGCACTGAAACTGACAAAGTTTCATTCTCAAGAATGAAAAGGTCACGGAGAAGAGGAGGAGAGAAGCCACTTTGCTGGACTTTCCTCCTTGGGACACTTGTGCTGAGGGCATGTGATGGAAAGAGAAATGGACTTCTGGTCTCCAGTTTGGGTGCCATATACAATGAGGGCTGCTTCTCTGGTCACCAGAACAGTGACTTCTGCACACGCTCAGCCATCCCAGAGCTTGTCCCTAACGATCCAGGAAGGGATGGGGCATTGGGCTCTATGAAGACTAAGCACAAGCACTAGTAGGCAGGAGCCAAATATACTTAAGAATCATAATAAAATGTATCTATGGACAGCTACTAAATATAATAAAAATGTAGTGTACGACTGGAGTTTGTTTCTGGCGATAGTGATCAACTCCTCTCACCAGAGGGCTGGGTACATCAGGTGTCAAAAGTTCAGTCTGTTACTTCCCCAACTCTAGTCTTTTGCCAGGTTTCTGGCTGCTGTACGGTTCTGAGCAAATGTCAAAAGGCCAGAAGGATGAGTCTCCACAGGGGTTAATGAGTTTAGATGATGGCTTTCAGAAAGAAACAGAAAGAAAAAGGAAGGAAAGAAAGAAGGAAGGAAGAACGGAAGGGAGGAAGGAAGGAAGGAGGGAGAAAAGATAGGAAGGAGAGAGTGAAGGAAGGAAGAAACAGAAGGAAGGAATTAAAGAGAGAGAAGATAGGAGGGAGGGAGGGAGGAAGGGAGGAATGGAAGGAGAGAGGGAGGGAAGGAAGGCAAAAAGATAGGAAGGAGAGAGGAAGGGAGGAAAGAAATGGAAGGAATTAAAGAGAGAGAAGTTAGGAAGGAGGGAGGGAGGAAAGATACAGAAGGAAGGAATTAAAGAGAGAGAAGATAGGAAGGAGGGAGGGAGGGAAGAAGGAAGAAAGGAAAGGAGGAAAGAGGGAGGGAGGGAGAAAGAAAAAAAATTTTAAAACACTGCATCCTATAAAATGGTCTCCACAGTTGCATGGGAGGGGTGTCACAGGCTTCCCTGACTGTTGGAGACAAAAGAATAAATCTTCAGGTATTTTACCTGCAAAGATCCCCCTTTGCTCAAGGTCCTCTTGTCTGCCAAGTGTGTTGGTCAGCAACTGGCATCCAGGCATCTGCTTGATGTGTTTGTTTCACCTTCACATGTCTGTTCTGACAGTGTATCTTCAGCGGGCCTTTCCATGGACCTTGAAAGCCCTAGGTTTTTCCCTGATGAGCTTATAACATTTTGTTGTTGCCACCTTCTTTCAATTCTTCCTTCTTTATTAAACTATAAATTCTATGGGGAAAGGGTTTCTATCTGTCACATTCACAGTTGTATGCCTTGAGCCTACTGGTCAACCCTCAGCAACACTTGTTGAATAAATGAGCCCAAGATATCTCATTGTACTCCTTTAGGCTCATCTACAGGCAGGTTCTATATTCTGAGATGAAAGAGGATATTGTATTTCTTTCCTAGATTCTTCCTGGGTTGGCCGTATACCCAGTGCTATAGTTTGGATGTTTGTCCCCTTCAAACCTCAAGTTGAAATTTGATCTCCAGTGTTGGTGGTGCCTAATGGGAGGGCTTTGGGTTATGGGGTGGACCTCTAAAGAGTACATTAATGCCCCTTCTGGGACAGGTTGGGGGTGGGAGGAAGGGGAGAGTGAATTCTAGCTCTATTTGTTCCCATGAGAGCTGGTTGTTAAAAAGAGTCTCTCATCTTCCCCCTTCTCCTGATTCTTCTCTCACCGTGTGATCTCTACATACACCAGCTGCCCTTTGCCTTCTGCCATGATTGAAAGCAGGTGAGACCCTCACCAGAAGCTAAGCAGATGCTGGCGCTCTGCTACTTGCACAGCCTGCAGAACTGTGAGCCAAATAAACTCTTTTCCTGATAAATTATCTAGCCTTAGGTATTCCGTTATAGCAATATAAATGGACTAAGACACTCAGCTATCACAAATATGACTTGGCTTGGGCACTCAGGATCTTGAGAAAAGGCTGTTGATCAAGTCATAGAGGGGCTTCCTCAGTTCTCTGCCCCTGACAACTTACTTAGCCTTGGGTCCCAAGTGCTGTAAGTTTATCCTAGGTGGAATGGAGATCCTTGAAGCTATGTCACCTAACAATGATTTCAGGCAGGGCTATGTCCACTGCCCTTGGAAAAATGGAACCTTGAGTCTAAACTTTTCCATAGAACACACTTCACCTTCCAACCTAAAACAATGGAAGTTTTCCAGTTGGAAATTATCCCAGAGGCTGATGTACAGATTTCCCTTTCAGTATCTTTTCTGCCACTAATGGATTAGAAGTTCCCAGGACTTTGATTGTCCTAAGTTGTATAGTTATGGGGCAGTTACAAGTGTGATAAATACCATGTGATGATAATGGGTATATGATCTTCCCTGAGCTTCAGATCAAAATGGGTAAACTTTGAAAATATCTACTTATTACCTAAAAAAAAATCTAGGATGAGTTTCTTGTTACATGACAGAATCACAGAATAGACTGCTTGATAGCCAGTCTTTACAATTTACTGTAATTGTCTCTGTCAATCTCTGGAGAAAAGGGGACGTGGCACCCTGGCTGAGTCTGAAAGTCTGTTTTGTTACCAAATTCCTGACAAATGGACTTGGAGTGAATGCCCCCTCTCATTGGGATGTTTTGCATGGACAACAGGATTCAAACTTGGCGTCTGGTATCTTATCATCACTTTCTCCCCAGCGAACATTTAATCCTTCAAGTCAGAGAGTAAGTAATATATTTAACATGTCTCACCTTCAAGCTTTATTTCATAAATTATAAACACCTGCTTTTTAGTGACTGCTACTTAGTCTCTTTTATTGTACCAATTGTTTTTTCCATCATAAATAATTCAGGACATATTTATCCCAAAATAGTGCAATTTGAAGGAATCATAGAATAGCTTTCCCTTAATTTTTAGCATCCTTGTTAATAATACCCAATGCCAAGAGTGTGCTACAACTGTCCTTGCCTGACTCTGCAGATAGAGCTGCTGACTGTGGGCTATACATGGCAGTGGCAGAAAGAATCCAATCCACACAGATGTCTTTCCTTTCTATACTCAGGACAGGCTGCCAAGATAAGGACACAGAGCTGCCATGCACAATGAGTGCATGCACTCATGCACACGTGACAACCCCCTGGAGACTGATTTAGAGGGACCTGAGATGTAGATCCACCCCTGATTTGCCTCAGGGTCAAATTCCCATCCTAACATAACCTCTTGGTGGGGATATTGACTCTTCAAAGCAGAACGGTGTGAGAAGTATCTTAATCAATAGCTCTACCAACTCAGCAGGATTTCTTGATTACATTTGTGGGCATAATCCTAATGGGATATGACACAGGAATGCTTCCTGCTTTCTGGACAAGCAGCAGTGCTGGTCTTCTATATGACAGGAGAATCCACCTCACATGGGGTAGTCACAGAAGGAGAAGAAAAGGTAGTCAAGATCCTTTAAGTCATCCTTAAGGACCCTGGACCCTTGGAAACTGTCAGATATAGGAACATATTTTTGTGTTTCTGAAGTTGAGGCTTTCTGAATATATTTGTCTGCAAATTCAGGAACCTGGGCTCACAGAAAGCCTTGTGAAATTAATTTACAGCTGCATAAAGAGTGAAAGAACTCCAGAGAGATCTACCTTTCTCTGGGGGCATATGTTTACATTTCATGGGAAAATGAGCCCTGTGAACTTGAAGGCACCTCTAGCTTATAGAAGTGGACATGAGGGCCTACCTGGCCCTAGAAAAGATGTATTTACATTCCAATAGGTTAGAGTGAGAATCCAGGATCCTTTCTCTTGTATCTCCAAGGAACAAAGGTTTTTTTCATCCTCCTTTTGGGAGGTTTGAGAAGGTGGCTGACTCTTCCTCCTCTAGATAAGGAGATAAAACCTGTTCCTAAACTATGATGTAGACTTTGACATTTGCATGTGTAGGACATTTGTCTCAGCTTTTATCATTCTTAACCCCAGGGTTAAGAATCAGGGTGTGAGCCAGTTAGAATAGCAATCATTAAAAAGTCAGGAAACAACAAGTGCCGCAGAGGATGTGGAGAAATAGGAACACTTTTACACTGTTGGTGGGACTGTAAACTAGTTCAAACATTGTGGAAGTCAGTGTGGTGATCCCTCAGGGATCTAGAACTAGAAATACCATTTGACCCAGCAATCCCATTACTGGGTATATACCCAAAGGATTATAAATCATGCTGCTATGAAGACACATGCACACATATGTTTATTGCGCCACTATTCACAATAGCAAAGACTTGGAACCAAGCCAAATGTCCAACAATGATAGACTGGGTTAAGAAAATGTGGCACATATACACCATGGAATACTATGCAGCCATAAAAAAGGATGAGTTCATGTCCTTTGTAGGGACATGGATGAAGCTGGAAACCATCATTCTCAGCAAACTATCACAAGGACAAAAAACCAAACACCACATGTTCTCTCTCATAGGTGGGAATTGAACAATGAGAACACATGGACACAGGAAGGGGAACATCACATACCAGGGCTTGTTGTGGGGTGGGGGGAGGGGGGAGGGAGAGCATTAGGAGATATGCCTAATGTTAAATGATGAGTTACTGGGTGCAGCACACCAACATGGCACATGTATACATATGTAACTAACCTGCACATTGTGCACATGTACCCTAAAACTTAAAGCATGGAAAAAAAAAAAAAGAATCAGGGTGGGAGGATCCATGTGGTCATTATTATTTGCTTTTTAAATAAATAATGATCATCTCTCTGTAATCTAGAACACCAAATGTTCACAATCAGGATAAAATTATAAAGATGAATATTAAAAACCCAACAGAAATTCAAAGGGAAAAAAAATTAGTCTACATTTGTTTCTATTTCAGCTTTGTTTGTGGCCAGTCAAGAAGGAGGGTTCGAAGAGAGGTAATAGGGTAAATGGAGGGGTGGGGATTTGCCTTTAATTTATTTTTGCTGTTGGAGCTAGTTTTTTGCCAAATAAATGGGGTTGAATTGGAGTCTGTTAAATCAGGGTTTCTCAGCCTCAACACTACTGACAATGTGGGTGATAGCTCTTTATTGTGGGGGTTGTCCTGTGCATAACAGGAGGTTCAGCAGCAACCCTGGCCTCAACACACTCAATGCCAATACAACAACACCACCCCACTTTTGGTAACAACCAAAAGTCCACACCACCCCACTTTTGGTAACAACCAAAAGTGTATCCACACATGGCCAAATGCCCAATAGGGGGCAAAATCACCCCTGTTGAGAACTACTGTCTTAAATGCACATGTGACACCATTATTTTTAAGCATTTGACATAGTACTAGTCATGGATGAGATTGGGGGATCTGGTCTTCTGCATGGGCAAATTAGATTATTGCCTACTTGCCTAAAGAGGTATTTCTAGAAACTTCCATTCAGAAAGAAAGCTCCTGCCGTGTGTTCACTCTATTTAAATGATGACTAAACCCTTTAATCCACTGCGTTAGAGCTTACTCTGTGAATACCTGGAAAGGGTATCATAGTCATACAGATCCACTTGCAAGAGAGTGTCAAAGTAGATGATCAAGGCAGCAGATGCTTTTGTTGTGATCAGCATTTGATAGAGGAGAAGGCATCAGATCACAGTGGGAAAAGGATGCAGAAAGCAAAGACCAGAGGTACCAAAAATCAGATTCACTTAATACAAAATTTTGCTAAGTATGAGCACCATTGAGCATTGAAATATGTAAAAACAGAATGCACAGCATTTGAGAATGCTGTTAAAACTCACAGTGCTAACATGGAAAATAGCCCTATTTGTGACCCCTTTTTAAATTGTAAGGGAGTGAGCAGAGAGGTCAGCTTGGGTTAAGATAAGACAGGCAGACCCCTCGACAGCTGAAGGCATGGGAGCACAGGAAGTCTGGAGATTGGGGCTGACATAGGGAAGAAGATACTCCAGGAAGAATGAATGCAAGAGCACCTTGCCTAGTTTGAATTTTCCTTAGAAATGTCTCATTGTCTGGACCCAAGATGTGGCTTATATTGAAGTTATTTATCTAAATTCTCCTCTCCTCCACTGGATTCTAGATTTTTGTGGGCAGTTCCTGGTCTTAAACATTAATATTTCTGCTGATGTGCCTAGCACAGGATCTGTCACAATAGGAGAATGGTAAAATAAGTGAGTCCATGCCAAAGGAAACCTGATGTTCATTAGGCCTGGTGTAGTATTTCTGCCACTCTGTGTGGCTGTGCCTCAAGAAGGTCATCCCAATATGGACAGTCATTCACACCTGCCTCTTTAGACAGCCTGTAGGAGGGAAAGAGCTGGGCACCATCATGCCAAGTCCTTGAAGACTTTCAACATGAAGGAGCTAAAATTCCCAAGTATAATAGAATATGGCTTATAAAGGTATATTAATATTCTGTGCTGCAAAACAGATAACAACAAGTTTAGAGGCTTAAAACAACATCCATTCATTTTCTCAATTGCTGTGGTTCAATAGGCCAAACCCAGCTTAGCTGGGTCCTCTGATTAGAGTCACACAACACTGTAATGAAGCATTGACTGGGCTGTGTTCTCACTGGAAAGCTGGACTGGGGAAGGATCCACTTCCAAGCTCACACAGGTGGTTGGCAGAATTCATCTCCTTGTGGTTGTAGAAATGAGGGCTCCAGTTCCTTGCTAGCTCTTGGCTGGGGACTTCCACAGCTCCTAGAGTCACCCATAGTTCTCTGCCATGTGGTCTTCTCTATAGGCAGATTGATTCCACAACATGACGTATTGCTTCTTCGAGGCCCATAGGAGAGCAAGAGTGAGTCTGGAATTTTATATAACACAATGCAGTCGCAAAGGAGCTATCCCAGCACCTTTGCCATATTCTATTGACTAGATGCAAGTCCCACCCAAACTCAGTGGGAGGGAATTGCACAAAGGCATGACAGCAGGAAACAGGGATAATTGGGTTTTATCTTAGAATCTGTCTACCATGTGAGAAAATAAAATTTAAAATAAAATTCAGCAATTCTCCCTTGAGTAGCTTCTCTGAAGCTGTTCAGAAGAGATTTAGCAAGCATCACTTGGCAACAATTCTGATTTCCCCACTGGATGGCAAAGCCAAAGGGAAAAGAATGCCCTACAGTATAAATTTCCCCCCTTTTCATGCAGTGGTAGCCTTGCAATAGGTCTGTAGGCCAGAGAGCATTAGAAACCAATCTCATTTAACACTTTGACCTACTGCCTAAACACAGTGTCTAATTAAAGAAAGGGTGTGTGGAAGAGGGATGAAAGTCCAATCACTTCAGAAACCCTGGATTGAAATTCTAGAGTATGTATTCCCAACCTTCTGACATTCCTGGGCAGGACCAAATGCCTTTACCTTGACATTTATGCATAGCTTACATCTTCTTTTATAATGAAGGGTAACACCTAGAACCTTCTGCCCCTGGAAACCTGGTATGTCTTTCCTTCACCCATTCTGACCAATTTCTTTTGGATTTTCCTTGGAATTTTGTTCTGACCTCATGAGAAGTAGATTTGTTTTGTTTCAGTGGTGTTTGCCCAGACCCTATCCTTATCTACTGTTTGACTAAGCACAAAATGTTTTCTTTATCAGGTAAATGTAATTAAGAGGCCAGTCACTCAGCAAACTCAATCATTTCTGGCTGAAGGCTAAAAATAGAGGAAGAAAAAAATTCTTACAGGCCCTAAAATAGAGGAAGAAAAAAAGAGGAAGAAAAAAATTCTACAAGGAAGCAAAAGTGAATCACATTCTAAACTTCTCTGTGCAGTGACCCTTTAGTGAAGGAGGAAGGAGCCACTATTTCTACCTACTTAGCAGCAAGAGATTCTAAGTTAGCTCCTTTTCCTCCTTGAACTCCATCCCCATAAAAGGGTTATTTGAGTTTACTGTACAAATTAGAATTGTTCCTTCTCCCCATCTCCCACCCTCAATTGCCCTCTGTCCCTCAGCAGTGCCACAAATGAAGATGTGCATCTGGCTTGCTGCCCACCATAACCCCTGCATTGTTTTCTTCTGATTCTCACAGTAGTCACTTGCAATTGTCTTTCATCCTGTTGCATATCAGTTGTATGGTTCTTTTCTTACTTTGATCCTTATTCTAAAAAACAATCACGTATTTCCTCAATTTTGACAGCATGGACTTTAAGCCTTGTAAAGGTCTTTGAAGATCTCAACCCCCTCATCTTACAGTTAAGAGTAGTGGTGATGAAGCTATTGAATCATTCATCAAGAGTCATAGTGACTTTTACCAGGAGTGGAAGAGATCGCACATGAATTTTTTAATTGATTATACACTATATTGGCTTCATGGGAGGGTACAATAGAGACCTGGTCCCAAAGTAGGATCCCTGGATTGCCAGATTTGTTGTGACTGCATTATAAGAAGACACTGTCAAGTCTCAGAAAAACCTGGAAGATGCCATAGTCAGGGAGACCCCTCTGGGGCCCAATCACTGTCCCCCACACTTGCATCACAGTCCCCTCAACCTACATCATGTACATGTCGCCATCTTTCTTCTTTTCCTAGAACCCAGGCTTTCTTGCAATACCAGTGCCACACTCCTCCATCTACCAACTCTGCTCCCCAATCTCTGATATCCTAGTGAGTTCATTAGGTCCACATTCTACCACTGCCCCTCTTTCTTAACTTGAAACACCACCTTTTAGCCATGCCTCTACCATCTGCTGCCTGATAATTCCTGTTCCCTGTGCACCACATGACTATCAGATCTATCATTTATGGAATGCCTACCAGGTGCCCAGCATTGTGCTTGGTATTTATCATCACTAATTTATTTATTACTAATTTAATTGCCACCAAAACCTTATGAAAATGGATATTATCCCCATTCTAGACATGAGGAGACTGAAGTTCAGAAAGATTAATGACTTGTTCACACTCATCCATTTGTTGTGGTGCCACCAGGATTTGAATCCAAGTCTGACTCTGGAATCCATGGTCTCTCTACTGCCCCAACACAGCATCCCAGTATGCCTTGAATTTTCTGGAACATTACTGATTTCAAACACTTGTCCCTTAGGACTCCTGAGTGTACACACACATATGTCAGATTATTTATTCTCAATTATGTTTAGAAAAGAGAGTACCTGGCAGGGGACAGTGGCTCATGTCTGTAATCCCAGCACTTTGGGAGGCGGAGGTGGACAGATCACCTGAGGCCAGGAGTTTGAGACCAGCCTGGCCAACATGGTAAGACCCCATCTCTACTAAAAATACAGAAATTAGCTGAGTGTGGAAATGTGTGCCTATAATTCCAGCTACTCGGGAAGCTGAGGCAGAAGAACCTCTTGAACCCAGAAGGCAGAGGTTGCAGTGAGCTGAGATCACGCTACTACACTTCAGTGTGGGAAACAGAGAGACCGTGTCTCAGAAAAGAAAAAAGAAAAGAGAGTGGCCATATCTATGTATAAAACTAGTGACACACAATTATTCTGCCTTTGCTTTAGTGCACACATACACTCAGAAATACGCGTGCATATGTGTAATACATTTCATATTTTGAACAAGCAGATATTTCAACACTAAGGAATCGTAAAAATAAACAAAGGTCTGTTTGCAAAGACTCATACCATTACTGTCATCTGTCTACCTTGCACTACAAACAATTTGAAGTCACATTGATTGTTTTCACAATTTTCTCAAATATTTAACAACTCGCATCCTTGCGGGGGATGTTGAGGAACTAGAGTGGTGTTTTCCGATTTTGTTTTTTTGGTTTTTTGGTGGGTTTGTTTTTTCGGTCTTTTTTTGTTTGTTTGTTTGTTTGTTTTTGTTTTGGTCTAATTGGCATTATATCATGTTGAAACATTTTGAGATTTTTTTGAAGTTAACTTTTTTTTTTCCTTTCATTTCTGAGTTTCACTCCCTTGTTTATCGTTTCCAGCATAATTTTTTTTTGGTATACCTCTAAGTAGTCCTTTGTGAATCTACACTGGATGTTTCCTGTTCTTTGTGTTGTTTCTAAAGAAATTGCAATTTTCTGGGCTCTAATTAAAGTGCCCCACAGGATACTTCAGTTTTCTTCTGCTTCATGTAATATTGTGCAATTTTTTTTTATTGTGCTTTCTGCTCCTCTTTATGGATACTGAATTCTCTTCTACTGTGTTCCCTTAAATGCCCATAAGAACCATAAATGAATGTATGTTTATTATGCCTTTCAAAGTTTGAAATATAAATGTTGGATTTCTACTCTTTTGACATCCAACACTTAACATGTAGTGATGATTGCATATTCCCAGCTAATGTGATGAGTCAATAAAGGAGGATTAGACAGTTCTGCTGATATCTACCACTAGAAATGGTGCATATAGGCAAAGGCCAAAATGAAAGAATTCTAATTTTTCTTATAGAAAAGTAATAATGTCTTCTGCTTCCAGGAAGATGTATTAGGGCATGTCAGACCAATAACACCACTGCAACAATTTTTTTTAAGCTGGATAAATTACACAACCCATATTTTTAAAGGATTGGAAAGCTATAGTGCTATGGTTTGTATATGTCTCTCAGAATTCATTTGTTGAAAACTTAATCCCCATTGTGATTAATGCCATTATAAAAAGTGCTCATGTGAGTGAGTTCCCACTATTGCTCTCTTGCCCTTCCACTTCTGCCAGGTGAGAACACTGCAAGAGGGCCCTTCCCAGATGCCGGCATCCTGTTCTTAGACCATTCTCCAGAACTGTGGGAAATTACATTTCTGTTTTTATTAAATGATCCAGTCTCAGGTATTCTGCTATAGCAGAACAAATGAAATAAGACATATGGAAAAGCCAAAGATTAGAAGAACTAAAGCCCCAGAGACAGAAGAGTTCCTTCTAGTGAGGTAGTCATTGCTGGCTGTTTTCTTCTTTTGGCATTATTTGCCAATTCTGGACATCAGTTAAAGATTAGGCTTATCTCAAACTAAGGGATGCTCTTGGTAGGCTTTGGGAAGTCACATGTGGGTAGAGTGATGGCTTGGAAACTATTGTCATCTCCAAACAATTTCCCCATGAGACTTCTGAGTTCTCTGACAGTGCTGGGAGTGGAAAAACCTAGACACAAACACAGATTAAAATTTTCTGTAATAATCTAGTGATTAAAAGACTAAGTCCCATTACAGGGAGAAGCCCTTCAGCAGACATGAAGCTGGCCTCCCTCTCAAGCTGCCAGCCATATTTGAGCCTACGTGCAGGAAAAATTCAAAGCCTCCAAAGGGCAAAGCATTCGAGTTGAGAAAACAGGTCCCTCAGTCAAACATCTGGGAAAGTCATGCCCAATAAAAGCAGAGCAAAATATCCCACAGAGGGAGGGGGCCTACATAAAAACACATGGCAGGTCTCTCAAGACATTTGCCAGATTCAATTTCTGAACTTGTACAAGGTGAAAGGCTAAGGAGCTAAGCACAAAATCTCTAAAGGGCAGAATATTCTGGGCTAAGGAGATAAACCAAAACCTAGAAGCACCATATACAAGAAACAAGGACTTGCCAGATGTGAAACAATCCTAAAATTGCAATCCAGCCTTGACCAAAAGTAATTTTAATTGGACTGAGGTGATCAGTTCCTCATAATATATGCCCACATGAGGAAATTGAATCCTCAGCAGTGGAAGATATTATCTAGAGCACCTGAGATTTATTTATATGCAATACCTGAAATATAATTTTAAAAATTATTAGTCAGACAGTGGGATCCATAAGTCAGAACATGTTAAAAAAAAAATAGAGGCTTCTGGTTTCAGCTCTGACAGGTAAAGAGACTAGAAGTTCTCATCCTTTACTTAAATCAAGAGAAAGCTGGAAAAATATAAATCAGTGACTTTCCTTGAACTCAACAGAAAATGGAGGTCACAGGGAAAAAGTAACATCAAAATATTGAGAAACAAACACGGAGCATAATAGTCAAGATCTGCTTATCTGGAACAGAAGCCACTGGACTCAAAAACCGGTGGGGACATTCCTGTAGCAATTTTGATGAGCTGTTAGAGGCTAAAGTATAGGCTAGCATGAAAGTGAGAAAGTCCTGGGAGCCACAGTCTTAGGGGATCCTCCACACATTGTGGGCTTCACTTCCTGGAACCACACTGGGTTCTCATATTGAAGCTTTGAGAAAGATGCCCTGGCTCTGGCAGAGGAAAGGCAATCATTATGAAATGTAATAAGTCATCACAAAAAAAGGACTACTCCCTAGTGGAAAAGAATTTGCTAGTACCTTATCCTACCTGTGGGAAAGACATTTCTCTCAGTCAAGCTCCATCTGGCCTCCCTAAGGTCAAAGAGGAAAAAGCATAATCATAAAGGGTCACAGCTTCAAGGAAATAGATTAGGAATACTGCAGTCAAGAAAGACATAAGAAGGAAGTGGAAAAAGAAAGCCAAGTTACTAGAAAAAATACTATGAAGGTCATAACCTAGAGATACAACCACACTAACACACTGAGATTTAATTATGAGATTATAGAATGCTTTCTCTTCTTCCTACCTTACCACCACAGTAACAAGTTTCTAGTATAAAAAACAATGGATTACAGCTGAAAGAGCTGTAAAATGCAGACTTTATATAAGAAGGAATACCTAGGGAAGCTTAAAGTCAACAAGTGAGAAAAAACAATGACATTGAAGGAACCGGAAGTCTCTGGTACCTACAACTGTAGCAAACATCAAACACAGCCAGACTCCTAACCAGGTTAATGTAAAACAGCACCACAGCCCAATTTACCTCCAGTCCTACTATCAGGTACATTATGTTCAGCTTTCAACAAAAAATTACAAGGCATACAGAAAGGCTAGAAAAAACACAGTCTGAAAAGACAAAGAAAGATAAGAACCAGATTGATATTATATAGATGTTGAAATTATCAGACTAGGAATTTAAAATAACCATGAGTATTATGTTAAGGTCACTAACAGTAAAAAGTAACAACATACAATAATATATGGGTAATATAAACAAAGAGTGGGAAACTCTAAGAAAGGATAAAAAAGAAAAATAGAAAAAATACTGTAAGAGAAATTAAGACCATTTGATGGGATCATCAGTTTACATGATATGGCCAATGTATTAGTGAACTTTAGTATACATCAATTAACAACTTCCTAAGCTGAAATATAAAAAGGAAAAAAATAGAAAAAATGTTACACAGAAACAGAATATCCAAAATCTGTGGGACTTTAATAAAAATAAACTCAGGTTCTCCTGCTTTACTCTCAAAACACAGAACACTTCACCTCTGGGCACCAAGATGTGTGAAAAATTTTCCCCACCAACAACAAATTCTGCACATTGCACAGCAGATTTTCTGGTGGACACCAGCTGAATGCCCTCTAATTTAATGAATTTGATCTACCTGCAGGTAGTATCAGATCTCACAGGATGAGGAGTCAGTCCCACAAGATAGCCCCTACTTGAGTTGCCAATCACAAGCACAGACTGTGGCCTGTACTTCTGACCAAGAGGCAATAAATCAGGCTTTCCATAATTTATATTTTGGGTTTGATTACTTTTCTAGAGTGCCTCGACAGAACTCAGGGAAACATTTATGTTTGTCGGTTTATTAGAAAGAATTTTAAAAGGATACAGATAAAAGGCCAGGTGGAAGAGATGCACAGGGTAAGGCAAGGGAAAAAGGGCAAGAACCTTTCATGCCTTCTCTGGGCACATCACCCTCCAGGAACCTTCATGTGTTCAGCTATCCAAAAGTCCCCCAAACCCAAGCCATTTGGGGTTTTATGAAAACTTCTTTATATAGGCATGATTGATTAAGTCATTGATTATTGTTGATCAGCTTAACTTTCAGCCCCTCTTTCCTCCTCAGAGATTAGGGGGTGGGACTGAATGTCTCAACCCTTTAATCATGTCTTAATATTGGTCTTTCCCAGTAGCCAGCCCCTATCCTGAAGCCACCTAGGGGCTGCCAGCCACCAGTCATCTTGTTAGCTTACAAATGATGCCCTATTGCTCCAGAGATTTTAAGACTGTTGGGAGCTGTATATCAGGAAACTAGGAGAAAGACAAAATATATATTTCACAATAGCACAGGGACAATTTCAAAAGTGTAACATATGTGCGATTGTTATCCCATAAAAAGAAATAGAGAACTTAGCAAAATAACTATTTAAAATAATAATGGCCAACAATTTTCTAAAATTAATGGCATACATTGAACTACAGATCAAGGAAACTCAGAGAACACCAAGCAGGAAAAATCACCCTCACCCCTCAACCAACAGCCCCACAAAAAGGATATCTAGGCATACCAAATTCAAGCTGCAGAAAACCAGAGACAAAAAATAGATCTTGAAAAAATCTGGAAGACAAGTAATGATCTTACCTATAGAGGAATGAAGATAAGAATTTCAGCAGGCTACTCATCAGAAACAATCCAAACAAGAACAGAATAGAGTGAAATATTTAAAAAATTGAAAGATAAAAAGAACCAACTTAGTTAGAATTCTATACAAGTGAAGTATCTTTTAAATGTGAAGGAGAATGAAGACTTTCTAGACAAAGACCAAATGAATTCATGGCCAGCAGATCTGTCCTACAAGAAATGTTAAAGTAAGTTCTTCAGGAAGAAGGCAAATGATATAGGCCAGAAACGGAAATCTACATAAACAAAGAAAAAATGTTGGGAAAGGTATAAATAAAGGCACAATAAACTTATGCATTTTTATTTTTCTTAATTTATCTGAAAATTAATTGTTTGCCTATAGCAATAATAGAAAAAGTTATTGAGTATAGCACATGGGTAAGTCAAATGAAGTCAATAATGGTGTAAAAGATGGGAGGGAGATATTGGAGGATGCTGCTTTAAGGTACCACTTTGGCATATAATTTGGCATAGCATTATTTGAAAATAGACTTAAATTAGTAAAAGTAGGTAACAAATGTATTTTGTAAACCCTTGACCAACCACTAGAAAAAGTATTAAAGTATCATTGATATGTTAAGAGAGAAATACAATACTTGCTTAAAACCAGAAAAAAATAGAAAAAAAGAAGAGAGGAAAGGAGCAAAATATTACAATAAATAGAAAACAGTTACAAACATGGGAGCTATTAAACCACCACATCAATTTTAACTTTAAATGTGAATAATTGAAATAATTTTATTAAAAGACAGAATGTCAAATTGGATTTAAAAAAGGTTCAACTGTTCTTTGCAAGAAATCACTTTAAATATCAGCAATCAGATAGATTAAAAGTAAAAGGATGGAGAAAGATATACCATTACACAATTAATTTATTACAAGGAGGCTGGAGTAGCTATATTATCTTTAAACAAGGAAGTCTACTCTTCAAAGAAGGAATATTATCAGGGATTAGTAGGAAACTTATGCTATGATAAAAGGTCAACTCTCCAACAATATAATAATCCTAATATGTGTGTACCTAATATAGGATATCAAAATATGTGAGGCAAGGAGAAAATGATAGAAATGAATAGACAAATAAACAAATCCATTATTATGGTTGGTGAGTTCAACACCCCTCCATCAGTAATTAATATATCTAGCAGACAGAAAAATTAATGGGGATATAGATAATTAAAGCAGCACTATAAATCAACTCTACCTAGTTAACATTTATAGAATACTTTTCCTAAAGACATTAGAATTCACATTATTCTTAACCTTACTGAATACAAAGTGAAATTAATACAACTGAAAAATATAATGTCGAAAATCGTGGGACACAGTGAAAGCAGTGTGTTGAGGTAAATTTATACCATTAAGTGCACATACTAGAAAAGAGAAAAATCTAAGATCAATACACTAAGATTCAATCTTAAGAAACCAGACAAAACAGGAGCAATTTAAATATAAAGCAGAAGAAAAAATTACCGTATTTTGCATGTCTTAAACAACAAGCATTTATGAAACATGTATGAAAGATTGCTTACTGAGGTTCCAATCATACAATTTTGGGAAAAGGCAAATTTATAGAGGTGGTAAGCAGAGCAGTGATTTTCAGGGGGCTGGTGGGGCTGAGTTGAATAGACAAAGCACGGGAGACTTTCTAGGGCAGTGAAACTATTCTGTCTGATACTGTAATGGTGGATGCATGATGTTATGCACTTGTCAAAACCCACTGAACTTTATAGCACAAAGAGCAAATGTACACAAATTTTAAAATCACTTAGGAGTTCAGGGATCCCAGCACAGAATGCAGACTGTAACAAAAATATCAAACTGCATTAAAAATGTGTAAAACAATGTCACTACAGGGAGTGGGGGAAACACTAACCTAAGTAACCTTGGAAATGAGTGGAGTCTCTAAAGCTAGAAGTAAAAATAATGATACATAGCACCGTATGGTTGATAAGGTTGTTTCTCATAGGAGCATAGGTTAACACATGTAAACTATTATACGTGTATACTAGACTTGAACAATTAAGTAAAAGTGGCAGATGGTGGGAGCCAGGTGTCTCACTGTAGGAGTGGAGGATTACAGACAAGCAAGGGAGGAGGCAAAAATGATTCATGTAGTAATAGATTAGCGTTAGAGTCATCAGTAAAAACTTACATTTAGTTTAACATACATACAGATAGTTACGTATGGAAAAAAATGTATTAATATGTGTAGAGATCAGCACATATAGCCCCTAATCTTGGTTTCTAATACCAATCTCTAACAAAATAAGTCAGAATTCTTCGGATAAATATTTAATTCTAGGAGTGGGACAGAAAATACCCAAGATGAGCCTGCAATTGTGTTACCAGAATGTAAAGAAATGCTCAAAGAAACAATGATGGAGTCGGGCGTGGTGTCACATGTCTGTAGTCCCAGCTACTAGGAAGGCTGAGGCAAGAGGATCCCTTGAATTTGAGGCTGCAGTGAGGTATGATAGCACCCTGCACTCCAGCCTGGGTGACCCCAGCAGACACTTTGTCTCTTAAAAAAATAATAAAGAGGTAATCCCAGCACTTAAGGAATCCAGGGTGAGTGGATCACCTAAGGTCAGGAGTTTGAGACCCAGTCAGACCAACATGGCGAAACCCCATCTCTACTAAAAATACACACACACACACAAATAATCATAATAAAGAAAAAAGGAAAAGAAAAGAAAAGAACACTGAAGTCAACTGGACAAATTCTCAATGGTCAAAGCCAAAGTAATTTGAGCAAAAAATAAAGTAATATTGGATTATGACTTACATATTCACTAGTCCATACTGATATAAATAAATGATTGAGCAACTAAATAAATGAAGAAGACAAAAATGTCCCATGCAGAATTGTAAATAATGTATGTCGATACTCCATCTTTAAGGAAGTGGAACATAACTCCGCACTTCTTAAATGCAGGCTGTGTATAGGAATTTCCTCCCAAACAGCACAGCAGGAGAAGCCTGGGAAACACCACCTCAGGATCAAGGTTACCATCAATGGCGGAATGTCATGTTGATAATACGTACCCTAGATACATGTGTGAAAATGGCACATTATATCTACACTCTTTTCCCCAAAAACCAGTAACCCTGGTCTAATCATGAGAAAATCACCAGACAAATCCCAGTGAGGGAGATGTACAAAATAGCTGACCAGGGAAGGAGAGCCACAGAGAAGTGAAAACTATACAACAGAATTAAGTAGACATTCGGACATTGAAAAAAATAATATCTGAAATTAAGAACGTATTGTATAAGTTTAAAACAGAAGACTACATACAGCAGAAGACAGAAGTAATAAGCCCAAAGGCAGGTAAATTGAAATACCCAGAATGAAATACGTCAAGAAAAATAATTTTTAAAAAGCAAAGCATAAATACAAGTCAGGACATAGTTTAAAGGTCTAATAAACGTGTAATTGAAGTTCCAAAAAGAGAGGACAATGGAGGGTGGGGCAGAAGAAATATTTGAAGGAATAGTGGCTAACAATTTTTCAAAACTGATAAAAGACCTTAACCCATATACTTAGAAACTTCAGCAAACCATAAACAGGATAATTACCAACAAATTCATACCAGAACACATTTAGTTAAAATGAAACCCAGATAAAAGATAAAATCTTTATATCAAGAAAAAAGACACACGACCTTCAAATGGACATTATCGATGATTACAGTCTACCTTTTCAATAGAGTCTATGGAAGCTGGAAAAATGGAATATCTATCCCAGCACTTTGGGAGGCCGAGGTGGGTGGATCATGAGGTCAAGAGATCGAGACCGTCCTGGCCAACATGATGAAACCCTCTGTCTACTAAAAATACAAAAATTAGCTGGGCATGGTGGTGCACGCCTGTAGTCCCAGCTACTCCGGAGGCTGAGGCAAGAGAATCGCTTGAACCCGGGAGGCAGAGATTGCGGTGAGCCAAGATCGTGCCACTGCACTCCAGCCTGGTGACAGAGCAAGCCTCTGTCTCAAAAAACAAAAACAAAACAAAAAAAAGGAATATCTTCAATGTGCTGAGAGAAGAAAATGAAACAACTTTCCAACCTAGAATTCTATTCCCTCATAGATTAATGAATGTCCTTCAAAAAGCATGAAATAAGGACACATTTTGGAAAATTAATGTTTAATTCATTTGTTGGTAGAAGATTGAAATGACAAATAATACTAAAGTTAGTTCTTCAAGCTGAAGGAAAGCACATACCTTCAGGAGGGAAGGAAGAGCCTTGGAAGGAGTAAATACATGCATAGGAATAAAATAATATTAACTGTTTAATAACTAATTTAATCTTAATAATGCATTCATCCAAAAAGTTATAATAGTGCCATGTGTGACTTATAATATATGCAGAGGCAAAACTGTATGATAATAATAGCACAAATGTTGAGAGTGGATAATACAATGACACTTAACGTAAGTCTTCTATTATGTAGAAGGTGGTAAAAGTCAATACTTGTGGGGCATGAGCATTCAATTCCTAAAGTACCACTGTAAAAATAATAATACTATATAAGTAAAATTCTAAAAGTGATAAAAATGCACTTGACTAATCCAAAAGATTAATAAAAGAACCAAAACAGGTGGGATTAATAAAAAACAATAGGAAGATGATGAAGTTTAATTCAACTCTATTGTTAATTACATTGCACATAAATGCACTCAATGATCCAATTGAAAGACGAAGAATTGATTAAAAACAAGCTCCAATAATTTAGTGTTTCCTGTAAACAGACAATAAATATATGAACACCATTATGATAAAAGTAAAAGGATAAAAATGAATATGACACTCAAACATAACCAAGAGAAAGATGTTGTGGCTACGTTAATACAAGAAAACCAACCTTTAAGGCAAGAGCTGTTACTAGAGACTAAGGGAGGTCTACCAGAAGGATAAAAGGATCAGTTGAACCACAAGATGTAAAATATTAAATTTGTATGCACTTAATAACAGCTACAATATAGCTAAAGAAAACATTCGCAGAAATGAAAGGAGAAATAAACAAATCTACTATAAATTTGGAGAGTTCATTAAACTTCTCTTGGTAACATAAAATATAGAAGAGGTAGAAAAAAATAGAAAGGCTGTAGAATAATTAAATTTTAAGATTAATTCAATTGCCTTAGCACGTATAGAACGCTAACTTGACATACAAAATACATATATTTTCAAGTTCACGTGGAACATTTGCCAAAATAGACAATATGGTGGGCCAGAATAGGTCTCAGGCCCAGGTGTGGTGGCTCCCGCTTGTAATCCCAGCACTTTGGGAGGTCGAGGCGGGCGGATGACCTGAGGTCAGGAGTTCAAGACCAGCTTGGCCAACATGGTGAAACCCCGTCTCTAGTAAAAAATTTAAAAAATCAGCCAGACATGGTGGTGCACGCCTGTAATCCCAGCTACTCAGGAGGCTGAGGCAGGAGAATTGCTTGAACCCGGGAGGCAGAGGTTGCAGTGAGCTGAGATCATGCCACTGCACTCTAGCCTGGGCAACAGAGCGAGATTCTGTTTAAAAAAAAAAAAAATTGGTCCCAGCAAATTTCAGAGAAGTGAAATTACACAGATTAAATCATTGGCCCATGAATTAAACTGGATATCAACAAGAGAAAAACAACTAGAGTATTCTCAAGGACTTGGAAGTTAAACAACACACTTCTAAGTAAACCTGACTCAAATGAAAAATCATGGTGGAAATAACAAAATACTTTAAACTCAATAATTATAAAGATTTAACATTTCTAATCTCATAGCTTACGCAGCACTTAGGAGAAAATGTATAGCTTTGAATAAATATGTTTTAAAAGAAGGATGTTTGATAATTATCAAAACTTTCATCTGAACAAGTTAGAGAAAGAAAAAGAAGTTAAACCCAACAAAGTCAAAAGATAGAAATAGTAAAGTTAACAGCAGAAATCAATTTAATAGAAAGCAAATACTTACAGAGAATATCAACAAAGCCAAAAGTAGATGCTTTACACTAATGATATTTATAAACCACTTGCAGAGTACTTCAGAAAAATGAGGGAATCTAAAAATTACAAATATCAACATATTTTTAAAAACATTACTAAGAATCCTGTAATTGTTAAAGGACTGAGGGTATTATTTAATATTTTATGACAATTATTTAAAAAATTAAATAAGATGTGAAAAACACACATTACTACAACTGACAAAAAAAAAAAAATGGAAAACCTGAAGATGTTTAGTATTTTCTAAACAAGTTGATTGCAGTAAAATTGTTTCCACCATCCAAACCAAGATGGCTTTACTGGTGAATTCTTCAGAATATTTAAGAAATAAATAACAGCAATCTTTATGAAAAGTTTCAGAAAATAGAAGATCAGGAAACATTTCCCAGATCAATTTATAATTTTGATTTAAAAAAAACTGTCATGGGCATTTCAAGAAAGGAAAATTTGGTGGTGTCATCTCTCTTTGATTTTTCATGTTTCTTGCCTTATGTTGATGTCAGTCTGTGGATTTGAAGAAGCGGAGGAGAGTTATTCTAGTCTTTTCAGACTGGCTTTGTCTGGGAAAGCCCTTCACCAGTCAGACCACCCAGAGGTTTGGGGCAGGCTATCTGCCGTGATCAGTGGCAGACTTGCTGCTGGAGTCTTCAGACAGGCAGGCCATGAGGGCTAGTCCAGCTCTGGGCTCTACTGGGTCAGCAGTTAAGGAGGCCTGGTGCCTGGGGCTCTGGAGTCGCGCCTGGAACCTAGATCTGCTGTGGTAGACCAGTTGATTGAATCCAAGATGATGGGCCTGGAGCTGTTGTTTGCAGGGACCAGTCTGGAGCCTGGGTCCACTGGGCTGACCTGGCTCTGGGGTAGACCTTCAGCCTGAGTCTGCAGGGGCCAGCCAGGCACTGAGCTGAACTTGGTGCTTGGAGACACAGGGGCAGTCCTGGAGCTTGAGTCCATGAGGGCTAGTCCAGCGCTGGGCTCTACTGGGTCATACTTGGATCCTGGGTCTGCTGGAGCATGGGCCTGCAGGGACTGGCCTGGCACTTGGCAGGCCTGGAACTGATGTTTGCAGATGGTGGCCTGGTGCCTGAGTCCAGGAGTGCTGACCTGGTGCTGGAGAGGTCCTGAAGCCTGGGGCTGTGTGGGCCAACCTGGTTCTGGGCAGGCTTGGCTTTGAGGCAGGCTTGGAGGCTCAGTCTGTGCATACCTGCTTGGAGTGTGGGGCTGCGGGGGCCATCCAGTGCTAGGTTTTACCAAGGCAGGCCCAGGGCCAGGGCAAAGTCCAGTGCTCACTTCCTTCTCCTTCCCCCAAGCAGTGAGCATTTCTCTCCATGTTGTGCTGCCTGGGGGTTAGATTACCCTTGGGTGAGGGTAACCTGAAACTTTCTTACCCTCTTCAATGGTCTCTTAGTATTTCTGTGCTACCCACACGTGCTGTGATGTCTCACCTGGTCTCGTGAACGCTTGTCAAGGTATTTTTGCATGAGGATAGATGTTCAAACGGATGTTTCTACAGGGGGACAAGCACAGAAAAGTCCTGTTCCACCAACCTGCTGCCATCCTCCTGTCTATATGCTATCAACAGAGGATGAGAACATGAACGAATTTAAATGTTATGTTATTTCACATAGTATTTTTAAAACATCAAATACTTGAGAATAAATGATCAAAGACGTACAATAACTCGACACTGAAAACTAGAGACTGCAAACGATTTAAATAAATGAGCATATGTCTCTGTTGAGATACTCAATGTTGTTAAGTCTCCCCAAATTTTCTATAGCATCAATAAAATTCCAATCAAATTCGCAGCAGATATATTTGAGGAAATTAACAAGCTAAATTTAATACTTAAACATGGAAATTCAAAGGATCTACAATATTCATGAATCTTAGTGGCCTTGCGATAGCCAAAAAAAAAGTTAAACATCACTCAGAAAGCACTGATTATAAAAAATATTCCATCCATTGGACTCATAAAAATTTAGTTGTGTCAATCAAAACATACTAACCATTAAGATAGTTAAAGAGAAAACCAAGAGTGGGACAGGATATTTGCAATACTTGCATCAGACAAATGACTCCAGAATATTTAAAGAGATTCTGGAAATCAATAAAAAAAGATAAACAACCTATTTTTTATGGGCAAATAATCGAATGGGAATTTCTCAAAAGAGGATATCCAATATCCAAGACTATTATTCATGCTGAAAGGTTCTTAGTATAATTGTTAATCAGGGAAATACAAGTTAAAGAACATGACGAGATATCGGTGCACACCCACCAGAAAGGAATAAATCTGTAGAATTTCTAAATGAATCTTATCCCTTAGCTCAACTTGTTGCAGCATCCCTGGCAAACCTTAAGGAGGGCTCCGTTAATCCCCATGTTGCAAAATGAATTTGCATATTTTGGAATTTAATTATATAAACAGAAAAATATAAATATTAGAGCTTTTCTTAAACTCAAAACCGTATTTCCCTCAAGTGATACAGGAGTGACATTTCCTACGTTTTAAAGTAGCAGGACTGCGTTTTCCTGTAGTGCTAACATGGGATAAGACTTGATTTCTAGATCTCAAATTACAGCTTTAAAATTCCTTTTCCTAATGCATGCTGATCTTTCTTTTCTGAGAGTTTTTTTTCCACAATCTTTCTCATTGTATTTTTTTTCCCTCAAATCAAGCCCAGTGCTGGTAAATTAGTGAGATGTGTGTCTCTTGGAGCTTAGCAAACTGGCGAGAGGCTTGTCTTTGTCTTCCTTCTTCTTCAGGTCTCCATTTCAGAACCTCATTGTCTTCTAAACTCGATGCTGAAATTAACTTCTTTAATTTATTGCTTTTATTAAGTAGAGCTTGTATATTTTATTCAAAATTTTTAAAAGATTAGAACATTTTACATACCTTTCTAACAGATAAAATTGCTTTTCATTTATATGACCTTTAATTAAATTGATGTGCATCAGTGTTGCTTGGCAGAAAAATTTTCCCATCTTTGATTAAAAGACAAACTAAATGATCATCATCCTTAGTTCTGGAGCAAGAGGAAGAAATATCCTGGACATTATTTGGGGAGAGGGATGCAGACTAAGTTCCCCAGGCCCCTCACTGCACTCAGCTCAGTTCCCCATATCTGTAAGCTGCTCTCTGGACATCCTCTGTCCCCACCTTAGGAAAGGGAAAGTACTACCTCCACACACACACATACACACAAACACATACCACACACACACCACACACACCACACAAACACATACTATATACCATACACACCACACACACCACACAAACACATACTATATACCATACACACCACACACACCACACAAACACACACACAAACACCACATACCACACACACACCACACAAACACATACCACATACACACAAGCACATACACACACCACACAAACACACACACAAACACCACATACCACACACACACCACACAAACACACACCACACATGCACACAAACGTCACATACCACACACACAGACATACACACACAAAGACACACACACACACCACCACACACCCCCCACACACTGCATACCACACACACCACACAAACACACATACAAATACCACATATCATACACACCACAAAAACACATACCACATACAAGTGCACACACACACCACATAACACACACACCACACATGCACACAGACAAACACCACATACCACACACACACCACACGAACACGCACCACACACACAAACATCACATACCACACACACACAGACATACATAAAGACACACACACACCACCACATACCCCACACACACTACATACCACACACACACACCACATACCACACACACATAAACACCACCTACCACATACACACACCACATACCCCCACACACGCTACTTATCACACACACCACACAAACACACACCACATACCACACACACACCACATACCACACACACACCACACATACCCCCCCACAAGCACACACTACATACCACTACATGCCACACACATCACACAGCACACCATACAAACACATAGCACACTACATACACATCTCACACACACATACACCCCACACACAAACACACATCATATACCACACACCACACACACACAAACACACACACACCCTCCACACACACACAAACACACACCATATATTATACACACCACACATGCACCATACAAACACACACAGCACAAACACACATACCATACACACACCACACATACTCAACACATAAAACACACACCATAGAAACACACACACCACACACACAAACGCACACTACATACCACACTACATACACATCACACACACCCCCACACACAGACACACACACCACATACAAAGACACACACCTCATACACACCACGTACCACACTACATAGACATCACACACACACCCCCACACACAAACACACACACCACACACCATATACTACACACACACACCGCATACCACACACACCATACAAACACAACACCACACAAATGCACACACCCTACACACATCAGACATACTCACACCACACACACACCTCATACCACACATACACCACACACACACCACATACCACACATACATCACACACACACACACACCACTGCCCACATACAAACACACACCAAACACACACACGACTCACCACATACCACACATACACCACATACACACAAGCACGTACATCACACACAAAAACCCACACCACATGCACCACATATCACACACACCATACAAATACACACACTACACACAAACCCACACTCACACTGCACACACACGCGCACGCACACACACACGCACACACTCATACTGCACACACACACATTCATTAGAATGAAAAGAGAAAAGTTATCTGAGTACCTTGGTGCTTCCCCTCAAGCGTCTTTATTTCCCTGTTTCCTTTACAATTTGAAGATGGCCCTAACACAGGCTGAGGGGGTGATCCTGTGGTGACAGGATCCTGTAGGAGAAGGTCATCAGTCCTGCAGCAATCCTGCAGCAGCATCTCCAGAAATGTGGGGGCTTTGTTTGCCCAGTTGACCAATACAGTGGAAGAGACAAGCTTGAAAAGATCCCTTCCTGAGAAGGGTGGGACAGAAACCACTGCTCCACAGCCCTGAAGAAAAGCTGAGGCAGGTGCCGAGTGACCAAGGGGTGCAGGCTCTGGAGTCACCACTTGGGAGTTGGAGCCACTTTCCAGCAACGTATCCTCTCCAAGTCTCCATTTCTTCCCCAGTAAAATGACACATGGGTTAAATGAGAGAGAGGGTGGGGATGTGGCCTGTAGGATATAAATCCATGCAAAGGACTGTCTGCCATTTGTATCAGAGACCACACCAAGAATGAGAGATGAGAGGAGGGGATTTTCTAATGTATAACAGCCAACAGGAACGAAGCTACGGAGCTGGAGAAGAGTTGGCGCTGGAGGGACGAAGCCTTGAGGTGATTGCTGAGGACCTAGCTTTCCAGAGCTCTAACAAGACAGCAGCTTGAAGGCCTAAAGTTGCTCCAAACCTTGCTTGGCCCTTTGAATGCCAGAATGCTCCTGAGGATGAAGCATCAATAGGTCAGGAAACTGGCTTCTGCTTTCTGTCTGCAAGGACACAGTGGGGGTCTGGCCAGCCAAGGCTGCAAGCCACAGGATTGCTGTCGCGGGACAGCAGGAAGCACCTCAACAGGCAGGACTGGGTTTCCTTGAAGGCTCTGTCACTTGTTTAGGAAGAACTTAAGTTATTCCATCCCAGCTCTGTCAGGGTCTCAAGGGTCTCCTTTCCTAGGTAAAAGCATCTTTCCCCACTTGTTAGAGACCATCCATCCTGGTAGCATCCCCTAAATATTCATGTAGTAGACCCCCTAGGGGCAGATTTATGGGGAAAATATGTGTTAGCAAAAAAATTCTAAAGAGTTTCAAATTATGGAACATTGTACAAAATGCGTGTGCTTATCAGGAGATGCAGCCTTTCCAGATATCCCTGAAGAAACTAATTTTCTTCTGAAAAGAGCTCGATTGGGAAAGTCCTACAGTTTCTGTTTTCCTAGAGGAAATGACCAACAGTATGACGATGCTTTGTCTTCTCTGCCTTCAGGCCTTCATCAGTAGAAAGAGTCTTCCCATGGAAACACACATTAAATAGAAACATTTACTCTGTATTTCATCTGTGTGTTATTTTACACAGATGTATCTGGACCCGGATTGCAATGGTTGAAGGAAAAAACTCAAGTATTTTGTGAATGTCATAGAACAGCGGGTGATATTTTTATCTATTTTTCCAAATTCTGTAACATATTGTCTTTACAGTTCAAAAGAAATATTATGATCACGCTTGTTTAGTTTAGAGAATCTGAGTGTGCAATGCATTCAGTTCAGAGGACTGATCTTCTAGCTTGTCGCACTTTCTCTGCATTATTGTGGGAACTGTGGTCCTGGCAGCCTCCTCTAGCTGATGCTGTGGCAGTCTAGCGGACAAGAGCAACATCATCACAAATGGGAAAACATGAGGTTTGATTTGAAGAAGCTTCCCATGAATATGACTAAGGCTTACACTGCTGAGCAGAAAATCATACAAGGTTAAAATTTTTACAGAATTGATGTCAAAACTCACAGTGAGCCAAATACCTAAACACAGTTGACCATTGAGCAACATGGCAGTTAGGGGTGGCAACTCAACTCCCCACGCAGTCAAAAATCTGTGTATAACTTTTGATTCCCCACAACTTAACTACTCATAGCATACTATTGACCAGAAGCCTTGCCGATAATACACACAGTCGGTTAACAAATATTTTGTATGTTAAATGTATTATATACTGTGTTCTTACAATAAAAAAAAAGTTACTAAGAAAATCACAAGGAAGATAAATATATTTACTATTCTCTAAGTGGAAGTGGATCATCATTAAGATCTTGGTTCTCATCATCACGTTGAGTAGGCTGAGGAGGAGGAGGAAGAGGAGGGGTTGGCCTTGCTGTCTCAGAGATGACAAGAGATGAAGGAGGTGGAGGAGTTGGAAGGGGAGACAGAAGAGGCAGGCACACTTTGTGTAAACTTCATTGAAAAAAACTTCGTCCGGGCACGGAGGCTCACGCCTGTAATCCCAGCACTTTGGGAGGCTGAGGCAGGAGGAACACAAGGTCAGGAGATCAAGACCATCCTGGCCAACATGGTGAAGCCCCTTCTCTACTAAAATACAAAAAATCAGCCGGGCATGGTGGTGCGTGCTTGTAGTCTCAGCTACTCAGAAGGCTGAGGCAGGGGAATCGCTTGAACCCAGGAGGCAGAGGTTGCAGTGAGCCAAGATCGTGCCACTGCACTCAAGCCTGGTGACAGAGCAAGAGTCCGTCTCAGCAACAACAACAACAAAAACAGAAAAGAAAAGAAAAGAAAAAATCTGCATATAAGGGTCAACTGTACAGCATTTTTAAAGGCAGAAACTAAGATCTACTGATAATCTACACTGTCAGACACGTTTTATTCTCTTTTTAAATATTCACACAACTCTCCATCACCCTCACATGACTTATAAGGCTCAAAAGAGGGAGGTGACTAATGAGTAGTAGGATTCGGAGTATAGAAACTGAGTATCTGTGATATTCCACCTGCTATTTGAAGAATACTGAGAAATTCTTTCCGTAACTCTTGTTGTCATTTGTATGTCTTCTTTGGTGAGGGTCTCTTCAGATCTTCTGCTCATTTTTTAATTGAATAGTTTGTTTCCCAATTGTTGAATTTAAAGAGTTCTTTGTATACTTTGGATTCAAGTGCTTTGGCAGATATGTGCTTTGCAAATATTTTTTTCCCAGTGTGTGTCTTCTTTTTATTTATTATTATTATTATTTTTTTGAGACAGCGTTTTGCTCTTGTCACCCAGGCTGGAGTGCAATGACATGAACTCGGCTCACTGCAACCTCCTCGTCCCAAGTTCAAGTGATTCTCCTGCCCCAGCCTCCAGAGTAGCTGGGATTACAGGTGCCTGCCACCACACCCGGCTAACTTTTTGTATTTTTAGTAGAGACGAGGTTTCACCATGTTGGCCAGGCTGGTCTCAAACTCCTGACCTCAGATGATCCACCCGCTTTGGCCTCCCCAAGTGCTAGGATTATAGGCATGACCCACCATGCCCAGCCTGTGTCTTGTTTCATTCTATTGCTAGTGTTTATAGATCAAGGTGGGAAGAATTAACATTTTAAGAATGTTAAGCCTTCCAATCCAAGGACATGCAATCCAGTTTACTTCATTTGATTTTTTCATAAAAGATTGTCTTTTTCCACACACAGATTTTGTAATACTTTAAGTTTATGCCACAGAATTACAATTTTTTTTCTTTTATGTCTTTCTTTCTTGCTCTTCTATTTTTTTCCTTTTGTGTGTGTGTGCTATTCTGTGCTAGTTCCTAGGGCTGCTATAACAAGGTACCACAAACTTGGTGGCTTAAACAACAGAAACTTATTGTCTTACCGTTCTGGAGGCCGGAAACCCAAAATCCAGGTGCTAGCAGGGTTGATTTCTTCTGAGGGCTGTGAGAGAAGGCTCTGTCTCATGCCTGTTTTCTAGTTGCTGGAAGCTGCAGGTGTTCCCTGCCTTGTAGATTGACTACTCCCTGTGTTTTCACATCTTCTCTCTGTGCCTGGCTCTGTCTCTACACACGCTGTTCTTTCTAGTAGGACAGCAGTCACATTGGATTAGGGGCCTACCTTGTCTTGTAGAACCTCATTTTAGCTAATCATATCTGTAATTGCCCTATTTCCAAATAAGGTCACATTATGAAGTACTGGGGGGTTAGAACATCAACATATTTTTTTGGAAGGGGGGGAAAATTCAATGCATAACTTAATGTAAATGATTTATTTGTATTTTAAATATCACATGTTCATTGCTAATATAGACACAAACAACTGAATGTTATATGTTTACTTTGTGTCCTATGGCTTACTATATTTATTATTAGCTCCAGGAGTTTTTTGTCAATTCTTTGGGATTTTCTACATAGACAATCATGTCATCTCTAAATAAAGACAGTGTTATTTCTCCTTCTCCAATGTATAACTTCTATTTCCTTTTTCTAGCACTAGCTACAACTTCCAGTACAATGAAGAAGTGGCGAGGAAGGACATTATTGCCATGTTCCTGATATTAGTGGTTAAGGGTCCAGGTTCTTATCATTAGCTAAGATGTTAGCTGTAGGTTTTTTTTTTTAACGTTTTATTATTAAGGTAAGGAAGACTCTCCTATTTCTCCTTGTGTGGATTTTAGTAAATTATGTCTTTCAAAAAATTGGTCCATTTCTTCTAAGTGATCAAATTTATGGGCTAGAGTCATTCGTAGTATTCCTTTTAATGTCCATAGATCAATAGTAATGATCCTTCTTTTATTTCTGGTGTTGATATTTTTTGTCTTTTCTTGATTTTCATAGCTAGAGGTTTATCAATTTATTGATATTTTCAAAGAAATAGCTTTTAGTTTTATTGATTTTTCTCTATCATTTTTGCATTCAAAACATCCTTGATTTTTGCTCTAATTTTTATTTTTTTTCTTCTGCTTGTTTTAGGATTAAATTACCCTTCTTTCTCTAGTTTTCTAAGATGAAAACCTAGGTTGTTGACTCTAGATCTTTATGCCTTTCTAACATATACATTTAATGCTATGAATTTCTCTCAAAGCACTGCTTTTGCTGCATCCAACTAATTTTGATTAATAGTATTTTATTTTCATTTAGATCAAAATATTTAATTTCTATGAGACTTTTTCTTTGACCAATGTACAATTTTGGCTTTTGTTGCTTAATTTCCAAATATTTAGGGATTTTCCAGCTCTCTTTCTGTTATTGATTTCTAGTTTCATTCCAATGTAGTTTAAAAACATACTCCAAAGGATTTCTATTGTTTTACAATTTTAAGGAGAGTTTTATGGCCCTGATGTAGTCTGCCATGGTAAAGATGAATTTAGGAAGAATATGTACTCTGCTGTTTTTGGGTGGAGTATTCTATACATGTCAACTAAATAAAGCTAATTATAAAGCTGTTCAGATCATCTATATCCTCACATATCTTCTCTGCCTGCTTAATCTACCAAGTACTGACAAAGGAACATTGAAGCCTCCAACTAAATAATCAATATGTCTTTTTCTCCTTTCAATTCTGTCAGTTTTGGCTACACATACTTGGACACTCTGTTGTGAGATTTATACATATGAAGGATTTTTATGCTGGGTTTTTTTTTTTTTTGCAGAATTAACCCATTTATCATTAAGTGATACTCCTCACTATCTCTGATAATTTTCCATATTTTGAAATTGACTTTGCCTGAAACTAATATATCTACTTTAGCTTTCTTTTGGTTAATTTTAGAATAATATATCTTGTTTCAGCTCTTTAACTTCCCTGAGTCTTTAAATTTAGAGACTTGTGTCTTATTTTTAATCCACCCTGACAATCTCTGTCCTTTAATTATATGTAGACTATTCATATTAAAGTGACTATTGATACAGTTGGATTAATAGCTACCATGTTTGCAGCTGTTTTCTACCTGTTGCACTTCTGGTGTCTTTATCTCATCTCCTTTTCTGCCTACATTAGTTTTAGTTGAGCATTTTATGCAAACGATTTTTTTCTCCTCTCTTAGCATATCAATTATCCTTATTTTATTTATTTATTTATTTATTTATTTATTTATTTATTTATTTATTTTTGAGACAGAGTCTCACTCTGTCGCCCAGGCTGGAGTGCAGTGGTGCAATCTCAGCTCACTGCAGCCTCTGCCTCCTGGGTTCAAGTGATTCTCCTGCCTCAGCCACCCGAGTAGCTGAGACTACAGGCAAGCGCCATCACACTCGGCTAATTTTTTTGTATTTTTAGTAGAGAAGGGGTTTTACCATGCTGGCCAGGATGGTCTTGATCTCCTGACCTCGTGATCCACCCACCTCGGCCTCCCAAAGTTCTGGGATTACAGGTGTGAGCCGCCCCGCCAATTATCCTTATTTTTTTTAAATAGGTTTTGCACCAGAGTTTGAAATATACATTTTAATTAGCCTAAGTCCACCTTCAAATAATAGTACGCTACTTCACAAGTAGTGCTGATACCTTATAACAGAGTATTCCTAATTCTTTCCTCCCATTCTTTGTGACATTGTTATAATTCATTCATTTATCCATACGCTATACTCACTTAATACATTATTGCTATTATTATTTTAAGCAGTGAGCCGAGATCGTGCTTTTAGATGAAGTATAAATAAGAAAAATCAAAGTTTCAATTTTTTCTTCATTTATTCTTTCTCCAATGTTCTTTTTATTCATGTAAATCCTGGTTTCTGACCTATGTCATCTTATTTCTTTATAGAGAAATTATTTTAACATTTCTTACAGGAAAGGTCTATGTACTAGTGATAAATTTCCTCAGTTTTTGTTTCTTTGAGAAAACTTCTATTTCTCCTCACTTTTGAAGGATAATTTTGTTGGATATAGAATTCTAGGTTGGCATTTTGTTTTTGTTTTTTTCTTCCAAAACCTAAAATATTTTATTTACTCCATTTTCTTCCCGCTTTCATGGTTTCTGATGAAAAGTCCACTGTAATTCTTATCTTTGTTCCTTTATAGGTAAAATTATTTCTTTTTCCTCTGACTGCTTGCAACATTTTCTCTATATCTTTGCTTTTCTGTAGCTTAAATGGTAGATATGCATAGGTGTAGATATTTTGGGAGCTTTCTGGATCTGTGTTTAGGTGTCTGTCATTCATTTTGAAAACTCAGCCATTATCACTTCAAATATTTCTTCTTTTCAGTTCTCTCTCTCTTTTCCTTTTGGTGTTTCAATTATGTGTCTGTCATACCTTTTGAAGTTATCTCACAGTTCTTGGATGTTCTGTTCTTTCTGTTCCTTCTTGTTGTTGTTCATTCTCTTTCCCTTTGCATTTCAGATGGGAAGTTTCTATTAACTTATGTTCAGGTTCACTAATGCGTTCCTCCACCTGTCCAGTCTACTGATGAGCCTGTCAAAAGCATTCTTTACTTCTGTTATAATGTTTTGTTTCTATTTTTAAAATTTTATTTATTCATTTATTTATTTTGAGACAGAGTCCAGAGTCACTCTGTTGCCCAGGCTAGAGTGCAGTGGCATGATCTCGGCTCAGTGCAACCTCTGCTTCCAGGTTCAAGTGATTCTAGTGCCTCAGCCTCCCAAGTAGCTGGGATTACAGGTGTCAGCCACCAAAGCCAGCTAATTTTTGTATTTTTGGTAGAGACAGAGTTTCACTGTGTTAGCCAAGCTGGTCTTGAACGCCTGACCTCAAGTGATCTGCTCGCCTTGGCCTCCCAAAGTGCTGGGATTACAGGTGTGGGCCACCATGCCCAGCCTACAGTGTTTTGCTTTTTAACATTACTTTTTTATTTGTTCTTTGAGTTTTCATCTGTCTGCTTACATGACTCACCTGTTCTTGCATGTTGTCTAATTTTTCCATTAGAGGCTTCAGCGTATTAATCAAAGTTATTTTAAATCTCGTCTGATAACTCTAATATCTGTCATCTATGAGTCTGATTCTGATGCTTCAGACCCCTTAGTCTCTTCAAACTATTTTTTTCCTTTTAAAATTTCATGTAAATCTATGGTGAAAGCTGGATGTAACATATCCAGTAACAGGCAATGAGGTAAGTAGGTCTGAAGTGCTAGGTTTTAAGTTAATCTGGCTGAGAGTTGCACTGTGTTTAATGCTTGCTGTAGCTGTAGGTGCCGGAGGTGTCAGATTCCTCCAGCACCCTTGTTTTTGTCCTCCCCTGATGTCCTAGTGCTTCCCTGAGAACCTTTCCTTAGAAGAGCCTGTGCCTTGCAGCAGTCTCAGCTCCAAGCCAGTCCTGATGCCCTGGAACCCTGTTGCCATGGAGGTAATATGAGGAGGGGCATTCTAAAATCTTATTAATAGGATTAAAACCGAGTGTCTTTTTGGCCTTTAGACTTGGCTGTGATATTCACAAGCATGTCTTAGGTATTTTCCTCCCTGAAGTGCTACAGGAAGGCTAGAAGGAGCCCCCAGATTGGGATAAGGCTCTAACGAAGCATTTCCCCTTGCTGGTGGGGCCTTAGTTATGGAGAATACCCTGGATATACTTCAGAATGGTTACTTTTCCCCTCCCTTTGCCAAAGACAACAAGATTTTCCTTGGCTCTTCGATGTGAGAACCTGGTAGCATTCCTAGAGGTAAAGCCTACAAAAATATGGAGCCCCCTAAGACTGCAGTCCTAGGAATTTCCTACCCTCACACCGGTCCATACTCAGCTTCCAGCAATCCAACAACATTACCAGTTACATGCTCCTACCTCATGGTGCCAGTGACATCTGCTCCAGACAAGCAGATCTGGGTGGCTACATCTTTCTAGTGCTCTGATGGATTGAAAAGAGCTTTTTGATTTTTAGCTTTTTTAGCTCTTTTCTTGTTGGAAGGATGGGAGTAATGACTTTCAAACTCTTTACATTTTGAAGCTGAAACTAGAAATCCTGGATATATTTTTTAAGGTTAAAAAAAATAGGCTTCCAGTCATGCTGGATATGGAGGTGAGAAAAAAGAAATTGATTGGAAATTTTTAGTTATAATGATCAAAAGTTGCATTCACCATACACACTGTTTGTGGCCTATAAGCGTTACCTGGTGTTGGAAAAACAGTCCATTACATGTTATTCCTCAGCTTGCTTCTGAATTCAGAGGCCCTGAGCCAGTTAAGCTGGTATTATTTCCATTACGAGGTGGCACAGCAAACACTGTGTGCGTCTGGGTTCAGAATTACTTTGCCCTTCAGAATTACCCAAGGGAAATCTTGAGAAAAATACCTTCTAAATGGGTAATTTTAACAGTGCTGTGTTATAAACATTTCCTTGGCTCCAAGTCAGGCACTCTGCAGCTTTCGGCAGCTACTGGGTCTGAGATGCTGTTTCTGCTGTTTGAAGCTTACTGTCTCCATGTTACAGACAACAGCCTGCAGCCCCAGGGATGCCAAGGTACTGGCAAACTTTGGGAATGAACATTTAGTGGAGGAGGCCTACACCTAACCCTATTAGGAGCTACTTGCCCACTTATGGGGCACAAACAGGTCTGGATTTTAATCCAGGCTCTGGACTAAGATATAACTCCTTTGCCTGTGTTTTGGATCTGTAAAGTAGGCGTAGTCATAATTTTGTCTTTTGTGTGTTGGGGGGGGAGAGAGGGTCTCACTGTCGCCCAGGCTGGAGTGCAACCTCTGCTTCCCGGGCTCCAGCTTCAGCCTCCTGAGTAGCTGGGACTACAGGCTTGCACCACCAATACCCCGTTAATTTTTGTGTTTTTTGTAGAGATGGGGTTTCATCATGTTGCCCAGGCTGGTCTCGAACTCCTGAGCTCAAAGCAATTTGCCCGCCTCAGCCTCCTGACGTGCTGGAATTACAGGCGTGAGCCACCACATCTGGCCATAATTGTGTCTTAATGATAATGAAATTTAGCCCTGATGCATGTAACATAAGTGCCCAATCAATACAGACTTGCCATTTGGGTTGTTCACTGCTGCCAACTTCATGGTTTTATAAAAGTTCTACCACAAAGATTGCACGTTTTACTTCTAATTAATGATCCCTGTGGAGACAAAAGTGGGTCCCTCTTGGATGCTAACCCACCATGTTGATGTCTCATAGCCCCAGTCCCATGAATGCCTCCTGGTTTCTACTTTATCTACTGTCCCTGGTGTAAGAACGTGTCAACCTGGACATTACCGCACAAACTAGAGGCGATGGCGCACGTGACATTCTTGCTGTCCTGGAGAGTTGTCTTTGTTTTGCGGGAGCACGTACACCCTTTCCCTGTGGTACGTAAGCCCCACGTCTGGGGACTAACAGTGCAGAGAGCCACCTGTCTTGTGGCCACCCAGGGCCACGCTTCCATGTGTAAGTTCCCCGATACATCAACTAATACCGACAAACTGGATTTGTCTGCCTCCTTCTTTGGTTTCTCTGATCCTTTGGCATTTGGAGGTCATTTCCCATATGAGGCCCTTCCAGGAAACAATCCCTGAGAGATTTCCTAGGTTACAGTTGGGGCTTTCTTGCCATGGATCTAATTAGCCATGTTGTCCTGTGACCTGCGACTATGGACAGTTGATGGTTCAAAGCATGGGTTCTGGTTGGCTGAGTTCTCAGAGGCCCCTTTTTTTGCATATGAAATTACTCTCCTCCTCTGTATGAGATGGCATTCAAAACCTCACTCTTTTATTCTAGAAATATTTCTGTGCTGTGTTGAGTTCTACTGACACAGTGGTTAACAAAACAGATATGAACCTCCTCTCACAAAGCTTACAGTCTATAGAGGAGGAAAGATTCTTACTCTAATCTCACCAACACCATATGCAGCAGGGGTTAGGGGTGCAAAAACACAGTGTGAACCAGGGAGGTCACGAGAACACAGGGAATGGGGAGTGGACTATGCTTGGTGTCAGGAATGCTTTCCAGAAGAAATTTCTTTGGGCCTGAGACACTGAAGGATGGCAGAGAAGCTCAGTTGAGGGGGGCAAGATGGAAACCCAGGGGCGGGTCACTATGTCAGCAAAGCACTGGCAAACACATTTTCTAAATGACCCCCTAGAAAATGTTCTCAGCTTGGCAGACCCTATCTGTCACAACCACTCAACTCTGTCATTACAGCCGAAGCCTTAGACAATAAGGAAAGCCATGGAAGTGGCTGGGTTCCAATAAAACTTTATTTATGGATGCTAAACTCGAATTTTGTATTATTTTTGTATGTCTGTCACGAGGTATTCTTTTTGGTTTTTTTTCCAACCATTTAAAAATGTAAAAACTATTCTCAGCTCACAGGTGGCACCAAAACAGTGAACAAGATTTGGCCCTTAGCCTGCAGACCCCTGGGGGAAGCCAGCGAGGGTGACATGGACAGAAGAGTTCAGTAGGGCGAAAGTCCTGAAAATATGAAGGCTAAGCACGATGAGCCACCCAGGAGCACGCCTTCTTCCTTGCAATAGATGCTGCACACTGAAACTGCCATTTGTAAACTATTAAATGCCACACAAACATGAGGCATTCTATTACAGTTGTCTATGATCTTATCAAATGTGAATTTTGGGGCCAGGAAAAGGGCATCTAAGTTACCTAATCTGCATGTAAGAAAAATGCACAAATACCTAAGGTCAAGGAAACTAAGATCAAATCATTCTTAGGAGACCTCATTTTAGACTAGGGAGGAGTCATCACCGCTTCTCTGTTGATGAACATGTCTTCCGGTTCAGACTACTTAAAAATTCATTCTCAGTTGCTAATGAATATCCATTGGCAAAATATGAAGAATCCTATGACAACATTCTTTCTGTACAGAAGAAAAGCTTGGGGAGTCTGTATACACTTTCATTAAAGCAACAATTGAGGTGTCAAGTCACAGGTCTTTGCTTCATTAACTTTCATATTCAGCAGCTAGTGAGACTGGAAGAACGGATATTCCTTTGGAGGTAAACAGTGGCGGACAAATTAGATAGGACTCCTCCCTCACAGAGGCAGAGACAGACACTGAATAATTACACAAAATGACATATTTTCATAACAAAGACGGGTGCCATCAAGGGAAAGCAGAAAAAACTGTAAATCAACAGGCCTATCGTTTCATTTGGGAGGTTGGGATGGTTTCTTTGTCTCTGTGGACAGGACATTTAAGCCATGACCAAAAGGGGGAACAGACATTTTCTAAGTGTAGAGAGAGGAAAAGTGTGTGTGTGTGTGTGTGTGATTGTGCACGTGTGTATGCGTATATATGCATGGTGTGATAGAGTGTGCATGTGTGCACATGTGTGTGTTTGCATGCACATGCTCCTATATGTGGATGTCTGTGCACTGGAGACCAGGACAGGAAAGGAACTGTATTCCAAACACAGGTAACAGTGTGTGCAAAGACTCAGAAATGCTGAAGCAGTAAAGGACTTAATGATATTTGAAAAAATCAACAATGGCCTTTGGGGCCACATATTACATAATACACTGAGACATGCGGTCAAAGTCAAGGCTAAGATGCCAACAGGGGTGGCTCCCCAGGACCTTGCAGGCTCTGATGCGAGTGTGGATTTTATTCTTTGTGCCAAGGAGAGTCTCTGGGGGGGTTTCAAGCAGGAGAGCATCACTCTGTGATTTCTATTTTACAGGGGGATAAGTGAAGGGCCGGCATCATGAATGAATCTGGGTTTCCAAGGACTTGCTAGATTCAAGGATGTTCCCTCATACATACAATATAGCTTCAGCTGAAGGTCCTTTGGGCTCCAGTTTCACTTCTTGGCATATCCAGCACAGCAAGAGAGTGACAGTCACCAGCCAGAAGGGAGCACACGTGATCTGAGGCCCTGTGCTGTGAGTGTGGGACTGCACTTGGCGCCATGAGAGAGTACAGTGATGGATGTGGTCTCCGTGCCCATCCTTGTCTGAAGCTGCAGACTATTCAGGGGATAACTCTGCCATGTGTGGTTTCGAAATACATGCAACTTGGAGAGGCAGTATTTCGTGTTTCAAGAGAATGCAGTGGGGCATTTTATTGAAAGGTATTTTTTTTCTCATCATGTAAAATAAATTAACATGGTGTTGCATGGTTTCTATAAAACACCCGTGCATGTTCGAATCAACTTTGCTTGTTACCTGAATTATTTTCTCTACACTTCTCCCCTCTGCTTAATTCATTTGCAAAAGACAGGACGTAAGGAAAACATGCACCAGGTAAGAGACTATTTCTATTGAAGTCAGCGAGAGTTCTTTTAATTTATTGCCAGAACTCTGAATATCACACTGGTTTTGCTGAAAAAGAAAGTGAAAATGTCTAACTATGAACAAAGAAAGTACAGTTTTCTCACTAAATTTACATATCATGTATTTGAACATAAGTACAGGGATTTGATTTGGCATGGACTCAGGGAGAGCTCCACGTAAGAATATTCTGAGTGGATGTTCTGCCCTTCTCGTTCCTCCCAACCCCCTCCTAGGTGCATGGTGTCTGACCCAAGGCAGAAGTAGAAGAACACCTGCTGGCCGTGGGCTGCCTCTGCCATTCTGCTCATCCAAAGTGATAGAACCAAACCTGACTTTGGTAACTTTTGCTTAATGCCTATATGAGTTTTCTTTCTTTTTCTTTGGATTTATTTATTATTTATTTTTACCATTTAGAAAAAAAATGGTAATATTTATTGAGCATCTCCAGTGTGTTAAATGCTTTCACTATATGTTTTCTTTTCTTTTTGTTTTCTGAGTTTTCCAGGGCTGCTGTAACAAAGCACCACAGACTAATTAACTTAAGCAGCAGGCATTTCTTCTCTCACAGTTCTGGAGGCTGGAGTCCAGGATGGAGGTGTCGGCAGGACTGAGCCTCTCTCCTTGGTTTGCAGATATCTTCCCTGTGCCTTCACAGTGTCATCCCTCTGTGCCTGTCTGTGTCCTCAAGTTCCCTTGTTATAAGGACACCAGTGGGATTGGATCAGGGCCTACTCTAATGATCTAATTTTACCTTAATTAACTTTTTAAAGACCTTATCTCTAAATGCAGCCACGCTCTGAGATCTTGGGGGTTAGGGCTCCAACAGATGGATTTGGGGAACACAACGTAGCCCCTAACATGCCAAACAAAAAGGAAGACACACTGGCATGGGGACAGGAGGTGAGTGGGAAGAACTGGTGCTCCCGAGAGGGAGTGGGCTGGGAAAGGCAGAAGAGGTGACAGTGTGAAGCTGCTCCTTGGGGACTTCTGGGTCTACCCACGAGTGGATGCCCTGCAGAAACTGAGAAGGGGATGGGTGAGAGGACAATTGGCTTCACAGAATCCAGGGCCCCTCTAGCACCCTAAACACCAAACAAACAATGAAGGACCAAGCGGGAGATGCTGGCTGGCACCCTGACTGCGTGCTTCTGGCGTGCCCATTAGGAGAGAGGAGAGCAGAGGATCGTGCAAAGACACTTTTTTATCACTGGGGGAACCATGCATTCACTGAGAAATGAGTTGTTCTTCCAGAATTCTGTCCTTGTGACAGGTAACATAACTGTCATGTGAGTAACAGACTTCATCTTGGCAGATGTGACACCACATGGGAGCCCACATGGTATAATAGTGCAGATACCTATAACGTGCGTATTGGGAGTTTGTGAAGCATATATACTGGGCATGGCTGAAATCCAGAGTTCAGTAAAAGAAAAAAAAAAGGGAGAGGGCAGGAAGTTAATGGAAAATGTGTAATGTGAATATTGACCCAACAGACCTCTAAAAATATAAGCTCCATTTCTTACCAAGGAATTTTCTTTTCTCTTTGGAGAGGACGTGGCAACAACGACATCTCATGCTTACACGAGCTGCCCCACTGTTCTGTGAGCCTTGGTGTTGTAGTTACTTACAGCTTGCACCAACCCTATGAAGAGGCCCTTTACTGTCCACATTCTGTATAAAAGGAAACAGATCCTGAGAGGTAAGTGTCACCCAACAAGCAAGTAGAGAGAAAAGGTTTCACCGTCTGGCCTCTGGATGGGAGCTCTTCACCTCCACGCTACAGGCCACCATGTGGTCTGGCATTGGCCTGGGTGTCAGGCAGCGCCCTGTGCAATCTCTGGCCCTGCCATAGCCAGTTATGTAAATTCTTAGAGACTCGATTTGCTCATCTGTCACATGTGGAAAGAGGAAGCATTCATCTCCCAGGACTGCTGTGAGAGTCAAAAGCGAAATACGTAGCAGAGCTGGCCCTTAGTAAATGACTAACACGTGGTACCTCTTCTTGCAAGAAGCGAGAGCCTGAGTTGTGTGTTCAAAATTGTCATCACTCTTGCTCTCTGTGAGTGCAGCCAGGACAAACACAGTCAGGGCTTCAATGGTGCACGTGGAGCCTGTTAGAAATAAACAAAAGACATAAAGCTGGTAACAGAGGCACCTCTTTCTGCCTGAGTGGGGCAGGTCCTCATGGTTCTCATCAGCCCAAGGCTCTGACTCCCCACCTTTCAAAGCTGCCACCCAAGTTTACAAACTCTTTTTATTTTCACCTATGCCATCAATAAATCATCCCCAGCTTTTCTCAAGAAACCTGCCATTGGGTGCGACGTTGCTATGAGACTCTCAAGTAGACACACAAACGGGGCCACCAAGCTGAGTGGCAGGCTTGGGATGATTAAAACCACTGTCTCCCTGAGTGTTTTAAAAAGAGCAAATTGTAAAAAATAACCACCTTCCTCACACCGAGTCTGGAAATTACATCAAGAGCTGATCAGGAGATGGATTCTCAGGACCTACAGGAAAATTTAGAAAATCTCAAGGAAAAAGCTCATCATGCAAGCTACATATATAGAAAATAGCCCCATTAAAGTTTTTTTTGAGAGCATGACAAGGAATTAATGAGTCAACCAAGGGTGTCTTGCAGATGTGTTCAAAACACAAGCCAGTACCAGGAAATACTAGGTGGGAGCCGTGTAGCCTGAGACTCTTCAGATCATGGAAGAGAAGTGCTGGCTTATTGCCAGTTGATCTCTGATAACAGCCAAGCCCTGCATGATAAGTCACAGATATCCCCATGAGAGATGCAAAAGCTTTTCTTTTTTTAATTTTTAATTTAAGAATTTAATCCATATATCCCTTATTATAAGAAAAAGAAGGGTTTTTTAAAAATATGAGTGTAAGTTTTTCATGAGTTCCAAGGGTTTTGTTTGTTTGGTTGGTTTTTGTTTCTGTTTTTTCATAACAGCCAGTAAGACAAGAGTCTCGTTAGAACTGGCAGACGTGCAGCTCTCCCAAGACGTTGCTTCTGCTGGAAAGCCCGTGCTGCTCTGGATGGCGGAGCCATGAACAGGAAAAGTGGATGGTGTGATGAAGGCATCCCCCAAATCCCTAAAGAAACAGCACAAAAGTCTGCCCCATAATTATTTCTGCCTGCTTCCAGGGTATGGGAAAATCGTGTCTCAATATCTGGAAGAGAACTTGACTAAAAGCTATTTTATAAATAAATACATATATGTAAAATTATATGTATGTGCCCACACATATGTGCATGTACGTGTATATGCGTGCATGTATGTCGATGGATGGACGGATGGTTCGATAGAAACCATAAAGCTGGCATTTTCAGAAGCTGGGAATACAAGAACCAGGTGTGCTGGATCTAAAGGCAAAAACCACGAGAGCAAGCTTAGCTCTAATCAAAGCCAAGGTTCACAGGGGATCTGGTAAAGAATGGTCCCAGAAACCTGAGAAGCAGCTTTATACAGCCGACTCAAAACAGGGGTGTGGCCCCAGAGCTACAGAAAACACCGGAGAAGCCAGATTCTGGGGTCTCAAACTCAAATGCCTGCAGGGTCTGGGGCGGACTCTGAACTGGAAGGGAGAGGCTCCGCAGCTCCGGGATGGCCACTGCTCCATCCAGAGTACAGATCTTCCCATCTTTGAAGAAAAGAAAGAAAGGTAGCTATTACAATCTATCAGTTTTTAAATGTTGGCTGAATTTGTAAAAGGGGAGGGGACACACAAAACTCTTATGCAGTTCATACCCATTTCCGCAGCGGGTATTGACTGCACTCTTCATGATGTCGCTGGAACCCAGCACCTGAAGCTGACCGCAGAGCCCCTAGACTGGTGGAGGTAGAGAAGGTCGTTGCTTCCATGACATGGGGGCGCTCGCCAGGCGTGCAGGGTGGGGACCCCTGGCAGGGATGAAGGAAGGCAGGCCTCCCCGAGGACATGCAGGGGCCGGCGGGGCAAGGCTGGGAGCGCTGAGGCCACCCCGTGACCACTGAGGAGGATGTGGGGGCTTGGGAACTGAGGGAGCCTCTGAGCTGAAATGGGATCCTTTCCCACCCCAACCACGCCTCCCTACACTTCTTAGACACAGGCAGTCCTGCTTCCGGGGAGATCCCCAGGTCCTTTTGTTCACAGGCTGGACCCATCTGTCTCTCTTTTCTCTTGTCATTTTTGTAAGACATCAGAGCTTTATTTGTCCTCTTCATTCAAACACATTTTCCAAAACTATCACTTATTTTTAAATTTTGTTCCTGGCTTTTTTCTGCAATGAATGTTCATATAGACTGTGATGTGCGTTTCTATCACCCCATAACTTTTCAGTTTTCTTTGTTAACAATGTCTCCTCACCCTTAAAATTGCTTTTACAATTTTTAGTGATTTTTTTAAGCATATGTCCCTAATCCATCTGCAATTTATTTTTGGATTCGATCTGACATAGCGGGTCCAACGTTCTATTTTTCCAGATGGACAACCGGGAAGTTATGCCAGCATCACTTTTCAGACAAGCCAACTTTTCTAAATAAAACGTCGATTCTACTTTTATCATGAATTTAATTTTCTTATGTATTAGAATCTATTTCTGGATCCTCTATTCTATTAATTAATTCATCTGTTCCTACACTAAAACAATATTGATTTGATTACCTTCAATGTGTAGTGTAAATTTCCTTCACTAATGTTCTAATTGTTTTCCAGGAAATTTTCAGGCTTCCCCCCACCGCCTGCAATATGATCATTTAATTCTATTCCAAAAAAAACATCCTGTTGGGATTGCAATTTTGACACACGTGATATTTTTACGACGTTATGCGTTCCCGCCCAAGAACACACTTGGTCATTCATCCACTCAAGGCTCATTCACCAGAGTCCTGACAGTGCCGAGGCCTGCACCTGCAGAGCCCCGGAGCCCTCCAGCCCGGGGAGGGAACCGAGTTCCAGTGGGGAGCGGGTAGAGCCGGTGCAGCCCTTCATTTCACAACCCCTGTAGCCTGCCTGGCCTGAGAGGAGGTCATCGGATGCACTGAGTGAACTGCTCACCAGGTCCAGGCTCCAGATCCCATAGATGACTCAGGAGAGAGGCACGGAGCACCTCGGAAGCCCGGGAGCACCCCAGTCCACCAGCTCACCATGACCACCACCCTCACGCTCACACACACACAGCCTCACACACATAGTCACTTACACGCTCTCTCACACACATATTCTCACTCACATACCCTCAAACACACACGGCCTCACACACATCTGCTCACACATTTACTCACACACATACACTCACACACATACTCTCACACACACTCTCAGACCTATACACTCACACACCCACACACATTCACTCACACACCCTCAAACACATACTCTCACACACTCACACACACCCTACACTCTCTCACACACACACACACACACACACACTTGCAGACCCAATACACTCACACAGACTCACACACGCCCACACACAAATTCACTCACACACACCTTCACACACTCTTATACTCTCACACACATTCTCAAGCACTCACACACACTCTCACACACATACACTCACACACACTCTCATATCATACCCACACATATTCACACTCACACACGCACTCACACACATACCCAACACAAACTCACACACAAATACACATTCACATCTCCCACCCCCACTCAAACACAAATATACACATACACGCTCACACACACTACACACACATTCTCCACCCCCACTCAAACACAAATATAAGCATACACATGTGCACACTTACACCACCTGCACATACACTCACACGCCCAACACACACACATTCCCCACTCACACTCAAACGTAAATACACACAGATACACACACACTCCCATACACTCACATATGCTTGTACACACACACTCACACAATCCCCACATTCACACAAAGACATTCACACATACCACATACACAGTCACACCCCCACACACACTCAGGCACATGCACACATACACATTCACATAGCCCCCCACTCACGCATATAAACTCACACACACTCACACTCATACACACACACTGACTGAATCTTGGAATTCAAAACTCGGACACCGATTCCTTTTCCTTAAAGCCATTATCCCTAGATAAATGAAAGGTTCTCAGAATGAATAGCATTTCCCAGCACATTGTAAATTTCCTCAATGTGAGTGACTTCATCAGGCCCCATTATGAGAGGAGCTTGCTAGAGAGGTAGAAAGGGAGATGGGAAGTGGAGGCAGGATCTGAGATCCCTGTGGGAAGTTCTGAAAGAGGATGTCTAGGCAAAAAGAAATGAGGAGACGAAAGTCTGTGGCATCGAGGACAAATCGAGTCAATCTCCTGATTTGGTGGCCTCCACCCTGTCCGCCGGATGCTTACCCACATTGCTGCAATCGTTCTTTCATAACAGGAGGCAATGTGCCTTTCCTTAAAAGGCCAGGTAAGTAAATATTTTAGGCTTTCAGGGCCAAGAGGGAATATGGAGGATTGTGCATAGGAACTTACAGAATCATTTCAAATTTCACCATTCAAAAAGGCAAAAACCATTCTCAGCTTGCAGGCTGCAAGAAAACAGGCAGCTGGCCAAACTTGGCCATGGCCTGCAGTTTGATGATCCTTGCTCTAGAACCTTCCCCAAATATTGTTCATAGAATTCCAGAAACCAATGCTGCGGTCCCACTAAAGTGTTGATAAGCACTTATGCACATAAAAACTTGATTTCTGTAAACAGTTACATACACACCACACATGGGCACTATACATAGGAAAAGACACCCTGAACCCTATCATATGGACCCAGAATGGCCAAGTCATATAGTCCAGTAAAAGTACTAGACTTAAAAAATGTATTTGGACATCTACACAAACAAGCAAGTGCTTTATAGCTTTATAAGGGGAAATAAAGTATTAGCATCAGGCTTTTTGACAGCAATGGTTTAGCCATAAGAAAATGGAGTAGCATTTAAAATATGAAAGAAAATGTAAGCCTCAGGTTTAGAGCCAACAAACTGACTTCCATACATAAATGACACAGAAAAACTGTTATCAGCATGTGTGAGCCCTTCTTGAGGGACTTGCTAAGGAATTAACTTCAGAAAACCAGAATATCTAGTGAGGCACCAATAAAGGTACTGGTTGCAAGCTTTAAATAGTTACTTGAATAACTAAGTCTCAATAATGTGGATTAAAACAGAAAGAGCATGGTATGTATTGCTCTGTGCCCTGGCAAAATATATATAATGTTACCGAAAAATGGGGCCAAAATGAGTACAACATCCACAAAACAATTTAATGCTTTCATTAATGATACCGGCAGTGATAGCATTTGTATTGTTATTCTGAGACTTTTGTGTGTAAGGTGGAATGAACAAACAAGCAATTATGGGATATTTTATCATTCCCATGTCATTGAGAACCAGGGTTCTTAATCGGAAGAAAGAAGATTCAAATGTAGAATGGGAGAAGCTTGGTAAACACCCCGGAGTTTACAGTTCTATTTTGAATCCAAAGGGTCAGCATGCACGCAGAACATTTTGCACAGGGGCAGAACTCCCTGCATTGTGCTTCACCTTTACTGCACTTCTCAGACACTGCACTTTTCACAAACTGAAGGTTTGTGAAAACTATAAACTAAACTGTACTGTCTAGGGATTCATACGAGAGGATAAAATTGTAAAGAAATACAAAAAAATTATTACAATAAAAATCAGGGGAGGCCAGAAGTGGTGGCTCATACCTATAATCCCAGCATTTGGGATGCCAACACAGAGAGACTACTTGAGGCCAGGAGTTTGAGACCAGCCTGGGCAACATAGCAGGACCCCATCTCTACAAAATAAAATTAAAATTAAAAAATCAACTGGGAGTGGTGGTATGTGCCTGTAAAACCACCTACTTCAGGAGGCTGAGGCAGGAGGATCACTTGAGCCAAACAGTTCGAGGCTGCCGTGACCTATGATCATGCTACTGCACTCCAGCCTGGGCAAAAGAGTGTGACCTTGTCTATAAAATAAATAAATAAATAAATAAGAAGGAAATCCAGAGGAGTGGCTACTTCAGGGAGATTTGGTATGATTGGAATGGAGAAACTCCAGGAAGGCTAGAAAAGCACCATTTTTGACCTGGGTGTTTGTTTTAAGTGCGCTCACATTATAAGTAAGTAATCTAGGCATGTGTTTTGTGCTGTTTTTGTAGAGCTCCTATATTTTACAATAAAAGTTTTTAACAAGAAAAAATAACAAGAAACCCAGTAATTTTCAAAGTTACCTTCCCCTTCAAAAAGGTGATCCTCTGGCCTCAGCCTTTCAACTGGTTGGGACTACAAGGACACACCAACATGCCTGGCTAAATTTTTATTGTTTGTAGAAAATGAGTTCTCTCTCTGTTGCCCAGGCTGGTTTTGAACTCCCAGGCTCAAGCAATCCTCCTACCTTAATTTGTTTTTATGTACAAATTAGGGCTAAGACTTCAGAAGAAAAAAGAGGATAAAAAGGCAGGATATGGCTTTGGAGGAAGAATGTAAAGCAAAAATAATTAGCATTATTTATGTCAAGCCATGTGAAGATAATTTCTTACTGAATCAATGTCATGATATTGAGGGTTAAGATGCATATATGGTTAATGAGAGGTACTTGCAGCCAAAGTAGTTAACTTAAGCAAAAAGAATAGTGTGAGATTTAAAGTTTCTAACTACATAGAGTGATACATTTCAAATATCAGACCCAACCACATTTTAAAAGTCAGAGTAGTCTGGACATGGTGGCTCACATCTGTAATTCCAGCACTTTGGGAGGCCAAGGCAGGTGGATTGCATGAGGCCAGAAGTTCGAGACCAGCCTGGCCAACATGGAAAACCCCACCTCTACTAAAAATACAAAAATTATCCAGGTGTGGTGGTGTGCAGCTGTAGTCCTAGCTACTTGGGAGGCTGAGGCACAAGAATCCTTAAACCCAGGAGGCAGAGGTTGCAGTGAGCCAATATCGCACCACTGCACTCCAGCCTGGGTAACAGAGTAATACTTTGTCATAAAATAAAATAAAATAAAAATAGAAGTCAGACTATATATTCCAGAAATTTGGACCTTCTACTATAGTTGCTGATAGACTTGCAAATCCTATGATTTGCAAATTGGCTTACAATTTGGCTTCATAGTGATTAGTCCAACAGGATCATTGAATTAGGCCTGTCTATTCTTAGTCATGGCTGAAACTCAGTTGATTTTCAACACTATCACTCTCAGCAATCAATATTTTGTCTTATACATTTTACTTGAAATATTTATATGAAAAGGAATATGTAATAACTTTTTATACTGAAGGTTCATACTCACAGTTAAATACATTTCTAGTTAGTTGAGCAGGTGTTCTACTCATGGCTAAGGCTGAAGGGTTTGCTCAAGCCATATGCCCTTTGAGAGAAGCAGGCCAGCAGGACCAAAGTGTGCTTGAGCTACCAGCAATCCAATTTACCCTATTGTCTCCTTGGATTAAGCGTCGGTTCTGCTAGCCCAGGCACATAGTTGAATTGAATTAACAAGGTTATTCAAAGCCTGAAATCACTATGATAGAGGAATGTTGTTTATTGGGTAACCTTATTCCTTATTTTAAATTAGATTTTTTTGTTTTTCCAAGGTAAATTAAAATGCTTTATTAAAATAAATAAAACATTCTTAAGAGCCTCTCAGATTACAAACACAGCACACATACAAGAGACCTGTATTTCCTGGATCTCTGTCCAAGGGCCAAACCCACACTTTAGGACACAGATTTCTAGGGCCCCTACTACAGAGAACAGTCTTGTTGCCTCTGAGACTACAAATAAGCTTCACCCAGTAGGATGTGAAGGTGGAAGCAAGGACTCAGAAATAGAAGACGAAAATGTGGAAACAAGCCAGGTGGAATTAGATCATATAGTGCAGAGGAAAATACTAGGGCAACTTTAAATAAACCCTTTGTAAACTCTGGGGAGAAAATGTGCAATGAAGGTGCACTTGCAGGGGTTAGCTTTTTATATTTTTTAGGTCTGACCATGAATAAAGCTTCTGAAGAGCAGAAGTGGAGCAAGAAAACTCAAGCTGAAGGCGCTCAGAAGCAGGAAGAATCTCAGTGGTCACCCAGTCCATCCTGGCCCCAGCCCACCACTCATGCAGCAGACATGAATTCTTTGCACAGCCTCTCAGGCAAGCTGTCAGTCAGTTGCTGAAGAATAAAGATAGGGATCTCGGAGACTAAAAGGCAAACAGGTCCTGATCAGGCACTGGAAAAATTGATGAATGAAGTCAGTCTTCGTGGTTCCCAAGTTCCCTCCTCTCTGTCCTTTCTCCTCTGCAGAACAACTGCTACACTTTTTCTTTGGCCCAGTATTGACTTATATCCTGGCTGTGGGACTTTGTAGTTAATTAGAGTTTCATAATGGGATGTGCCGCCTTGTGTGATAACAAGCTTCCTGTCATGGGAAGCAACCAAGCCAAAGCTGCATGACCATGAACCAGGAACACTGCAGAAGTGTGTGGAACGGGAAAGCAGAACTGAGGCCCTCCACTCACAAATAGTAGGAGGCTCTTACAGCATCAGTTGCAGATATTGCTATCAATTCAGCAAATCTTTATTGATCTTTTACAATAAGCCAGGCACTGTGCTGTCATCACCAGGAAACTGCAAGCTCAATAAGTACCAAGACCATGCATTCTTTATTCAGCATTCTAGACTCAACCTGTTGTCTGGAACAAAGCAAGTATTCAACATTTGTGAAGTGAGTGAATGAATGAATCATTGGTACAATGCTGAATAATTGTTAACAAGGTGATACAATCAATTTTCTTACCCTTCAGTACCTAAGATTGACTAAATGTAAAGTGGGATTAATAATACTAACCTTTTAGGGTTATTATAAGAATTAAATTTTAAAATATAGATGCCTGCATTTGCCCATGAAAGAGCAATTGATAAAGTACTTGCACTCTTGCCATTAAAAATAACTAGAAAAACTGGAAAAATATATGAAATAAATGGACATTGGACAATACCTACCACAGGACTGTGATCCCTGATTAAAGGTGGAAACAAACAAGGTGAACACTTAAGGCTTTCTGCCTGAAGACAATTTCCAGACCACCCACTAGAGAGAGAAAACCCAAACAGATCCCAGCAACCTGCTCAACTGTGGAAAAAAAATATGTACTTCAGGAAGCTGGAGGCAGCTAGAACTTGTACAGCAGAATACCAGAGGGAAGGAGGCTACACACACACACAAAAGTGGCTACAAAAATCTGCATCAGGAGCCCTTGAATATGAATCTGCACATATCTAGGGTGAAATTCCTTGAGACTAGGAAAAAGAACAGCTGCGGTAAAGGAAAATTATTTGTGGTAACAATAAGCTGAAAAATTCCCAGAGCTCACATATGACTGGGAAGTTTCCAAGTTCCCACCAAGCAGTGATTATTCATTAAGTACACGGGACATTCATTACAGACACAAAAAGGGCTATGACTTAGTAGAAGGAATAAACTAGCCCTAGAAGAAAAGGCTACTCTTGACCCAATTCCATAATTAAAAAAAAAAAAAACTTGAAAGGATCAAGCAGGTCTACAAGTAACTTAACTGCCTGCTAGAACAAAGTCCAACACCTTTAAGGAATGCAACAAAATCCAGTACTCAATAGCATAAAATACAATGTCTAACTCCAGTAAGAAAAAAAAATACTAGATATGTAAACAAGTGGGGAAATGTGACCAAGAACCAAAATAAAGAATCTATCAATGACAGCAATGACAGAAATGATGTAATTAGCTGAAAAAGACGTAAAAGAAGTTATTACTAATATTATAAATATATTCAAAGATTTAAAGAAAAACATAACTGCTAGGAGTGAGATGAAAGATATTGTTTAAAAGAACTTGTAGAGATAAAAATATAGCATTTAAAATTAAAAATTCCCTGAATGAACGGAAGTAACAAGAGATTAGACACTGCAGTAAACTCGAAAATATAGAAATAGTACCTAAGTAAACCTGAAAATATAGAAATAGAACCTATCTAAGATAAAATGTATAGATAAAAGAGGGGTGAAAAAAATGAAGGAAATCTCAGTGAGCAGTGTGATCCTATCAATCAGTCTCATATACAGATAATTGGTGTCCTAGAAACATAAAACAGAGAGTAAAACCAAAAAAAAAAAATTGAAAAAATAATGACTCTAAGTTTTTACAAAATTCAAAGAAAACAAAAAAACTCAAAGATCTAAAATCTAAAAACCTAAATTAGGCTGAGCATGGTGGTTCACACTTGTAATCCCAGCACTTTGGGAGGCTGAAGTGGGAGGATCCCTTGAGCCCAGGAGTTTGAGACCAGCCTGGGCCATATAGCAAGACTCCATCTCCAAAAAAAAAAAAAAAATAACGGAGCACAGTGGCACACATCTGTAGTCCTACCTACTTGGGATGCTGAGGCAGGAGGAGTGCCCAGGAGGTAAAGGATGCAATAAGCTATGATGACCCCCACTGCGCTCCAGCTTGGGTGACAGAGTGAGACAATCTCTAAAAATTTTTTTAAACCCACATTAGGATAAACACGAAAAAAAGCCACACCAAGGTATATCATAAGCAAACTGCTAAAAACTGACGATAATGAGAAAAGTTGAAAACCAGCCAAAGAAACACAGAGTATATTATTAAGAAACAAAGGTAAGAAAAAGGACCTGATATATTGGCAGAAACCAAGCAAGCCAGAGGATAATGAATCAACATCATTAAAGTACAAATCAAAACAAAAGTGACATCTCAGAAATTAATTATACGCAGCACAGATGTTTCCAATAGTAAGGTAAAATAAAAGTGTTTCAGGACAAAAAAAGAAAAACAAGACATTTCATCTCCAGCAGACCACAGAAGAAGACATGTTAAAGAAAGTTATTCAGGTAGAATAAAAACAGGACCACATGGAAATCTCTACACAAAGAAATGAACAGCACCAGAAATTATCAATATGTGGGTGAATGTAAAATAGATTTGTCTTATATTTTAATTTCTTTAAAAAATAGCTGTTTAAAACAAAAGTAGTGGCAATGTATTCTAGAGTTTATCACATTTAGAAGTAATATATATAAGAACAATAGCACAAACAATGAGAGAGAGAAAATGTATATATTGCTATGAGTTTCTTAAATTATGGCATAATATCATTTAAAAATAGACTTGGATGAGTTGAAGATGAATATTTCAAATGCTAGAGCAACCAAGAAAACTATTTTAAGAGCAAAACTAAAAAATATCTAGGAAGCCAGAAGAATGGCTATAGCAAAAAAGACAGACAATAGCAAATACTGGCAAGAATGTGGAATATTTGAAGGTCTCATACATTGCTGGGGAGAAAGTAACATTGTTCTAACACTTTTGAAAAAAGTTTAGCAGTTTCTTACAAAGTTAAACATATACTTATCATATGACCCCCAATTCCACTCCTAAGAATTTACCCAAAAGGAATAAAAATGTATAACTCCATGAAGACTTGTACATGGATGTTCATGGCAGCTTTATTCATAATAGCCAGGCACTGAAACAAACCAAATGTACAAGAGAACAGATAAACCAATGACGACACATACACGCAATGGAAATATAACTCAGTTTAAAAAGAAAGAAAAATGGAAGGAAGGAAGAAGGGAGGAGAAGGGGAGGGGAGGGGAAGGGAAGGAAGGAAAGGAAGGAAGGAAGAGAGAGAGAAAAGAAAGAAAGGAAGGAAGGAAGGAAGGAAGGAAGGAAGGAAGAAAGAAAGAAAGAAAGAAAGAAAGAAAGAAAGAAAGAAAGGAGGGAAGGAAGAAAGAAAGGAGGGAAGGAAGGAAAGGCAGGAAGAGAGAGAAAAAGAAAGAGAGAGAAAGAAAGAAAGGGAAAGAAGGAAAGAAAGGAAAGAAAGAAGAAAGAAAGAAAGAAAGGAAGGAAAGAAGAAAGGAAGGAAGGAGAAAGGGTATGAACTGTTGATACAAGCAACAGCTTAAATGAATCTTATAAACACTTACTAAGCAAACATAGGCTCAAGGAACACATATTGGATGATTCCATACTTACGAAGTTCTAATAAAGATGAAAGTAATGCATGATGGCAGAAGATACAGACCTCTGCCCAGACCTGAAGCTATGAAACCCAGGGACAACAAGAACTTAAGTCCTCCCTGAGTGAAGACAGCCAGAATGTGCACCTCCTGCACATTTGTTACAAACTGTGACTCAGTCTCACCTGTCCTGCCCGAGAGGACTGGTCTATCTCCACCTCAATGGCCTGCTGAGCCCTGGTGCTGATAGCTCTGGGTAGGATACTCAAAATGAAATTTCTTCTCTCTCCCTTAGTATCTTTTTTGTTTTTGTTTTTGTTTTTAAGAAATGGGGTCCTACTCTGACACCCAGGCTGGAATGCAGTGGCATGGTCATAGCTCACTACAGCCTTAATCTTCTGGGCTCAAGCAATCGTCTGCCTCTGCCTCTGCCTCCCAAGTAGCAAGGATGACAGGCATGCACCACCATGCTCGACTCTCAGTGTCTTTTAAAGAGATGAATTGTGTTCACTGGGAGTTGCTTGAAATTGTGTTATGCAGATGAAAGAGTTTCTATTGCCTAGATGGGCTCATTCAGGGAGCCTTTGATTTCAGTTATTAAGTGCAGAGGGGCTTCAAGAGACCCCCTACAAAGAAATATACACTTATCCTTCCCCCTGGAAGGAATATGCTCATCTGAGGGGTCAGACTTGGCACTCAGGGTTTCCAATTAAGCCCTGATTGCATGCCTGAGCCAGCTACTTCCGAAGGTAATCAAACCTCTCTCACTGTTTTGTTGAAAGTGGCTTAAGCGGAAAGGAAACAGCAGACAAGAGCACAAAGTCAGCAGGTGCATCTCTCAGCTTTGACCAGTTCACTGAACTCCCAGAGAAGACCTCCTAATATCAGAGAAGGAATTCTGGGGGGAAAAAAATAAAACAGAAAAGCAAGCATTGCTTGGCTCACATCAAGACAAAAGCAGCTTCCTTTGTAGCAGGAGAGACAGCTGCTGATGCAAATGCCACATGGACTGTAATTTTGGAAAACTTGCCTGTTTGAAGAGGCTGTTGTGAGAGTGTTGATAATGCTTATAAAGATCGAGTTGCCTTAATTCATGGAGGGCCATTGCTAGTATTGGGGATGAAAATTATTTACTTTTTAGTTACAGAATTGATTGTCTTTATTCTCTTTTAAAATACACAAGGTTTTTGTTACTCTTTTCTTCAAGGTGACCATATGTCTTTCAATTCATGGCAAGGTGACCATAGGTCATTCAATTTACTCAGTAGCTTAGCCACTAATAGCCCAGAATAGGCAACATCTCTGCCAGGTTTCCCAGCCCCACTGGGATCAGGCCACAGGAAACAAGTCCTGATCCTCAATGTGGTGGGCAAAATCACACCTCCCTAAAGAAAGATGCCCACATTATAATCCCTGGAACCTGTGAATATGTTACCACGTTAGGCAAAAGTGAATCTGCCGATGAGATTAAGGATCTTGAGATGGGGAAATTATCTTGGATCATGTGAATTGGACCAATATAATCACAATGACCATTACAAGAGGGAGAAAGGAGGGTCAGAAACACAGAGAGGAGATGTGACAATGAAGCAGAGGTCAGAGTCACAGAGAGAGAGAGAGATTGGAGGATGCTACCCTGCTGGCTTTAAAGATGGAGGAAGAGGACAAAGCCAAGGAATGCAGATGGCTTCTAGAAGCTGGAAAAGTAGAAAAAAAACAGATTCTCCCCTGGATACATCAGAAGGAAGGCAGTTCTGCTGATACCTTGATTTTAGGACTACTGACTTCTAAAACTAAGAGAGTAAATGCATATATGCACATATATATATATATATATATATATATATATATATATATAGAGAGAGAGAGAGAGAGAGAGAGAGAGAGAGAGAGAGAGATGGAGTCTCACTCTGTCTCCCAGGCTGGAGTGCAATGATGCGATCTTGGCTCACTGCAGCCTCCACCTCTTGGGTTCAAGTGATTCTCCTGCCTCAGCCTCCCTAGTAGCTGGGATTACAGGCACGCACCACCACACCCAGCTAATTTTTGTATTTTTAGTAGAGATGGGGTCTCATGATGTTGGCCAGGCTGGTCTCGAACTCCTGAGCTCAAATGATCTGCCCTCCTCAGCCTCCCAAAGTGCTAGGATTACAGGCGTAAGCCACCAAGCACAGCCATAATGCATATTTTTTAAGCCACTGGGTTTGTGGAAATTTTTCACAACAGCAATAGGAAACTGACATACTTGAGGACACAAAGGAAAGGTACAAGGACCCTGACCACCCTCAGTGGCATCAGCGGCCTCCTTCATGTGGGCTGACGGTCACTGACATTTAGAAATACAAGAAATGGCCTTTCCCCACCCACCAGCAAGGTTGGTTACCTCTTCTCAGCCTTTCAGTAGCTCATTCCAAACAATATGTTTTTGAAATAGGAATGCCATTTGTCAGGCCCATGCTCCATTTTGGCAAAGGCATAGAAAAATAGAAACTAAACTTGAGGATAACATTTAAGCTTCTAACAGACCATATTCTGGAAGTCACACATTAAGTCTAATTGGGGGGAAACACGTGGTCCTATCTTCCAAATATCAATGCAAATCAGAAGTGGACCTTGAAGAGTGAACAAAACTGTGAATTTTCTCTAACTGGAGGCTGCTAAAGCAAGAGGAGATGTTTTCCCCGCAGGAACCAAGGTCTAGAACATACTCTCTTAAGGTAAGACTTGAGGAAGTGATCGAGATGACTAGAAATAGGAAAAATCCACCTTTTCAGACTCAAAATGTGAGTAGACATGAGTTGTAGAGACACATAGTTTTTCTCCCACATCATCTGATGGGTCAATATGCCCCAGGACGTAGATGGTGCAAGAACGTCTTGTAAGAGAAGAGTGTTTACAGTGGTATAGAAACAAGAACGCCTCACATGCAAGCAGAACGTGAAGGAGCTCAACTATATGCTATTTCTACCCCCAGCCTCCCTCCTGTCTGGTGTTTCACAATTGGGTTGAAGGAAGTTAGCAGGTAACCTGCTCACCATCACCGGCTTCTCTTCTGCACACTGGCAGACATCACCAGCTGATCACAGTGCCCCACTGGCCCAACCTGGCCCCAGTCCCATAATTCTCAACACATTTACTAGCAATCAAGACTAGACCTGGACTCTCCAGATAACCTACATGCCAGTCCTGAGGGGAAGTATACTATCTGTGGAGATCTCTTGGTCCAGCATAAAAATTGTCAAGGAAAATATTTGCCCTCCAGGTCTTTCACACAGTGGTACTTCCAGTTCAGCACCATCAATCCGTAAAGAGGTTGCAAAGTAGCAGGGCAGAGACAGCTAAGGAGGCGTGGACAGGCTTGCTCCATGGGCTGTGTCCAGGTCCAGGTGCCAAGTGGGGATTCCTGAGCAGCCCAAGCAGGGCAGGATTTAGAAAGGAAAAGAAGGGAGAACAGAAGAGTAGGAGGAAGCCGTGGAAGACAAGCTTCCCAACCTCACGGTTTCGCCCAGCGCCGGCCTCCCTTTTAATGCAGAAAGTGCCAGGAGTCTCTCCTCCCCCTTAGCCACGTGAATCCTCCTCTTCCCCACATGAACCTCACATGACCCCTAGTCCCCAGGGCTTGCCATCACTTCTGTTGCTATGGAAACCTGTGGCCTCATCCAGCAACAGCCTCACGGTTTTAGTGAGTGAAACCGTGTAACCGCTGCCCATCGGTTACAAAGTCTCAACAGCAGCCCGGTGCTTACAGGCTCTGCTGAGGTCATGATTTTTCATTAAGACTTGTTTGCTCTGTTACTAGGGAGAAATGGCATGCGGATCCCGGCTGAGGGGCACAGAGTTCATTTAATAGCACCTCATTTAGAGGAAAGCCCAATTGCTGAGCTTTTGGAGTGTGAACAGCACAATACAGTCTGGTAGGCACCTCCCTCTGGCCCCACCTCCAGGTCCCAGAGAACAACATGCTCCCTGAGAACTGGCAGTTAGATCTGGAGCTAGAGGAAAGGGTGAATAAAATGCCTTTCTAAGAAAGCTCGCTCTTCCTCACCACATGCATGCACATTCACACTAGACTGTCTTTTTCCCCTCCCTTCTCATCTGGATACTTGATGTCAAAGGTGAATTTGGGGGCTGGATCATTCTTTACATTGTTGTAATATTATCTAATTCATTTCTCACATTGGAAAACTAAATACGGTAAATAATAGCACACTAGGGAATGGATCAAAAATAATAATGAATGTCAAATGATTGCAGATATTGACAATGTGTAGAACAATATGCACATGAAAAGGTGAAAAAGCAGCTTATTTGTGTGTTGGTATATATATAAAATATATATATTAAAAAATATATAAAAAATATATAAATATATATATAAATATATATAAAAAGATATATATATAAAGTATATATAAATACATATAAAAAACTAGAAAATAAAGACATATATGTAAATATATAAAACTAGAAAATAAAGACAAATATATATAAAACTAGAAAATAAAGACAAAATAATCACACTCATTACCCTCCCTCATCCTTAGGCAATCTGGCATGTATGATTCTCAAAATTTATATATATGTATATATATAAAATATACATATATTTTATATGTATATATATACACATATATAATATACATATATTTTATGTACATATATTTTATATATTTTATATGTATATATACACACATATATAATATACATATATATAAAATATAAGTAAGTATAGCAGTTAGCTGCTGCTTTGTAACAAATTACCCAAGGATGCAGTGGCTTAAAACAACATTCAGTTATTTAACTCATGATTAGGTGGGGCTGGGCTCATCTGATCTCGGCTGGGCTCACTTGTGCATCTGCATGTCAGCTTCTGGTTTGGTTGGGGACTGGCTCATATAAAATGGCCTCAGCAGGAATGAGTCACCTCTGCTCCACATGATCTCTCATCCTGTAGCAGGCTGGCCTGTAGCATGAAAGCTACAGGACTCCAGAACCACTGGAGATAAGCAAGTTCTCTTGAGGTTTATGCTTGGCTCTCAAGTACTATGACGGTGGCTGCCACATTCTATGGGTCAAAGCAAGTCACAAGGCCCACACAGATTCAAGATATGGGGAAGTAGACTCCACCTCTTAATGAGAGAAGCTACAAAGTCACACTCAAAAGTATGTGCATAACAGAGAGTGAAGGATTTGGCCCATTTGTTTTGCAAGTTACTCCAGAGAAAAAGTCAGAAAACCATTTTTGCTTTGAGTAATTCAGCTTAACTAGGAAAGTGGATTGAGTGATCACCACATGGGAACATGCTCAGCTCTCTGCCTCCCCTTGACTACAAGATGTAGCCACAGGTTTCCTCAATGCACTCAACTGGGATACCTTTCCAGAAGTGTCTAAGAGGCTATGCATGCACTTAAAAGTTTTTGAATTGAATCTTGCACAGAATTCTCTTAGATATAAAGTTCTAAACAGAAAAGTCTTATTCTAGGCTGCAAGCCTAGCTGTCCTTTGAGAGATGTTGTATTAGTCCATTCTCACACTGCTCTAAGGAACTTCCCAAGGCTGGGTAATTTATAAAGGAAAGAGGTTTAATTGACTTACAATTTTGTATGAGTGGGGTGGCCTCAGGAAACTTACAATCATGGCAGAAGGCAAAGGGCAGGAAGGTACCTTCTTCACAATGCGGCAGGAGAGATAAGTGCTTAGGGAAGAGGGAAGAGCCCCTTATAAAACCATCAGATCCCATGAGAACTCACTCACTATCATGAGAACAGCATGGGAGAAACTGCCCCCATGATTCAATGACTTCCACCTGATCTCTCCTTTGACACGTGGGGATTATGGGGATTACAATTTAAGATGAGATTTGGGCGGCAACGCAAAGCCTAATTATATCAGATATGGTATTCACTCTTTTGGAAAAAATCAAAGGCTTTAACTTCTGCTAAAAGTTCCAAACTGGGAAGAGATGCACATATCTAAAAGCAAAGGAGAACCACTTTTGGTGAGAATTTAACTTTTTTTTCCCGGAGTAATAAATGCACATGTGTAAAATGTCAAATAGTATCAATATCAATAAGTCTATAGTAAAAAGCAAGAGTATCTACTCAACTCCTTCTTATCCCTAAACCTGCCTACAAAAAAAATTAACCTAACTTTTAAAAATCTGCCCATATTTAGTTCTTTACAGAGTTATTTCTAAGTAACAACCTCAATTTTGTATGTCTTTAATTATCAAATTTAGGCATTATTGCCTGCAACAAGAGATGAGGACTAAATTCACAAAAGCATTTTAAATTATTTTTCTTCTTTCCTCCCAATATAGTTATATCATGGATGCTTGTTCCTTTACCGTTTTTATAATTTATCTATTTGATCAACTATGGACAGTATCTCATGACTTTCTTCTTCTTAAAATGAGTATATGAACGCCCATCTCTTTCCTTCATGTCTCCTTTCATTTCCCTTCATACTTTTGTTTTTTTCATGGCCAAGGTTTGCAGTACATGCATTTTGTTCTGTAAACACAATTTTGCTTTGTCCTTAGGTTCAGATGGAAATAAATAACATAAAAAATGAAGTGATAATTAATTTCATTTTGCATACATTTTGTTTTTCTTGGAGTATTTAATTATCTATCTATCTATCTATATCTATCTTGTAATGTCTGCCTTTGTCATATCCTTACCACCATGTAATATTTAAGGACATTTTCAAATACATGAAATTGTTTTTCTTCCTTTTCCCATCTTTATGGAGTCCTTTTGCTCTAACCTAATCCCTCTCTAATTCTGTTTCAGAGCTATCCTCCTGGATACAATCTACTCTTGTTACAGGAAAGGGTCCTGATCCAGACCCCCAGAGAGGGTTCTTGGATCTCGTGCAAGGAAGAATTCAGGGTGAGTCCCTAGAGTAAAGTGAAAGCAAGGTTATTAAGAAAGAAAAGGAATAAAGAATGGCTACTCCATAGACAGAGCAGCCCCAAGGGCTGCCCATTTTTGTGGTTATTTCTTGGTTATGTGCTAAACAAGAGGTAGATTATTCATGCCCCCTTTTTAGACCATATAAGGTAACTTTCTGACATTGCTATGGCATTTGTAAATTGTCGTGGTGCTGATGGGAGTGTAGCAGTGAGGACAACCAGAGGTCACTCTCGTGGCCATCTTGGTTTTGGTGGGTTTTAGCCGGCTTCTTTACTGCATCCTGTTTTATCAGCAAGATCTTTATGATCTGTATCTTGTGCCCACCTCTTGTCTCATCCTGTGACATAGAATGCCCTAACCATCTGGGAATGCAGCCCAATAGGTCTCAGCCTTATTTTACCCAGCCCTTACTCAAGATGGAGTTGCTCTGGTTCAAAAGCCTCTGATACTCTTACTGGACTTTAAGTCCTCCTTTCTTGGTTCACTCCCTTGTTTTGCTGGAGCATGTCTTTAAATAGCTTTGTCACAAAGGTTGCCAAGGAAATAAAACCTCTGGGTTCTTGCATAATCTGTCTTCACAGCTAGTTGGTAATTTTGTTGCATATACAATTCCAAGCTGAAAATCATTTGCCTCAGAACTTGGAAGACATCCCTCTCAGTCTTGTAACATTAAGTATTGCTGGTTAGAATTTTTCAGCCAGCTTGACTCTTATCCTTTGTAAATGAACAGTTCTTACTCTACAGAGGCTTTCTGAATATTTTATTAATTGATGTATTCTGAACCTTTGTAATGATGTGTCTCAATGTGGTCTTTCTCATGCATGATGCCAGGATCAAAGGGCCATTTCAGTTCAAGGACATGTTCCTTCTTCAGCCGTAGAAAATAACCTTCTAATATGCCTTCAAAAACTGGTTCCCTTGTGTTTGCTTTGGTCTCACTTTCTGGAATTTCTGTTAACTGTATGTTGACCTTGTAAATAGACTTTTATTATCTCTCAGTTTCTTGCATATGTTTCTATTCCTTTTTGTTTGGTTTTGTTGTCCCACTTGATAAGAAATTCCCCCAACTTTCATTGTTAAACCTTCTGTTGAATTTTGTAGTTTGCATATCTTTTTTTTTCTTTCCAAGAGATCTTTCTTGTTCTCTGATAGTCTTTAACATCTTATTTATGTATTATCAATTTTATGTCTTCTCAAATCTCTCTGAGGACATCAATTAGGATTTTTTTAAAGTACATTTTTATTCCCTGAATTATTTGCTTCCTCCTGGGTCATTTTCTTCTGCTTGTTTACCTTGGTGTTTTTTCTTTACATTGCAGACTCCTCAAATGCCTGTTACCCAATTGTCCATTTCTATTTTAAAATACAGCAATTGCAAGGCTGTGAGCTTCGTGTCTGTAAATGAGGCACTTTCTGGGAAGGTTTCACTCCAGCATGAACAGGATAGAAATCAGCTGAACCCCTAGGGCCCCAGAATTCAGAGCCTGGGGACACCAGTACTCATTAGCTACTCTGCCACTCCACAGACAACTTTATTTGTTTAGTGGAGAAACCTTTGCTTTTTTGCCTGAGGGTAAACATCTGCTTATTGGCTGTACTGTGCTCATAGGGTAGGAAAGATTTTGTCATGGCTCAACCCTTTTTTCTTTCTTTCCGACTTTTAGGTTCAAGGGGCACATGGCGCAGATTTGTTACATGGCTCAATTGCTTGTTGCAGGGATTTGGTGTAGAGATAATTTTGTCACCCAAGTAATCAACATAGTACCCAACAGTTTTTCAATTCTTACTTTTCCTCACCCTCCACCCTCAAATAAGCGCCAGTGTCTATTGTTCCCTTCTTTGTGTCCATGTATATTCAATATTTAGCTCCCACTTATAAGTAAGAACATGCAGCATTTGGTTTACTGTTTCTGTGTTAATTCACTTAGGTTTATGGCCTCCAGCTCCATTCATGTTGCAACAAAGGACATGATCTCATTTTTTTATAGCTGTGTAGTATTCAGTGGTATATAGATACCACATTTTCTTTATCCAGTCCACCATTGATGGGCATCTAGATTGATGTTATGCCTTTGCTCTTGTAAATAGTGCTTTTATAAACATATGCATTCATGTGTCTTTGTGGGAAAACAATTTATATTCCTTTGGGTATGTATCCAATAATAGAATTGCTGGGTTAAATAGTAGTTCTGTTTTAAGTTCTTTGAGAAATCTCCAGACAGCTTTCCACAGAGGCTGAACTAATTTACATTCCCACCAGCAACGTATAAGTCCCTTTACTCTGCAACCTTGCCAGCATCTGTTATTTTTTAGTTTTTTAAATGAGAGCCATTCTGACTGGTGTGAGATGGTTCTCATTTTGGTTTTTATTTGCATCTCCCTAATGATTAGTGATACTGAGCATTTTTTCACATGATTCTTGCCCACGTTGTGTCTTCTTTTGAGAAGTGTCTGTTCATGTCCTTTGCCCATTCCAAAATGAGATTGTTTGTTTTCTGCTTGTTGACATGCTTGAGTTCCTTATAGATTCTGGATATTGGACTTTTGTTGGATGCATAGTTTGGAAATATTTTCTCCCATTTGATAGGTTGTCTGTTTACTCTTGGTTAATCCTCCTACATCACACGCCTACCTTCAAAAGTGTTCTGAATTCAGGGCCTCCATGGGATTCTACTGAGCACATAGACAGCTGCAGAGTTGAGGGTCTTCCTTTCCATGATTCGTCATTCACCATCACTCTACACAGTTTTGTCTTTAGAAAATACCTAGAGGCCGGGCGCGGTGGCTCACGCCTGTAATCCCAGCACTTTGGGAGGCCGAGGCGGGCGGATCACGAGGTCAAGAGATCGAGACCATCCCGGCTAAAACGGTGAAACCCCGTCTCTACTAAAAATACAAAAAAATTAGCCGGGCGTAGTGGCGGGCGCCTGTAGTCCCAGCTACTTGGGAGGCTGAGGCAGGAGAATGGCGTGAACCCGGGAGGCGGAGCTTGCAGTGAGCCGAGATCCCGCCACTGCACTCCAGCCTGGGCGACAGAGCGAGACTCCGTCTCAAAAAAAAAAAAAAAAAAAAAAAAAAGAAAATACCTAGAAAGCTGTCATTCATTGGCAGGTCTCCTCCGATTCTCTTTCTGGTTGAAAGAGAATACATTTTTTATTCTCTTACTTTCCTTATAATAGCAACTTCAGAGGAAGAGATAAAAACACATACGTTCCACCTCTCATTCTAAACTGGAAGCCACTTTCTGAAGGAATCAACTTCCCAAAGAAGAATTTCATTTAGTTAATTATTCAAAAGATTCAACTAAAATAAGAAAATTCCATTCAATGACATTTTCTTGGGTATCACTTTGTTCAAAGTACAGTGCTTGACTAACTCAGGAATTTACAAGACAGTAGGATTTGGTTCTTGCCCCCAGATAATTTATGTTCTGATAGAAATAACAGACATTTATCAACATGTTGTAACTGTACATTTGACTGTATACTGATTTTAAGAAATGAGTAAATATACCTGAGTGCCCCCAAGTATGGCTTTTAGTGCAACATTCCAATTTGGCTACAAATATCACAACCACAACTACTGGTAGCCTTGGACCCAAGAGTATTGCGTTGTTACACAATACTGGATATTTTGCATTTCAAGAAAAAGTCTCACAATCTCTCCATATGGAGCAGTCTTTTTCTTAATGTTCATATGTTTACAGAAATGAGAACTTTGGATATTGTGAAATAAATACTGGCTAATGCCAGAGCTTCCTGCATCTCTCTCAAGACCCAGCACGAGACAAACACCTCTGTCAGATTTCCCTTGACTAATTTAAAAGCTGTGAATTCATTCTGCTTGCCCAGATTTTAAGGCTTCTATCCCTGGAATGTCACCTCCTCTTCTTTTCTGTCCTTGTGCCATTCTGTTTTTTTCAGCAACGCATACCCATTTTTCCAGACTCAGCTAAACCAGCATGTGTCCTGCTAATTTGTCACTTTTCTTACCTTCTTTATCTCCTCAAGCAGAGATGGGTAATTCCTCCTATGATGAGACATTTACCAATCACTGACTATTCACCTGCTCCTCCACACTTTCCAATCCCCTCCCTTTAAGTGGGGACATCTGGCTACTTCTGCCCATTCAGTTAGGAGCAGAAGTGGTGTGAGTAACTGCCAGGCCAATGCAATTAACTGCTAGTACAAGACCTTCCAGCTGTTTCTTCCCTGGACCTACTGACTTGGAAGCCATGTGATTTCATTAGAGTAACCATAAGATGCAGGTAACTTAGATCCCTGAGTCTCCATGTGCAAGGGAGCTACCCTGGAGAGCTATTGGGTCTGCAGTAGAACTTATAAGCAAGAAAATACATTTGCCAATTAAGAAGAAAAAAGACCAACAAGTTAATAGAAAAACAGGCAGGAGAGGTCATTCACAATCACGGGTACAAGTGGTCAATAAGAAAATGAGATCATCAACTTTATTATCCATCAGAGAAATGCAAGCAAAAACCACAATGAGATACCTACATGAATAACTAAAATAAAAAAAATGACATTCCTAAGTGTTGAGAAGGCCATGGAACAACTGGAACTCTGACAACCTCCTGGATAGAATTTGAACTGGTAAAACTCCCTTGTGTAACTGGCAATTTCTAATAAAGCTAAACATATGCTTATCCCTAATCTAGAAATTTCACATCTAAGATCTTTATACCAGAACTGTGTCTAATAGTCAAAATAAGAAACAACTCAATTGTCCATCAACAGTAGATTGTAAGTATCTTGGGGTGTATCTATGCAATGAAATATTACACAGCAATAAAAAGAAACTACTTCTATCACAACACAGACGAATCTCACAAACAAGGTTGGGCAGAAGAAGCCATTTTTATGGGTATTTCATTGTAATCCTCTTTGGTAAAAGGTATGCTTTTATTTATAAAGGTCAAACACTTTTTAAAAATAGTGTATAGTACTGCTTTGGGGATTAACGATTGGGAGAGGGCACAAATTGGGGTTTTGGGAGTGTGAAATATTTTATTTACATCTGGGTGCTGTTCACAGAAGTGTGTTTAGTTTAGGATTTGTAGGGTTAGTGATGTACATTTCAATAACACATGTATTTAAAAAAATTAAAAAAGGAAGAAAAGATAGTTCAAATATTCTTCCCTTGAGGATGTACTCAAAAGGGAAGATCTAGAGTACAGATCACTAATTCCTTGGAAACAGGGGCTGTTACCTGTTGTATTTCCAGCACCCAGTACAATGTCTGGCTCATAGTAGGTGCTCAATAAATGTTTGCGGGGGAAGAGAGAAGAAGAGAAGGAATAAAAGAAGGAAGGAAGGAAGGAAGAAGGAAGGAAGGAAGGAAGAAGGAAGAAAGGAAGGAAGGAAGGAAGGAAAGAAGGAAGGAAGGAAGGAAAGGAGGGAGGGAGGGAGGAAGGGAGGGAGGAAGGAATGTAGGTTTATGTTCAAAGCCACTGAGGACTGGGGTTTTTCTTGTTACCACAGAATAGCCTAATAAGCTAACTAATAAAACTCCTCTGTGCTTCCGCAGTACCATGCAAACATATCCATTATAGCATCTATCACTACAGGAATACCTTGGACATATTTGGGGTTTCATTTCAGACCACCACAATAAAGTGAACACCTTAATAAAGGGAGGCACACAATTTTTTTTGCTTTCCCAGTGCATATAAAAGTTATGTTCACACTATACTATAGTCTCTTGAGTGTGCAATAGCCTTATGGTGAAAAGAATGATGTGCATACCTTAATTTTAAAATGTTTTATTAAAATGCTAAAAAATGCAAACAATCATCTGACCCTTCTGTGAGTCCTAATATTTTTCCTGGGGGAGGGTCCTGTCTCAACGTGGATGGCTGCTAACTGATCAGGTTGGTGGTCACTGAAGGTTGGACTAGAGGTGACAATTTCTTAAAGTAAGAAAACAATGAAGTTTGCTTCAGCGATTGACTCTTCCTTCCACAAAAGATTTCTCTGATCCATGCCATGCTGTCTGATAACATTTGACCCATAATAGAACTTTCAAATTTGGAGTCCATTCTCTCAAACCCTGCCACTGCTTTGTCAACTAAGCTTATGTCATATTAGAAATCTTTTGTTGTCATTTCAAAAATAGTCACAGCATCTTCACCAGGTGTAGGTTCCATTTCAAGAAACCACTTTGTTTGCTCATCCATAAAAAGCAACTGGTTCAAGTTTTATCATCACGGTGCAGCAATTCAGTCTCATCTTTAGGCTTCACTTCTAATTCTAATTTTCTTACTATTTCTACCATGACTTTAGTTATCTCCTGCACTCAAGTCTAGAACCCCTCAAAGTCATCTATAAGGGTTGGAATCAACTTCTTCCAAAATCCTGTTAATGTTGATATTTTGATTTCCTCCCATGAATCACAGGTGTTCTTAATGGCACCTAGAAAGTTGAATAATTTCCAGAAGGTTTTCAACTGACTTTGCCCAGATTCATCAGATAAATAACTTTTACAACTATTGCCTTATAAGATATATTTGTTAAATAATAAGACTTGAAAGTTAAAATTACTCCTTGATCCGTGGGCTCCAGAAAGGATGTTGTCTTAGCAGACATGAAAACAACATTTATAGGCCAGGTGCGGTGGCTCACACCTGTAATCCCAGCACTTTGGGAGGCCAAGGCGGGTGGATCATGAGGTCAGGAGATCGAGACTATCCTGGCCAACATGATGAAACCCCATCTCTACTAAAAATACAAAAATTAGCTGGGCGTCATGGCACATACCTGTAGTCCCAGCTATTTGGAAGGCTGAGGCAGGAGAATCACTTGAACTCAGGAGGTGGAGCTTGCAGTGAACCGAGATTGCACCACTGCACGCCGCCTGGGTAACAGAGTGAGACTCTGTCTAAAAAAAAAAAAAAGAAAGAAAGAAAAAAGAAAACAACATTTATCTTCTTGTGCATCTCCATCTGAGATTTTGGATGACCAGATGCATTGTCAGTGAACAGTAATATTTTGAAAAGAATATATTATTCTAAGCAGTAGGTCTTGACAGTGGGTATAAAATATTCAGTAAATCATGCTATAAACACTTGTGCTATAATCCAGGCTTTGCAGTTCCATTTTTTAGAGGACAGGCAGTCCATTTCATATAACTCTTAAGGGCCCTAGGATTTTCAGAATGGTCAATGAGCATTGACTTCCACTAAAAGTCACCAGCTGCCTCTCTTGCTAGCCTATAACAGAAAAATCAGCCTGTCCTTTGAAGATTCAAAACCAGCCACAGACTTTTCCTCTCTAGCTGTGAAAATCCTAGACAGCCTCTTCTTCCAATAAAAGTCCATTTCATCTACATTGAAAAATCTGTTGTTTGGTGTAGCCACCTTCATCAATGATCTTAGTTAAATCTTCTGTATAATTTGCTGCAGCTTGTCCATCGGTACTTGCTGCTTCACTTTGCACTTTTATGTTATACACGTAGCTTCTTTCCTTAAACCTCATGAACTGACCCCTGCTAGCTTCTAGCTTTTCTTCTGCAGCTTCCTTACCTCTCTCAGCCTTCATAAAACTGAAGAAGTTAGGGCCTTGCTCTGGATTAGGCTTTGACTTAAGGGAATCTTGTGGCTGGTTTGATCTTCTATCTAAACCACTAACAATTTCCCCGTATCATCAATGATGCTCTTTTGCTTTCTTATCACTTGTATGTTCACTGGAGTAGCACTTTTAATTTCCTTCAAGAACGTTTCATTTACATTCACCATTTAGCTATTTGGTGCAAGAGACCTAGCTTTCAGCCTGTCTTGGCTTTTAACATGCCTTCCTCTCTAACCTTAATCATGTCTAGCTTTTTATTTAAAATGAGAGACCTGGCCGGGCGTGGTGGCTCACACCTATAATCCCAGCACTTTGGGAGGCCGAGGCAGGTGGATCACGAGGTCAGGAGATCGAGACCACCCTGGCTAACATGGTGAAACCTCCTCTCTACTAAAAACACGCACGCACAAAAAAATTAGCCAGGCATGGTGGTGGGCACCTGTAGTCCCAGCTATTCGGGAGGCTGAGGCAGGAGAATGGCGTGAACCCAGGAGGTGGAGCTTGCAGTGAACAGAGATTGCACCACTGCACTCCAGCCAGGGTGATAGAGCGAGACTCTGTCTCAAAAATAAATAAATGAAATAAAATAAATAAAATGAGAGACCTGAGATGCTTTCACTTGAACACTTAGAGGCGACTGTAGGGTTATTAATTGGCTTAATTTCAATATCACTGTGTCGCAAGGAATAGGGAAGCCCAAGGGGAAGGAGACAGGGGAATGGCTGGTAGGTGGAGCAGTCAGAACACACATCACATGTATAGATTAAGTTTGCTATCTTCTGTGGGTGCAGTAGGTGGTGCCCCAAAACAATGACAATAGTAACATTAAAGATCACTGATCACAGATCACCATAACGTATATTATAATAATAACGTTTGATATATTACCAAAAAATACCAAAATATGATGCAGAGACAAAAAGTGAGCACATGCTCTTGGAAGCATGGTACCTATAGACTTGCTGTATGCCAGGTTGCCACAAACTTTCAATTTATAAAAAGCATAATTGCAAAGTGCAATAAAGTGAAGCACAGTTAAATGAGGTGTGCCTGTATTCTGTCTCCCTCTCTCTCTCATAATGTGAACTCCTTTCTGGTAGGAGCTAGTTCTTCACAACTAAAGCTGGCTCATAATAAGCACTCATTACATGTAAGTTAAATGAAGTAATTTCTCACCTTGATGTTCCAGTCACAGTGATTGATTGATTATTGAAGGAAGTGACTTCCAAGAGATCATAAATGGGAGAGGTAAACACCAGTGGATTTCCTTGGAAATATGCTGAAATCCCACTAAAGACGTCAGCTAACCTGCTATGCTTGCAACTTGCATATGACGAAAACCTCCTTCCAGAAACACCCCAATAGCTTATCTCCATTTCTCACCTTCCAGCCCACCCTTGTAGCAAATGCTACCTTGCAAAAATGCAGCCTCTGAGGTAAGAACATTGAGCTGGGTAAGATTCCGTCAGTTCAAGATGATGAGCTTTCCTTAATACGTCCCAAAAGAAATATGAATTCCACTCCTCCTGGGCTTGCTGAACCATAGCAACCTGTCTGGGCTGCCACACGCTCTGCTCAGAAAGGCTGGAGTGCCAGGTTGGCCGCCCTTCTGCCTGTTCACAGGGAAACGAAGAAGGTTACTCAGAGAATGAGCAGCTGTAAGGTCTCCCTGAGGGGGTAGCATCCTTGGGCCTGCAGAGAATTTTGCAGCTTTTCTTTATGCATTTTTAATCAATTCTAAGCTACCTACAAATATGTGCAATTACTTTCTGCACTTCGCTTTGTAATAAGATTTAATGACTCTGCTACAATCCTCTGAGTGAACATTGATGATCTAACTCTGTGATTTAAAATTTAGCTTTACCAAGGAGGAGGATATAAACTGAGAGAAAGGTTTTTTGAGTTTTTTTCTTCCTTTTCTTTTTCTTTCTTTCTTTCTTTTTTTTTTTTTTTTTTAGAAAATCAGAAGTTGGAAATATTTTAGCCTGCAAAATATCTCTAACACTAGAGAACAGACCATCTCATTTATTTGCCACTGCAACTGATTAAAATATAGGGGAAAAAAAGCCCTGGGCAACATAAGCTCTCTTTTTCTTTAAAACATTTTACTGATTGTAATAAACAGAGAGGCCTAGAGGCACCGAGAGAGATCGTCTAGTCTATTTGCAAGCATTTACATATGGAACATCCTCCAAGTGCCCTTCACAAAGAGAATTTCTCCCAACTCAATCCTTTGGAGGACTGCCTGTTTCCACCATCCTGGTATATGCTGACCAAGTTGTTCCATTACAAATCATCAGATACACAGCTAATATTTACCAAATGCTTGCTCTGTGCCAGCCACTAATCAAAGTGCCATACATCCGTAAGAGCCCCCATGAATGACAGACATTGTCCTCCCCATCACAGATGAAGAAATGGAGGCCCAAGTAAGACTGCATGTTCTCTTTGGGAGCATCAGAGAGCTACAATGCCCTCATTTGTTGAGAAATGGCCCATGGACACACAGGATACTGTGAATGTTGCTGCAAACCCTACAGCTTAACTTTCTATAGACACCTGCTTCCCTGCTACCAACTACCACAGTATAGAGTCTGGCTCAACTCTCTTCCTGCTTTTCCATGCAAGGACTGGGCCACCAAAGGCACTCAGGAGACTTGGCCATCCTGACCCATCCTTTGGAGTGACTTTCCTCTAGCCGGGACTCTAGGAGGTCCTATAGTCTACCTGGGAAAGGGGGAAAAGGAAAAAAAGTCCCAAGGCCCAGTTGTCATCATCAAGTTGCTCTGCAGTCAGGTAACCAATTTAGGGGCTTGTGTTCTTTATCTAGAAGCTAAGGGGATAAGATAGAGTTCCTTAAAGATCCTCTTTCAGCTCTACTATATGTGCATTTATTTCACATTTACTGAGCGTCAACAATGTATTGGGAATTAAAGATTGCTAAGGCCTTTTCCAGGCACAAAGAAATACAAAAGTTTCTGAGTGCAATGGTAACCCTGTGACAAAAGGTTCAGGCTCAGAGCTCTTTCTTAGAGGCGCACTGGAATAAAGCAGTTTCTTGCTTCTCTGTTATACAGTAAAACTTTCTACTGCCAGAGGCTGCTTCCTCCCCTTCCCACAAGTATTCCTGCTCTAGGACGAAAACTTGGAACTATATCTCAATGAAGGACTAGATTAGTTATGGGATCCAAAGTAACTGAAACAAGTAAAATCTGATTGGGTTTATGAGCTGCTGGGCACATAAAAGATTCACCCTTGCTCTGTGGTGCTGTGTGTTGTTCAGCCATTGCATGTGATTTACAGCCCATCGGTAACTATTTCAATGATCAGGAACGACTCATAAAGCATGGTGAGAACTACCTATAGTTTCCGAAATGGAAATGCCAGGGAAATCCCCCTTTCACCCAAGCAGCCAGCATCACAAGGAATCCTGCCTGTTAGAAAAGAAAAGGAAATGGGACCAAACTCAGCTGATACCTGCCCATGGAGGGAGCATTTAAACCAGCCCTAACCAGAGGGAAACCGCCAATCTTAGCAGCCCCAGACTGACTTCCTGCAGACCTCACCAACGACAGCCGAAGTGCCCTGTGTCTCCAAGTAAACTTGAATGGCAATCTAGGCCATAAGGACTGCAACTCTTAGGTGAGTCCCAGTGCTGAACTAGGCCCGGAGACAGTGGACTGGGGCAGGGGCACACGACCTACTGAGATTCCAGCTGGGGCATCCAAGGCAGTGCTGGCATCACCACTCCCCTAACCCCAGGCTATATGGCTCACGGCTCCAAAAGAAACCCCTTCCTTCCACTTGAGAAGAGGAGAGGGAAGTGTGGGCAGGACTTTGTCTTGCATCTTGGATACCAGCTCAATCACAGCAGGATAGGGTGTGGGTCAGAGCCATGAGGCCCTTGTTCCAGGCCCTAGTGCCTAGATGACATTTCTAGACACACCCTGGGCCAGAAGGGAACCTGCTGCCTTGAAGGAAAGGATCCGGTCCTGGCAGCATTTATCACCTGTAACTGAAAAGCCCTCGGGCCCTGAATAACCAACAGTGATACCCAGGAATCACATCCAGGGTCTTGGGTGAGCCTCTGAGATTTGCTGGCTTCAGGTAAGCCTCAGCACATTACCAGCTGTGGTGGCAATGGGGCAAAACTCCTTCTTCTTGAGAAAAGCAGAAGGAAAAGTAAAGAGGACTTTGTCTAGCACATTCAGTACCAGCAAGGCCACAGTTGGGTAGAACACCAGGTGGGTTCTTGGGGTCCCTGATTCCAGGAATTGACTCTTAGACAGCATTTCTAGACCCTCCCTGGGCTAGAGGGGAGCCCATTTCTCTGAAAGGTGAGTTCTAGGCCAGGCAGAATTCACCACAAGATGACTTAAGAGCCCTTGGGTCTTAAGGGAACATTGGCAATAGCCTGGCAGTACTCCTTGTGGCCTAGAATTGGCAGTGGCTATGGGCTGAAGCTCCTCTGCCTTTAGAAAAAGGAAAGAAGAGTGGGAAGGACTGTGTGTTGTCATTTGAATGCCAGCTCAGCCACGGTACAGTAGAACAATCAGTAGACTTCTGAAGTTTTTGGTTCTAGTCCCTGACTGCTGGATGTCACTTCTGGACCCACCTGGGACCTGGGGGAATCTCACTGCCCTGAAAAGAAGGACAGAGGCCTGGCTGGCTTTGCCACCAAATCTAAGTGTTATTGGCCTTAAAGAGGAGTTAGAGAAAGAGATAGGGGTAGAAAGTTTATTCAAAGGAATAATGACAAGAACTTCCCAAACCTAGAAAAAGATATCTACGTTCAAGTACAAGAAGGTTATAGAACACCAAGAAGATTTAACCCAAAGAAGGCTACCTCAAGATAATTAATCAGGCTGGGCGCGGTGGCTCACGCCTGTAATCCCAGCACTTTGGGAGGCCAAGACGGGTGGATCACGAGGTCAGGAGATCAAGACCATCCTGGTTAACACCGTGAAACCCCATCTCTACTAAAAATACAAAAAATTAGCTGGGTGTGGGGGCAGGCGCCTGTAGTCCCAGCTACTCGGGATGCTGAGGCAGGAGAATGGCATGAACCCAGGAGGCAGAGCTTGCAGTGAGCCAAAATCGTGCCACTGCGCTCCAGCCTGGGCAACAGAGAGAGACTCCGTCTCAAAAAAAAAAAAAAAAGAAAGACAATTAATCAAATTCCCAAACGTCAAAGATAAAGAAAGGATCCTAAAAGTAGAAAGAGAAAAGAAACAAACAGCATACAATGGAGCTCCAATACATCTGGCAGCTTGACTCTTCAGTGGAAACCAGGAGAGGGTGGCATGACACATTTAAAGTACTGAAGGGAAAAAGAAAACTTTTACCCTAGAATGGTGTATTCAGTGAAAATATACTTCAAACATGAAGGAGAAATAAAGACTTTCCCAGACAAACAAAAGCTGAAGGATTTCATCAACACCAGACCTGTCCCATAAGAAATGCCAAAGGGAACACTTCAATCAGAAGGAAAAGGACATTCATGAGCAATAAATAATCACATGAAGGTACAAAACCCACTGGGAATAGTAAATACACAGAAAAACACAGAGTATTATAACACTGTGACTGTGTTGTATAAACTGCTCTTATCCTTAGTAGAAAAACTAAACAATGAACCAATCCAAAATTATAACTCCAACAACTTTTCAAGAGATAGTACATATGGCCAGGCATGGTGGCTCATGCCTGTAATCCCAGCACTTTGGGAGGCCAAGGTGGTGGATCACGAGGTCAGGAGATCAAGACCATCCTGGCTAACACAGTGAAACCCCATCTCTCCCAATGAAGAAAAGCCCAGGAGGTGGCTTCACTGCTGAATCTACCAAACATTTAAGAAGAACTAATACCAAACCTGCTCAAACTATTCTGAAAAACAGAGAAGGAGGGAATACTTTCAAACTTATTCTATAAGGTCAGTATTACCCTGTTACCAAAACCAGAAAATGACACATGAAGGAAAGAAAGAAAGAAAGAAAGAAAGAAAGAAAGAAAGAAAGAAAGAAAGAAAGAAAGAGAAAGAGAAAGAAAGAGAGAGACAGAAAGAAAGAAAGAAAAAAGAAAGAAAGAAACAAAGAAAAAGAAAGAAAGAAAGAAAGAAAGAAAGAAAGAAAGAAAGAGAAGAAAAAGAAAACTACAGGCCAATATCTCTGATGAATACTGATGCAAAAATCCTCAACAAAATACCAGCAAACTGAATTCACCATTACATTAGAAAGATCATTCATCATGACCAAGTGGGATTTATCCCTGGGATTCAAGGATGGTTCAACATATGCAAATCAATCAATGTGATACATCACATCACAGAATAGAAGATAAAAATCATATGATCATTTCAACTGATGCTGAAAAAGCATTTGATAAAATTAAACGTCTTTTCATGATAAAAACCCTCAAAAAACTGGGAGTAGAAGGAACATACCTCAACACAAAAAAGCTATATTTGACAGACCCATAGCTAGTATTATATTGAATAGGGGAAAACTGCAATTCTTTTCTCTAAGATCTGTAGCATGACAAGGATGCCTACTGTCACCACTGCTATTCAACATAGTACTGGAAGTCCTAGCTAGAGCAGTCAGACAAGAGGAAGACATAATAGGCATCCAAATTGGAAAGAAATAAGCCAAATTATCTTTGTTTGCAGAAAATATGACCTTATATTTGGAAAAACCTAAAGATTCCACAAGAAAACTATTAAAACTGATAAATAAATTCAATAAAGTTTCAGGATACAAAATCAACATACAAAAATCAGTAGCATGTTTATATGCCAACAATGAAAAATCTGAAAAAGAAATTTTTTCAGCTGAGGTGGGAGGATCGCTAGAGCCTAGGAGGTCAAGGCTGCAGTAAGCCATGATCACACCACTGCACTCTACCCTGGCATTGATGTAGTGAAACCCTGGGTGACAGTGAGACCGTGTCTCAAAAAATAAAAGTATATCACATTGCTTCTTTCTCCTCTTCCTTCTCTCCCTCTCTCTCCTTCTTCATCTCTTTCTTTTCTCCTCCGTCTTCCTTCTTATTTTTCTTCTTCATTTCCTTCTTCTCTACCAGCAGCAGCACCAGCATATCTAACATACAATGAGCCTTTCCTATATGCCAGGCACTGTGTCCAAAGCTTTACACATATTAACTCATTTAATCTTCATAACCACCCATTTAATGAGTGGGAAGACTGAGGCATATGACAGAACTGTCCTGCAAACTATACTGGCCATTGCACTGTGTTTGTGTATTTACTAATTGATTGGCACTTAAGGCTGTATCAATAGCTATATCAATGTCAGGGGAGGGGGAATTATAACTGGGCAAACAGACCCCTAGTTTGCAGACAGCTTCCTGATATGGGATAGACATGGAAGAGCCATTCAAACAGGCCATGCTCCTGGTCCCAAGTGCACCACCAGGGGTCAGGATGTACACTTTAGGCCTAAAAGGGAAAGCTATATGCTGATCATTGCTGTTTCCCGTGAACCCATTTTGATTATGGGAAGTACAGTATATTAGTCCATTATTGCACTGCTATAAAGACCTGAGGTTGGGTAATTTATAAAGAGAAGAAATTTAATTGGCTCACGGTTCTGCAGGCTGTACAGGAAGCATAGAAGCTTCTGGGGAGGCCTCAGGAAACTTGAAATCATGGGGGAAGGTGAAGGGAAGCAGGCACATCTTACATGGCCAGAGCAGAAGGAAGGTGGTGGGGGAGGCGTCATACACTTTTAAACAATCTGATGTCGAGAACTCACTCACTATACAGTACCAAAGGGAGATGGTGCTAAACCATTCATGACACCTTCACCCCATGATCCAATCACCTCTCCCTGGACCTGACCTCTACCACTGGGGATTACAATTCGACTTGAGATTTGGGTGGAGACACAGACCCAAACCATAGCATATGGACAAGGTGTACAAAGCAGCAAGTCATGCAAATTGCAGCTGGAATAGACATCCTCCTGTTTGCTCCATCCAGGCAGTACCCTGGGGCCCCAGGCCTGTCCTTTCTCTTGGTGGATCAGCATATTTCTCCATGCATACCCTCCTTACCACCAGTTCAGCACTAACATCCTTGAGGGTATAGGCCATAGTACCCATGGCCCCGATACAATGATGATCACACGGGACCCTGTGGAAAGAGAAACGACGAGAATACAAGCAGCAGAGCCTGGATGCTGATGGGCACCAAAGAGGGCGACACCCTCAGGCAGCTCTGCTGAGCCCGCCCCCACCCAGTGCAAAACAGGTGACTGGTCTGCACTCCGTGATTTATAAGGTACTTTCATGCTTTGCAAGCTGGGGTCCTTGTTCATTACTTGTAAGTATCTACATCTATTTTCTTTGGGCCACTTTCTTTTCTGTCATGTATCTGTGAAAGTTTCTGTTCTCTCTCTCTCTCTTCATGTAAAATCATTCTGCCTGTCTTCTGTGAAACTTCTGTGATGCACGTAGCTCATTGACCCAAGGAGATGCATCTTCTCAGAGAGGGAGGCATGAATATTTCTAATAGATAAATGTCCTAATAGAGAAAGTTGGCCATTACATCTGCCCTATAGGGGTAGAAAAAAAGCTTCATGCAGGTGGTGACTTTTGCTATGAACCTTAAAGTAGGAAATAGGAAAATAGCTGGAGTATGGAGAAATACTTGGACAGTAAAAAGAGAAAAGGAAGCTAAACAGAACACAAGGGGATAGGTCTGATTGAAGACAAATACAGCATGTGGAACTTCACAATCAGGTGTGTGAGGCCCAGGAAATCAAATGGAGAAGGTATAAGACAAACTACCCGACTCCAAACATCTCTACCCCATTTGTAAGGGCAGCAGATGAGAATATAGACAGAAATTTTCCATCTGTGTGTTTCCAAAAATTACATGTGGTGGAAGCAGTAAATAATCATATCCACAAAATATGTGGGTTTGTGACCGACTGAAAAGTTGTTCACATCTCACCAGTCCTCTATTTAGTAGAGTCAAAAATCCTTTAAATCTCTACCATGAGACTCTACAGAAAGGAAAACGGTGATGAAGTTGAACTTCACACAAAATTAAAAAAAAAAATTCTGCCCCTATAGTGAGGCCATTGAACAATGCTAATTGTGCAAGCTTTAGCTCCAGGTTTGCTTTCAAAGATGTGGGGAGAGGGAGGAGCAGCTGGAAGGAGCCAGAGGGGGAGGGAGGAAGGAAAAATCAGGTCTCAGTGTGAGCATGGGAACGCAATGCACCTCTCAGAAATAATTCCTAAATCATCTCATGCTCCTAGAAAGGAACAAACAACTACTTTTAATCACATGTTTCTAAAAGAGAAATACCAGCATTTACAAAATTCAAAAAACTCTGAGGATGCAAAACTGTGGCCAGTTATGCCGCAGCACGGAGTGAGTGACAATGACCAGCCACCTTGAAAAGGGATGTTATAATTGAGCCACTGACAGAGCCCTAACTGGGGCAGCGCCGCTGGGTGCCTCTAGAACATGGTGCATTTTAATTGCCGATGCTGGCATTTATTTGATGTCTTTGGCTGGTTCAGAGTCCTTTTATAACAATCCTATTTGACCACAAATCAGGTACAAATAAAAAAGTCAGCCACAATGTCCTCACTCCTAAAGGCAGCTGTATTATTTTACAGGTATTCAATATTTAAATGTTAATGAAGGTGGGACTAGGATGGAATACGGACAGAAGGGAAGTGAGAAGAATTGAACTTGTTTTGAAATAAGCAGGTGGACTGGAAGGAGGGGAGGCTCAGGGAGACAGAAAGAGGACAGGGGAGACCTGCATGTGGATGAATGGACGCTTCTCTATTAGCCTTGGCTGTGGGCCAGCAGGCAGAGGGACAAAATGGCTTCAGGTGTACAGCAAGCAGGGTGCAAGCCTGGGTGCCGAGTTCCTGCCTGAAATCACCACGCTGTGCTTACCGACTGCAATCTCTTACTGCATCCTAAAGCAGCCTGTTCAGCTCTCCGTGGAGGCCCCGTGCTTTGCTACATGATGTATGTCATTCTCCGTGGCAGATGTAGGGAGGGAGCCACACTTCTCTCCCACCTGCTGGCGGTTTCCCGAAATGCAGGGCACACCCGGCCATTCAGAGGGCTTTGCTGATCCCCCAAATTCCATTTTCCCACCTCTCATTTGGAAATCAAAGTGTGGTTCAGGAACAACTCCAAGTTTAGCTAATCAGTTCCTATCAGTCACTTCTTCGTTAAAATGTATCTATATGTATCTCTACTTGTAGTTCTAGGGTGTACATAAGAACAGAGTGTGCTGGAGTGGATGGATGGTAAATATTTGCTGATGTCGACTCTGCAGGGATTTTGAATAAGATCTTTCACCAACTCCAGAAATAACTACGCTTTCTCGTGAAACACAACCGAATGAGGCCAACTACTCTTTGGACAGGGGAAGTGTTTTGGTGTGTGTACAAAAATCTCATTGTTTTCAAACACCGAGCGTGTTCTTTTCACTTGAGGGATGTCAGGCAAAGACCACAACACTGACCTTTCAGGTTAGCAGCTGTGCCTTCTAGAATACTCATGAGATAGGAGGGCTGGGAGGATGTGGAAAGGAGACAAGAACGGGCCACCTGTACCTTCTCAGACTGACCACTGGACTGCAGACCAGACAAATTAGGCTCTGAGTCCTACCTGATCAAACTATTAACTTCACCAATCTTGTTTCCTGTACCTTGAGTAATACGTAGAGGGAATTAACTCTTCTAAGGGGGATGAATGCCACTGAGGTGCCAGACAGGGGCGACAGGAGAGGGTTGACTGGCTTGGATCCATCAGCCAACAACTCCTTCAATCTAGAGTACTTAAAGAGGCAAATAAAATTGATAGAATAGGAAATTATAAGACAATAACCACAATCATCATGATACTGTAACATAAGAGAAAAATAAATTGTCTACAGAGATCCAGGAGAGGAAAGGTTGGGTAAGAAACAAGCATCCTCAATAAATGCAAAGGCTCTTTGTAAATCAGCAGCTGTCAGCCCTCATCAGAGGCAGTAAAATGTTGGTGTCCTAAGGAAGTAGTAGCATTCAAGATGCAGGATGTCAAACATTCCCCTCTGTGGAAAACCCTGAGACCCACAGTGGCCTGGGGTGCAGTGTCCACGGTGGTTCTTAAAGTTTAGCCAGCCGCTGGACCAGCAGCAGTGACCTCACCTGGGAATTTGTTTAAAAAGTAGATTCTCAGGCATGCACAGCCCCGCTGAATGAGAAGCTCTGGGGCAGGGCAGCCACCTGTGCCATAGCAAGACCCACAGGTGATCCGTATGCACACGTGAGTCCGGGTATAAACCTCTGCTCCTAGCTGCCAGGTTAACCAGCCTGTCCTGGACAAAGGCTTGAGGCTCACAAGACAAAGACAGCACTTTTGCAGTCTGTTTTTTCTGAGGGCAGGTGTCTGCATTGCACGGAGGGCGAGGTTCTTGTGTGCACGCCCAGGCTGGTGGGACTGGAACCCCTGGACCACACCTTTGCCACCGGGTACAAGTCATCAGTACTAACCCCATGGAATGTGTGTGCCCCAGCCACTTCCATATGCTCCACATGCTGTCACTCATTTTATTCTTGCCACAGCCCAGTGAAGGAGGCTGTTACTGTTACCTCCATTTTATCAATGAGAAAACTGACATGCCATTGTCACACAGCTACTTATCCCTGGGAGAAGGAATCCAATCAGGGCACAGCACTGCCCAGCCTCCCAAGATGAGTCTGTTATTGGCTCACGTGTGCCCACCTAAGGGCAAGAACTGTTTCTTCCATGTCTGTTTTTTTTGTTGCTGTTGTTTGTTTGTTTTGTTTTGTTTTGCTTTGCTTTGTTTTGTTTCATGCCCAGAACATCACTGGCAGCCAGCAAAAGGTTAATGAATAAATGAATGAAAACTTACATATCATGAGTTTATTGTTTTTCAACCTATGGGCAGATGAAACCCTATTGTGAATAGTCTTGGGTCCATATTGTTCCATAAGCTAAAAAAGAATTCTTCATGTGTTTATACGATTTTTGAAAGATATATACGAATCATTGTGATGAGTTTTAAGAGGTTGCTGAGTTCACCGTTATTTTCTGTGTCATTTCTATGTTTACCGCCTCAGATCCTGAAAGAACAAAAACTATCAGGTGAGGCACCATGACATTTTGTCACATTAAAAAAGATTCGTAATGTTGGATCATGAATCAGAGAAGGAAAAGGAGAGAAAAAGCTGGAGAGGCAGAAGGGATTTGAGAAAGAGGGTGCAGAGAACCAACCTTTGAAGCAAAAGCCATAATGAGAACTTTGCTCCTGCCCCTAACATGACATCTCACTTCCTATGTTTCACCCCAGCAGGGCTCACATAAGAGAATTTTAATTTGATTCATTTAAGGACCACTATCCTGATTGGTCAAAGCAGAATTTGAACTTGAATTGTACTAGAATTGTTTGAGAACCACATTCCTTGTTTAAAATGATCAGACTTTACTCGAGACTTTTTTGGATGTAATTAATGAATCAGCAAGAATGGAAGCCAGCATAAGCTACCACAGAGAAATCAGGCAGAAGCAGGAATGCAATTTGCTTCCTGCATTACCAGCAATAAACAATCCTTTATATCATAATGTAAGATCTAAAAATAGCTCACTTTAAATTTTGAGCCCTTGTACATAATGAAAGGAGGCTGTGCATAAAAGCCAGTTATTCATTTATTCTGTACATTAGAGGCTTCAACAGTAAGAGCCCAATTAACAAAAAAGACCAGTGGGAAATTATGCATAATATTTTTTGTTTATTACAAAGAGACTTTATTTTCATATCTCACTGCAAGGAAATTATGTGTGCGACTTGCATAACTCACACATGGCAGTATTCCCTCTGAATTTAGAGTTTTCAAAAATGACCATGTAGAAAGAATTGAGGTGGGAAAATGGTGATTTTAGAAAGACAGTACCACTGTGTCATCAGCAGTGTGAACAGCATTTCCCGTGGCTGTGGCCACTGGTAAGGCCCATAGGCTTGGACAGAGGGGCTATTGTCCTAGCTGTGTCTTCAAAGAAGCTCCAGCATCAGGACTCAGGAATTCTTAGTGTAAATCCTGCTTTAGAAGGGGCCATTTTTCCATAGACTGTCTCATCCATTCCGAGCATGTGACACAAATGACCTCTAATCTTCTTCCATCACGACATCGTACAGATAAAGAAACAGAAGATGAGTGGATTGTGGAGCTAGAGTGCTTGCACTGATTTGTTATGACAACCTTGAGGCCCAAAGTCCTCTTCTGCTGAATGAGATGGGATAAAAAGATTATCTTTAAGGTACCTGAAGCTTTGCTGCTGTATGACCACTAATTCTCAAGGGAACTGGGGACATTCCCAGGATGTCGAGTAACAAAGAAGAAATAACAGCGGTCACATTTGCTCCTCATTCGAGATTCTAGTTGAATTGTTCTTCCTAACTTCCCATGTCCATGACATAGGATAATTTGTGATGTTGCTGAGACCTGTTTTGATGCCAGGTAGGAAGCTGGCATGTTGGAGCAAATCATTTGCCTGAGAATAAGCCTGCTGACCAACCCATATCCCCATTCACAAAAGCCCAGCTGATTCTCTTCTCCACAACACTTATGAGCAGCTCTTGTGAACTGATTAAACTTTTCCTCTTCCTAGAGTAATAAATGACCCAAAAAGCGAGCCACTGGCTAGTGCTAGGTCCTGAACTAAAGAGAAAGAGAGGCAGCCTCAGGAAGCAATAGTTCTTTTTCAAAAAAAAAAAAATTATTTCAATAGCTTTTGGAGTACAAGTAGTTTTTTGCTACATGGATGAATTTTATAGTCGTGAATTCTAAGCTTTCAGAGCACCCCTCACCCAAGTCGTGTACATTGTACCTAATGTGTAGTTTGTTATCCCTGCATCCCCCTCCCACCCTCTCCTTTCTGAGCCTCTGAAGTCCATGATATCATTCTGCATGCCTTTGCATATGCATGGCTTAGCTCCCACTTATAAGTGAGAACTTACAGCTTTTGGTTTTCCACTCCTGTGTCACTTCACTTAGAATAATTGCCTCTAGCTCCATTCAAGTTGCTCTAAGAGGCATTATTTCCTTCCTTTTAATGACTGAGTAATATTCCATGGTGTATATATACTACATTTTCTTCATTCACTCATTAGTCAATGGATACTTGGGTTGGTTCCACATCTTTGCGATTGTGAATTGTGCTGTGATGAACATATGTGTGCAAGAGTCTTTTTCATATCATCACTTATTTTCCTTTGAGTAGACACCCAGCGGTGGGATTGCTGGATTAAAGGGTAGATCTACTTTTAGCTGTTTAAGGAATCTCCATACTGTTTTCCATAAAGGTTGTACTAATTTACATTCCCAGCAGTGTGTGAGCATCCTCTTTTCCCAAAATCGATGCCAACATCTATTGGGTTTTTTTTTGACTTTTTAATAATGGCCATACTTGCAGAAATAAGGTGGTGGTATCTCACTGTCATTTTAATTTGCATTTCCCTGGTGATTAGTGACACTGCACATTTTTTTCATAGTTTTTGTCCCTGGGTGCAAGTGCAGTATGTACTGAAGAGCAAGGTAGGGCCAGGCACGGTCACTCATGCCTGTAGTCCCAGGGCTTTGGAGGCTGAGGCAGGAGGATTGCTTGAGCCCAAGAGTTCAAGGCGGCAGTGAGCTATGATCGTACCACTACACTTGAGCCTGGGCAACAGAATGAGACTCTGTCTGTTAAAGAAAATAAAAAAGTGAAGTGACAATTCAGCAGGGCTTTGTCCTCTGACCGGCCCACCATATATTTTTCCTGGATAAAACCATGTGTAATTGCATAAGAAAATTTTGATATTTATTAAGATCTCAAGACATATCTTTTAAGAATATCAAAGGCCTTTCATATCTACTCAAGTCAAGAGCCATTGATAGAAAGTCCTTTGGCTCAAATACAAAAGAGCATCTTATACTTGAACTGGATAGGAAACCGTAGCTGTGGGGTACTGCAAACCTGTAATCCCAATAGATGTACTAGATCTCCAAGCCCTATGCTAGCAAAAGGCACTGTAAGCCTCTTCCCCTTTGTGCGGTTACAGATAGAAATGTACAGATGCTACATCCCTTGGACAGAGCATGCATCTACCCTCCCACCTTTATTGTGCCTAAATCTGCCAGAAGAATGTTATTTTAGAAAATAAATGTCCAGATCATGAGGGTGTGATAGGATTGGAGTGTTCACACAGAGCATAAGACTCATTGAGGTCATCTTCACAATTATGTAATGTTTGCAGTTGGTTCTTTTAATATCAAGAATGACTACACAGTCCTCCCCAAGTTCTGGCAAGGCTAGGATACGTGATAAATTTCACAGTACACACACATGGCATGGTCACAAGAACAGATAAAAATTCAAGAAGGAAGAGATGAGTCTTTGGCATCACTGCAGTGGGACATTCAGTGGCTCATGGGGGTCTCAAGTCTCTAACAGAGTTGACTGAGCAGGCCCAGTCTCCCATAGGTCCCCAAGTGACTCCGTTCCCAGACCCCTCATCTTCCCAGGCACCAGTCTCTAGGAAGAGGCACATATTGGAGATGCGCAGAGCGAAGCACACTCTTTCAGGTCAGCGATTCCCAACACAACACCCTAGGGGTGAGAAATTAATCCAGACATGGGAAATTAATATGACAACTTTTATTTACTATCATTTTTACTTATCGTACACACATGTAACATATTTGACATGAGTCATATTTCTGACACATTTTACAGTTACATGTATAAAACTATAGAAATATGTGAAAATCAAAAATATTTTCACATATTCAAAAATACGTGAAAATCAAAAAAATTTTGAACCTGTGTACGTATATCAGGACACGTGTTCACAATTTTTTCCAAGAATGCCCTAGATTACCTCCCTTGACCAGGACACTGTATTTCCTTTTTTTTTTTTTAATGTAGCATTTATGTTTCTTTTTTTTTATTTTATTTTATTATACTTTAAGTTTTAGTGTACATGTGCACAACGTGCAGGTTTGTTGCATATGTATACATGTGCCATGTGGTGTGCCGCACCCATTAACTCGTCATATAGCATTAGGTATATCTCCATTAATTTTAAGATTTTACTGGCAAGACTCCCCCCACATTCAATTTGCAACCAGCTAAAAAGCCATGATATCCTTCACTTAAACTTACGTTGAGCCAGGCCTCCCTACATTTGTGTTAGTAAAAATACTTAATTGAACAAAATGTTAGAATTTCCATTCGTCCTTATTTGAATTTATTTTGTTGATTTCGGCCCACTATTTTTGCCTGTCAGGATTAATACATTTGTTCATTCTCAACTACGTTTAAAAACAAAAAATTATATAGAAAAAAAAGACTGGAGAAAGATAGGCAAAATATTGACAGAGGTTGTCCCAAGGTTACCAGTTGAAGGTGATTTATTATACTTTCTCATGCTATTTTTACTTTTGAAATTTTCTATAATAAGCGTGCATTTCTATAACAATAGAAAGATAAACATTTGTAGAGCATATGCTTAAATTCTATCATCTTGCCTCTTCACCGCCTCTCCAGACCCCATGTCAATGGTAAATGCTCTAAGTTTGTATCTCTAAAGCACGAAGTAGGATTTCATCTATAACTTTGACTTGGTATTAATGGTTTATTTCCATTAACATTTCACAATTTCAAAGAACAATAACATTTAGCCATAAAATGGCATTTAACCAAAGAGGACATGCATTAAGGCAAATGGAGGAGACTGCGTGGTTTGCACGCTCTGGGACATACCAGGCTAACCTGTAAGGAGAATGTCTTGTCCCCCTGCCCTGGTTTGTGCAGGGAGAATCCATTCAGCTCCTGAGGATGAACACTTCTTTTGCAAGGTATTTGCAAACCACACCATATCCACCTTTTATTTAAGTTTTTGATTTGCTGATAAATGGCTTATTATCTTCAGAAAAAATATTAGCTAAGCCCAGATCTTTTACCTGTTTCCTGCCGAAAGTGGCCAGATCAAAGCTGATATCAAAATTTTATCCTAATAAACATTTCACATCAACTTTGAATAGAACAAAATAGTTAACCGCAGTTGTAATTTTTTAAAATGTTGAAATAATTGACTCAATGTGTGACTGGTGAGCTAAGCCAGTGCTAACCGGGGCAAACCAGCTGTGTCACTGTCCATGAGCCAATCTTCTGTCCATGGTCCCCACTGCACCCCTGGATGGGGCGAGGACGCTGATGGACTTGCAGAGAGGAGTCGGTGAGGCTGCATCAGCCCCAGACAGCAGGACAACCACTGGGAGCCCTCACCATGAGCAGAAATGTCACCTCCCCAGAGCCGAGGAAAAGCAGAAGGCATCCTACAAAAACCTTCACAAAGGTAAGTACTGACCAACAGAAAGTGTGGACTGTGGACTGTGTGGAATGTACCAGATAAAAGCAGAGACATTTGGATATGTTTCCTAAATGCAGTAAATGCTGAATGAGGTGAATGAGCATTGATGGAATCGGAGGCGATAAGAGCAGCAGGCACAGGACGAGTCCCATGGGGACGTGCTGGATAAACCAGACAGTGTTTTGACGATGCTACAGCCACGGCAGCACGAAGAAATCAGCAGTTAAGAAGAAAGTAAGATCATGAGGGGACTCAAAATTGGTATGAGCAATATGTTATTGTGTTTCTAAAGATGAAAACATTCACGGCGTAGATTATAAATATGCAGCTATTATCAATGATTCTGTACAAGATGTGTTATTATCTAGATTCTTAAACTAGTAGCTTAGATGCAACCATTATGAAATGATTGTACAGAAGGAATATAGGAGAATTGGGGCCTAATTAGGGTACAGGAAGCCTGATGGGAAGGCAAGGCTTACAAATGAATCTAGGGTAGGGGTTTGAATTCAGAGTGAGGGCTCATTTTTGACCCTGTTCTTGATCCTAAGAGGGTGTAATAAAGACCATATTTCTAAACTCATATATAATGCATATCTATCACTTTGTATAATTATAGTAGGTATATTTCATATATTTCTGAAAAATTGTATGCTAATACTTCTTTTTGGAAAGTCAAATTATGCTCTAAATGCACCAGAGGAGATAATGCATAGACAATTGCTTTGAAAAATTTTAAAGCACAAAAATATCAGTTATTAATGATAACATCTGCACCATAATCTGTGACCATAACTCTAACTTGGTGTTAAAAACTCAATATGTAAAATTACGATGACAGTAAAATAAATACTGATTATCTCTTTTTAAAAAATGAAGACCTCTCATGTAAAATAAATGCATTTCCTCACATTTTGTGTTTTTTATGTTTATGCTGTAGAAAATGAATTCAGCTGCTGCATCCCAGATGAGCTGGCCCAGAAACCAGTTTGTTCCAGCAGCCCAGACCTGACTTAGCTTATGAGCCTATGGGGAGCAGGAGCAAACACATAGATGCACACTAAAGAAAGTGAAAACAAAGATACAATTTGGTGGCTAACTGTACACAGAAGAAAAAGACTTCAGGCATCAGGAACCAACCAAAGAGCAGCCTGGGTGACTAAGAGATGTTACTGTCATCGCCAAAAAACTGGATAGTTTTGGAGTGAAGCCAGGCTGGGGTATACGGCCAGGAGGATAGTGAAACATCATGGATTCAGTTTCCTCGGATGAGCTTGGGTGTTCAAATCACTGACAATCAGCATCTCAGCCTGAGAGCTTACACTTCCGTCTTGTGAAGTTTTAACCGGTGTGAGTAGGTTTCCAAGAACCTGGTCATCCCCACAGGATCTGATGAAAATTAGTTCCTAGATCCACAAAAAAAGGAAGCAGGGCTGGAGGCCACAGCCGGCCTGATTCTCAACCATGTGCAATATAGGAAGACCAGCTTTAGCACAAGTCAGGGCCTCCAACCTGAGCCCAAACAGCTGTCCACAAGGAGCTGGGGCATGCGCCCCAAGCTGAGCCAACCCTCTTTAGACATCAGCAGCGGGCCAGGGTCGGCCAAAGCTCCTCATGATATGCTAACATACTCTATGACACCCTATTTTGCTGCTAGAAATGACTAGAGAGGAGAAAAGGAGCCAGAATGAATCATTATATTAATAGCTCTCCAATTCAAAATAAAACATTTTCTGAAAGTTTACTCTTTGAAGAAAATTAGCAAATCATTATTGAAAATTCAGAGTAAAGGTGATTGTCGTGTTAGACCCTGAAATGCACACAGCTACGGGAGACGCATCACAGTTTGTCGTTGAAGGACAATGGACACTCCTACGAATTCTAGTAGAAAATTGAGGTCTACATTAGCAAAAAAAAAAAAAAAAATTAAATCCATATTGAAACATTTAAAGATATGAGGAAAGAAATTGCATTTGAACTACTGTTTCAACAGATAGAGTATTCTCTGCCATTGACATTGTGCTCTCAAAAGAATCAGTGTTGTACCTGAAAGTGTTTCTAAGAGACAGAAAAATCACATGCTCACATGGCCACTCTCAACGTGGATGCTCCATCGTTGCTTCCCAAACCCCTCTATACATTCATGCCTAAAATTCCTCTAAGAACACAAACGTTTGAAAGCTTGGAGCCTGGGTGAGAAGCCAACAATGCAGCTGATGGCCGTGCCACCTCTTCCTGTAGATATGTCACACGTGTGTAGCTGTCACCGCGGCATTAGTCATATATTTTTCAGAGGAATGACACACACCAGAAGTACTAGATCACTTACATGTTAATTGCAATTACACAGCAAAACATAATGGGCTGCCAAAATATTCACAGGATAATTGCCCTGCGATGACAAGATAATTCTTCCTATTCTTCCAAAACAGAAGGTAGTTGCCCCATCTAATTACTTTACAATCTTCCAGGCAAGAAATTTTCACTTGGTCCCAGCCAAGCTGGTACCTCTCCGCGCATGGCCTCTCTCTGAGCAGCCTTCATCAGCTCAGGGGATGTGTGCGGGTATGCCAGGATCCCATCCAGGCTGCCTGACCTCAGCACCACTGACTTGCAGAGCCAGATGCCTCTGTGTGTGTGTGTGTGTGTGTGTGTGTGTGTGTGTGTGTGTGTGTGTGGAGGGGATCAGCAGGGGTGGGCACCAGCCTGTGAATTTTTTGTAGAATGTTTAGCCGCACCCCTGGTCTCTACCCACTAGATGATAATACCACCCACCACACTCAGTTGTGACAACCAAAAATGCTTCCCCGACACTGCCAAATGTGCCCTCGGGGCCTACCATTGGGAACCACGGGATTCTGTGTATTTGCCCAGTTGTTGAGGAAGTAGGTCCTGTGCATAGCGGTTGATCCAGGGGCACAGCTCAGAAGCAGGGAGGCTGGGTACTGGACACCCTCTCCTCCTCAGTCCTCCTCTTCCCACCCCTCCAGGAACTCAGCCAGGCTGCCCTCTCCTCACCTAATGTCTCAACTCTAAAAAGCCAGGCAGGCCTTCCTCCCTCCAAAGAGCCCCCAGCTGTGAAACAACCCTGCTGCCTGCCCTGCTTTCCACAATGCCCCTCCCACCACCAGACCGGGCGCAGAGGCCTTCTCAAGGCTGTTTCACCAGCGCTGCCCATCTCAGGTCAGAACGAGGGGAGAAAGCACTTTGATTGAAAAATAAGGCATACAACAATGATATCCTTAATTCTCACAGGGGTGTTTGATGAGAATTCAGGTAGTGTGCACCAATGAACAAAGAAATAGTGTGGGGTCAGAAAGCCATTTTCAGTATTCCCTGCATAAGGCTGGCCCTCCTGAGCCCTTCCCAGACCCTGGGGGCCGGGCAATGCTTCAGAGTCCAGGACAGTCCAGTCCTGAATAAAAGGAGCAGACAGTGGATCCTGAATTGACTTGATTTAACTTGTCTCTGATTATTTCAAATAATAAATTAGGAAACTTACAGAAGATTCTCAGTACAGCATTATAATGTGCTTAAGATACAATCACCAAGTGGTGATATAATTGCCTTAGAATAGGGGTTGGCAAACATTGTGTGTAAAGGGCCAAAGACTTAATATTTTAGGCATTGTGGATCACACAAGAACTATTTTATTCTGCCATTTTAGCATGCCATAGACAATATGTAAATTAATGAGTGTGGTCGTGTTCCAATAAAACTTTATTGACAAAAGCAGGCTAGGGGCCGGATTTAATTAGGGCCATAGTTTGCCTATCCCTGTCTAGGAGGATTTCCACTTGCTTTTGCATCCAACGATTACTGAGCTTGAATTAGGAGCCAGGCATTGGGAAGCACACTGGGGATATCGGATGAGTAGCACACTGACCCACCTCCTAAGAAGCTTGCAGCCTAGTGGGGGTGATGTGTAAATAGCAGATCCAGAAGAATAGATACAGCAGAAACCCAGAGGCATAATCAACCCCCTGCCACCCCCAGGTGAGGGGTCCCTTGGCCTCATGCTCACCAACTCCCAACTTATTTATCTGCTCCTATTTACGGCAAAACTCCCCAAAACAGTAGTGGTCTATGTTGCTATCTCTGCCTCCTCAGCTCCCCCCACCCCCAGTCTATTGAGCCTATTCCATGTGGGTTTCTGGTCCCAAACATTCCTCTGGAATGTTGTCAGGAATGACAGTCACTCTAAATAAAGCCTTCACCAGGGGCTCCAGGTGCGCTGAAGTTGCCCATCCACTGACAGAGGCTTCGTTTCTGCAGAGGCTACCACCTACGCCTCATCAACACACTTGAGGTATCCCATCCTGTGTCCCTGGCAGCTGGGGCTTCCCACCATGGCCATGCCCCAGAGGGCATCCTCTTTCTTCTGAGTCTCCTGTGCTCATAGTAAAAAAAAAAAAAAAAAAAAAAGAGAGAGAGAGAGAGAGAGACTACAGTTCTGAAATGCCCCATCTCCAATAAATTTTACCCTATGCTCCTATCTCTGCCCCTGCCAGATGCCTGCCAAAGTGAAGGGCAGGGATTTAGCCAGCCACTGTCCACTCCCTGCCCACTTTGTGGCTCAACTCAGAGGCATCCTTCAAGTTCCACCATATCATATTCATGTACTATCTTCTTTGCTGTAATTTATGGACACAATTGGAGCACTTCCGAGCTCCAATTAAGATGGTGAATGTATCTCATTTTATAATATTTAGCAAGACTTCACCACTGGCTGACCTTCCAAATGCGAAGATTGGGCTATATTTTAATTCTCACTTCGTGGTGATAGCTTTGTGTCTGAGTTATGAGTGAGAGAATATAAGATGCTATTGTTTTCCTCTTTTCTAACCACAAAGGGCAATTGCATTGGAAGTGGAAATTTCATAGAAAGGAAAATGAAGACACCCACTCCTGTAGCATTACGGGAAATAGTTCACTGACTCCGCAGTTCAGATGCTGTCTTTGATCATTACAACATACCTGTACCTCTGATTTTTAAAATTCCACCCATCACAACATCATCCAAGGGTGCACATGAAGAAAATCAGCACATTAATTTTTGTAGCAAAAACATTAGGGAGGGATTGCAATTCACAGCTTATACTGGTTCAAGATCAACAGCAATGACATAAAACCACCTAGTGACAGGCTTCCTGGAGAAGTCCCAAATTTGCAAATAGACAAAAATGCTGTCAACTGAAATTAGTGGAAATTGAAGGCCTTTGACCTATCCTACTCTGAAGCCTGAGTCGGCTGCACAGGTCCTGCAGGCCTTCCCTTTGTGAAAAGAGGCAGAGAGATGGGGTTCTGTGCCTTGGCCACTGGGGCAAAGAGCAGAGCACAAAGCTGAGACCATGACCAACCTCTGTCACAGTCACCACGCTGCTGAAATGACTGGCTTTACTAGCAGCATTGCCAAATCAGAAGTCACGGCTGGGGATTATGTAGCTATGCCTGGGGCACGCACGCATCAGAGGCCTAGTCTGTGATATGGCAGAGGCTGAAAGCACCATCTGTCCACCATCCCTCTCTCACCAGCCTGCTCTATCTCCGAAAGAGGAGTAACCTTTGGTAGTGTCAGTGCTTTCACAGAGGTCAATGCACCCTATGAGCAGGATGGAACTCAGAACCATGGCTCTCATACTCTGTAAATTCTCATAAAGATGTATTAGTTTCCTGTTGCTGCTGTAACAAGTGATTGCAGATGCAGTGGTTAACAATACACACATTTACTCTCCTATTGCTGCAACAGCCCAAAGTCAGAAATGAATCTTGCAAGACTAAAATCAAGGTATAAACAGGGCTGTGTTCCTTCTAGACTCTACGGGGAGTGTTTTCTTGCCTTTTCCAGATTCTAGAGTGCACCCAAGTTCCTTGGCTGGCAGCTCCTCCCTCCAATTTCAAAGCGTGTCACTCCATCTCTGTTTTTGACACCTGCCACATCTTCTTTTCTGACTCTAACCTCCTACTTTCTTCCTATAAGGACCTTTGTGATTACTATGAGCCCACCCAGATGATCCAAGACCACCCTCCCCTCTCAAAATCCTTAACTTACTCACACCTACAAAGTCCTTTTTGCTGTGTAATATAGCATATTTACAGGTTCTGAGGATTAAAACATGGATATCTTGTTGGGGGAGGAATGGTAATTATTCTTTCTATCGCAAACACATGAAAAGGCAAAATCCAGAATGAAATACTGCCTGTCAAAGGCAGAGGACAGGACACTTAGAAATGGATGCTAATTCAAAGGTCTGCTGGCTGGAAGACGTGAAGGGAGAGGTAAGAAAAAGGAGGAGAAAGGTAGAGATTGCCAAATTCAGAGACAGAGAGCACTTGAAACCACAGCACTGACTTGGAGTCAGCAGCCCTGGGACGCAAGCTGGCCTGGCGCCACCCTTTTCTGTGACTCTATGCATGACCCATGCCTTTCTGAGCTTTATTCTGCTCTCTTCCTCACCCTTCACTGCCTCCCACCCTGGCTCTGCACTGGTGAATGTGGCCTTCCTTCCTGGTCGAGCTGCTCCTGTCAACCCCTCTCTGGGACTCTGTGTCCCTCCTCTCACCTGTGCCTCACAAGTCATCTTCTCACTCTTCTCCTCTGTCCTTCTTCTCCAAGGAATCACTCCTTTATCCCACAAACATGCTGGAATCTCCCTTCTCAGAAAGAAATCTCCCTTGGCCTCATGTTCACCTCTGCCCAGCTTATTTCTCTGCTCCTATTTATAGTAAAACTCCCCAAAATAGTGATCTATCTTGCTGTCCACCTCCTCAGCTCCGCTCACCCCCGGTCTATTGATCCTACTCCGTGTGGGTTTCTGGCCCCAGACATTCCTCTGGAATGCTGTCAGGAATGACAGTGACTGCTTTGTCTTGCCTGGGGGCAGTCCTCTCACCTTCCTTGACTTCTCAGTGCCTTGGACATGGCTGATCACCCCTCCCTTTTCAGCATTTCCTTCCTTGCCTCCCTTGACATCAGGTCCCCCAGTCTTCTCCCTGTCTCCCTGTCTGCATCTTCTTGGCCTCGTTTGCCAATCCCCACTCCTTCCTTTGCCAGCTTGTCAACGTCGGGCACCACTGGCTCCGTCCTCAGACCTCTCCTCTTCCTACTCCTGTTCTCTTGGTGAGTTTACACAGTCTCACCACCCTCAATGCCTCCTGCATGCTAAAAGTGACCTCATCTCCCTTATGAGCTGCATTAGTCTGTTCTCATGCTGCTAATAAAGACATGCCCAGGACTGGGTAATTTATAAAGAAAAGGAGGCTTAATGGACTCACAGTTCCACATGACTGGGGAGGCCTCACAATCATGGTGGAAGGCAAAGGAGGAGCAAAGGCACATCTTACATGGTGGCAGGTGAGAGAGAGTGTGCCCTTTATAAAACCATCAGATCTCATGATTTATTCACTGTCACAAGAACGACACGGGTAAAACCCACCCCCGCATTCAAAGACCTCCCATCAGATCCTTCCCACGACACATGGGGATTATGGGATCTACAGCTCGAGATGAGATTTGGGTGGGGACACAGCCAGATCACATCAGCACCTCAAGCGCCCTTCCCATCTCGAGACTCCTGTATCCAGCTCCTACCCAGTATCTCTATGTGGATACCAGACATACATCTCAGACACAGCAGGCCCAAAGATGAGCCTTGGTTCATTACCTCCAGCCCTGCTACTCCCAAGGTCACCCCTACTTCAGCAAATCCGTTCTGACTGCTCAAGCCAAAATTCTAGGGGCCAACATTGCCTCCTCACCCTCTGCTGCTGTACCCGCAGCTCAGTCGTGAAGCCCATTGGTTCTATATTCAAAGCCTATTCAGAGATTACTCTGCACTTTGTGCAGCCTCCACCAAAAATCCCTAAGCCTAAGCCACCATCGTTCTTCGCCTCGAATACTCGAGACAAGTGGTCCTCCTTATCTGCAGTTTTACTTTCCACAGTTGCAGTTACCCACAGTCGACTGTGGTCTGAAAATATTAAATGGAAAAAATTCAGAGATAAACAGTCCATTAAGTTTTAAATTATGCATCATTCTGGGTAGCCCGATGAAATCTCTCACCATCTTGCTCTATCCTGCCTGGGATGTGAACCCCCTCTTTGTCCAGCATCCCCACACTGTCTGCACTATGCTCCCATAAGTCACTTAGTAGCTATCTCAGTGATCAGATGGACTGTTGTGATATCACAGTGCTTGTGTCCAAACCACCCTGATTTTACTTTTATTATAGTATGTTGCTACAGGTGTTTTATTTTATTATTAGTTACTGTTAATCTCTTACTGTGCCTAATTTTTAAGTTAAGCTTCATCATAGGTATCTATAGGACAAGACATAATCTATATAGGGTTTAGTACTATCCGTGGCAACAGACATCCACCGGAGGTCCTGCAAGGCCTCCCCTGGGTCAAGAGGGGCTACTGTAGACTGCTCACCACCTTCCCTTCTTGCCCCATCTATGTTCTATTTTCAACACAACAGCCAAAGAGTAATACTTTCCTTTTAAAAAACAAAATCAGATCTTGTCTTTCCCCCACCCAAAATCTTCCCACGACGTCCTATCTCATGCAGAAAAAACAGACAACAGTACACCCACCAGTTCCCTGTGATGTTCATGTGGCTCCAGTTCAGCCTCTCCGGCCTCATTCCCAGAGGCTCCCATCCAGCCTCACTATTCCTGGAACAGCAGCCTCTGTGCCGTGCACTTGCCAAGTCCACTGCGGAGACCCTAGTTTCTTCAGACCTTCCCAAGGTTCACGCCCTGACTTTATGGTGTCTCTGCTCAAATGCCTCTTTCTTGAGAGGCCTTCCCTGGCCACCACATCCAACATGGCTCCTTGTTTCCCCAGCCCTTTTCCCTGTCCTTTTGCAGAATGTGAAACACACCATCGCATGCAATCAGTGTGCATGTTTACCTGTGGATTTCCCATGTTCCTACTGGAATGTGAGCACCGTAAGGACTGATATTTCATGGGTCTCTCTCTGTTGCATTTCCAGGACCTAGAATAACACCCAGTGCATAGGAGGTGCTCTATTTGTAGAATGTAGAGTGTTTGTAGAATGCAAGTGTGCTCTCACAGCACGACTGTTCACGCCATCACGGTGCTCTCTTGCTCTATTCTAATTGTCTGTCACTCCAATCGCCTCCCACACAGGGCTATAAGATCTTCAGGGGTGGGGGTGTTATCTCCTTTGCCCCAATGCCTAGGTATTTGTATGTCTTGGATGCTTGGAAAGATGAATGGAGAAATGAATTGATGAGATTAGATGAGTCAGAATTATGCCTAAGGTTGGCCTTGGGCCCACTGTTCGACAGGTAAATTGGTTTGCTTTTAATTCATCAGACATTTCAGTGGGCTGTATAAATGCCATCCCAGCTGGTTACACAGGCAGGAACAATTGAAATGATATTAAAAAAAAAAAAATCTGGCCAGGTGCGATGACTCACACCTGCAATCCCAGCACTTTGGGAGGCTGAGGTGGGTGGATCACAAGGTCAAGAGATCGAGACCATCCTGGCCAACATGGTGAAACCCCGTCTCTACTAAAAATACAAAAATTAGCTGGGCGTGGTGGTGCATGCCTTAATCCCAGCTATTCAGGAGGCTGACGCAGGAGAATCGCTTGAACCCAGGAGGCAAGGGTTGCAGTGAGCCGAGATCGCGCCACTGCACTCCAGCCTGGTGACAGGGCGTGACTCCAGATCAAAAAAAAAAAAAAAAAAATCTATGGGCTGACACTTTCCACTTTCCCCTAGGGTATAATTAGCGATGGGGTAGCTTCCACTTTTCAAAGCCTTTCATGGCAATCTAGCCCCATCTGCCCTACCTGTGCCTTAAACAATTGGAGGGGATGTCCCCTGGATACTCTCCAAATGCCACCCTCACCTTCCCAGCAGAAATGGCAAGTCTAGAAAATTGCCTCCTAAAGCTAATTCTGACATAATGAAAAGTAAATACAAATGTATCCATTTTCCTCTGGCTTCTCTTCTTGATTTCTATCAGACCTCGAGAGATTCTGTAAAGACCCTGGCCAGCATTCACTGGTGTGGATCATTTAACTACCGTTGTGTTTAACTATCATTGTCCCAAAACATAACTTGATAATTTGGGGCTGCCCAATAAAATTTTAACAATCTTACCTTTTTTTGCTCTAAAAAAAAACAGCAAAAAAAATAAAATAAAATAACTAAACCAGATTTGTTATTTGAAGAAAGGGAAGGGAAAAAATGAAGAAATCACTTAAAATATAGATATTTGAAAGTATGGTTGGGGAAACTAGCATCCAAACCATTTGTATTAGAATTATAGTATTTTCCACTTAAAGAAGTGAGACAAGTTAATTGCATAGTTACCATAAAATAAACTACATGGTAATTACACAGAAACTCCTTTAGAAACCGTAGTAATTACACCGAACTGAAGCCTTCTAAAATAGACCAAGAGTTACCAAGTTCACACACAATGGAAAGATGTTTAACCTGTTCGCCGACTACTTGATGTGAACAGAGCACGGCCAGTGACTTTTGATGCCCGCTTCTGGAGATAATGACTTTTAAATACAGATGTCTTTCTAGAAATGGTCCCTAGCACAATATTTCCTTTCAACAAATGGGAGAAAAAGCTCAGTTACCCACTGCCAGGCAGCAGGAAAGTTGACAGTAATTTGCCGTCTGAGGGAGGTGACAGTCCTAAAAGGGAAATATTAACAGTCTCGATTTTAGAAAGGAGCTTTTGGTTGCTAGCTCACATTTACATACTGTATGTCGAATCTGAAAGGAAGCTATGTTCGAATAGAAATGGCTCTGCTGAGAAGTGAATGGTACAGTATATTTTGTATAGAAAAAGCAATTTTCTTGGGAATTAAAAGGCCTGTTACGCAGTCCCTGCCCAAAAGGCTCAAAACAATCACCTTTTGTCATTCTGTTTTACACAAGCCAAATTATTCAGCTGGCAAAGTAAAAGGGGAGGGAGATAAAATACACGGATGAGGGAGATTGTCATCCCCCAAGAAACTTGGTAGAACGCAAAGGTCTGGGAAATAGGCTGTAGGAATCCTGGGCTCTTAGCATGCGGTGTTGTTTGGAGGTGACTAGCTAACTGTTAGGAGTGATTTTATCCAAAAGGTGGAAGTCTGTCTCCTGGTGTCCTTAAGTCATGGGGATTAAGGTTCCGGAAGAAGCAATTCCAGGGTTTCTAATGGTCCCTGGAGTTTCTCGGCACAGAGCTCAGCCTCCTGCTGCCCTCCCCAAGGCGAGACGGGGCTCAACAGGCCTGTCTACAAACGGCCTTGCCGCTGCTGCTCTGCTCCTTGCAGGGCCTCCACACTGGCCGCAGCCCAGGATCCAGATGACATCAGGACTAGATTCCGAATCAGCTGCCAAGGCTGTTGTGAATTTAATTTCATAGACATTGTTCTGCTAAGTTGATGCCAGGACAGATGATGGGTATGAGAGCAAGAAATGAGATTAGCGATGAGCAAAACCAGACGAAGGGGAAAAGAGAAATTTCTAATTGCACATAACTTAAACCTCATTTGCGTTCCACTCTGACGCAGCCAGGCCAACTCCAAACCCACAGAGATGTGTTTAGTGCAAACATACTTCTGTTAAACCCTGACCTGAGTCCTCGCTGTCTGTTACACACAAACACAAAGTGTCGTTGTGTCTAGAGGGCTGTGGGCATCTCTGCTAAGAGGTGCAATCATTAAAGGCAGAGAACTGTCTCCCACTTCATTTTCCTAGCTCCATAAACATTTGTTGACTGAATAAATGAGTGCCTGGGTCTGAGCAGAGATCTACTAGAAGTCACCACAGAATGTCACAACCTGGAGCCAAAAGACTGCATGATCTCAACTCGGCCTGGTGGCTCACGCCTGTAATCGTAGCACTTTGGGAGGTTGGACGCACAGGGGATAACAGGTCCCACTGAGACACAGTGGCCATCTAGTCCAGGCCTCTGTCAATGGGTGGCCTCCTGCTGTCTGGGCAAAGACCTGACCTGTGTGGACGTGAGAGACCGAGGTTTATGCACAGGCTCATGGTGGAGAGACTAAAACAAGCACAGCCCAGACAAAGTCAGCGGTGATGCTGGGAGGAACTCCAAGATCGTCTGCTGAGGTGGGCAGATCACTTGAGGTCAGGAGTTCAAGACCAACCTGGTCAACATGGTGAAACCCTGTCTCTACTAAAAGTACAAAAATAAGCTGGGCATGGTGGTGTGTGTAGTCCCAGCTACTCGGGAGGCTGAGCCAGGAGGATTGCTTGAGCCTGGGAGGCAGAAGTTGCTGTGAGCTAAGATTGCACCACTGCACTCCAGCCTGGGTGACAGAGTGAGACCGTCTCAAAAAAAAAAAAAAAAAAACGAAGACTGTGTGATCTGTTAAGGGAAAGACAGCTGCAAAGTTGTCTTGCTCCTAAATGTATGACAATCAAAAAAACCAGAGTTGTTACAATTAGTTAGAATCCTGAGATAAGGAGCATTTTAGAGTTGTAATCTTGCAGAGTCATGCAGTGACTGGCAGCGATAAGAATTCAGCATTCCAGATGTTTTTTCAACACTTCTGTCCACCACGCTGCTTAGGGCTTCATTCACAATTGCTCCATTTCAACATGCCATGTGTCTGAAGTCTATGCAGTCATCATCCCTCAGAAAGACTCGTGGTTCTGCATGTGTCTAGGATAGACTGACACTAACTTGACTTGCCTATTACTGTTCTAGAGTGGTTGCTAGTTAAAATGATTGCCATGAAACTTCTCAAGATAGACTGCCAGGGAAACATGTTACATCAACCATGTTCTTGAGTAAGAATGTAAATGAATACATTCCCTATTCCAGGGACATATGAGGTAGACCTTAGCCCTAACACAGCAGGGGTTTTGCACCAGGAAAGCCACAGAGCAGACAGACGGTCTTGGAGTTCCTCCCAGCATCACCTCGGACTTTGTCTGGGCCGTGCTTGCTTTAGTCTCTCCGCCATGAGCCTGTGCGTAAACCTCGGTCTCTCACATCCACAGAGGTCAGGTCTTTGCCCAGACAGCAGGAGGCAACCCATCGACAGAGGCCTGGACCACATGGTCACCGTGTCTCAGCGGGACCTGTTATCCCCTGTGCATCCAACCAGATCCCATAAGAAGGCAGCCTTCTCACCCAGACCTAGATTGGACCAAGTGTGTGGACTCTACTTGATACACTGAAATGTTCAATGTATTTTAAACAACTAATCTCAATATGTTATTGAATTCCCAAGAACCTCTTTGGTGAAATTGATTTTGTAAGCCTCACACGCCCTGGGGGTGCCCCGCCACCCCATTTAGAAGGAACAGGGTGGCTGGTGGGTGATGCAGGGGTCTTGGCCACACCTGTGTCTTTGTCTTGTCATTGGAAAAGTGGAGATGATGGCAGAGCCTCCCTCTCAGGCTCAGTGCAAGGACTAATGAGAGAAAATATGCATCCAGTGAAGAAATAAGTGCCCAACCAATGTTACCTCTTATCACTATGAACTGCAGCTGAGGAATCTAAGTTCCGGGGACGGGGCCAAAAACACAGCAGGAGGATCACGGGGCTAAGAAGAAGATTCCTACCTGCCAAATCTCAGGGCCGTGGGGAAGTGCTAGCAGTTCACAAAGCAACTCAGGGCCCTGCTCAGAAGTGAGTTTTTTCCTTTTCCCCCTGGAGGAATAAGCAGATTTTAGGTGATATACAAAGACAATCACATTTTGGAAAGCAAACCCCGGGACATTGTGCAAATATGCACACACATTCATATACACATACAACACACACACACAACACACACACATACATACACACACAACACACACATACACACACAACACACACACATACATACACACATACAACACACACAACACACACAAATACATATAACACACACACATACATACACATAAACAACACACAATACACCCACACACACATACATACACACATACAACACACACAACACACACATACACATGTATACAGAGGTACGTTTTACATGTTTATATTTTCTAATGTAAAGGCAACATCAACTGTAGAAAATTTGAAAAATATTGAAATGTATGACAATAATTAGAAGCTACTCATAATCGCATAATCTCAACATCAGGAAAATTCGCAGTCGACATTCTGGGAGTTTTCCCCTAAACACATGGATATTTTGGGACAATAGCCCTATCCATACATCTTTGTATAATATCCTTCTTTTGTTGATGTGCCACTTCAAGAATTTACTCGGTTTTACAAGACAAAATTTTAAAGACAGAGAAAATCTTCCCATGCTACCATATGTATTTTTCCTCTTTAGGGGTTTTATAGTCTGACACACAAAAGTCACCATTCAGAACCCTAAGTGCATGGGGTCAGTCCCTCTCAGCCACGTCGAGACTTTAATACCAGAGACATGGACAGGCGATACCTCCTCCCCAGGACCAAGGACTGAGTGATCTTGATGGTGAAGAGGTGACTGAATTCTTCAAATGGGCACTGCATACAATCAGGTCCACAGGGATGCAGGATGGGCAGGCATCCCATCTGTGCCCAGTCTGGGGGCAGTGGAGCCAAGTTGGCTACCTGAAAGCATCAACCTTGATGGCAGGAGGCTCAGTGTCCCCACAGAGATGCAGTCCCGGTTTGGGCTCTCCAGGAGGCAGGCTCCATCTTTCCCGTGTCTGCCCAGAAATCTCTGCTCCTATGTCACCCGACATTCTGTTGCTTGGTAACTAGAGCACCTAATTATTCTACTAGGAGGTCAAAGAAATGCCAGCAACCCCATTACATAGACCCAAGAAAGTCAGACATAAGGCATTCATTTGCATAAGAGAACTTTATTTTTCAGCTAGAGATAGGAAAGAAAGAGACTCCAAAGTTCAGTGTATTTTTGCTAATACGAAAGCAAGATGACCTGGAAAATAAAGTGCAGTACAAAAAAAAAGTGACGAAAAGCAAGTTAGAAGAGGTTTTTGGTGTTTGATTTTTGGTTTTTGTTTTTAATTCCTGAAATTGTTCATAGACAAGGAGTAGTGAATGGTCAAGGAGGGAAAGTACTTTTTCATCATTGAGAAGAGAAAATGCTTTTTAAAAATCTGTTAGATAATGAGTTGTTTTCTAGTAAAGATTTCTTAAAGATCATGGGGTTTTTTTGGTTTGAATTTTGTTTTTTTGTCATTTTTGTTTTTGAGTGGAGTTTTCTTTTTAACTAATTCTAGGTTATCAGGTTTAAAAATAATAGAGTTGTTTTTTACGTTTTTTGTTGACAATATCTGTGTGTTTTTATCTGACTCTCTGTGGCTATAATTGCCAGAGTTTCATTTCCTAAAGAATTCTTCCTTTTACTCTTGGTTGTTTGCTAAAAATATCCCAGCTGCCTGTAGACAATGGGCATGGCTGCCGCCTAGCCAGCCCCCTGCCAGTGGAGTGTTCTGCTATTCATAGCTAGGTCCTCTTCAGACACGTGAAGACTGGAGGTCCTGATTTCTATGTCTTCTCTAAGTAATGCCATGAGTGACTGCAGGGGCTTTGGAGAAACATTTCGCGTTCCCAGCCATACCCATCTCTAGATAGATATGACTCGCTCCACACCATTACAGAGTCGAGAAATGCTCTCTCATTTCCTGATTGTCTCCCAGTCAAATTTCACACCAACGTTGCAGCACACCATGGGCCTCTGCCTGCCTTGAGTGGTATTGGATACCCCAGAACCGCCCATCCCGTTTAAAATACCCCAAAAATGCTGCTAACTGCCCCCTGGAACCAGAAAAGCTCGGAAGCAAAGAACGAGGCGGGCTGGGAGAGAGGGGAGAAAGATTGTTCCTTGAGAATTCCGTTCACCGATGAAAACTGGCGAAAAAATTAAACAGCTCCCATGTTGCTGGGCTCCCGCGTTCCTTACGTCACCCGGCACTCTTGCTTGGTGCGTGCTGGCTGACTTGCTCTCCGCACCTGCTCTGGACCAGCGCTCCTCCCGGGTCTGCGCATCCGCGGGGAGCGGGAGGCCCGGAGCTGCAAGGGTCGGTCCGCTCGCGCCCTCTGCTGGCATTGAGGAGTCACGACCTGGTCGAACCGGCCACTTGGACCTGAGTTGCTCGGTGTTGCCCTCAGGGCCATTTCACCCAAAACCTCCTGTTCATTTTGAAGGCTTATCATAGCCCAGACATATCCCCTATGGCTGAAAGAATGCAGGAAATAATTAATTGGAAAGCACATGTGAAAAATAACATACACAGGATGGTGGGGCTGCACCATCAATGTGAATGCACTTAATGCCACTAAACCGTACACTTGAAAATGGTTAAAAAGGTAAATTGTAGGGCTGGGCATGGTGACTCATGCCTGTAATCCCAACACTTTGGGAGGCTGAGGCGGGCGGATCACTTAAGGTCAGGAGTTCGAGACCAGCCTGGTCAACAGGGTGACACCCCATCTCTACTAAAAATACAAAAATTAGCTGGGCATGGTCGCGGGTGCCTGTAACCCTAACTACTAGGGAGACTGAGGCAAGAGAATCACTTGAACCCAGGAGGCAGAGGTTGCAGGGAGCTGAGATCATACCACCACACTCAAGCCTGGGCGACAGAGCGAGACTTTGTCTCAAAAAAAGAAAAAAAGTAAATTGTATGTTGTGTACATTTTACCACAATTATATATATACACATATGATGCCAATGAGGGCATGTGAAAAGAAGAGCAATTGTGCTGACACATCTAATGTGCTGCTCCCAATCCACTTGAAGCCTTCTTCTTTCCCCTGGCCACGGAGAAGTCACAGTCGGTGCCCAGGGCTGGTTCCTGGGTAGGGAGGGTGATGGGGTACAGAAAAGGTAGCCCAGGGCCTCAGGGGGGGCCTGGGCAGAGTGTGGTGGTCACACAGCAAAAACTGCCCCCTCCCTCCCCATGTTATTCTCCACCTCCCTCCTCACTCTCCCCAGAGTGTACGAGAGAGACTCATGGCAGCCCCAAAAATGGAGCCATGAAGGGCTTTAAAGAACCATATATTTGCCAAGTATGGTGGCGCATGCCTGTAATCCCAGCACTTTGGGAGGCCATGGTGGGAGGATCACTTGAGGCCAGGAGTTTGAAACCAGCCTGGGCAACATAGTGAGGCTCTGTCTCTACAAAAAAATTAAAATTAAAAAAAAATTAGCCAGGCTTGTGGTGCACCTGTAATTCCAGCTGCTTGGGAGGTCAACACAGGGGAATTGCTTGAGCCTGGGAGTTTAAGGATGCAGTGAGCCATGATCAATGGCATCACTGCACTCCAGCTGGAAAGACAGAGCCAGATTCTGTCTCAAAAAAAAAAATGTATGTTTAATCCTTCAATCCCCTCCTTTTCAAAGTTCAGTGTGGTGAGGAAGATTGGAAAGTGGAGAGGCGCCCTGAGCAAGCTGAGAGAAGGGGCACAGGGACAGCCATCACCCCACACGCAGAGTCACCCAAAGACATTCACTCCAACAGGAAAACTCCAAAACTTGAGTCCAAAATCCAAACCAGAAAATAAAATGGACCGTGCTGTATAAACAACAAAAGACAAGCTTCTCTCTCTCTCCCGTCTATCTGTGTCAAGCTCTCTGGAGGAAATGGACGCTCGCTAGGAGGAAAAGAAGGATGGAGGGAGAGGTAGGAAGAGACGGTATGATGAGGGACAGGGTAGAAGAGGACTGGGCAGCCTGCCCGCCTGGAACCCACTGTCTAGCTTCCCACCGCAGACTCAAGGGATGCTCGCGGCTAAGAGCCTCAAGGGATGTCGGGGCTAAGAGCCCGCTCTGCCCGGGTTTGGGCAGAAGGTGGACCTGTACATTCCAGACCCAGCAGGCAGGCCCATCAGGGAGTGTGGTGTGTGCACTGTGCAAGCCATTGGGGGTTTTAATATGTGCTATATATCAAGGGATATATAGCACATGTTATATATGTGCTCAAGGGATGGTCGGGGCCAAGAGCCCACTCTGCCCGGGTTTGGGCAGAAGGTGGACCTGTACATTCCAGACCCAGCAGGCAGGCCCATCAAGGAGTGTGGTGTGTGCACTGTGCAAGCCATTGGGGGTTTTAACATGTGCTATATATCAAAGGGAAAAATGTAAACCACCAAACCATCTCTCAATTTATTCCTTTATAGCAGTCCACATTTTAAACTCTAAATGTAAACATGTAGCCTCCAAATATGGTACTATTCTTTTTAAAAAAGAAAAGAGAAATTTGGCAAGAGCCTAGTAAATTGACATCTTGCACAGGAACTCATATTTGTTGTCTGTCAACACCACGGTCTGGAGCATTCATTAAAGTTAAACTAAAGACCTTAACGGGAATCTCTGGGCCATGTGGAAAGGAGCTTCCAGAACGACCAGCAGAGTGCTGCAGGCTTGCAAACTGGGTCTCCAGCACCCTACAGAGACAGCAAGGCGCCCCCGAGTGGTGGCACATGTCCACAGTGGTGATACAGCCAGCCACGTTTGCTAAGACAGACCCCGCCTCAAACATGTGGGGTCTCCACATTCCACTTAATCCTGCCTCCCTCTTAAGCTACAGACCTTTCACAAACTATGTGGAATAGCATAGCATCTCCTATAACAGCAAGTTTACGATCATATTTGCTGCATTTGATTTGGAAGGGTTTATGCCTTATAGATGAGCCTCACATTTAATTGATGAAACCCATGTTTCCGAAGCACATTGAAGAACTATATTTTTATGGAGATGTTTGATTCAGGAAACATCTGTTGAGAACGTGTCAGGCCTAGGCACAGGATCAGTCATCTGTGCAAAGCTGCTAGAGCTGTTAGTCCAAACCAGTCCTGAGAAAGAAAGATTTGTCTTCTTACTTTGTGATCCAGCTCCTTTTCAGTCCTCATTCCAGACTTTGAGGGTAGTTAACATCGATTGTCAGCTTCCTCCAGGTAACAAGGAAGCTGATTCCTGGGGGGTGCCTCACAGAGCTTAACAAAATTTCACCAGCTAAATCCAATCTACAGAGAGAGGTACACAGAGAACATCAATGTAAAGCTCTTATTACACTTTAATTTTTTAAAGTAAGTTTTTAAAATTATTTTTAAATATATTTATTTTAAAAATTATTTTAAAAAATTTATTTATAAATATTTATTTTAAAAATCACTAAAACTTTTTAACAATTCCTCAGATGTATTTTGATATTCTATTTCGGTCTTTCATTCATTCAACAAACCTTTTTTGAACACCGACATTGCAGATACTTTTCAGGGAAAGAACAAGATAGAGCCCCTGACCTCACTGGGGACAGGCAAGGAAATGTGTAGTGCAGTCATAAAATTTTGGAGAAAACTTAAAGGGGAAAACATTCTGGGTGAGGGAGCACACTAGTTTGATTTTTTAAACAGCATTTCCAGAGAGTCCTCCTTTTAAGGTGACATTTGCACAAAGACTTGAAGGAGTGTCTCTTTTTGTTCAGGAACACTTTGTAGATATACATAATTTGTCAGCACATATTCAGTGAGAGATATGGGAACACAATGATTAGGGGTGTAGAGGCCTGCCCCACAGAGCTCGCAGTGCCACGGGGATGAGGAACGGACAGCAGGCAATTACAGCCGCCCAGCATGAGTGTATGAGGGCTGCATTCCAGGTGCCGGCTGAACCCACAGGTAGGCGTCTAACCCAGAACAGGTGGGTTCTAGATGCTGGGAATGCTGCAGTGATGAAAACAGACAAAAATCCCTTGTTTTCAAGGAGGTCACTTTCTACTGAATAGGAAATATATGTAACTCTATCTCTATCAATATGCACATATCTTTAATCTTTATCAATCTGTGTATCTGTCACCTATATCTATGTGTATCTATCCTTATCTATTTCTACACTATTTATATCTCTATCTATCTAGCTATATATCTATATCCCTTTATCAATCTATACTTATTTTTCTATTTCTTTCCATATACTTATGTTTGTTTGTTTGTTTGTTTATTTTGAGATGGAGTCTCACTCTGTGGCCCAGGCTGGAGCACAGTGGTGCGATCTCGGCTCACTACAACCTCTGCCTCCCAAGTTCAAATGATTCTCTTCCCTCAGCCTCCTGAGTAGCTGGTATTACAGGCGCCCACCACCATGCCCAGCTAATTGTTGTATTTTTAGTAGAAACGGCATTGCGTCATGTTGGCCAGGCTGGTCTTGAACTCCCGACCTTGTGTGATTCGCCCACCTAAGCCTCCTAAAGTGCTAGGATTACAGATGTGAACCACCACGCTCGACCTATATTTTTATCTATTTGTGCATATCTATATATCTACACTTCTATGTCTATATCTATCTATGACAGCCAGTCTTCAAGAATTATAATTTATCAAGGGGAATGGGAACATATCTATACCGGAACTTGTCCATACAGGCACGTGCCTATCATTCAAAGCAGAATTATGGACCCTCAAAAGAAAAGTAAAAATGCAATAAGCTTCCAAAGGAAAGAAACACGTATTCAGTGAGGACCTCAGGAAACACCTAACAACACGTAGCCAGTAGAGATGGAATGAAGAACACAGGAAACATAAGGCTGTACTTGGAAAAGGCGAGACTCCCAGGCGGCCTCACGCATCAGCTGTTGAGCTGGGACTTCCTCACTTTCCTCGTACTAGAATCACTTCCTTGTACTGGAACACAGAAAACCTGGAGCCAGATGACAGTATGGACCACAGTGATGCTGAGAAGCCCTGGGCCCCTCTGTCCCACGCTAGGCCCCAAACACAAAGCTAATGACAAATATTTATAAAAGACAACATGACTGTGGCAGCTACTCCCAGACCCAGATACATTTTTGCTTAATGCTCTGAATAAAAACTAAAAAACCAGGGTATCCGCAATGGAACTAAAGTTTCCTGCAAAAGAATAAAAAATTCTATTATCCTCATGTAAAAAAATAAAAGAAAAAATGTTACTATTTTGTGATTTAATGTCAACTTAAAATATCATTTAATTGAAAATTATGGAATTTGTTATTTTATCCAGACTCAGACACCTCATCAAATCAGTATTTGACTTGTCAATATTGGTTTAATTGCAAATATAATGGGTAAAAATTCCTAAGATTATATAAAATATATATTCCCAAATTATATAAAACCCCATCTCTTCTTAAAATAGCGCTGGGAGATTTTCTGCATCTCAGTCAGAGTTTAGCTGAGTGGGCCTCTAAGAAATGTTTGTTGAAAATGCAATGATTCAATTAGAAATTTCATCGCAATCTTTGAGACAAGTGTAAAAAGGCTGAGAAATTTTGAAGAAAGCAGGAAAATATAGAAACCATCTGGAAATCTTAAATAGACGACAGTAATTATTCAGCTGTTTAGAAACAAGTCCTAACAAGAAAACTTGAAGCTGGTCTCTCATTTTCTGCTAAAATAATTGCTTGTTTTGAAATCTTACAGTTTGGAGTTTTATAATATCACTAACAGCCAACGTCCCCGCTCCCTATGACAGATCCCATATGGCAAGTCACGGGTTCACATTTAGAGAACTTCAGGATCCTTGTCCTAAACATTCGACTCACCCCCAAACACTGCTGCTGAGCCCCTCTTTGTAATGGCTTGACTGCTGTTCATTCTCTTACTCTTCATTGCTTCACTCAACTTCCAGAGGCTGAAGTTTCTTCCCCCGCCTGTAGGCCAAGTCTCATCCCGAGTCCCAGAACTATCCTGGTTCCAGTACAAGGGAAGTGAGAAAGTCCCAACTCAACAGCCGATGAGCCTGGACTCCAGGTCAGTTTCTCGAGCACCCTCCCCAGTGTCTGAACCAAGGCGAGCCCTCCTGAGTGTTGCTGACTCAACATAAATGCACAAGTAAAGGTCCTCCCTTATTGGGTTCCTAGAACTAAGTCCAGCCTCAACCCAGTTTCCTCAGAATTGCAGCTCCTTGGACACTCCAGGTGGGTCTGTGAATTGCAACACCATGGATCTTTCCCTGAGGGCAGGTTCCCCACAACCTGTACCCAAACTTTCCTTGCATTCATGCTTTGCTCATGCTGAAAAATATATCTTCTGCTAAACTTCCCTACATCAACAGCACCCATTCCCCAGGCCTGTTGGGTCGAATGGCATCTCTGGCCTCAACTCTGTTCTTCCCTAGCCCCTTCCCTGGGAGTTTATGTCTTGGCTTGGCGTCCTGGCCCCGACATAAAAACTCTTCTCATTTGCATGCTAACCATAATATTGATAGCAGTACGAGGCAAATTCCTAGGCAGAAAGGGTGGGTCCCCCTTGAAACCCAACCTTCAAGCCAAAAACAGCGTAAAGCCTGAAAACTGGGCTGCCAGTTCTGGGTGAAGTCCATGACCCAGAGTGAGAACTTCCTAGATGCCTTTTAGCCAGTCAAATGGTGCTTTTTCCAGGCCTGACCATGGACCAATCAGCATGCACTCCTGCATTCTGAACCCATAAAAAACCCCGGACTGGGAACTACCTGCCGCCTTCAGGTAGGGTCTACCCACTGCGGGTCCCATCTCCACTGAGAGCTGTTCTGTCGCTCAATGAAACTCTTCTCTGCCTTGCTCACTCTCTGGTGGTCTGTGTAACCTCATTCTTCTTGGACGCAGGAACCCAGGACCCGATGAATCGTGGGTGCAAAAGGGGCGGTAACACCGTAGCCCTCCCACCCTCCACCGGTACTGGGTGGCTGCCCCGTGTGATGGGAAGCAGCGGTGGCCAGGCCAGCCCAGGGGCTGCGGGCTGCCCCAGGGTGGCAGGACCCAACGGGCTGGGACACGCCCCCGTTTGCGAAGCGTGCAGATGGTGGGAATGAATGAACTGTAACACGAACATTGTTATTTTATCCAGAATCAGACACCTCGAAGAAGCTGCGACCCTTCTGGGGCCCAGACCTCAGGACTCCCTGAGCCAGAGCCGTGACCCACTGTATCACCCCCTTGGAGCTCCACAGTGGCTGTCGTCTCTGAGTTTTTAGGCACCACCATGCTCCCCTTATCTAGATGCTGGCTCCCAAGGCGGACGCCGCTTGTGGTATGCCTGGTCCAGCCACAGCCTCACACGGAGCCAGCGCTGTGCCAGCACCTGGAGCTGTCGGCCCCGCCACAGCAGCGCGTGCCTGACCCACCCTTGGCAGGTGTGAGATCTGGGCCGCAGGCACAAGCCGAATGCAGCCTGCCTGGCGAGTGGGAGGGGCAAGTGCAGCGGTGAGCCCGGAGCCCAGCAAAGCCTGGGCAGGAGCACCACCAGCTGTGGACATTTCCAGCTGAAGAAGGGGAACCCAAAGAATCCTGTGTCAGCATCATGACCTGGCGTGACCCGTGCCTCCTCTTTCCTCAGGATTCTCTGGAGGTCACCTCTTCTCCCCTGAGTGGAGTTCCTGCTTGCCGTGAACCACCAGTGCACCCCGGACTAAGCTCACTCCTCAGCTCCCCTCTTCCTTCCTCTGGCCCACGCTGACCTCTTTCTGGTCTTTATTGCCCAGAAAGAAACCAATAGGCAGGGCACGGTGGCTCACGCTTGTAATCCCAGCACATTGGAAGGCCGAGGCAGGCGGATCACCTGAGGTCAGGAGTTTGACACCAGCCTGGCCAACGTGGTGAAACCCCGTCTCTACTAAAAATACAAAAATTAGCCGGGCATGGTGGCAGGCACCTGTAGTCCCAGCTACTCAGGAGGCTGAGGCAGGAGAATCATAGGAACCTGGGAGGCGGAGGTTGTAGTGAGCCAAGATCATGCCACTGCACTCCAGCCTGGGCAACAGAGCGAGACTCCAACTCAAAGAAAAAAAAAAAAAGGAAACCAATAATTTGTGGAAGGATCAAAGAAGGTTGGAGGACTACAAGGTCCTCTAGAGAGATCCTTTAAAAGTATTTTTTTTTTTTTGAGAGGGAGTCTCACTCTGCTCTGTCACCCAGGCTGGAGTGCAGTGGTGCAATCTCGGCTCACTGCAACCTCCACCTCTCCAGTTCAAGCGATTCTCCTGCCTCAGCCTCCGAGTAGCTGGGTTTATAGGCACCCGCCACCACACCCGGCTAATTTTTGTATTTTAGTAGAGATGGGGTTTCACTATGTTGATCAAGCTGGTCCCGAAGTCCTATCCTCAAATGATCCGCCCACCTCAGCCTCCCAAAGAAAAATATCCTTTTAACAATAGAAACTACGGGTCCATCCCTGTATTATTCTGCTTCGGCTGCTGTAACAAACAACCACGGAGCAGGGGAGCTTACGCAGCAGACACTGACTGTCTCAGCATTCTGGAGGCTGGAGGTCCAAGATCAAGGGGTCAGCAGGTCGTTTCTCCTGAGCCCCCCTCCTTGGCTTTGCAATGGCCACCTTCTCCCTGCATCTTTACAGGGTCATCCCTCTGTGTCCTGATCTCTTCTTACAAGGATTCCAGTCAGACTGGGTTAAGGCCCACTCTGATGGTCTCACGTTTTACTCAATTGCCTCTTAAAAGACTATACCTCCAAATATAGTGACATCTGAGGTACTGGAGGTCAGGACTTCAACATATGAATTGGGGACCAGAGAACGGGGAGGACAATTCAGCCCCTAACAATCCCCAAGCAAAATGTAATACAAAAAAAATAGGCTGGGCGCGGTGGCTCACGCCTGTAATCCCAGCACTTCAGGTGGCCAAGGAAGGTGGATCACGAGGTCAGGAGATGGAGACCATCCTGGCTAATAGGATGAAACCCCTTCTCTACTAAAAATACAAAAAAATCAACCAGGCGTGGTGTCACGCACCTGTAGTCCCAGCTACTCAGGAGGCTGAGGCAGCAGAATCACTTGAACCCAGGAGGCGGAGGTTGCAGTAAGCCGAGATCATGCCATTGTACTCCAGCCTGGTAATAGAGCGAGACTCTGTCTAAAAAACAAAAACAAAAACAAAACAAAAAACAAACAAACAAAAAAACCTGAATTGTCTTCAGAGAGCCCCCTGGGCAGTGTGCCTGAGTTATGCAAAGCTGTAGGTCGAATGTAGCACAACCTTCTAGAGAGTCCGTTTTACCTCCCAACATGTTGAGCCTAGAAAAAAAAAATTGTAAACAGCATATTTTGGAGAATTCAAATTTTGAATAAAATTTTACTATTAAAACACAAGACTTCAGAACAAAATTTGTACTGGCCTCAGGCCATCCTAAGCTGGGTTTTTAGTGGCATAAGTTCTTGGGTAAAACTACGCAAAAGAAAAACTACGTATAGTTTTGTGAACACTATGTTGGTGGAGGAGTTCAGAGAGGCCCTGAGTCTTTCTCCAAAGAGTACTCATTTCCAGTGTCCTCGTTTCTTAATGCGTGTTATTTTCATAAGCAAAACAGAGGTCCCAGAGCTCCCTGGGGTGTAAATGATGTTGAAGGATTGTTGGGGTTGAAATAGGCTGAAATTTTTCTACTCAGGCAGAGTTCATGTCTTAAATCATATCCCCAGGGTGCAGTTAATTTATTTTAATTGATGGGAGCTTTTTACGTTTTCTGAAGAGCTCCATCTGAGAATGAGGTTGATGATGGAGGCAGAACCAGCCAACTCTTACCGAGAGGGACACATTTCTACAGGCATTTGTGATGGAATCTGACAGAAACCCTCTCAGAAGAATGCATCCCCAATTAAACTTTGTTATGACTAAAACCCACGTTTTTAAAAAAATTAGCCTAAGAGGGAATGCATGATACTTTTATGGAAATGTTTAAGTAATTAGTAGATATTAGTAATATGAATAAATGGAAATTTATGCCCTGATCCTTGTGCAAATAGCATAATATAGTATACCTAATATAGTAGATACACCAATTAACCAGCTTAATATTGTAGATATACCAATTATCTCTAAATTAATCTGTATATTTAATGCAATCTTAATATTTCAGGTGATTTTTAAATGAATTCAACACAATAATTCCAAAATTACATATAAAAAGCCACAAGTGACTAAACTGATTTTGAAAATGAAGACTAAAGATAAGGATCACGGTGGACTTAACTTGATAAAACTATTGTAATAAGAGCAATATGGTTCTGCACAGATTTGGACAAATAGATCAATGAGACCCCTGAAGGAGCTCAGGGATAGTCTTGCACCAACTTTGTGTATAATGAAGGCAGCACCATAGTACAGTGCAAAGAGAAGAGATTGTTTAGTAGATGATTTGCAAGAAATTGAATCACTATGGAGAAAAATAAAGCTTTATTCCCAGCTGACGTCATCAAAACATTTAAACTCCAGACAGCTTAAAAACCTAAAAGTTGAAAGTAATTGCAAAGATATAGGAAAGGTCTTTGTGACCCAAAATTAGCACAAGATTGTTTAAACAAGTACCAAAAAGAACAAGCCATGAAGTTATTTATTAATGGGTCAATTCAATGCAGCAAAATTAAGGCTTTTGGTTTAGGGACAAATGCTAAAAACTAAGTTACCAGACACATGACAGATTAGGAGATTTGCCTCATCAAAAATCAACAGCATATTAATATTTAGAATGTACACTCTTATAAATCAGCAAGAAGAAAATTTATAGAAAATTGAAATTCTATAGAAAACAAAAACATGACTAAGAACCTACAGAAGGGTATGTGTAAGCAGGTATAGAAATCAGTGGTGATCAAAGTAACACAAATAAAACCTACTATGGTTTATTTGTGATGCTATAACAAAACACCTGAGATTGGATAATTTATGAAGAACAGAAATTTCTTTCTCACAGTTCTGGAAGCTAAGATCCAGACACCAGCTGTTTCAGCATCTGATGGGATCCCTGTCTCTGCCTCCAAGATGGCCCTTTTGTTGCTGTACCCTCTGCAGGAAAGGAATGCTGTGTCCTCACATAACAGAAGAGATAGAAGGAGGAAAATTGGCCACCTCAAGCTTCTTATAAGGCACCAATCTCATTTCACGAAGGGAGAGCCCTCATAGCCTAATCACCTCCTGAAGGCCCCACCTCGTAATACTACTGTTTGGGCAGTTTTGTTTCAACATGACTTTTGGAGAGACCCTATCATTCAAACTAGTGCAAAATTACAATGGCAGACCACTTTATATACGTCATGAATAATATCAAGAATTGGAAAAGATGGGAGGAGGCAGAAACCCACTCTACGATGCTCCTTCTACAAGGCACATGAATACTTCAGAACACATAATAAACACTTTGGAGAGAGCGGCTATGAGAGGTGTAGGAGAGGCAGAGCTGGTACAAGGGGGAAGGGCAAATAAAAAGGAGCCCTGCACACCACAGTGATGCCAGTGTGCCATGATCTTAGGGCTATGAGGACCCAATTCTGCCCTAAAGATCAAAAGAACAACTGGAGGAATTTTATACACGATTGATAGTTATCAATGATGTAAACATTTCCTTAATTACAAGCATCACAGACTGCCAGATCCACCCAAATCCCTCTGTGTCTTCCTAGGTATATGAGAAATCTCTACACTTCCTACCTACCTTCTTTTGCAGTTTGGTTGGGACATCTGACTGGGGTCTGGTCAATGAATGTGTCAGAGGTGTTTAAACCAGAGTGACTCCATCTGGAATAGGGACTGGGTAAAATAAGGCTGAGACTTGCTGGGCTGCATTCCCAGGAGGTTAGGCAGGATGAGATAGGAGGTCGGCACAAGATACAGTTCATAAAGACCTTGCTGATAAAACAGTTTGCAGTAAAGGAGCTGGCCAAAACCCACAAAACCAATAAGGCAAGGAAAGTGACCTGTGGTCATCCTCACTGCTCATGCATTAACATGTTAAAAGACACTCTCTCCAGCACCATGACAGTTTACAAATGCCAAGGCAGTGTCCAAAAGTTACCCTATATGGTCTAAAAAGGGAGGAACCCTCAGTTCTGGGAATTGCCCACCCCTTTCCTGGAAAGCTCATGAATAATCCATTCCTTGTTTAGCATATAATCAAGAAATCACCATAAAAGCGGGCAAACAGCAGCCCTCAGGGCGGCTCTCCCTATGGAGTAGCCATTTTTTATTCCTTTACTTTCTTAGTAAACTTGCTTTCACTTGACTCCATGGATTCACCCCAAATTCTTTCTTGAATGAGACCCAAGATCCCTCTCTTGGGGTCTGCATCAGGACCCCTTTCTGGTAACAAGTGTGGGTGAAATGCCGCTTCCACCTGGCTCTGAAGCATCTCATGTTGTCTTCCATGCTCCATCTCTCCCAACCATGAGGCTAAACATGAAGAACTCTAAGACGGCAGAACCACTTGAAGAAAATGTCAATGAAAACATATCTGAAACAGGTCTCAGTCGAGAAGTTTATTTTGCCAAGGTTAAGGATGTGCCTGTGACACAGCCTCAGGAGATCCTGATGACATTTACCCACGGTGGTCAGAGCACAGCTTGGTTTTATACATTTTATGGAGACATAAGGCACCAATCAATATATGTAAGATATGCATTGGTTTGATCCAGAAAGGCAAGGACAACTGGAAGCAAGGTCTTTCAGGCCATAGGTGGATTCAAAGATTTTCTGGTTGGCAATTGGGTAAAAGAGTTATTATCAATAGAAAGGAATGTCAGGTTTATGATAACAGTTGTGGAGACCAAGGTTTTATTATACAGATGAAGCTTCCAGGTAGCAGGCTTCAGAGAGAATAAATTGCAAATGTTTCTTATCAGACTTAAAGTCTGTTATATCAGTAATTACAAAAAGGAGTAGGGGATAATGAGGCATGTCAGCTCCCACTTCCCATCATGGCCTGAACTCATGGTTCAGGTTAACTTTGGAATGCCTTTGCCAAGACAAGGCGTCTATTGAAATGGTTAGGGGACTTAGATTTTTAATTTTGATTAAGAAAAGGAACCTGGATTCTTCAATTAGCACATGTAGGAGAACCACCCAAGAAAGCCACCTAACCTCATTAGACTCTTGTGAGTAAGAAATAAAATGACTTTGAGCCACCGGGATTTAGGAGTTGTTTGTTTTAACACTTAGTCTCTCCAGACTAGAATAGTACTCTGTCAAAGGTAGTTTCAGCCTCATCATTGAAAATAAATAAATAAGGCCTAGCTGCATACCTAGCACCAGGTGAGTTTGGAATCATGAGAGACTAAGAGAAATTCACGCTATGATGATTCAATTTTTAGGAAGCAAATTAGAAGTGTCTCTTCCTTCACACCATGGCAACGCTCCAGCATGCAGTCCTCATTAATAGAGCATGGGCTTCTGAGGCTGAATAGAGCAGAAAGGCATTTGCTAACCCAGTCTTCCTCAAGAATTCCTCTCATAATCCAAAACATTCTCCAGTGAAGAAGAACTCCTAAAGAAACAGCAGAAGTAGGAGATACTTGAAATTTATTTTGACTTTTTTTTGGTAGTGGGATTGTTTTGTTTTGTTTTAGATTCAGGGGGTATGTGTATTGCATAATGCTAAAGTTTGAGCTCTCAGTGAACCCCTCACTCAAATAGTGAGCATAGCACCCAATAGACAGTATTTCAACCCTTACCTCCCAGTCACTCTCCCCTCTTTTGGAGTTCTCAGCGTCTATTATTTCCATCTTTATGTCCATGTGTACCCATTTTTTTTCTCCCACTTACAAGTGAAAACATGCAGTATTTGACTTTCTGTTTTTGAGGTATTTCACTTAGGACAATGGTCCCCAGCTCCATCCATGTTGTTGAAAAGGACATGATTCCATTCCTCTTTATGGCTGCATAGTATTCCATATACACATATGTACCACATTTTCTTTATCCAGTCAACCATTGATGGACACAGGTTGATTCCATGACTTTGCTATTGTGAATAGTGCTGCAATAAACATATGAGTGCAGGTGTCTTTTTGATAAAATGATTTCTTTTCCTTTGGGTATATACCAGTAGCAGGATTTCTGGGTCAAATGGTAGTTCTATTTTTAGTTCTTTGAGAAATCTCCATACTGTTTTCCATAGGAGTTGAACTAATTTACAGTCCCGCCAACAGTGTATAAGCATTTCCTTTTCTCCACATCCTTGCCAACATCTGTTAGTTTCTTTTGACTTTTTAATAATAACCATTCTGACTGGTGTGAGATGGCATTTCTCTAATGACTAGCAATGTGGAACAGTTTTTCATTTGTTGGCTGCCTGTATGTTTCCTTTTGAGAAGTGTCTGCTCAAATCCTTTGGCCATGTTTTAAAGGGGTATTTGTTTTTTTCTTGTTGATTTGTTGAATTTCCTTATAGATTCTGGATATTAGTTCTTTGTGGAATTCATAGTTTGTGAATATTTTCTCCCATTCCGTAGGTTATGTTTACTCTGTTGATTGTTTCTTTTGCTGTGCAGAAGCTCTTTAGTTTAATAAAGTCCTATTTGTCTATTTTGGGGTTTGTTGAATTTTGCTTTTGAGGTCTTAGTCGTAATATCTTTGCCTAGAACAGGGTCCAGAAGTGTTTTTTCCTAAGTTTTCTTCTAGAATTTGTATAGTTTGAGGTTTTACACTTAAGTCTTTAATCCATTTGAGTTTTTTTTTTATATTGTGAGAGGTAGAAGGTCCAGTTTCATTCTTCTGCATATGGTTATGCAGTTTTCCCAGCACCATTTATTGAATAGAGTATCTTTTCCCCTTTGTTTATTTTTGTTGACATTGTCAAAGATCAGTTGATTGTAGGTATGTGGACTTATTTCTGGGTTCTCTATTCTGTTCCATTGATCTAGGTGTCTATTTTTGTTTCACTACCATGCTATGTTGGTTATTATAGCCTTGTGGAATAGTTTGAAGTTGGGTAATGCGATGCCTCTGGCTTGTTCTTTTCACATAGAATTGCTTTGGCTATTTGGGCTCTTTTTTGGTTCCATATGAATTTTAAAATTCTATGGAAAATGTTGTTGGTAATTTGACAGGAATTGCATTGGATCTGTAGATTGCTTTGGTCAGTACGGCCATTTTAACAATATTGACTCTTCCTATCCATGAGCCTGGGATGTTTTTCCACTGGTTTGTGTCATCTACAATTTCTTTCATCAGTATTTCATAGTTCTTCTTGTAGAGGACTTTCACCTCCCTGGTCAGCTGTATTCCCAGGTTATTTTATTTGTTTTGTGGTTATTGTGAATGGCATTGAGTTCTTGATTTGGTTCTTAGCTGGACTATTGCTGTTATATAGGAATGCAACTGATTTTGTGCATTAATTTTGTATCTTGAAGCTTTACGGAAGTCATTTATCAGGTCTAGGAATCTTTTGGGGGAATCTAGGGTTTTTTAGCCATAAGCTCATGTCACCAGTGAACAGAGATAATTTGACTTACTCTTCTTCAATTTGGATGTGAAATTTACTTTTTATGCTAAAAATACATTCTCCTTAACTCAGTATGACATTCCTTTCTAAAATGAAATTCATGAAGAAATAAAGATAGACATATTTCCTAATACTTTACAATACTTAGAGATTCAGATTTTGGATTGGTTCTTGTTAATCCCACTTCCTCCTCCTTAGGTTTCCACAAATAAGTTAAGTGCACTTTCATTAAACTTTAAAGAGCAGTGTGGAACTTCCAGGATATTTTTCTAAAGAGACTGGTGAACTATAGAGAACTCTATAGTGAACTCTTTGACAATCCATGTCTTTTTTCCCTTTTCATCTCATCAACCAGGGATTCTCTTTCCCATTGTTCCCCTAAGCAATCAGCGTCCAGTCCCAGCAGACCTCACCACTCTCCCCACAAGGCATAGCAGCTCCTGCTCACATCAATCCTAGATAACAGATGAGTCAAGGAACTAGAGATTCAGCTTCCATCCTGAGGCTTACATCCAAACATTCATCCACAAAAGCAGGTCACTCTCTAGAGAAAGCCTGATGAACCACCTCTTCAGCAATTAACTAAGTTCAGATGAACTTCAATTCTCAAGGAATCAGAGACTTGTTTAAAAACCACTATAAACAAAATAAGGCAAAAATGAGTTCTCCAAATGATCTTGGACATCCCAGCCTCCAAAACTGGTAGCAATAAATCTCTATTGCTTATATATTACCCAGTCTGTGGTTTTGTTTTTTTGTTGTTGTTGTTGTGTTGTTGTTGTTTTTGTTGTTGTTGCTGTTTTTGAGACGGAGTCTCGTTCTGTTGCCCAGGCTAGAGTCCAGTGGCACAATCTCGGCTCATTTCAACATTCGCCTCCCAGGTTCAAGCAATTCTCCTGCCTCAGCCTCTTGAGTCGCTGGGATTACAGGCATGTGCCATGATGCCCGGCTAATTTTTGTATTTTTTAGTAGAGATAGGATTTCACCATGTTGGCCAGGCTGGTCTCGAACTCCTGACCTCAGGTGATCCACCTGCCTCGGCCTCCCAAAGTGCTGAGATTACAGGCGTGAGCCACCGTGCCTGGCCTGTGGTATTTTTTAATAGCAACCTGAACAGAGTAAGACAGATGGGAAACAAAGATATGATTAGCATCCATGTAACTTTAATAATAATAAAGAAGGAAAAACTGAAGAGACACAACATACGAGAGAAGTTTTCTGAAATGGAACCTAACCTTCAAGAAGGAATTAAATGTTTATTAAAATTGTAAAATATATGTGCAATAATATTAAGATACTGCCAGCCCAAACTGACACAGACAGCTGCTTATCAAATCCTGACACATAACAGCATTTGTGTCTAGTAGTTTGTGTGTCTCACCACCACTTTTATCCTGGCAGGAGCATCATGAAACAAGGTAACTCCAATGTCCTCAGCCTAAGAAAACAGGGCTTGTAGGCTGGTGGCTCACGCCTGTAATCCCAACACTTTGGGAGGCCGAGGCCGGCGGATCACAAGGTCAGGAGATGGAGACCATCCTGGCTAACACAGTGAAACCCTGTCTCTACTAAAAATACAAAAAAAAAAAAAAATTAGCCAGGCATGATGGCAGGTGCCTGTAGTCCCAGCTACTAGGGAGACTGAGGCAGGAGAATGGCGTGAACCTGGGAGGCGGAGCTTGCAGTGAGCCGAGATTGCGCCACTGCACTCCAGCCTGGGCGACAAAGAGACTCCATCAAAAAAAGAAAGAAAGAAAGAAAGAAAGAAAGAAAGAAAGAAAGAAAGAAAGAAAGAAAGAAAGAAAGAAAGAAAGAAGGAAGGAAGGAAGGAAGGAAGGAAGGAAGGAAGGAAGGAAGGAAGGAAGGAAGAAAGAAAGAAAGAAAGAAAGAAAGAAAGAAAGAAAGAAAGAAAGAAAGAAAGAAAACAGGGCTTGTATCTGGCTCTGAAAACCTTCTAACCCCCATCAACCCACTTAATGTCCATTGGGACAGACATGAAGGAGGTGGACAGGACATGGTTTCATGTGATGTGACACTGTCACGAAGACAGAACCATTGTCCATTGTCCGTTCCAGTGCAACTAGATCATGATCATGCTGATTAACAATTTATGGACAAGAAAATACAAGGAATCAGGAGTAGGGTAAATAGGAATCGTTTGAATACTGAAAGGCAATAGGTCATATGTTTCTAAACTGTAAAGCCTTGAAATGTAGAATGCCTGTGGGTTTGCCAGCAAGTTCCAGCCATGCTCGGAGGGAGACAGCCTCCACGGAGGCAGGGTCTCGGGAGCAGCTGGGAGATGCTTCCTGTGTGCGGGTGTGGGTAAGAGAGAAGAGAGGTTAAATGGGAACATATGGCGGAAGATTAAACAACATCCCTCTAATCCCCAATTGTCTGGCTGCCCCTGCTGTAATTACATGCCATCAGATTCAAAGGCCACCAGATGTTCAAGGCCTAAACCAGGAATTACCCACTTGGCCACTATCTTGTGAATGAGGGCTTTGACTGGAAGGGCAAAGCTGCATTTAAATTGAACAAGACAGGAGCATTTTTAGATTTGTCCACAGTAAGTGAGAGAAGGGTGGGAAACCAGAGCATTAACCATTTCCTTTCCAACAGAGAACCACAGGCTGATGAGCATGAACTTAATTACGATAAAGGTATCTGTTTAGATTGTTCCCTGGTAAACTCTCACTGCTCTGTTGAGCTCATAGAATTCTCACTTCAGTTGTTAACTCAAAAGACAAAGTTTATCTCATCAGCTATTGTTTTCCTTGATGCACCAGTAAATAAGGCTTTTCTTCATTAAAAAAATTTAAAAAACAAAAGCCGCTCCCTGTTTCCTTTAAACAGAAGCATAATATACGATGTGGTCAATAAGAAGGGGCCCTCTTATTTGTGCTTCATTGATTTTCATAATTATTTCCAGGAGTTGATTTAAGCCAGGTGCCGGGAGAAGGGCTATCTCCCAACACTAAGAGTGACAGCTGAGATAGATCTATCTGTCCTCCTGATTTTAAAGTGTCACGTAATCATGAAACTAAGTTAAGTACCCAGGGTCAAAGGTCTGATTCTCATTAATTTGGTGTGAAATTCTACTAAGCAAACAGTCTTTCCCACAGACAGAGCCTAGGTCCTCAACTCTAGCTGTTCTTGACACAGGCTCATCTTGGGTTTACTTCTGAGGGTACCAAAGAATGTGCGATCAAAGTGTGACGAGGGAGGACTAGTGCTGTCAAATGTTAAAACACCCGACCTTCAAATAATTAGGAATGTTTCAGACTGGATGTACTAGTTTCCTAATGCATTGCAACTAATTACCACCAACCTGGTGGCTTAACATAACAGAATTGTATTCCCTCACGGCTCTAGGCACATAAGTGCAAAGGGAAGGTGTCAACAGGGCCACACTCCCTCTGAAACCCGCAGAGCAGAATCCTTCCTGCCTCTTCCAGTTTCTGGTGGCTGCCAGCATTCCTGGGCTTATGGATGGCTCCAGTCTCTGTGTCGGTCTTTCCCTGGCTTCTTTCCTGTGTCCCTCCCTGTCTCATCTCCTTTTCTGTCTCTCATAAAAACACCTGTCATTGAATGTAGGGCGTATCCTGATTGAAAATGATTTCTTTCCAGAGTCATCTGCAAAGTCTCTTATTCTAAGTGAAGTCATATTCTGAGGCTCTGAAAGGGCATCTCTTTTGGAGACCACTAGCAAGCCCATTACACTGGAAAAGCTATACATAAATAAAACAAAATTAGGAATCTATAAATAAAAACAATTTCCTATTGAAATTTAGTTCATAAATTAAAGTGACATTTCAAATAAATGGGAAACAGAGGAGTTATAAATAAAGGATAATATAAAAATTGGCTGTTTGGAAAATAATAAAACTAGGTTACCACCTCATTTCTTATCCCAAAACTAAATTGCAGATGGATAAAACATTTTTATAGGAAAAAAATCATAAACATTCTAAAAGAAAAGATGGATACATGAATTGGTCATCTAGGCATAATCCAAAGGCCAGAAGTCATGAAGTAAAGATGGACACACAGAAATGTAAAATTCTATTTTTTAAAAAGTCACTGAAAAAGTGCTTAAAAGCTGCTCAGGAGGCTGAGACAGGAGAGTCACTTGAACCCGGAGGGCGGAGCTTGCAGTGAACCGAGATCACGGCACTGCACTCCAGCCTGGGCGACAGAGCGAGATTCTCTCTCAAAACAAAAAAAAAGAAAGAAAGAAAAAGAACATGACTGAAAAAGAGTTAATTTTCTTTATTTATAGAACTTATACAAATTAGTAAGCAAAGTCTAACAGCCCAATTTTTAAATGATCAAATAATAAGAATAAGGATTTCATAAAGAAATATATACAAATGGCCAATAAACATATGAAATGAGGAAATAAAATAATGGAACATCATTATTCTTCCATAATATAGGAAAAAATAATTGCTGCTCAGTGCTGGCAAGAATGTGAGGAAACGGGTGTTCCAGTACTCCATCGATGAAAGTATAAACTGGTGCAAACTTTCTGGAGTGAAATTCAATAGTAACTTTCAAAATGTTTTAATGTATAAGCTACTTGAAATTTATACCAGTAATGTTGTCCTAAACCTTGATCAAACTACATTTACAAGACTAGTCATTGCAATGAAGCTTATAATGCCTATAAAAATAAAAACTGTAAGCGACCAACATGTTCACCAATGAGGAACTGATTAAATAAATCATTTTACCTACAGAGTGAAATAGAAAAAAAAGATATGTAAAAAGAATAAAGGAAACCTATATATTCTGAAATTGATAAATCTACAAGATCTTTTATTAAGTGAAAACAATCTAGGCACAAAGCAAAGTCTGTGAATTACGGTCCTTTCTGTGTAATAAATAGATGGATGCCAGTATATCTGGAAAGAATTACAAGAAACTTTTAACAATGGAAGCTTTGAGAAGGGTAGAGAGAGGGAGACACTCATGTCATTGAGTTTGTGTATCTAGGAACTAGAGGCAGGTTCAATACTGCCCTCCCAGACATTCCTTCCCTCCACAGGTGTTTCAGATCTGCCATTCTCCCCTAGGCTCTATTTGCAATCAAATTTTCTCACGTGGCAGCAAAGTTGATGCTACAATCCCAGCTAACACTCTTCTGCTCCTGAACCAAAATGAAGAGAAAGATATTAAACCTTAGTAAAATTTCAACCTTTAGTCTAGAAAATGGCATAGAAGGATTCCAAGACTCAGCTTCAGGAAAGGGCCTATACCTGGCAGCAGTCGCTGTATCCAGGGAGGTGACAAGGGGCCTGACTCAGCTTGGATACTATGCCCCATGGTGGCCAAAGGGCACAAAGCACCATGCCTAAAAGGCTGACAGGTACCCCACCGTAGACTCTAACCACATAATTCATCATAAGGGAGTATGTGTCTCTAAATGCAGGAATGCTAGGCAGACAAAAATAATGCATGGCCGGGTTCCATGTCCCCATTGAACTCCCACCTCCCCCAGCCACCTCCCCCAGCTCCACACCTCCTGCTGCCTTCTGTGGGACATCCTACTCCAGTGTCAGATGCTATTCAGTGCCCTGATAAGCTAAGCTGTGCGGTCCCAATGCTCCCAGGATGGAGGGTGGAATTCTAAAAAGACTAACATAGAATTCAAGCTGCCTTCTTAGAGGCCTCCAGCTGATTGGAGGCAGATCCTCAGGTTACTCAAAAATCCAAAAATTATAAAAGTTCAGACCTCAGACCCAGGGTTGAGTGTTTTCTTCCTGGAAGGAGAGAAGCCATCATTTGTGACCTGGAGGGTCACTTAATGCTTTTGGCCCACATGTTGCTCCAATGTTTGGAAAACCCTTGTTCTTTCATCATCATGATGTGTCACAACTAGTCATGGACATGTGTCTACCCCATCTTTCCCCATACACAAATCTGACAGCCTCAGTGTGGAGTTCCCAGAGAGCTCTCCCTATAAGACTTCTTTCCAGAGTGAGAACTCTCCAAAATAATTTTCTTCTAAGGCCCTGTCCTTTGTCCATACCTGCACTCTAATGTCAGGACAAATGGGTAAGAAAACTATTTGATGAGTACCAGTTACTCCTTATCAGGCATGTGAGAGAAAGAGTCTATGCACTATAATATTCAATCTATTACCTCATTTTACACATACAAATCTTGACCTAACCTTCGGGCTGACATCCTGCCATCCAGCTACCACAGACATTAGCAGTTCTGTTACAGCATCCACTTTCCATGTCAAACCTGACTTCGTACCCATTAAGTATCTCAGGGCCATTCACTCATCCATTCATCCTTGAAACAGACATGAATTTCCTTCTCTGTGTGAATTACCATGATGGGAGCTCATAGTGTAGAAATGCCTACAAAAGCCTCTGTCCTGAGGTAGAGAAAGTCAAGTAGCCGATAACTCTGATAGGAATCAGCCCAGATGCTTTTGGAGGATATATGAGGTAAGCTAACTCACACTCGGCTGGGGTTGGAGGCATGGGGGGAGCCAGGGAAGACAGCTCCCAGAACATCTGTATGAGTTGAAATTCAGATCAGTAGAAGCTGGCCAAATGACCAAGGTGGGGAAGTGGTTTCCAGCAGAGACAGTACAACCTGTGGGAGGCAGGAAAACATGAGGGTGCACAACGGGTCTAAAAAGGGTACTAGGTAGACCAGGAGGTTGAAGCCCAGAGCACAGCCCCGCTTCCCTCATGAACCACAGGAAAGCTTAGCCAGGGACTCCAAGAGTTGTTAGTGAGTGCCCGGGCAATAATTCAGCTGAGAGGAAACCTGGTTTTTCTCAAGAGCTCTCAGTCGTCACTTCAACTGCAGCTGTCTGCCCTCAGCCTTGGCCCTCCATGAAGGAGGCTGTCCTTCTAATCCTTCCTACACCAAGCTCTGGAGCTGGATCGTATGCAGCATCTGGCCCCTTCAACCGACCCCCACATTAACACACCACATATAATTCCATGGGGACCCAAGGAAGGAAGGAAGGGCAGCAAGAAACCATTGACTATGAATGGAAGGTGAGAATCCTGAAGGAAGGAAGGAAGGAAGGAAGGAAGGAAGGAAGGAAGGAAGGAAGGAAGGAAGGAAGGAAGGGAAGGAACTCATCCACATCTGAATCCTCGGAGTGTGTTGTGGAACTTCCCTTTAAGTTGACTGAGAGTGTCAGATGTGTGTCTCGCTATACTCTTTCTTCTATATTATGTTCAATTCTTTTGTATTCACCTGTAACTTTCCGGAAGTTCTGCATAACAACAAATATCATGATCTGAAAAAACTCAAGTGCATGCCTTTTTACATAATAATATGCTTGCCAGCAGCTGGACCTGTCACTAGATAACTGGCTACATTATTTTCATTTCATGGAGATGCCAAATTCTTTCCAGCCAGAGTCAGAGAGTACCATCAGCCAGCCAGCATTTTGCTTTGGGTATGTAACATACATCGAGGACAAACTCTCTGGAACAATCAGAAAATCTAATGTTGCAAATTTTTGAGAACAAGCCAGATAAACGTATGGGTGCTAACTTACAAATGGGCCTCTCTGAAGCCAGAGAACTGAAGGCTAGAAACCCCCCTTCCATGTTTCTGGCTGTTCTGCTGCAAACCAGCAAAGAAGCAGAAATCAGCCTTGTTTGGTTGTGTTTTTTTCCCAGGAAGGTTCAGGGCTGTCACAAGTCCTCACAATCTCTCGATGTCTTTCTCCCAAAAAACCCACATGGCTTCTAGCACCCAAGGAGGATAGACAAGGCAGGGATCCTGTCAAGGCCACACTTTAAAGAGTCACAGGGAGGGCTGCTCACAGATGTGAGACTCCCCAGTTCGGCCAACCTTGAGAGAGGAAGACTGGCACCACTCATCACACCAGGCCTCCCTCAAGGGCAAGAGGAGATTATAACCAGGAGGCTACTGTCCAAGAGAAAACTGTGGTGCTTTATGTATCCTTTATGGTCGGTCACTACACAGTTGCTACAAATTCACCTTGGTTTACAGGGACTCACTGCTTTCTATGGAATCGCTGTTTTTACAATAAGGTCTTGCAATGCAAGTTAAAAACCATCAGGAATGCATTAGCTCTACGCATATGGATGCCGCGAATATGGTGAATAATAGATAATGTAATTCATGCAATGAATATAGCATACAACCCTCCAAGTCTTACTAAAATTCTGGATCGCAGGGTAACATAACCAAGCCAATATTCCTGCAAGGTCTGCAGATGTGAAGAAACACACCAATTACTAGAGTAATTGCAGGAAAACAATACTTCATAAAAGCAGGAAAACACGCAGCCAAATTTGTAACTCTGAGATCAACATAAAAGATGATGGTTTTCAGAAATAAGTGGACATAAGATTATTGAACTTCATTCTTTCCCCCCAAGAAAGCAAATTTTTTAAATAAAATATTCTTCTACAAAGACTGAAATAGCTTTTTTGTTGGCTATCAATTTAGGCTTAATGCTAGACAATGAATACAATGTTACTAAAATCCTCTGCATATAATAAAAAATTGTTAAACATATTTTTTAAAACAAACTTAAAGAGGTAAGGCTTAGTGTTATTTAGCACTTCAAATGTGGCTAGTCCAAATTAAGATAGCTGTAAGTGTAAATTCCAAAATGGATTTCAAAGGCTTAGTGCAAAAACAGACTATAAAATATCTCATGCATTTCTAAACATTGGTTACATGTTAAAAAGGTAATTTTGTCAGATTAAATAAAATATATGATTGGCCTTAAAAAATCCTCTGCATATAGTGAGCCGAGATTGCGCCACTGCAGTCCGCAGTCCGGCCTGGGCGACAGAGCAAGACTCCGTCTCAAAAAAAAAAAAAAAAAATCCTCTGCATATAAACACTCTAGTTGATTTTATTGACACACATTCATTAAGGAAGATTAGCTGAGAATGGAAGCAGCCCTTTCCTCCACTCAGCCTACAGGGACTTCTAGAATAGTGTGCACCTGGGAGTAATGGCTCACCCTATAATCTCAGCACTTTGGAAAGCCGAGGTGGGAGGATTGGTTGAATCTAGGGGTTCCAGACCAGCCCTGTCAACATAACAAGACCCATCTCTGTAAAGATGAAATAGAATAAATAGAATAAATAAAAATCAAAATAAGAAAATAGAATGATATGTAAGGCATTCTTTCTTTCATGTGTGTCTACGGATTCTCTCTCTCCACATACACACACACAATGTAATTTTATACACACACACACACACACACACACACACATGGCAATCTGGGCAGAGAGTAGCCCCAATAAAATAAAATGGAAGGACTTTATTATTGTACTTAGAAATTCTCAGAGAGAATCAAACTAAGCCACACAGAAGGATGTAAAGGCCAGGGAGCAGCCAGGAGGGCAGAGGGCCCACCTCCGTCCCTGGACACACTTCCCATTCATTCCCAAACCAGTGTCACCCTGCTGATGGTGGCCCAGTTCCCCAGCTCATAATATTTGACTCTTTCTTTTCTCTTTCTTTCTTTTTTTTTTTTTTTTTTTGGAATCTTTCTGTGTCACCCAGACTGGAGTGCAGTGGCGTGATCTTGGTTTACTGCAACCTCCGCCTGCCGGGTTCAAGTGATTCTCCCGCCTCAGCCTCCTGAGTAGCTGTGATTACAGGGTGCATTTAGGCTGAGTTCCAAAGAATGGGCAGAATTTGGATATGGAAAATAACTTGCTAATAGTCCCAGCAAGAATTTGTCAGGGCCAGAATGGGGCGGGCCAGTGACTTGGGTGCTATGGGCATTGAGAAGCCAGAGCCATTGGGCCTTGGAACCTCTTCCTGGATACAGGAGAGACGGGCAGGTGTAAGTGATCCCAGATGCGGTCCCAAGAGGACTGGAGAGTGGAGGCGCCAGTAAAAACCCAGAGAAAAGGTGGGCCTAAGCTCACTGCCAAAGATGTGAGAAGAAAAGCCTCAGAAGACATGAAGAGGTTGGGATGATGCAACCACAGATTAGCCCCACTTGAGTGAAAATGGCTTGAAGCAGGACAAAAACTAGCATGACCCCTGCCCAGAAGCCTCTCAGATGAACACAGCTCGAAAGAGCTATATCTGGAAGGCAAAGGACATGTCCAAAACCAGTGTGGTACTTCAAGAACACTCCACAACTGCAGCACGCTCCTTCAAAAGTTACCTCTAAAAGACAAGCACAGAAGGAACCAAGGCTGTGGAAAGCACCGAGGATGACTACTATTATTTTTTCCTTATAGTCATGGTGGGTGAGGAAGAAAATCCAGGAATGGCAGGCTAGGCAGGTGCTGGCATATAGAGAGCACTTGATAAACATGAGGAGCACATAAACAGATGAAGAATACATGGATGAGAGATGGCAGGGCAAAAATATAGAATTCATCAATACCAGCTCGCTTTGGGGCTGGCTTTTGATATTTGTAAACAGTAAGGTCATGAATACACAACCCTGGTTTGGATCTGCAATCTGCTGCTTACTATAACCTAAGATAAGCCACTTACTATATTTAAATCTCATTTTCCTCCCCTTTACACTGGAGCCAATAGCAGTGTCTGTGTCATATTGTTTGGTGATGATTTTATTAATATGTTATCCAATCTTGTGTACTCGGCACACTGTCTGCATTGAACAGGTGCTCACCAAAGTTAGCCATGGCCGTCGCCAAACTGGAAATGGTGCAAAAATATGTCCAGAAGGGCTGAACACCCTGAATAGGTGAGGGTTTCATCAGAGAAGCTGAACTTCTGAAATAAGTTTACATCTCGAGGCTGATCAAGCAGCTGCCCAGAACCCCAAAATTGGGGCCGAAGTCACACAGCTTCTGTATTCGTTTGCTAAGGGCTGCCATAACCAAATACCACAGGCGGGGTTGCTTAAACAGGAGGCCAGAAGTCTGACATTACAGTGTCTGAAGAGTTGCTTTTTCCTGACACCTCTCTCCTTGGCTTGCAGATGGTGACTTCTCCCTGTGTCCTCACGGGGTTGTCCTTCTGTGTGCGTCTGTGTACTGTTCTCCTCTTTTTGTAAGGACAGCAATCAAAGTGGATTAGGGCCCACCCTATCAACCCCATTTTAACTTAGTTGCCTCTTTAAACACTCTATTTCCAAATACTGTGACATTTTGAGGGACTGGGGCTTCAGGCTTCAACATACAGATTTGGGGGTGGACAGCTGCCTTTGGTTACTGAGCTGTCCCAGTGAGTGGATATCAGGAGATTGACCATGACCTAGTTTTCACAAGAGCAGATTATGGAGACTACAGCACAGTGAGGTTGACTCTGATCCCCAGAAAAATTATGGGGTGCATTCTTAGACACTGGCTTTGAGGTACTTTGGAAAAGAAGCCGCAATTCCCAGAAACAACACACCTTCACAGGATCATCCCAAAGCTCCCTCATTACCTTCTTTTTCAGTGAAATTCTCAAGTTAGTAGGCATTTGCTGAGCACCTACTATGTACCAAAGATTATGCTCCGTCACAAGTGACACTCTCATAAGGAAATCAGGCAGCTGAGCCAATAAGGGAATCCACAGTGCCAAAACTACGAAAAAGAAGGAAGCGCATGTCACCGAGATTACACTGAGTATGAATAATTAATTTTATCTAAGAGATTGCAGGGGAGGGGTTGGTCAATGGAAGCCTCCTAAAGAAGATAACTAGCCTGGGATTTGAAGGAAAAAAAAAACTATTCCAAGAGAGGAAAGGGCCTGGAGTTCCCCAGCAGCTGGCGGGGGTGGTGTGCAGGAAGGGGCCCCATCAGCCGGGGAGGAAGTATTTCCAAATGTGCAGATACGTTCAGAAAACCATCACATGCTTGTTTTCCTTCCTGGAATATAAAGTATAAGGAGGTGGTGTGGAAGGACAAAAGAGCAAAAGGGAAGTCAGAGGTCTTTGCTGTGCCGACAAGCCTGAACTTTCTCCCCTGGTCACGGGGAATGAGAGGATGTTCAGAAACGGAGAAAAGCCCAAAGCACATCTTAAGCCATGGTAGGGAAATGGTGACTGTATCCACTCATACAGAAAGGAAGAGTAAGAACACATAGAGATACTAGGACCTGGAAGTCCATGCCTGATGATTGCTCTGAGCTCTCTGGCCTCTGTTTCTCCCTGTGTGTTGGTTCCAATTCGTTTTCTTACCATCTCCCACCCCCTTGATCCCATTCCATGGGCTCCCATCACAAGCCCTGTCACTCAACAAGAAGCTGCTCACTCATCCATACAAATACCACGAGTGCCAGGGAACTGCCCTCACTATCCCGGTGGGTTACAGGCCATCCGCATGGCCAGAGTAGGGGGTGACTGATCACCTCCACTGGAACCAGGAATAGGAGTGGACAGGAAGGAGCAGCTGCAAGGCATGGATGGAGGATCCTGGCGCAGACCAACTGATGGACACTCACCCAGCAGTTACGTGTCTACAGCAGTTCTCCGGGCAACAAATTATAGAGAAATCAATAAGGCAGTGGCAATGAGAAAGGAGGTCAAAATTGACAGATATTTAAGAACAAGAATGAGCTGTACTTGGGAGCCAACTTTTTAAAGTACATGTAACAGGAAATAGAGGTAGAACTCAGGTTTCTGACTTGGGAGCTTCTGTGAATGGAGACATCACTAATTAAGGAATCAGGAATAAAGAAAGAGCAGGCTTGAGGGTGAGATAAAGAGTGCAGGTTTGGCATCTTAAACCTGAATTCATCCTCCAGTCTCCAGATGGAGATTCACAGGTCATTTAGGTCAGAAAGAGAGCTTGGACCAAAGCTAGCAGTGAGAGTCATAAGCCTGGTTGGGGTGACTGCAAGCCAGGAGGAAACAAGGTGGTGAAGGGTGAGGAGAAGAGCAAAGGCATCTTGAGGAATGAGGCTTCCATTCACCTTATTAATTCACGTGTTTTCATTAGGCATACATTTGGCTATAGTCCTGGGAATAGATTAGGACAATACCTAGGAAAGCCAAGACAGGAAAGTTTGCAGAAAACACCATTCATGAAGTGATAAAACATCAGCAAGATGCACCAGAAGCCCAAATCCTGGAGTGTGCCTTTGAGAAGCCACCCGCTGTCTTCTGGATCCTAACCTAATAGTCATTATCAAAATCACATGATCGTCTATTCTCCAGAGCCAAAATCAAAGAATTCTTGCTTATTTTCTAGGAGACGTTCAAAACTCTTGGACCAGAGCATCTGTTGTGGACAGAGGAGAAGCTGGACAAAAGTCCAAATATTTCAAGAGTTTGAGATCAATGGTCCAGCCACTTCGTTTTTGATACTGAGTATTGTTTTCTAAGGTGGGAACCAAGGCCTGGCTACACAGGGTTGTTTATTCTGAAATTCAGTTGGCTTTGAGGTGTCCCACCCATTTCCACTACTGCACTGTACAAAGACACCTCACTTTGTGCAGAGTGAATTTTGAACTCTTTTGCCTGGGATTTACCATGTCCCATAATACAGCAGCACACAGCCTCATTTTTCACCGTAACAATTCTGTCCCAACCTTGTCTATTTGTAGATAACAATGCACAATACATTTCCCCCATCTCAACATCCCCGAATGTCTCAACACATTACCAAAGCAGCTCAAAGTATAAAATTTTATCTAAATCTCATTCCCTCAAAAGTCTTAAATTTTACCATCTAAATCAGATGTGGGTGAGGCTCTGGGTACAATCCATCCAGGGGCAAAATTCCTTTCCATCTGTAGATCTGTTCAAGTAGAAAATAGGGCATCTGCTCCCAAAATACAATGGGGGTACAAACATAGGATACCAGTTATATACATTCAGTTCAAAAAAGAAGAAAATAGAAAAAAAATGAGTCACACATACCAAGCAATTTTAAGGTCCATCTGTGCAAACTGCATTAGGTATTAATGCCTGGGGATAATTCTTTGTGGCTCTTAACTCCACCCCCTGAGCTTGAGGCTAGGCCCTCAGGAATCAAGGCTCCATCCTCTGGGCTTGTAGCTCTGCCCTCTGATTAGCCTTCACTTTTCATATAAAGTAGCCTATGCTTGCAGCTGAGTAATTTTATCAGTGTGCTCCTTGCCAGGAGACTGTCGCAGAACCAACAGCCCTCTTTTGTTTTATACTGTGTCTCCCTTGTAATCCAAACTGTCAGTGTTTCTGCTGTATAAAACTCTCAGGAAGCTTATAGGTCTCCTGTGTATGTCATGAGGATTCACTCCATCAGACAAGAGCTCCTCCATAGGTTTATCCTAGGTATTCCTGTCTCTATTTTTGGCATTTGCCGAGATGGCTATGGTGCAATGCTCCCAAGCTTCCTAGGTATCCTCCAGTTTGATTTAGGGAATCTGTGAGCCACAACCTTAATCTCTTCCAGGAGACGGTTGTGTAACTGAATACTCTTAACTTTTGATTTTTTTTCAGAGCTATTAGGAAAAGGTTGCACAACCATGCCTTCAGCTTTTTCTCTAGAGCAGGCTTTCCTGACAGTGGATCTCTTAATTTTAGCATTTTCTGCTATCTGGATGGGTTATTTTTAAAATCAAGTCTTGTTTATTTAATTTAACATTTATTCCATCAGTCTGTCTTATTCCTCTTGCATTTTACTATAAGCAGCTGGAAGAAACCAGGCTGCACCTTCTCAAAACTTTGCTTATAAACTTCCTCTGCTGAATATCCAAGTTCATTTCTTATAAGTCTGCTTTCCACACAACTTCAGGACACAATTCCACCAAGCTTTCATCCACAATATAACAAGGGTCTCCTTTCCTCCAGGTTCCGATAACAAGATCCTCATTTCTTTCTAAGCCTTCACCAACAGCAGCTGTAACATCCATTTTTCTATTAAGTCTATTCATGATGATTTGGGTGTTCTCTAAGGCAATTTATGTTTTCTCCTATCATGTTCTTACTCTTTTCTGAGCCCTCATGGGCAGAGTCTTTTACAACCAGATTTATATGAGCAGTCTATCATGCTCCTCAAAGTTCTTTCAACCTCTGCCCATTGCCAATTTCTTTTTTCTTTCTTTCTCTTTTTTTTTTTTTTTTTTTTTTTTGAGACAGAGTTTCAGTCTTGTTACCCAGGCAGGAGTGCAATGGTGCGATCTCGGGTCACCGCAACCTCCACCTCCCGGGTTCAAGCAATTCTCCTGCCTTAGGCTCCCAAGTAGCTGGGATTACAGGCATGTGCCACCATGCCCGGCTAATTTTGTATTTTTAGTAGGGACGGGGTTTCTCCATGTTGGTCAGGCTGGTCTCAAACTCCTGACCTCAGATGATCCACCCGCCTCGGCCTCCCTAAGTGCTGGGATTACAGGCGTGAGCCACTATGCCCGGCCTCCATTGCCAATTTCAAAGCCCTTTATAGTTTTAAAAGCTATGTATAGTTTTTTACATCTGCATCTCATTCCTGCTATCAAAGTCTGTCTTAGTTTTATATGGCTACTGTAACAAATGACCACAAATTGAGTGGCTTAAAATGACACATTTATTATCTTACAGTTCTCAGAGACAAAGAGTTGGAAATTAGTTTTCATGAACTAAAATCAGGGTGTCAGCAGGGCTGGTTCCTTCTGGAGGCTCCATAAGAAAATGATTCCTGCCTTTTCCAGCTTCTAGAAGTCACCTGTATTCCTTGGTTGGTGGCCCCTTCCTCCATTTTCAAAGGCAGCAATCACCATCACTCTGGCCTTCTGCCAGTTATCACATCTCTTTTCCTGACTCTGACTCTCTCTCTTTCACTCTAAATCCCCTTATAATTGCACTTGACTCACCCAAGTAATCCAGGATACTTTCCCTATATCAAGGTCGGCTGATTAGCAAACTTAATTCTATCTGCAAACTGAATTTCTCTTTACCATGCAAGATAACATATTCTTGTCATCTGGAGATTAGGATAGAGACATGTTTGGAGAGCCATCATCTGTGATATGGTTTGGATCTGTGTCCCCATCAAACCTCATGTTGAATTGTGATCCCCAATGCTGGAGGTGGGACCTGGTGAGAGGTGATTTTTGTCATGGAGGTTGATCCTTCGTGAATAGTTTAGCACTATCCCCACGTTGTACTATCCTTGTGTTAGTGAGTTCTCATGAGATCTGGTCCTTTAACAGTGTGTGGCACCTCCTCCCTCACTCTCCCTTCCTCTTGCTCTGGCCATGTGAAGTGCTGGCTCTCGCTTCACCTTCCGCCATGACTGTAAGTTTCCTGAGGCCTAACCAGAAGCCAGCAGATGCCAGCATCATGCTTCCTGTATAGGCTGCAGAACCATGAGTCAAATAAACCTCTTTTCTTTATAAATTACCCAGCCTCGGGCATTTTTTATAGCAATGTGAGAACAGACTAATACATCCTGCCTACCTCAACCTCAAAGGTGAGTTTGAGCTGCCACCGTCGATTCTGAATAACTGGTTGGACAGAAGGGAAGATCACATGCAAAACAAACAGTTTTCATCTCAAAGTTTTAGTGTTCATTTTTTTAGAACTTGAGATAGTACATAGGTTCATAGCAAACAATTACTCGTTTAGAATTCCCTCTTCCGGCCCTTGGGAATCAGAGAGTTTAGAAGAATGAGAACTGTTTGGCATACTAGGGAGACATGTCTTTGAGTCCTCAAACATTGATATTTCCGTTTAAATACTATGTGACCATCTTGTGATTATGTAATTTTAAAAACCTACATACTCATTCTTTGACAGTCACCTAGCTGAGACTTCCTGCTGTACTAGTTCTGCAGGTGAGTTGGAGCTCCTTGTCAGCCCTGTGGACTTTATGGGAAAATAAAGTTCAAGGAATCTAGGCAAAGGTAAAGTTAGAAATTCAAGTGTATATATTCAAATTTGAAAACATTGATATATTCATAACTTTTCCTTAACTTATACAATTTTCAAACAATGTCTAATTTTCTTTTCTTAACCACAGAAAATAAAGCCAGCCTTCACAGTGAGGTAACCTACACTCTAGTGATAACAATATCTGCACCAAAACACTCAGCATTTGTTGAACACATGCAGGCTCTGGGCTAAGCTACCTGCATGCATTCTCTCATCTGGGGCAGATCAGAGATGTCTCTGAATGATAATGTTAAGTAAGAAAGAAGAGGCCCTATGAGAAACAGAAACTTATGAGAAACAGAAACGAGCATACTAGGTGCCTTGTGCCTTATGTGTTATCTTATTTAATGCTTTCAACAACACTTAAAATAATAACATTTTGTAGATGAATGTATAAGGTGAATGAAGGAAAGTAACTCTTCTAAGTTCCCACAGCAAGATAGTGGTGGAAAATTGTGTTATTAAACACGACTATTTTAGAGTCAGCTGATTACTAACTTTAATAGTTTTTTAAATTTAATTTTTTCTTTTTTTTGAGACAGAGTTTTGAAGATCCCAACGTCTTTTCTCTACACTCTGCTGTCTTCTAAGAAGTACAAGGCAAGTCCTTCGGAAAACCCACGAGCAAGACACCACTGCATGGCATAACTGGAGAGAGATTTATAGGAGGAAAGGATAGAATTGGTAGGGGGAGAGTCAGAGAAAGGACATTCATGCTAAGCTAACAGAGGAGTGAGGACAACAGCATGGCTGGAGAGAGCTTGAGACGTATCAGGGAAAACAAGGAGTTTGTTCAGCTGGACACAGACACAGGGAGAAAGTAACGGAGCAGCAGCCTGGGTTTGTCATCGGGTTCCAATCTAGGGGACCCTGAGTGGAAGCCTATGAAATGCGGCCACTTTTAATAGGCAAAGGGGAGCTGCTAAAAATACATGAGCAAGGAGCCGATATCATCACAGCTGCACTACGGAAAGATTCTCCTGACTGCAGGGCATAGGTCACAGGAGAAGGAGAAACTGGGTGTGTGGGATCAATGCAAAGGAGGCTGCTTGGGTCTCCGTGAACGGTGATGAGGGTCTGAATTATAGGGATGGGGATGAGAAGAGAAAAGAGCAGCCAGACGCCCAGCAGGTGAGGGGCTGCAGGACTGCAGGACAAGGCTTGGTAGGCTGTGACAGCTGCTGGAAGGTGGGAAACGTGAGAGGGAGCGCCTGAGAATGTCTGACCAAGCAGGGGTGGGGGAGGGAGGTTGCGGGGCTTCCCCTGGGGAAGCAGGACGAAGCTGGTGCCCCACTGCAGGAACTGAGAGGCCCCAGAGGAAAAGGGAAGTGAGGGCCTGGATCTGAGGGAAAGATCAGGCCTGCAGATACCAAATCATGCATCCTGCATACAACGCAGAGCTGAGCACAATGGAGAGGGGACACTGGTGAGGGAAGGGGGAGGACCTGGCAGACTCTTTGATGAAGCCTGGGTTCGGAGGGCTAGAGGGACAGCAGAGCCAATAAAAGGCCTGGGAGAAGGAGCTGTGGGTCAGGAGGGGAGGGAAGCTAGTGCCTGGATGTTGTGCTCAGTCCCAAGTAGGGTGCTGAGTGCACCCACAACGCTCCACGCTACAGACTCCAGCATCCACCCTACGACGGACAGATCCCTGCAGGTGGGAAAACAGAGGCTCAAGGCCCTCATGAGATTCCGTGGTCCATGCACATGGATCCCACAGCATGGATGCCTATGTCAGTGGCCCATGCCGGCCCCCCTCTTCTGACTCCTATTATGCCATGTCCCTCTCTATGTCTGCACCCCACTTAATCGTTTTTTTTTAAATTGTGGTAGAACATGTAACATGAGATCTACCCCTCTTAATAGATTTTTAAGTGTACAATATAGTGTCGTCATCTATAGACACAATGTTTACAACAGGTATCTAGAACGTACTTGTCTGGCTTAACTGAATTTTTTTTTTTTTTTTTTTTTGAGACGGAGTTCCACTCTTGTTGCCCAGGCTGGAGTGCAGTGGCGCGATCTCGGCTCACTGCAACCTCTGCCTTCCGGCTTCAAGTGATTCTCCTGACTCAGCCTCCCGAGTAGCAAACTGAAATTTTATACTCATGGATTAGCAACTCCCCTCTTCCCCCTCCCCCAGGCCCCAGCAACCACTATTCTTTTCTTCTAGGAGTTTGACTATTTTAGATAACTTATAGAAGTGAGTCTGTGCCATGTTTTTCCTTATGTACCTGGCTTATTTCACTTAGCATTATGTCCTTCAGTTTCATTCATCATTCATGTTGTCACATAAGGGAAGAGTTTCCTTCTTCTTTAAGGCTGAATAATATTCCCGGGTGTGTGTGTGTGTGTGTGTGTGTGTGTGTGTGTGTGTGTGTTTGCAGAGTGCTAACATCTTTTCAAGATCATAATTCCAGTCCTTTTGAGTAAATGCCCAGAAGTGAGATTGCTGGATTTGCTGGTGGTTCTATTTATAATTTTTTTAGAAACCTCCATACTGTCTTCTGCAGGAGCTCCACCATTTTGCATTCCCACCAACAGATTACAAGGGCTCCATTTTTTTTCACATCTTCACCAACATTCATTTGCTTTTTTTTAATATAAAATAATCTTAGTAGGTATGAGATGGCATCTCATTGTGATTGATTTGCATTTTCTTGATGATTAGTGATGTTGGGCATCTTGTTGTACACCCACTGACATTTTTATGTCTTCTTTGGAGAAATGCATATTTAAGTCCTGAGATCATTTTTAAAATTGGGTTGTTAGTTTACTTTCAAGTTGCAAGAGTTCCTTACAAATTTTGGAAATTAACCTCTTATCAGATATGTGGTTTGTAAATATTTTCTACCATTCTACAGATTGTCGTTCACTCTATTTATTGTTTATTTTGCTATGCAGAAGCTTTGTAATTTGATGTGGCCCCACTTAGCTGTGCTTGCTTTTGTTGAGTACAGTTTTGGTGTCATATCCATGAAATTATCACCAAAGACAATGTCATGAAGCTTTCCCTCATGTTTTCTTCTAGGAGTTATACAGTTTTAAGTCTTATGTATACTGAGATTTACTCTTGTCTTTATAACACTGCAGAGCCTTTGAGCCCTAAATAAGGGCACCATTAGCTATTGTGTTACACATGCAGGATCACAGCAGTTACAGAGACTCCTAGTGGAGCACACGCAATGCCTGGAACATGGGTTTGTGTTGAATGAATGCTGAGTTCCCTCCTCATTAGCTTTCCTGCTATGACAAGGCAGGGACTACACTGGGATAAGTTTCTCTTTCCCAATGACGCATGCCTGGGAAAAGCAGGCACCAACACCTCACATGGCAGTAATCTATGGCTTTCAACACTGTCCAGCACCAAGACAAACTGAGATGAGCTGGAAACATGTAGCTCAAAATGAAGTGAATGAGGGTAAAAGAGCTGAGTCCTCAGTTCTCCCTCACTTCCTGCAATGGCACTGATGCCAGAGCTAAGGGGTACATTTTCTTATCTGTTGATATGGTTGGCTGTGTCCCCACCCAAATCTCATCTTGAATTCCCATGTAAGTCTCACGAGATCTCATGGTTTTATAAAGAGGAGTTCCCCTGCACAAGTTCTCTCTCTTTGCCTTCTGCCATCCATGTAAAATGCGACTTGCTTCTCCTTGCCTTTCACCATGATTGTGAGGCATTCCCAACCACGTGGAACTGTCAGTCTATTAAACTTCTTTCTTTTGTAAATTGCCCAGTCTCGAGTGTATCTTCATCAGCAGCGTGAAAACAGACTTATACATCAGTGTTGTCCCTCTCCATGTCTGTGAAATCCCACTAGGAGGTGAAGCTCAGATACACTTGTCTCCCCCAGGTTTCCAACTCTTCCTTCATACACTATTCCTTTTCTAAGTCTGCCTTCTGTTTCTTTCTCTATCATTTTCCCCTTCATGTCAAGAATAAAAGATGTCTACCAAGAAAACTCAATATTTTCCAAATAGTGGAAATCTTACAGAAGTATGATTTCTGATCATGATGCCAAAACACTGTAAATTAAGACCTCCAAAGAGTAAAGCCAACTAGAAATCTTAAAAACAGTATGCTAAATAGGTCCTATGTTAAAGAGGAAATTTCATGTGAACACTACATATCACCACCTATGAGGTACGGCAACTTAATAATTCAAGGAACAGTTATGGTTTTATTGGAAAATGATAGAAATTAAAAATTAATGAACTAAGCATTCAACTCAAGAAGTCTGAAGTTCTTAGGCAAGGTAGTATGAGGAAAAAAGAAAATAATAAATAAAAAAGGAAGTCTACAGCAGTCAGCCACTAAAGCAATCCTAAAGAAAATAGAAGAAAAGAATGAAGATAATTGGAAAAAAGTTAAAAAAAAATAGAAACACCTCAAAAGTTAGCAGATTTATAAATAAAATCGAGAGCCAATTCTTTGCAAACAACTCTAAAATACATGAATGTCTAACAAGTATGATACATATATATGTCGCATTAAGAGTGATAAAGGCACCATCCTTTCTGGCAATATGGAGGACTGTGGTGTAGTTCCACTATATGCTATACAAAAATAAAAAAGAAAGAAAGAGAAATACTGGATAAAAGAGAACAAAAAATTGTTTCTTTTTCGTTTTAAATACATAGCAGCCTCAAAATAAGGAGAAATCACCAGATGGCAGAAATGAAGAGGGAATTCAACGCTGATCCTGCAATAGCCAATGAGAGCATTGGACACAGGTCCCAGTTTGGAACTGAAGCGCAGGGACTAAACCTGAGCTGGAACAAGACGTGCAGCCAGTGACAGTGCAGGGCAGGGAACTGGAATTGAGATTCCTATGCAGCGTTGGAACCCTCAAGAGCCACTCTGCCAGGGAAAACGGGATGAGAAGTTCTCTGTCCACTGTCCCTGAGGAGCAGCGAGGAAGTGGCATTGAGCCAGTGCTGTCTGGTCCTCAGAGAAGTCAAAACTCATGCCTGTGTATCATATGGTTGTGGGATCCAAATGTGCACCATGTACATGACACAGAAACATAGAATAAACATAGTGAAATCCAGGAGGAGATTTTAAGTTTAATTAACATTAAATAAAATTTAAAAATCCAATCCTAGAGAAGCGTTAACCACATTTCAAGTGCTCAGAAGCCACATGTGGCCGGTGTGTCACATGTTGGACAGTACAGGTGCAGAATGTCATGAAAGCAGAAATTTCCAAGGTCTTCATCGATGCCATAAAACAGGGGGATGAATAAAAGATTTAAATATTGAAACAAAAGAAATAAAAGTATAGTTGTTTCCATGTAACAGCTACCCAAAGAATCCAAGTCAATCCACTTAATAAGTATAAGAAATGAATGGCAGAGTTCAGTGTGGGAGGATGATACAAATAGATATACAAAGATAAAGATATATATTTAAGGAATTACTACTTGCAGAAGGTGACTAAATGAAGCAGCCACACATAACAGCAACCTCACATGTAAAGTACATAAAGAATAACCTGTGACTGTCTTACAAGAGAGAGAAAGGGAAAAACTTGCTAAACCATAGTATATGGTGTCAATGCCCAGAAATGATAACTGTTTAATTTTTTACAGGTTCTGACTTAATTAAAGATATTTTTAGTATCGAAGATCTCATACTTTAAAAAAAAAAGAAGAACCTGAATGACAATATGCCAGGCATGTGAAGGAAACCACAGGCTCTCTTGAGAGACACAAAAGAAGTTCTCAAGAATTGGTGAGAAATTTACTCCTCCTTGGGAAGACTTCAGAACCACAGTGATAAGAAGAGATATCTGTAATCCCAGCACTTTGGGAAGCCAAGGTGGGTGGATCACAAGGTCAGGAGTTCAAGACTAGCCTGGCCAACATGGTGAAACCTCGTCTCTACTAAAAATACAAAAATTAACCCGGCACAGTGGCACACACCTGTAATCTCAGCTACTCGGGAGGCTGAGGCAGGAGAATTGCTTGAACCCAGGAGGCAGAGGTTGCAGTGAGCCGAGATCATGCCACCGCACTTCAGCCTGGGCAACTGAGCAAGACTCCATCTCGAAAAAAAAAAAAAAAAAAAGATGCCCTTAGCTGAGAACTTAAGGAGAGGCATCTTTTACTGAGAATCTAGTGTGTAGTCGGTGCTTTCCATGAATCAGCTTATTTAATTCCCATTCCTCTGTGAAGGTCCAGTAATAGCCCCCAATCCACAGATGCAAACACCAAGGCCTGAGATGAGATGGCTAAGCAATGAGAGAACTGCATAGTGAGAGGCAGGGCCGGGTGTGAACCAAAGCTGCAAGGCACATCATCAGAGAAAGCGCAGGCTATTCACCGAGTGGTGTTGGGATAACGACCACTCATGCAGGGAAGGCACAGTTAATCCTCTACCTCACTTCACAGACAAGATGCTATCTGCACTAAAGATTCATAGATTTTCACAGATGATGAATGTTGATACAGTCCCGAGCATGCAGTATTTCAGCCCCGCTTGACGGCATCGGAACGGTCCTTGAGCCTGGAATGCTTCCTTATCCCAAGGTAAAGGCTCCTGGAAGGCCGGGCTGGACTTGCCACCTTGTGTGGCACTATCTTTCCCTGTTTTGAGCACTAGGGGTGCGGCTTTGCTCTGCATGAGTGTGTGTGTCATGGCACAACCTAAACAACACTCCCTACTCCCTATACTTAGTCTGTGCCCTGCAAGGAGAGGAGAGAGGAGTCCTGCTGCTGCAGCACAGAGAGGTGCATTCACTGCCTCGGCTTCCAGGAGGGACTCCTGGCCTGGGGGAACCACCACTGAAGCTGACCTCCCCCATCCCTTCTCCAACTGAGCGAGGCGTTGCTCCAGCTCGTGCCTGCCTGTGTGTGCTTTCCTTGGCTACTTCAATACCAAGATGCAGGGGACCCGGCTGCTTGGACCTCTGCTCATGATAACAGGCAACAGATGTCACTTGCTTGACAATGAAAGTACTAGAAAAAAATAGGAAGATACCTTGTTTTAGCAATCTTAGAGCCTAGAAGGTCTTCTGAAGCTAGACACATGCCAGAAGTCATAAGGAAAGTGGAAAAACCGAGTACTTAAAAATGCAAAATTCGGCCGGGTGTGGTGGCTCACGCCTGCAATCCCAGCGCTTTGGAAGGCTGAGGTGGGCGAATCACCTGAGGTCAGGAGATTGAGACCAGCCTGGCCAACATGGCGAAACCCCATCTCTACGAAAAATACGAAAAAAAAAAAAAATTAGCTGGGCATGGTGGCGGGCGCCTATAATCCCAGCTACTCGGGAGGCTGAGGCAGGAGAATCACTAGGACCCTGGGGGTGGAGGTTGCAATGAGCTGAGATCGCGCCACTGCACTCCAGCTGGGCGATAGAGTAAGACTCAATCTCAAAAAAAAAAAAAAAGGAAGAAAAACAAACAAACAAAAGCAAAATTCGACTTGCAGAAGACCTATGAACAGACTTGAAAGATGGGTGCAGGCAGAGTTGCTTGTGTGTGTTTGGGGGTCAGGAGTTTATTGTGAGATTTAGACACCTCATGGCTGGAGGGAAGCTGGGAGGGGGGCAGAGGAGGGAGAGGAGAGAGGTGGAGGGTCAGGGGAGCCCCTACCAACCCGTCTGAGCAGCCATGCACCCCCAGCACCCCCAGGCTGCCACAGGAAGTCTCAGAGCAAGACTGTGTTGCTCTGCCAAGCCAGAGACGGGGATGCCAGGGATGAGGCGTGGAGGAGAGTGAGGCCCCACCGCAATCTCACCCTGTGTGCCCTCCTGTCTCAGAAACACGGCCTTCAGAGAGCAGCGACTGCTGCTTCCTGCCACCTCCCACATCTCAGGCCAGCGCCTCTTTGCCTCATTCATATCATACAAGGACAGATTTGGGGAAATAGAATTCCAACTTAACCAAGTTGACAAATGGCAGGCTGGAGGCAAAATATTTGCATGTCTTAAAAAGCAAAGAAGTACACGATTAAAGCAGTAACAAAGATGGCATTTTTGCCCACAAGATTGACATAAAATTTAAAGATTGAGGACATTTGTGTTGCTGATGCTGTGAGGAAATTGTAATTTTCGCATGCTCTTGGTGGAAGCGTAAACAGACACCAACATTTGAGAGGGGGAAGAGTGTGTCAGTTCCACCATGTTCCATGTGCACACCCTTTGTCAGAGCAAGGGCATTTCTGTCCTGGAAAGGGCAGCACACGTACGCACAGGCAGGATGACAGGACGGGCGAGGCAATTCATGTCAGCTATGATTGTAACGGCTGACAGCAACACTAACAATAGCAATAGCCTGCCTTTGTGCCATGAACCACGATGCAATGGTGTTCAAAAGGATGTGGATGAAATGACGTAAAGAGAGGCTTGTGAATATGATTAAATTAACAAAAGGAATTGTCAAGACAGATACATAGGTGGATAGGAGGGAGGAGAAGGAGGAAGAGGAGTGAGAGAGACAAGGGGCTGTGGCAGTGGGGAAGTGAAGGCCCCTGAGGGAAGCTGCAGATCAGAGAAAAAATGGTTTAGAATTTGATGGGAGAAGGGTCACATTTGGCTTAAATGTGAATTGGCTTGAATTTGTGAGAACGATTATGTATTTAATGTTATGTACCTAAATTTAATTTTTAAATTATGCATCTAATAAATAACTTAAAAATAACTAACTTTCAAAATAATTTAAAATTCGTTTATATTAGAGTAAAAGAATGAAGCAAAATGAACATGAAAGCAAATAAAAGAAGGTAGGAGGAGCTAAAAGGAAGAAGGGAGACTGAGCAAAGAGCGGGAGAGGAAAATATTTCTCTAAAACCAGGATACAAATGATGGCTTCCAAGCAAAAACCGAAACAACCTTTTCATATTTGGGGGCATCCTTCTGAGATGAGCCTCAACTTTCCCTACTTTACAAATGAGGAAAGTGAGAGGGAGAAAGTGTAAGAAATCTAAGACCAAAGAGAGTGCTATCTACACCTCAACCAAACAGAATTGTGGGGCACCTTTAAACAAGATCCTAAAAATGCTTAGATGTGTTTTATAGTTCCCCCTAAGTGAATTTCAACCTTCATCCTCCTCGTTCTCTGGAGCTATATGGCCACAGCTCCCCCGCCTCCCACAGGCCATAGCATCAACTCAAGGTGAAAATGTAGGTCGTTCCCTGGGCCCAGGATGCATCTTCTCTGAAAACGGGAGCCCCTCCCAGCACGTGTGTCTCCCTGAGCAGGGCCTGGTGCACGCTTTGATCTAAACCAATGTGACATTTCCCATGAGGAAGGGGAAACCTCATTCAGCTACAACTTGAACTATTTCTTTAGGGCAACCGAGTTATTGATGGCCCCATCTATCTTTTTTAAGAGCAGTGGAACTCTCAGGCACTTTGGAACTGTCCTGCCAGCCAGCAACTTTCCTGTACCCCCTAGATGCAGTAGCCCGGGAGGTGGTGACCCTATGCTGCGGGCTGAGCATCTTTGCTGTTAATAGTAATGATCTCGTCTATCTATTTTGAATGAGCCAGCTATGGGCCCTATGCAATATCTCATTTAACTCCTACAAACCTCCATTTGTTTATTCGCTGAATAAATATTTACTGAACACCTGTGATGTTCTAATTACCTGGATTAGAGCAGTGAACAAAACAGGGCTGTGCCCTCCAGGAGCTAACAGATTAGAGGGCAGTCCGACAAATCACAAGGCATTGGCCAGGCAGCGTTCACGTGTTACAAGGAAGTAAGAAGGGAGCTGATTTTATGTGTGGGGCTAGGGGCCATGTCCTAGGAGGAAGTCTGTCCAGACAAATGGATGATCAGAGTCAGTTGGTCAACAAAGCATAAAGGCAGAGGGAGAGCTGGGTTGCCAGGCATGGAAAAATCTAAGAACATAGGCTTAGCTTTGCAGTAAGAGACAACAAGGGGACGGAGAGAAGGAGAATGAGAACAGGGTGGAGCGCCACACCCATAAACTGCATTCAAGCAGTCCGCCATGACAGGGCTGAGTTCGAGGCAAGAGTGGTACCAGAGAGGAAGGTCCCAGGGTACCCTATGAAGATGTAACGAGAGCGTGGGGGACTTTTGGAGGGTTTAAGCAGAGGGAGGCAGGATCACATTCGCATTTTGGAAGGCTGCTCTGGCTGTAGTGCAGAGGGTGCGTTGGGAGGGTTCCTGTCTGGAGCAGCAGCTGAGAGCTGTTGCAGTCACCCAGGCCCATCACAGCAGGAGAGGGTTGCTGTGGGAATGGAGAGACCTGGATGCCTGCAAGAGACACTTCTAGTAACAGCACAATAAGGTGAAAGTTTGGATGTTCAATGTGGGGAAACAGAACAGTCAAGTAAAACACCCAGGTTTCTGGCTGAGGAAACTTGGTCGATGTTGCCCTATTCCCTGAGACAGAAATTCTAGGAGGAAAGACATGTTTAGGGAGCAGATAATTGATTTTTATTTTGAACACATTTGAGTTAGAGAAATCCATGGGACAACCAAATGTAGTCGTCTCATGGACAAGGGTGGCTTATTTGACCCATAGCTCAAGAGAAAGATCTAGGCTGTAAACATAGTTTGGGAGATTATCAGAACAGGTTATAATTGAAATGGCAGATGTGCCTTAGATGGTTCAAGAGTGTGTGCAAGTTGCAAAGAAGTCCTCGGACAGCACCCGAGGAGCTCTGAGGTTCAGCGTCCAGGGACAGGAGGATGAAGTGACAGACGCGTGGTGTGGGAGCAGCAGAGGTGTAGCACGGGCACGGAGCAGGCGTGGGCACCGAGGACCTGGGACAAGCCCATTTTAGGGGGAGTGTGGTGCATGATGGGAAAGGCTCCAGGGAAGGTAAGGACCAACAGGGGTGCACCGGAGTTAGCAGCTGTTTCATGGTAGGGCAAAATGGAACCCCAAGGACAGACAGCAGGGGACAGAGTGGGTGGAGAAGTGAAAGCCGTGGGTGGAAACAATGATCCCCAAGACTGGATGTAAAACATGGGGAATCAATTGTTCTGGGAAAGAACAAGCTCTGAGAGTGAAAAATTAAAGGGGAATGAGAAGAAAATCATTTGGGAAGGAGAAGGTTAGAAAATGGGGCATTTGCCGGGCATAGTGGCTCGTGCCTGCAATCCCAGCATTTTGGGAGGTCAAGGCAGGCAGACCACCTGAGGTCAGGAGTTCAAGACCTGCCTGGCCAACATGGCAAAACCCTATCTCTACTAAAAATACAAAAGAATAGCTGGGTGTGGTGGTGTGTGCCTGTAGTCTCAGCCACTCAGGAGGCTGAGGCACAAGAATCACTTGAACCCGGGAGGCAGAGGTTGTAGTGAGCCTAGATCACACCAGTGCACTCCAGCCTGGGTGACAGAGTGAGAGTCTGAAAAAAAAAAAAAGAAGGAGAAAGAAGGAGAAAGAAAGAAAGAAAGAAGAAAGAAAGAAAGAAAGAAAGAAAGAAGAAAGAGAGAGAGAGAAAGAAAGAAAGAAAGAAAGAAAGAAAGAAAGAGAGAGAGAGAGAAAGAAAGAAAGAAAGAGAAAAAGAAAGAGAAAAGAAAGGAAGAGAAAAGAAAGAAAGAGAAAGAAGGAAGGAAGGGAAGAAAAGAAGGGAGGGAGGGAGGGAAGGAAGAAAGGAAACAAATGGGGCATTAATTGAGGGCCACTGGGTGCCAGACTTGGGGGTACAGAGGGAAACCATGCACCAGGTTCCAAGGATTTCCATGATGAGGGGTATGGCCAGGTAAAAAGGGGAGGACAACCAGGAGAGGCAATGAAGGATACAAAGCAGGAAAGCACGCACCTCTTGCAAATCGAGGAACGAGAGAATGGGTTGCTAGTGAGAACAGGCATGGTGGGACCTTGCCTCAGTGCCCTTCATCCAATAATGCAGAACAAAACACCTCCTGAGAAGCACTTTGTGAGAAGTCTGCAGGAAGCTTGGCCTCATGGTGGAAGCAGGTTTCAGTTACGAGTCAAGCAGAGAGACTGAAGATGGGGTGTGCTTGTTTGCATATCAGGAACTTGGCTCCTGAGAGGTTGGTGGAGAGGTGTGTGGGGGGAGGGCATCGTGAGGCAGTGGGAAGCCCAGAGCAATGAGCCCTAGGGAGCATTCTGAATCCCCTTTTTGGGGGGCACAAGGATTTCCACAATGCCGTGGAGAAATCTCCATAGCTAGAGAATAAAACAATTACTTCCGGCCCTCAACACAAATGCCTTAAGTACAAACTTGCTTTGAGGACTTAGACTGTGTCATAAAATCACGTGAGAATTCCACATCCTGCTTGCATTAGATTCCTGTGGCTGCTGCAAAAAAAGAAAAATCCCACAAATTGGGTGTCTTAAGACAACGGAACTGGATTCTCTCGCAGTTCAGGAGGCAGCAGTCTGAGATCAAGGCGTCAGCAGGGTGGGTTCCTTCTGGTGGCTCTAGGGAAGAATCCATCCCCAGCTCTTGGTGGCTGCCGGCAGTCCTTGGTGTTTCTGTCAGACCCAGATAAGATCCACTCTGTCTAATGCAGGAGTTGGTCACAGCACTGGCATCGTAATGGCTGGGGGCACTGCTAGTGGGGAGCATTCCATGTGAACTTGCAAGACGAGCCTAATTAGGGAGTCGATTCACGGTGAGCTGCCAGGTGAAAGACACTCCTTGTATAGACACCACATGATTTCCAAGCTGTTCGCCGGAGACAGTACTTTGGCATTTCTCTGCCAGTTTCATTATTGCCCCAAGATGTGTCCTCTCCGGAGCACTGTGCTTTTTGGATGCAATTTTCTCATTGGTAAAATGGGAAAGTAGCATCTCACACTAACTTTGGGCCTCACTGTCAAGGATGTTAGTGCTTTAATCACTGGAATTTGGGTCATCACAAGGAGGCTTCAAAGCAAAGGCTTTGTGTCCTGAGAGATGGCAGACACTGGCATGTAGGAGGTAGCCCAGCTCACGCTGTTGAGAGCAGACATTTACTCAGCACACAACATTCTGGAAGCAGCTACCAAACCTGTGGGGGTGACCCAAGGGTCTCTGCAGAGAGAGAGCAGAAAGTGGGCTACTGGCTGGGACACAGCCTTCTTGTTTGACTAGCAATGCCACTGTTGCTTGTCAGCAACAGAATAAAACAAGACCCCCAAGTCTCCTAATTACTAGTAAGGGTGGTTTGGCTCCCCAGGCTGTCCTGCCATCACCCTAACTAGTGTCATAGCTTCCACTTCCTCCTCACCAATTCATCCTGCTTGCAGATGCCTGATTAATTATCTAAAAATGTACCTTTAGGCTGGGCACGGTGGCTCATGCCTGCAATCCCAGCACTTTGGGAGGCCGAGGGGGGCGGATCATGAGGTCAAGAGATCGAGACCATCCTGGCCAACATGGTGAAAACCCATCTCTACTAAAAATACAAAAATTAGCCGGGCGTGGTGGCATGCACCTGTAGTCCCAGCTACTTGGGAGGCTGAGGCAGAATTGCTTGAACCCGGAAGGCGGAGGTTGCAGTGAGCCAAGATTGCGCCACTGCACTCCAGCCTGGTGACAAGCGAGACTCTGTCTCAAAAATAATAATAATGGTAATAATAATAATAAATAAATAAAAATGTACCTTTAGACCAAGTCATTCATCCACTCAAAAATCATCAGCATCTTGACATGGTGTTCACAACTCTATAAGCCAACGACAAACTAATGTTTCAACTGTATCTCTATAATGCCAAGAATCTTTTGCTGCAGCCAACTCTCCAATGCAGGGGGTCCAGTACGGCTACAGCTGTGCAGGTTTCACACTACACATGTGGGATTGCAGTTCACATGTGGTAGACTGTGCAAGGTACCCACTGGCAAGTACTCACTATCCACTCTCCTCCCGCCAACCTCAAGCATGTCTTATGCCTTCCTTGATCCATGCTTTTGTTATTATTACATTGTTTATTGTTTTGTTGTTCTGGGATATGTTTTAATTTACAGAGGAAAAGTGTAATATAGGAAATTCCTCCATACGTTCTTACCTAGAATTAAACAATATTTATCATATTTAATATCTATAATATTTGTTTTGATTTTTTTTTTGAGATGGATTCTCACTCTGTCACCCAGGCTGGTGTGCAGTGGCACAATCTTGGCTCACTGTAACCTCCGTTTCCCTGGTTCAAGCAATTCTCCTGCCTCAGCCTCCTGAGTAGCTGGGATAACAGGCGTGCACCACCACATCCAGCTAATTTTTGTATTTTTAGTAGAGATGGGTTTTCACCATGTTGTCCAGGCTGGTCTCAAACTCCTGACCTCAAATGATCCACCTGCCTTGGTCTCCCAAAGTGCTGGGATTACAGGCGTGAGCCACCGCACCTGGCATGTTTTGGATTTCTAATAGAGCAATTAAAATATTACAGACGGAGCGGAAGTCCATTTCTTTTTCTTTTCTTTCTTTTTTTTTTTTTTTTTTTTTTTTTTTTTGAGACGGAGTCTCTCTCTGTCGCCCAGGCTGGAGTGCAGTGGCACAATCTCAGCTCACTGCAAGCTCTGCCTCCCGGGTTCACGCCATTCTCCTGCCTCAGCCTCCCGAGTAGCTGGGACTGCAGGTGCCCGCCACCACCCCCAGCTAATTTGTTTTTTTGTATTTTTAGTGGAGACAGGGTTTCACTGTGTTAGCCAGGATGGTGAAGTCCATTTCTTACCTATCTTTACCTCCATTCTTTTGCTCTCTCCTCCTCCAGAGTTGCCTCTGTTGTGAATTTGGCAAGCATTTTTCCAACCAACTTTTTAATCTTTCAAATATACACCTCATGCACAAAATTGGATCAGTCAAGAATCATTTGCACACAGCAAAAAACTCTCTGGCTAGTTTAAACAGAAGAATAAATGCATTAGGGCATTATGTCGTTCCCACTAGACTAGAGAAACATGCTGGGAGGGCATTCAGCCAGGAACAAGACCCCACATCACACCACCAGCTGCTCTGGTGAAAGAGCGAGGTTCCAGCTGGGTGCAGTGGCTCACTCCTGTGGTCTCAGCACTTTAGGAGGCTGAGGCAGATGGATCACTTGAAGCCAGGAGTTCAAGACCAGCCTGGCCAATATGGAAAAACCCCATCTCTACTAAAAATACAAAAATTGACCAGGCGTGGTGGCACATGCCTGTACTCCCAGCTACTCGGGAGGCTGAGGTAGGAGGGTCACTTGAACCCGGGAGGTGGAGGTTGCAGTGAGCGAGATCATGCCACTGCACTCCAGCCTGGGCGACAGAGCAAGACTCCATCTCAAAAAAAAAAAATAAATAAATAAAAGGTGAGGCTCCACTGCAGCCACAGCTGAACCCTGCCACTGGCTAGACCTTCTGAATGCTGCCCCGGAACCTGGACCCACGTGTAGGCACCCACCACAGCCAGCGGCACGATGCAGGCCAGCATCCCTGAGTCATCAGCTGCTGAGGAAGCCTCTGTGGCAGGTGGACCCAACAATCTAACTGACCAAACCAAGGGCTGGCTCCAAGCCTGACCAGAATGTACTGGAAGGAAGAGCTATGGTTTCAGGATTGTTTCATTTTATAAATTCTTTTTTTTTCTACTTTTCTTTTTATTATTATACTTTAAGTTTTAGGGCACATGTGCACAATGGGCAGGTTAGTTACATATGTATACATGTGCCATGCTGGTGAGCTGCACCCACTAACTCGTCATCTAGCATTAGGTATATCTCCCAATGCTATCCCTCCCCCCTCCCCCCACCCCACAACAGTCCCCAGAGTGTGATGTTCCCCTTCCTGTGTCCATGTGTTCTCATTGTTCAATTCCCACCTATGGGTGAGAATATGCGGTGTTTGGTTTTTTGCTCTTGCGATAGTTTACTGAGAATGATGATTTCCAGTTTCATCCATGTCCCTACAAAGGACATGAACTCATCCTTTTTTATGGCTGCATAGTATTCCATGGTGTATATGTGCCACATTTTCTTAATCCAGTCTATCATTGTTGGACATTTGGGTTGGTTCCAAGTTTTTGCTATTGCGAATAGTGCTGCAATAAACATACGTGTGCATGTGTCTTTATAGCAGCATGATTTATAGTCCTTTGGGTATATACCCAGTAATGGGATGGCTGGGTCAAATGGTATTTCTAGTTCTAGATACCTGAGGAATCGCCACACTGACTTCCAGAATGGTTGAACTAGTTTACAGTCCCACACCACACCTATTCCAAAATTGACCACATAGTTGGAAGTAAAGCTCTCCTCAGCAAATGTAAAAGAACAGAAATTATAACAAACTATCTCTCAGACCACAGTGCAATCAAACTAGAACTCAGGATTAAGAAACTCACTGAAAACCGCCCAACTACATGGAAACTGAACAACCTGCTCCTGAATGACTACTGGGTACATAACGAAATGAAGGCAGAAATAAAGACGTTCTTTGAAACCAACGAGAACAAAGACACAACATACCAGAATCTCTGGGACACATTCAAAGCGGTGTGTAGAGGGAAATTTATAGCACTAAATGCCCACAACAGAAAGCAGGAAAGATCCAAAATTGACGCCCTAACATCACAATTAAAAGAACTAGAAAAGCAAGAGCAAACACATTCAAAAGCTAGCAGAAGGCAAGAAATAACTAAAATCAGAGCAGAACTGAAGGAAATAGAGACACAAAAAACCCTTCAAAAAGTAATGAATCCAGGAGCTGGTTTTTTGAAAGGATCAACAAAATTGATAGACCGCTAGCAAGACTAATATAGAAAAAAAGAGAGAAGAATCAAATAGACGCAATAAAAAATGATAAAGGGGATATCATCACCGATCCCACAGAAATACAAACTACCATCAGAGAATACTACAAACACCTCTACACAAATAAACTAGAAAATCTAGAAGAAATGGATAAATTCCTCGAACATACACTCTCCCAAGACTAAACCAGGAAGAATTTGAATCTCTGAATAGATCATTTTATAAATTCTATTAAAACAAAGAAGAGCAGGTAGAAAGGATGCGTGATGCCCTATGGGCAAATTATAGTAACACAGTTGCTCGTTCCAAGTACATATGCTCTCAAATCAGAGTGAATTGTAACTAATGAAATGCACTAGTTCAGCACCTAATTTTCTGAAGCATAGACACACCATGTTGAGGCGTATGCAACTGTTATTTTTAATGTGAGGCCAGAGTTATTCCTGACATTTTTACCTTTGTTGGACTTCTTGAAACACCATAGCCTCGTGCCAACCAACATCAAGGATTTTTGACTTCTGGCTCTTCCTCCTTCCAGACGTTCTAGGATTCCAAATCTTAGTTACTTTACACCCTCTAGGAGCACACAGATTTCTGAATAAACAAATGTCTGTATAGAATGAATATGAAATTAATCTATCATACCAGATATAATGGTAATCAATGACCTAATGAAACCTGATCTTTGAAATGGTGTCAATCAACCAGACACTTGAGAGTTGGCCACTCGTTTCTAGCTTGCTAATTGGTAAATAGGTGTTTTTGTTTTTGTTTGAGACGGAGTCGCCCAGGCTGGAGTGCGGTGGCTGGATCTCGGCTCACTGCAAGCTCCGCCTCCTGGATTCACGCCATTCTCCTGCCTCAGCCCCCCAAGTAGCTAGAACTACAGGCTCCTACCACCACGCCCAGCTAATTTTGTTTTTGTATTTTTAGTAGAGATGGGGTTTCACAGTGTTAGCCAGGATGGTCTCCATCTCCTGACCTCGTGATCCGCCCGCCTTGGCCTCCCAAAGTGCTGGGATTACAGGCGTCAGCCACCACAGCCAGCCAAATGTGTGTTTTATACATGTCAGAGAGGGAAGCAATCACAGGGAGTAGCCCTCTCCTTACCTACATTCTGGGAAATGGTGGAAAGCCAGGGGAGGCTTTTGAGGGGAGGCGTGTTGCAATGTGCTCGGGACTTAGCCAAATCTGAGTAGAGAGGCACATTCAGTGAGAGCTCCAACCTGTCAGAAATGGCCATCTGTGTTTGCAAAAGGTTCTTCAGATGCTCGAATAATGAGGGAAGTAACCCATGCATGCTCCACTCACTGGGGTGGGGTTTGTTTATTGTTGTTTCTCAACAACAATAAACCACGTGACAGGTGTGAGGATCCTGCAGCATTTATTTCCGCCTGTAGTTCCTTCCCTTTCTAGTGCCTAGCTCCTCAGCTCTGCAAAACTTCTGGCTGGGAGGATTTTCAAAGCCACAGCCTTTTCCCAGCAGAGAAGTCACTCCATGCTCAGACCATGTTAGAAAACAAAACAGCACTGGCCAGAAGTCACCCAGATAGAAACGGTGCCCCCAGAGAGCCTTGAGGTCACACTAATGAAGTGTCAGCCTTAGAGGATATATATGCATGTTCCTCCTGCCTTCTTCTTTCTAATGAAGCTGGCATCCAGACCTCAAAGCCTCAGGACACGTCCTTCCTATCTTATCTTTATGGCCGTGGTAAAATATACATAACATAAAATTTACCATCTTAACCATTTTTAAGTGCACAGTTCATTGGCATTGAGTTCATTCACTTTGTTGTATCAACCATCATCACCTTTCACCTCCAGAACTTTGCATCTTCCCAAACTGTACTCTGTCTTCATTAAACACTAACTCCCCATGTTCCTCCTCCGCAGCCTCTGGAAGCCACCATTCTACTTTTTGTCTTTATGAATCAGACTATTCTAGGGACCTCATAGAAGTGGACTCATTCAGCATTTGTCCTTTCCCTTCTGGCACACTTCACAGAGCATACTGTCTTCAAGGTTCATCCATGTTATGCCCTGTGTCAGGAAGTCTTCCTTTTCATGGCTGAATAATATTCCATTGCATATAATACATTTGTTTATGCCTTTATCCATTCCTATTTATTTTTGTGTCAACAAGAAAGTCCAAAGAAAACAAAAAAATAAATAAAATGAGATAATTTGATCACACATACATAAGAAGAAAAAAATGGGATTGTTCTGCCCTATTTCATACCATCCTTGAGCATTCATGGAAGAGTAAGTCCCCGGCACTGACTCACACATCTCCATTCCATCTGCCTGTGGCTAATGCCAAGAGCATCATAGTAAAAACAAACAAACAAAAATTACCTTTTGTTTCCTGATACTCTGGGAATTAAATAACACATGAAAGTCTGTTCTCCACTAATAGGTGAGTGCAGAACAGCCCATCAGCTCCAGCTTTCCCTGTGATGGCTGTCTGAGAAGTGGTAATTGATTAGAGACTTGATAGGGAAGAAGAGACAGAGCTTTAAATCATGGGGCTTTTCTTAGGACAAATGTACCTTAATAGAGACTTTTGGCAGTGGAGCAAAAGGACATGGGTTACCTCCAGGACTGAGGTCCCCACAGGAAGGCAGAAAATGAAGGTGATAGAGAAACTCAGTGAAGGGCTGGGTGCAGTGCCTCACTCCTGTAATCCCAGCACTTTGGGAGGCCGAGGCAGGAGGATCACTTAAGCCCAGGAGTTCCAAACCAACCTGGGCAACATGGCGAAACCCCGTCTCTACTAAAAAAATATAAAAATTAGCCGGGCATGGTGGTGCATGCCTGTAGTCCCAGCTACTCGGGAGGCTGAGGTGGGAGAATCACCTGAGCCCAGGAAGTTGAGGCTGCAGTGAGCTATGATCACACCACTGCACTCCAGCCTGGGCAATAGGGCGAGACCCTGTCTCAAAAAAAAAAAAAGAAACTAAATGATCTCTGAGGAGCATGCGGGGAGAAGGGATGTGGACTAAAGGGTGTGCTCCACTTCTTGCTCTGGAACTTTGAAAGATGAGCAGGCCTGGCACTTGAGGCACAAACGAATTTTCACCCAGAAAATCTAAGAATCCATAAGGAAATAGAGCAACCCAGTTCACTAAGTTTTAAAAAAATGCATATCACAATAAAATATAAATATATTGGATGTATCTATAACGGATTCAATTATCAACTCATACACATAATTTTCTTATCTGTAAGGTAGGAAGAGTTGATAGATTTAAAATCTTTGGAATTGTAGGGATGCATTTGAGAATTTCATGCCAAGCTCCTGCTCTTGCAAAGACCCTCCTTCAGGTCTTCACACAGCCAGTCCCTTCCTGAGGCTCAGCTTCAGCTTCAAGGTCGCCCCTCAGAGGGCACCTCATGGCCGGCCCAGGATCTCTACCCCCCTCCCCCGCACCACCCGCATTCTGTTATATGCAATACAGTGTCCTGATCATTTCCTGATATTTTCTTGTATATTTGGTTATTTATCTAACTTCTCCCCCCAGAATATGAGCCTCATGAGCTCAAGGAGCTTCAAAGGAGCCTGCCCACCTTTATCACTTACCCCCCAGCACATGGAACAATGCACTCAGTAGGCACTCAGTGAATATTGAACAGTTAAGGAATTTTCCTGAAGGGCCGCGTATCCAAAGCAGATGGATGATTTCTTGATTTCTTTCTTTCTTTTTTTTTTCCTTTCTTTGAGGCAGTCTCACTCTGTCGCCAAGCTGGAGTGCAGTGGTGCAATCTCACCTCACTGCAACCTCTGCTTCCTGGGTTCAAGCGATTCTCCTGCCTCAGCCTCCCAAGTAGCTGGGACTACAGGCATGCGCCACCACCCCCAGCTAATTTTTGTATTTTTAGTAGAGACGGGGTTTCACCATGTTGGCCAGGATGGTCTCGATCTCTTGACCTCATGATCCACCCTCCTCGGCCTCCCAAAGTGCTAGGATTGTAGGAGTGAGCCACCGCGCCAGGCCCAGACGGGTGATTTCTTCAGTGACTTCCTTGGCAATGCTTTCTGTAACGAGGCGGAGTGTGCAGTGGACTTGAGTGTCAGTCTCCATGTACTGCCTCTCAGCAATGCCCACATCCTTCTGAACATGCTCTGTGATAAGCCACGGAATTGTTCTCAGTATTTCTCTCCTTCAAAGTGCGAGGCGAAGCTTTCCCAGTAGAGGGCGCTGGAGGGACACGCAGGAGAACAAGGCCGTCTGTTACTTCCAGCCGGACATAGGTGTGAGGACCACAGTGGCTCTGATATCTCAGCCTGGTGACATCCTGGCCTCAGCCCTCTCGACAGGGAAACCAAGCACCTGCGCAGCCCCCTGTGCTCTGCAGGGCCACAAGCCCCCCAACACCGCAGGGCCTGTGCTCATGAAGGTGCCCCGGTGGCTCCAGACCCGCCTTGTCGTGGCCAAGCCGGGGCACCTCCTGCCTCCCCTGGCTGACCACACCCTCTCCAGAAGGTCTGGAGACATTCCCAGCCCCTCCTTCCTTGGGCATCTCCCTGAGCCCTAGGACAGTGGTCCCCAGCCTTTTTGGCACCAAGGACCAATTTTGTGGAAGGCAATTTTTCCACAGACCCAGGGTTGGGGAGATGGTTTCAGGATGGTTCAAGCACCTTACGTTTATTGTGCACTTTATTTTTATTAAATAAAAATACATTGTAATATATAATGAAATATTTATTGTAATTGTAATATACGTTGTAATATAAAATGAAATAGTTATACAACTCACCATCATATAGAACCAGTGGGAGCCCTGAGCTTGTTTTCCTGCAAGTAGATGGTCCCATCTGGGGGAGATGGGAGACAGTAACAGATCATCAGGCATTAGATTCTCGTAAGGAGCGTGCAACCTAGATCCCTCGCATGCCCAGGTCACAATAGGGTTCTCACTCCTGTGAGATTTTAATGCCGCTGATCTGACAGGAAGTGGAGCTCTGGCAGTAATGCGAATGATGGGGAGCGGCTGTGAATACAGATGAAGCTTCGCTTGCTCACCTGCAGCTCACCTGCCGCTGTGCAGCCCAGTTCCTAACAGGCCACAGACTGATGCTGGTCCATGGCCAGGGGGTTGGGGACCACTGCCCTAGGGTACCCTATTGCATTTCCTTATGTCTTGTAGTTATTCTTTTATTGTGGTTAGTAGTTCTTTATATGAAACTTCCCCTGTTTTACCGACCCTTTGACCTCTCTCTCCTCACTGAGTTCTAACTGCTGCAACACGACCACTGTCTCCTTCTAACCACTGCAGCCCTGCCCTGAAGCATGTCAGCTGGAGAGAGAAAATTAGGGGACTGGTTTTCAGGACAAACGTTAATCAGCTAAACTTGCCAGTGTCTCTTTCTGTAAAATATGGTGGGGAAGGTGAAGATAACCTGCATGTAAAGATGAACTAGCAGCACTAGTTGCCAACCCTTATGGAGGGATGACCACCTACCAGACCCTCTTCTAAGCACCTCACCATATTAACTAATTTAATCCATGAAACAGTTAAGCCAAGTAGGTTACTAGTCTCAGCTCCGTCTTACAGATGATGAAACGAAGATGCAGAGAGATTGTGTAGTAAGGCCAAGGCCACCCAGACTACAGCAGAACTCGGACTGGAACCCAAGCTGGCTGAGTCAAGAACCCAAGCTCTTTATCCTTCACATAACAATTTAAACAAGTGCACACAAAACTGGAGACACCTTCTTTTAAAACTACCTTAAAATTAAGAGATATGCGTTAAACACATCAACCTGATTGCCAACGGAAAAGGGGAGAATGGGAGTGGGAGATGAGGGCAAAAAGAAATGACAAATTAATGAACGAATAAACAAAAATAAGAATGGGGACTTGCAAACGTGTGCATAGCTGTGATGCAGGGAGTGACGAGTGCAGCTAAGCCAGCCTCTGTGTGGGGCAGGTGGACAGGTGCATGGGGTTCCTAATGGCAGTGACAATGACAGTGTCCTCTGCATCAGAAGGACACAGGGACACAAAACCCCGATCAGATGTGGCAGGAAGGATTCTGGCCCTGATGAAGAGTCACTGAACCTGCTTGAGAACAACTCTCTGCTGGCTCCGTAGATTTACAAAAACAGAACTGCAAGAAGGTAAGCTCTATAAGGGCAGGGCATTTTGTTCAGTGTCTAGAACACAGCCTCAGATGCTCAATTTTTGCTGAATAAATGTGCAAATGGATGGACTAGGGGTCAGTGTCTCCCTGGGAGGTCACAGGCTACGTGAAAAAGCTGAGAGCTTGTAGCCAGGAGCATTCTCTAAACCCAGAGTGGAGGCAGAGGTCGAAATGGATGAAGGCAAAATACAATCCAGCCAACCGTCTACAGCAAGTCTCCTGCTTTTTTTCCGATTTAGAATGTAAAACTTTTAAAGAGCACATGTATTATCAATCATATTTTTACATTAAATCTGGGGATAAGCCCCCATTGGGTGTCCAAATAAGCTCTTTCCCACTTATCTTTTTACCCCTTGGAGGGGGCAGGGTACCTGAATTTTAATACTAAATTAAAGCAAGGAACTGATTTTAAATGTTAACAAGAAATTAGCATAAATCAAGCAAAGATGTTATCTTAGAAATAGTTCTGTTTGCTTTTCACTCTAGTCAGAAATAGGTCTTAGAACCTGCCCGGCATCTGGTTGCTAGAGCAAGCACTAAATTGATATGTGCCCCCACAAGGATGCCCTTAATAAAATTTTTAGAGAGACATTTAAAAGTTGAGCACACAGGAGTACTAAAATTGCCATCCACAATCCAAGCACATGACACGTTTTCTAAAGCTAGTGCTTCTTCTAGCACTAATTTTGTCTGTGTGACTTAACCAAGAAAAACTCCACACTCTCCCTTCTTTCTCTCCTATTTTCAGTTACGCCAGAAAAGATCAACTTGCAGCATGCCAGAAGGTCTTCCCTAGCTTTTCCAAGCAGCAGTTTGAATCTTATATAGAACATTCCATAACCACGGAACATTTGGTTCGCGACGCCAATTTCTTGAGGATGAGGAGAAACACAACTGCCTCTGCCAAGGTACCACCCTCTAGAGTCAGTAAGCCAATACTTACCACTTCATTTTAAAACCCATGCAGTGCTCACAGATGTGATTATATAATTACGATCAAATGGCAACCTGTGTGTGAGTCCTGAATCACTTGTCCTGGAATGGATAGGGCTATTTATAATCACAGCGAGGCTGGGGAACAGAGTAACTGCGGACAAAGGCAACTAATTTCTAGCCCAGAGGCTGAGGCCGAAAGGAAGCCTCATGATGGGGCGGCTGCCAGTTGTGAGCAGAACAGTTCACACCGGCCAGTGGCCACCGGTGAGTGACCTCGCAGAGCTGCAGCTTGAGAGCAATGGACAAGCCTTCCCAGGGAATTGTGAGGGAGCGGCTCTTAGCAATAAACCACCAGCTAGCCCTGGCACAGAGAGGTGAGGCTGAAAAGAGCCCTAAGGCATCTTTTCTTGTATTCACTTGCTGGGTTCAGTATTTTGGCTCCTTACAAAAGCACAGATTCCAAACGAGGAGTTTTGGAGGGGGCAGAGGCTCAGTGATAGGAATAAAATAGTTATTTTCATATTCACAGAGCTGAGTTTTATTTCCAAGGAGGGAAAATTGGGAACTAAAGCAGGCAAGCAGTTTATTCCCCAGAAGGATTACTGCAAGGACTTACCTGCATTCAGTGGCCAGTTGAGCACGCGGGCCAAGCTGGGCTACAGTAAAGCAACGTCAGCAGAGGCGTCTATCATATAGAATGCATTGGACAATGGTTTCCATTACAATTAACAGAGTTAATTACTCTAGAATTTCTGCTTTAAAGATCTCTGACTTTCGGCCAGGCGTGGTGGCTCACACCTGTAATCCCAGCACTTTGGGAGGCCGAGGCGGACTGATCACCTGAGGTCGAGAGTTTGAGACCAGCCTGACTAACATGGAGAAACCCCGTCTCTACAAAAATACAAAATTAGCCAGGTGTGGTGGTGCATGCCTGTAATCCCAGCTACTCAGAAGGCTAAGGCAGGAGAATTGCTTGAACCCAGGAGGCGGAGGTTGCAGTAAGCCGAGATCACGCCATTGCACTCCAGCCTGGGTAAGAAGAGCAAAACTCCGTCTCAAAAAAAAAAATCTCTGACTTTCTGACTCCACGGAATGGAGCTAATATTTGAAAGACAGATGTTGGAGAAGAATTATCTTAGCAGACATGAGGAAAGACCTGACTCTCCTGTCAACGTAATGAGCTCATAAATACCTCCACCCCTTCACCGTGTGTCAAGAGAATGAGACGGCTCCTTCCAGACCCTGTGCCCAACTAATATTGACACTCCAGATCCCTTCCTCGCCTTTTTTTTTTTTTTTGGTTATGATATTCAGCTTTTTTTTTTAACCTTTTATTTTTTTTAATTGACAAATAATAACTGTACATGTTCATGGGGGTACATAGTGATGTTTCTGGTTTTTTGGGTTTTTTTTTTGAGACAGAATCTCACTCTGTCGCCCAGGCTGGAGTGTAGTGACGCGATCTTGTCTCACTGCAGTCTCCGCCTCCCAGGTTCAAGTGATTCTCCTGCCTCAGCCTCCTGAGTAGCTGAGATTACAGGCACCCACCACCATGCCCGGCTAATTTTTGTATTTTTAGTAGAGACAGGGTTTCACCACATTGGCCAGGCTGGTCTTGAACTCCTGACCTCAAGTGATCTGCCTGCCTTGGCCTCCCAAAGTGCTGGGATTACAGGCGTGAGCCACCACACCCGGCATGATATTTCAGTATGTAAAAGGTACAGTGATCAGATCAGGGTAATTAGCGTAACCATCATCTCAAATATGTATCATTTATTTGTGTTGGGAACATTCAATGTCTTCCTTCTAGCTATTTGAAACTGTATTATTGTGAACTAGAGTCATCCTACAGTCCTGTAGAATACTAGAAAGTATTCCTCTCCTCTAGCTGTAATTTTGTAACCTTCCACAAATCTCTCCCTCCCCCTCCCTTCCCCCTACCCTTCTCAGCCTCTAGCATCCTCTGTCCTACTTTTTACTTCTATGAGATCAACTGCTTTTTTGCTTAAAGGGTTCTCATTTCATTCCATATATAACTAGCCAAAAATCATTTCAAAGAATTGTTAGCTAATTATCACTAGGCCATTAATATTGAGCAACCCCAATTTCCTTGGGATTTATAAGGCACTATAAATTAGTTTCCTGTGGCTGCTGTAACAAATTGACACAAACTTAGTGGCTTCGAATAACAGAATGTGTCCTCTTACAGTACGGAAACTCAGAAGTGTAAAATCAAGGTGTTGGCAAGGCTGCACTGCTTCTGGAGGTTTTACAGAGGGATCCATTCCTTGTCTTTCTGGGGCCTGGGGGCTCTGCACTCCTTGGCTCCTGCTCCCTTCCTGCATCTTCCAAGTGCATCCCTGCAACCTCTGGTTCCATCCTTACAGCTCCTTTTTCTGCTGGTGTCACTATTGTCTGCCGTTTCTAAGGAGGTTGTGATCACACGGAGCCAACCCAAATCATCCAGAATCACCTTCCCCATCTCAAGATCCTTAATTTATCATATCTGCAAAGTCCCTTTTGCCATAGAAGGTAACATCCCCACAGGTTCTGGGGACTAAAATGTCGGCATCTTGGGGGACCCATTCTTGAAACTGCCACAGGCATCTACCGTGAACCTGTGTCTACTGTGGAGAGCTGAGGATACACAGACTAAAACCCCACCTTCTGTCTCCCGTGTTCTCCCCTCAACATCCAGAAGAACCAAGTGGAGTAACTGGTGCCAGGCTAGCCCTCCTACCATCAACAATGGAAAATGGGAAAATTATGTGAAACAACTGCTTGAAGATGTAAGACATCAGACATGGCAGTACTGTGAGCTGTTGGAGAGAAAAATAAGATAAGCACTATGATTTACCCTGTTTTCTGACTTAAAGTACTTTCCGTATCATAGCATAGGGAAGGCAAGCCCATGCCTGTTTTCATTTTGCCTGGGATGTCCCCATCCCCCACCCCTCCTTCCCCGGGTCCTCCATCTTCTGCTCCTCCTTCCAGGGTTGGAGTTTGCCACTTTCTTTCCCTGTAAAAGACTTTCACGACTGGGTGCGGTGGCTCACTCCTGTAATCCCAGTACTTTGGGAGGCCGAGGTGGGCAGATCAGGAGGTCAGGAGTTCGAGACCAGCCTGGCCAACATGGCGAAACTCCATCTCTACTAAAAATACAAAAAATTAGCCGGGCATGGTGGCGTGTGCCTATAATCCCAGCTACTTGAGAGGCTGAGGCAGGAGAATTGCTAGAACCCAGGAGGCAGAGGTTGCGGTGAGCAGAGATCGTGCCACTGCGCTCCAGCCTGGGCGACAGAGCAAGACTCCATCTCAAAAAAAATAAAAAAAATAAAAAAATAAAAAAACTTTCTTCATCCACTGCGTAGCAGTGCATAGTAGTGCATAGTAATCCTGCTGAGCAGAGAAGACAAAGCTCAGAGTTTGGTTGCTAAGACTATGGGAGTGGGTGGCACAGAGTACATAAAGCATGGTTGGAGGAGCTTCATGGAGGAGCTGCAGAAACTTATACAGGGGTCTCCTTGAGTCTCTGAATGAATCGTAAGTTGGGGATATATAGGATGAGATTTCACAAGGCCAGGCAAAGCTTTTAGCAATAAACCACCAGCTATCCTTGGCACAGGGAGGTGAGGCTGAAAAGAGCTACGTAGAGATTCCAGAACTTGCAAAGAGCCAAGTGACGTAGGAGTACCAACTCGCCAGAATTCATAGGTCTGAGGAATACCCTAGGAGCTCAATTGAGGCCTCAGAAATGCCATGCCTCAGAAACTGTGGTTCTCTAGCCTCATAGTAAAAGCTACTTTATACTCACCCTAACATGCTTAAAAATAAGACTGAAAGAATCATGCTGAACTACATACAAGGAAATTAGCTACTTGCCAGAACAAAACTCAGGCCAAGTGTGGTGGCTCATACCTGTAATCCCAACACTTTGGGATGCTGAGACAGGTGAATTTCTTGAGTTCAGGAGTTCAAGGCCAGCCTGGGCAACATGGCAGGACCCCATCTCTACAAAAATATATATAAAAATTAGCCAGGTGTGGTGGCATGTGCCTATAGTCCCAGCCACTTGGGAGGCTGAGGCAGGAGGATCATTTGAGGTGGGGTGTTCAAGGCTTCAGTGAGCTGTGTTCACACCACTGCACTTCACCCTGGGTGACAGAATGAGACCCTATCTCAAAACAAAACAAAACAACAAAAAAAAAACACACACACAAAAAAACAAAACAACAACAACAACAAAAACCTCAATGCTCTTCAAGGAAGACAATATAATCCAGACACTTTACAAGCCAGCATTCACAATGTCCAGCATAAAATAAAAACTTACTAGACATGCAGACAGACAGGATAATTGACCTGATACCTGGAGGAAAATGTCATTAGAAAAAGACCCAGACACAATAAGAAGTATAAAATTATCACACCAGAATCTTGAAGCAGCTATTAGAAATATGATCATAGACTTACAGGAAAACACAAGCATAATGATGAAATATAGGGGATCTCAATCAAGATACGGGATCTATAAAGAAGAGTGGAAATTCTAGAGTAGAAAAACAAAACATCTGAAATAAAATATTCACTGGTTGAGTCTAACAGCAATATTTACACTATAGAAGAAAAGATCATTGAACTTGAAGACTGGGAAACAGAAACTATCCAAACTTAAAAACAGAGAGGAAAAAGGGGAGAAAAATGAACAGGGCCTCAGCAACTGTGAGACCAAATGGAGTGGTCCAGTAGACAAGCAAATGGAGTCCCAGAAGAAGAGGAAAGAGAGATTAGAGCAAAAAAAATTTTTTTAAATAATGGCCAAAATATTTTCAGATTTGATAAAAGATAGAAACCCACTATCTCAGTTCATTTGGGCTGCTATAACAAAATATTATCAACTGAGTGGCTTCAATGCAACAGAAATTTATTTTGCACAATTCTGGAGGCAGAGAAGTCCGAGATCAAGGCATCAGTATCTGGGATTATAAGGACTCTAATCCCATTCATGGGGGCTCTGCTCTCACGATCTAACCACTTCCCAGAGGTACCACCTAATACCATCATATTGGTAATTAAGTTTTCAACGTAATAATTTTGGGGAGGACACAAACATTAGCACCCACAAACCCTCAGGCAGAATATCACCAAAAAACCCACACTGAGATGTATCATAATCACACTTCTGAGAACTAGTGATGAAGGTCATCTTAAAAGCATCCAGAAAAAAAGAGACGTTACACACTGGAGAACAGTGATAAGAACGTTCTTTTTATCCTAATCAAACCAAAAAGAAGGTCATATGTCAGTGCAATGAAACATCTTTAAATAACACAAAGAATAAAACAAATGGACAACTTAGAATTTTACATTCAGCAAAAAAAGCTTTCAAAAATAGATATGCAAAAGGGGCATTTTCAGACCCCCTCCTCCCCCCAAAAAAGTCAGAGAACATTTCATCAGCACACCTGAACAACCAGAGTAAAGGAAGTTTTACACACAGAATGAAATGATACTGGGTGGAAACTCAGAAAGGTATAGAGGAACAAAGAATTCCAGAAATGGCAAAAATGAGTTCAAAATGAGGGTAGGTATAAAAGAATTTCTTTTTCTGTGATGCCTTTAAAAGTTAATGGGCTGTTAAAAGCAAAAATAACAATTGTGGGGTTTATAACATTTTGTAGAAGTAAAATGTATGCCATAAATAGCAGAAGGGACAGTGGAGGGATGGAATTATACTGCCATATGGTTATTACATTATACACATACATTATACACAAAATTATATAATATACTTGAAGGCAGAATATAAGTTTAGAGTGTCTACAGTCATCCTCAATATCCATAGGGGATTGGATCCAAGACCCTCTGCAGATACTGAAATCCAAGGATGCTCAAATCCCTTATATAATGTGGCGTAGTTGGCATGTGAGGTTTGCATACAGCCTCACACATCCTCCTGTATGCATTGCATCATCTCTAGATTACTTATGATACCTAATACAATGTAAATGTAAATAGTCATTATACTGAATTTCGAAGTGTGTATTATATTGTATTAATGTTTTAACTATTTATGATCTGTGGTTGGTTGAATCTGTGCATGTGGAACCTGTGGTTACGGGGGGCCCACTGCATTGTAAACCCTGAGCCATCACCACAAGGAAAAGTGAAACAGTCTGGAGGGAAAGAGAGAGGAGGAAATCAACAACTACAGCAAAGTGTTACTCTCAATGTCAACAGCACAGACAGGCACAGGGTGTGGTGAACACAGCGAGGTCAGCCAGCTTTTGCAGACCTTGGTATTAATGAAGTATTTCCAGAGAAGGTACCAGACCCAGGGAATGGGACCTGGAGGAGAAAGCCTCAGGGGGCAGCTCCAAGAAGAAGGAAAAGCATGTGTGACAGAACCAGGCTGTGAGGGAGCCAGCCTTCTACAGGAAGAAGACCCCTCTGAGCCTACTGTGAAATCACCAGCCCACCAGCAGGAGCAAAGAGTATAGGGAAAAAACACCCAAGTGAAAGTATTTGCATATTTCAACAGAGAATGTGTGTGTGCACGTGTGTGTGTGTGTGTGTTTGCACAAGCACATTTCACTTCTTGGTCAAGACATTCCACTTCATGGAGTTAAATCTCTTATCGCCACTCTTTCCAATCCCTGGCCCCCAGAATTACTGATTCTTAATTACAAAGATAAGCTGACAAAGTCCTTACATTAAAGAGGGCTTGCTACAGAAACACACCCCTGGGCCTAGGAAGGTTCAGTAATCTACCCCAGTCAAACAGGTGGTGGGAGATGGAGCTGAGATTAGGACTCAAAGGGCTGGACTCCAGGGTCTGCACTGTTAGACTCTGTGCTCTCCTTCCCCAGTCATAAACACGGAGGAGACTTCTGCTCCTCCTTCTGGGCTTGGAGTGTGTCCCTTTCCCTGGAAGAGACTTTCTTCATCCATGGCTTTGTCCCCGTGAGTTGGCTGCCTTGGTTGCAGCATTGGCAACAAAGTCTCTTCCAGGGAAAGGGGCACACTCCAAGCCTGGAAGGAGGAGCAGAAGTCAGAGGACCCAGGGAAGGAGGGGTTTAGGGAAAGGGGATATCCCAAGCAAAATGAACAGCGGTTGCACTGACACAGTGGTGTGAACGCACCTGGCTCCTTCAGGATGATATATGGGGGAATGGATACCTGAAGCCAGGAGAGAGAGGATGTTGGATGGAATGAATAATGAACAAGGAAAACTGTTCTGAGAGGTCACAGATTAAAATAAACCTAGAATGTGTTGGCCACCTCTTCTCAGAAGTGGATAATGAACAAAACTCTTCTTCAATCGGTTAAGCCAAAGGCAAAAGCCTGGGACATGCAAACGCCCCTCCTTTTATGCAGCTAATTATACCCGGAGTCCAGGTGAGACTCGATGAGTTAATGAGGATCCACTCAAAGTCTATCACGGTCCAGAGACAGAGCTAGACCCAGACATGTCCCCTGTCCTCACCAAGCTCGTAGGCTAAAGGAACACAGACAAAGCAAGCAAGCAAGCAAGTATAATGCGGCCTGGTAAGTGCCAGATCGGGATGGTTCCCTTTTCCAGGCTTGATTCCGCAGAGGCAAACCTGGACACAAGGAGTTGAGCACAGCAGTTAATTTGGGATGTGAGCCAAGAAACACTCATGGAGGAGCAGGGAAATGAGACAGAGAAAGGAAGGAACCCATGCACAGTGCACAGTGGGCACCTGGGCCCAACCCCACTGGGGACGTCTAGGAGGCTGCATACGTGGTACATGCCCCCAGGCTGTACTGGCAAGCAGGGAGGAGCTGGGTGTTTAGCCACTACCTCCCATCCACCGCTGAGGAAGGGCTGTTCTTGACACACAAATTTGCTGACATTTAGTGAGCCCCTGTTCTAACATGCAATCCTGTGGCAGGAGGAGGTGGCCCTGGGGAAGAAAATCAGGGGCAAGGGTCAATGCAGCCATCAGGCAATATGGGGGTTCAGGAGGCTTCCTGGATGTGCTGGTGCTTAAGCTAAGAGCCAGTTGCAAAGCTGGAGTCAGTTGGGCAAGGAGAATGAAGGAGTAGCGTATCCCTGGTAGGAACGGCACTAACCATATTCACCAAAACTGCTTATGTGTGTATTTTGTTCCCCGCGGGGAGTAAATTCCAATGATTAGGTCTTATTCATCTTTTTATAAACCTTCCTCAAGTGTTTGTTCCCTTTGGGCTGGGCCAGAAAAATCTAAGATAAAGAAGTGTGGGGCTAGGTACGGTGGCTCAAGCCTATAATCCCAGCACTTTGGGAGGCTGAGGCAGGTGGATCACCTGAAGTCAGGACTTTGAGACCAGCCTGATCAAGAACATGGTGAAAACCCATCTCTACTAAAAAAAAAATACAAAAATTAGCCAGGCATGGTGGTAGATGCCTGTAATCCCAGCTACTCGAGAGGCTGAGGCAGAAGAATTGCTTGAACCCAGAAGGCAGATGTTGCAGTGAGCTGAGATCTCACCACTGCACTCCAGCCTGTACAGAGCTAGATTCCATCTCAAAATAATAATAATAATAATAAAACAAAGAAATGTAGGACAAGATGTAAAGGCAACAACTGGTCTACCACCTGTCTAGCTTCAGGAAGAGATGGCCACCAAAAAAGAATGATCAAGATGAAACTCTTACCACCACAAAGAAAGTGTAAAAATTGCTGGGGGGTTACACAACTTTGAGTGGAAGAGGCCATGCAATTTGTTTTGAAAAAAAAAAGTACTATTATTTTACAAAACCAAATATATTGTTTAATTAAAATGTATAGAATGCATAACATTCTATAAGTGGAATCACATTATACATGCCAAATTTAAAAAAAAAATATCCACAATATGCTGTGGGAGCTATTTATACTCATAAACATAGCTCTAGAACGTTCTAGAATATCATATTGTATCAGATTTCTATGCATTCTTTTTAGCCTATCTATACCTTATGGTCTTTAAAGAAGGCTAATGCAAGTAAATACCTGCTTTCTTTTTTCTTCACTTCCTTGAATGTTTCTTGCGTTTTCTTTGAAATAAGAAGCCATTTTCCTCGAGCATTTATTCACACCATAGCCTATGCAACAATGCAAGACACCATGGTTTTGTGGGTCCAGGCCATTCCTTTATTTGGGGGGCCTTTGATGTCCCAGAGCAAGTTCTCACCAGAGCTGACCTCATTGTTTGGACACAGGATCCTGCCAGACCTACCTTATACTGACATCTGCTGGTCATCTCGAGGTCATCTTCAGTAATAGTTAAAATGGAGAAAGACTTTGAGTTGTTTCCCAGAGTATGCTGAAATTTTTCCCTCAGTTTTCAAGGCTTTAACCAAGACATGCAACAATTTTTCTGGGCAGCTATGTCTGTAATAGAATACATATCTGTTGGGTCTTGTTTTTCTCCATCTTATGTCATCTATTGCTGCTACTTGCAATTGGTTAGACCAGCTATCCTCACTCAACACTATCCCGGGAGCATTTGTGATGGAAAAAAAAAATGGGAAACTTACATAAACTGTTCCCCATTTTTTTGTTTGTTTTCACAAATTATCCTCAGATCCTGAGCTTAGGTCTTCCACAGAATGAATATAAGGGGGATGGGAGGACAGGGAGCATGGAGAAGCGACTTTGAGAAGAGCTTGTGTCCAATGCCAGCTCCTCACTCTCCATAACACTGTGTCACAGTGGCTCCAGCCACTCGTAAGAGCCAGTCCCATCACAGGAATTTCAGTGGCAGAAAACTAAAATGGTTATCCATCATTCTGGAAAATAGCTTAAAACTGAAAGGCAACCTTCCAGAACCCGAGTTCCTACAAAAAGAAACTCCTCCTAGAGAGTGAGCTTCTACTCCCCTTCCATCCGTGCCTGCCACTCCCCACTGGTGCACCCCTGCCCTTGCCCCTCACATGACACTGTGGTCCCAGAAAGCAATTAGACTCCCAGGTCCCGTGGAACTGGGTTCAAATCCCCTCTCCAAGCCTCATTTGTGTGAACATGAGTTAGTAATAAAACTTTTCTAAGACTCTCTTTCCTCAACTGTAAAATACATAAATTACGATAACAACACGGAATGGAAATGTGGTCGTGAGGACTGAGATGGAATCACTTTCCCCCTCAGCCTCGCAGCAGATGTCCAGCCTCTGCTCTCTCCCTTTTTTGGCTTAGTTTCCAAGTTTTATTCAAGAACTCATACAAAATATTCCGGATAAATGATGTCTAATCCTCATCTTCCTCCTCTTCTTTTTTTTTTTTGGTTAATTTGGAAGTAACATAATTTGTAAGTCTCTGTGCTGTTAGTAACGAGACACAATCAAACACAGAGATTGTTGCTCAAATATTTTTTGGTGAGATATTGCAAATACCATTTGGAAAAAAAGCACCTCCTCCTTCCTGCCTCGTTGGCCTGCTCCCTGTGAGAGCCTGGATCTTAAAAGCAATCTCCACCTTCTCCCACACCTGCAGTCAAGATGTTCCCCACTATGGCACTGAAGCCACTCTCAGCAAGCCCATCTGTGACCTATTGATGATTTTTACGTCCTCTTCTGGCTTGCCTTCTGAGGATTTCATCGCACCCACTTCCCTAGTTTTCCTTCTGCTCCACTCCAGGTCAGACCCCTTTACTAGATCTTCCTCCTCAACCCCTTTCAGAAGGGGCAGCTCAGAGGTCACCCTTAGATGCCCATCTTTGACTTTCCCCTAGTTGAGGTCCCACAGCTGTATTACCTCTATGCTGATGATGCCTATACCAGTAGTTCAGCCCTACCTCTCCCTGAGCTCCAGGCTCATATATCCAACTATTTCCAGGACATCTCTTTTGGATGCTGTGCGGGACATTTTTACACACCACCTCACATCCTCTCAGCCCACCCTTTTGCTCCAGCTGTTGCTGTGGTAACCAGCTGCACACAGGAGGGGCTGATTCCACCTGCAGCCTGAGGCCACGCACACCTCTCGGTTCTCCCCCAGGACAGCTTGGCTGCTGTAACTGTGGCACCTGCAGGAGCCCACTCAGTCAGTCACAGGGGGAGCCATCGTACACCTGGAAGAGTAAGAGAGTTGACACGCCCAGGCAGCCCTTGGTAGGGAGTGGAAACTGGTGGTGATCCTGTCCCCTCCCACTTCCCAGCAAGACCCAGCCCAGATGTCCACAGCAGGGATCAGCTCCAGAACATACTCAGCGTTGGGCTTCCCTCCTCGGTCTCACTTCTTCCCAGTCCCTGAGATCGCTTTCCCACACAAATAATATGCAGCTCTGCTCTTCTCAAAGGATCTGCTTGTGGGGGGAATCCAAACTAAGGCCCCTCAAACATAACAGAAAATGTTACTCTTCCAGCTTCGTTTCTCCCCTGCCCCATCTTCACATCTCAACAAATGGAACTGATAGCAGTGGTAGCCTGTCTGGAGCAGCCACTGGGAAGACGGCTGCAGTGGCGGAGGTATAGCCAGGGTTGCACACTCTGCAGGGCTGGTGGGAGCCAGGAACAGGCGGGAGCCCAGCCACAGCTCCAGACCCAGGCATCCCAGTGCTCTTGGAGGCCCGGGAAGTCCCTGCCCCTGCAGGCTCAGAAGTGCTTGTTCTGCTCCAGCCATCTGGCCGTTCCCCTCTACGGGTGCCTGTTCCAGTGAGGAGCAAAGTTGTGGCAGAGCCTGGGTGCTGTCACAACCCAGCTGGGTGTGTGCATGCTCAGGGTGGTGCTGACCTGCCAGCCCCATGCAGCTTCATTCCTTTCAGAACTTTGAGCATCAACAAGCATTGGAGGGAGGTGAGGGGGGGATGAGGGCACCTTGGCGTAGGCCTGCAGGCACCCCTCAGCATGAACAGCCTGGGGGCCGTGGATGGTATGTTGATGGCAGAAAGGAGAGAGGTTCCTGGGTAGAATGGGGTGGCCCCTGGTAAAACCCCACCTTTAAGCCAGGGACACCCTAAAGCCTGGGGGGCTGGGCTGCCAGTTCTGGGTGGAGTCTGCAGCTCTGAGTGAGAAGTTATGGTGTTTTTTCCAGGCCTGCCCATGGCCACTCATGGACCAATCAGCACGTACTTCCTCCCTTCTGAGCCCATAAAAACCCCTGGACTTACCCAGACTCACATAGATGTCGAGACTACCAGCTGCAGAAAGGAGCTACCCATTTTGGGTCTCCTCGACTCATTTGAATGACCTCCCTGTGAAAAGGAGCTATCCACTTTGGGTCTCCTGAGAGCTTGTTCTGTCACTCAGTGAAGCTCCTCTCCACCTTGCTCACCCTCCAGTTGTCTGCATGCCTCATTCTTTCTGCACACTGGACAAGAACTCAAGACCCACTGAATGGCAGGACAGAAAGAGCTGTAATTCAAACAGGGCTGAAACACCTGCCCCTGCTCACCACTGTGCGTGATGAGAAGGAGAAAAGAGCTGTGGCCCTTCGGGGAGCCCAGATCTAGGAGCTCCCCAAGCCAGGGCTGTGACACCCTCTTTGGGGATCTGCAGTTCCTGGTGTCTCCAAGCTTCCAGGTGCCACTGTGTTCCCCTCGTCCAGTTGTGGGTGCCCACAGCAGAAGCCACATGCAGTACATCTGGTCCAGCCACAGCTTCGCACAGAGCTAGCACCTGTGCTGGCACCTGGAGCTGCCTGCCCCACTGTAGCAGCTGGCATGCCTGGCCATGCACAGTGGCTGGATGCCCCCACCACACACCCCTTGCTGCTCCACACCTGGCTGACCCGTGGTAGGTGTGGGATCTGGGCTGATAGCGTGAGCCAAGCACAGGCTGCCGGGCTGAGTGGGTGGGACAAGCCCACTGGGTGCAAGCAATACTCAGGCAGAAAGTGCCACCGACCACAGAGGTTTCCAGCTGGCGAAGTGACAGCCCAAGGATCCCGTGACAGAACCACATCTGCCCCATGTCTCATGTCAATCTTAACTCCTCATGCTTTACCTTGTCCTGCAGGGTCCATCTATCAGCAAGATCTACCAGCTCTGGCTTCAAAATAGTCCCCAGATCTGTCCACCTTTCTCCGTTCTTCTTTCTCCGTCAGGATAACATAGTCCAAGCCACGACCATAGCAACAGACTCCTAACTTGTTCCCCCCTCTTCCATTCTCAGCCCCAACAATCCTTCCTCCACCAGGCAGCCAGAGTGGCCTGTTAGTCTTGGAGAGGTAAACAGTAGCATATCTTTGCCCCACTCAGTGCCCTCCAACGGTGAGCCATCGAAAGCCTGCTCAGCTCTGAGACTGTTGCACCCTCTCATGGAAAGTTCAACAAGAGTGAGCACAGGTTGGACATGTTGAGTTTACTGTTTATTTTATGACATACTTCCAAAACCCTCTTAAAGAGAATATCCCGAATATATTGTGCTGCAGAAAACATGCAGCTTCATTCCCTGCCTTTACTCACTTTTTTACAGTGTTTTCTGTTTCTGCTATATATTATTACTCTCTGGTCTTTTTATCAATAATCACTTACACAGAATATGGGCTGGGAGGATTTCTCAAAGGGAGGTCCTGACCATCTGCAGAGCGGATGTAGTTTGGATGTGTGTCCCCTCTAAATCTCATGCTGATTGTAATCTCCAGTGTTGGAGGTGGGGCCTGGTGGGAGGTAGGAGGTGTTTGGGCCATGGAGACGGATCCCTCCTGGCTTGGTGACGTCCATGTGACAGTGAGTGAGTGCTTGTGAGATCTGGTTGAGATCTTGCTTGCCCTCTGTCTCTCACCATGTGACACGCCTACTCCCACTTCACCTTCTACCATGAGTAAAAGCTCCCTGAGGCCTCCCCAGAAGCTGAGCAGATGCCGGCACCATGTCTGTACAGTCCGCAGAACCACGAGCCAATTAAATCTCTTTTCTTCATAAATTGCCCAGTCTTAGGTATTCCTTTATAGCAATGCAAGAACAGCCTAACACAAGGTCCAATGCTGTCCCCTGCACCACATCCTTCCCGAGTCCCCTACTACCTCCACTGCCCCTTTGAGGGCTACACGGCTGCATTTGGCATCTGCACATGGGATCCCCTGCATAAGAAGGAGCTGCCACTCATCTGAACAGCACAAACAGGCCACGGCAGGATTCCTCACATCTTCTGAACCTTCACACTGCCTTAGCGGCAGTGGCTCTCCAAGGCACCCGCTCATGGAAAGGGGCCCTGTGTGATCCTCAAGCACCCGGGGTCACCCAGTCCTTTCTCCTCAGTTTATGGGTACACCAGCCTGTCTGAAGCCCAGACAGTCCACAGGCATCCAGAGCTTAGCAGGTCACTACTCAAACTCGTCATGATGATGCCCATTCTGTAAATGAGAAAATGGAGGGAGAGGATAAAGAACTGGCCTAAGGTCTCAACCGTTGTTCATTGTTGAGTGCAAGACTGAATGCCATAGCCCTTGACACCACAGCTGCTTTCTCCTGCTCTGTGCTAGGAGGCCACAGCTGTCCATACCCCAGGACACTGACCTACACCAGTGCATGTGACCACCGCCACATGAGATACTGCCTGCCTCAGGAGTCACTGTGCTTCAGAGGACACCTACACTTGCACACACCACAAAAGCTCACACATGCATTCACAACACACGCAACACACATGCACACACAACACATGCACTCACAACACACATGCAACACAATACACACACGTGCACAACACACATGCACACTTCTGCACACACCACACATCATACATGCACATACACAACACAACCATGACCCCAATACACAGCACATATGCACACATGCGCATACATACATGCACTCAGCACATACACATACACACACGGCCCCCACAGAGGTTTTGTGCTTATGCTTATGACCCAGAGACTATTCAAGTGCATGTGGGGTCCATGCAATTTCTCCTGGCCACCTGCCCTCCCTCCCGCTCCCACGGCTTCCTCTCTACTCTCTGGAAAGCAGCTGTGGTGTCAAGGGCTATAGCATTCAGTCCTGCACTCAACAGTGAACAACGGTTGAGACCTTAGGCCAGTTCTTTATCCTCTCCCTACATTTTCTCATTTACAGAATGGGCATCATCATGATGAGCCTGCAATAAAAAATTCACGCGATGTTGCTGAGACCCTCAGTGCACTTCCACACGGGCGCGCTTGCTCCTTCAACGATTGCCGCCTCTGTAGCGCATCAGATCCCACTTCACAGGGCAGGTCTCAGGAGATGGGTGCTGCGGGCACCCCGGGTTGGAGCCAGTTTCCCAAGGCAGAGTGCTCCTGGGCTACTGCTTGACTGATGAGCACAAACCCCGGGACAGGAGGGAGGGACAGGGGCAGAGCGAGGCTGCAGAGAGGCCGATTGTCAGTGTGGACTCTGCAACAGCCTGTGCGATCCCAGGACAGCACCCTGGAAGGCTTATAAACCTCTCAGGAGCATCCCTTGGGGAGTACACCCCCCTTACCCCACCCAGTCCTCAAAGAAGGCCACACTGCATGGGAGTGGCTCTGAAGAGGGCCCTGTGTGGTGACAGCAGGGAAGCCCTGGGTGGGAGGCAAGAGGGGCAGGCGTGAGCAGGTGGCGCACTGTCGGGTGCACACGTGCGAAGCTGGTCAGATTCACCCCAAAAGAACACAAGGTACAGAAGTGCCTCGAGGACCTGAACTGGGGCAGAAGAGGCTCTGCTACACCCTTGTTTCCAAATCAAATCATCATCCCTGCGGAGCCCTCTGGCTGTCCGTCCTTTGTTTTCTTTCTTCTCTTGACTCCTGTTACCTCCGCATTTCTCAACTCTTATGGGGAAAGTTTGGACTTTTGAGGATACTGTTAGCCCAAAAAGCATCCTTTCATTCTGCCAGAGAAATTGACCATGCTCAGCATGCTGGGTTCCATCTGCAGAGCCACTCACGCTCCCGGCCTGGTTCCACGCCCAGCAGTGTCGCTGCTGCCGCCATGTATTCTGTTGCTATCGTTCCTGTAGTTGTCAGCACTGTGTTGTGTTGCTGTTTGTGGTGGTGGTGGTGGTGGTGTTTGAGTCCTGGGATCACTGCAAACCCCAGAATTCTTCAGATCCAGAGCTTGCTAGAATTTGGAACAACTGAGTCTGCCATATCCCCTTGTTCCCACAGTATCTAGCATGTGCCTGACACATTGTGAATGAGGATTCATTGAGCAATGTCCCTGGGGGATAAATATCATTAAATTGGAAGCAAATAAAAAATGGTAGCAGACATCCAACTCACCTATTTATGGGTGACTCCCAGGCATGGAACTGGAAAGCCCCAAATTCCCATGGCATGCAGAGTATGCACCATGAGGAACTGGACAGAGCAGGAAGTTTAATGTGTTGGATGCTGCCCAGCAGGCTGCATCCTGCTTGGTGTGGGTGAGTGACACTTGCCACTGGAACTTTTCTTGACCCAGAATTCTTCAAACATTCCATTGTGGGAATGGCTGCTTTTGATTTCCCTTATGGCTTCAGCCTGGATTAAACCCGGGTGGGGGTTGTTATCTGCACAGGGAGCCAAGAGTGTGGGGCCACAGGCAGAGGCTGTGCAAGGAATTGGAAGTTCCTTGGCCATCATCTGTCGGTTGTGGCTTGCATGGATGGGCTGGCCAGGATGTGGCCCCCCTTGTGCCACAGCTCCCCACCCTCTGCCAAAGAAAGTCAGGTTCACAGAGGCATTTTTTTGGTCTTGTTTCATTTATTGCTGAATTCCTGGGCCCTAGACCAGTGTCTGGCTAGCGCATGTTGAATAAGTCATTCAATCAATCAATCAGTCAACTGGAGACTTAGATGAGCTAAGAATTAAGCAGACCAAAATTTTTGGCTGCCTACTTAATATTGCAGAATTAATCAAAACTGGTTTTTACTGTGTTCATTTTGGACACCTCTATGTAATCTCTCTCTGTCTCTCTCTCTTTCTCTCTCTACCCTCCGCCACCCCTCTCACAAAAACAAAAACACTACCCATTCACTCCTTGAATTATAGGAGGATATGGGAATTGGGATGAAAAATTCCCCAATACTTATAAATTCCTTCCTGTTCTAGTACCACCATCTCCAAACATCTCATTGGGGGCAAAAAAAATAAAATTTAAAATTGTGTCTGCATATGAAACCTCTCAAAACCGAAAAGAGAAAACAAGGATTTTTCCCTCTCTCTATTTTGAAATTGGCTTAAAAAGGAGTTTGAGAAAATCTTGTCCATCTGCTGCCCAGCCTTCACTCTGCTGAGCATTGCTCAGTCAGGGTTACATGAAGCTGAAGAAATAATGGAAAGGCACAGAAAACCTCATCCCAACCCACACCGCTAAGCATTTTCCAAAACAGCACTCTTGCCAAATGGGCTTTTGGCTTCATCCACTCGAACAACTTTCTTGCTCACTGCTAAGAGGAGGCGTTTTGGCAGGGAAAGGAATGCATGGTGCGAGTCTGACATTCCATTCCAGTGGAGACACAGGGTAAGAGACAGGTGACGCTACCTAGTGTCCTCTGTGCAGAGCGTTCCTCCTGCCACACACTCATCCTCCTGTCAGCCAGTTCCAGCAGGCAGCTGCCTCTCTGCCCCACACTGCCCCTAGCAGCTGCTTGCTGATGGATTCATTTCACGGATTGTGTGTTTAGGGCATGCGGTCCGCCAGGCACTGTGGTAAGTGCTTGATGTATATGAACTCTATACAACCTACAAGGTCGGTATTACTGTTCTGCCTGTTTTACAGATGAGGAGGCTGAGGTCCAAGTCAGGGACCTTGCCCAAGGCCACACGGCTGGGAGATGTCAGAGCCAGGATCCCTCCTGGGGCCTTTTGGTTCCAGCTGTGGGCTTCCCCCGCACATGGTGCTCTCCCTCCTGTGGCCGCACCTGCCCGTATCTCGCCCCTCCAGAGCCCAGGTGGCCACAGAGCTGATCTGACCAACCCTCCTCCTGAACAGGAGTTGGAAGATGGTCTCCAGAACCCACCCCAGCCCACCTGGGGCCTTCCAGAACCCATTCCCTTCCATTTGCCATTTAAACTGGAGGGCAAGGGCTCTCAGAGGAGATGCTTCTGGCTACTTGAGACCAATACACATGCATCAAAGAGCCAGTACGTGCCAGGCTCCACCATGGTAAGTGTTCTCAGCATGCTGGAAAACCTTGGACAATTCCTTCCCTGTCTCTTGCTTCAGTCCGAGGACCGTTGAAAGACTAAGCTGGGGCTGGGAGCCACGGAGGATTTTCTGAGCACACTGGAAAGCCCGAAGGTCGGCCCAGGGTCTCATGGGGAATATTCAAGAAGGTTCAGGGTCCCATGTACCCAGTTTTACCGCTGTTGGTTACCACTAACATTTGCTTTGTGGGCCATTTCAATATTTATTTGGTTATAAATGCCCACATAAGTAGCTCTCGGCCCCAGGGCACCATGACCTTTGAAGCACTTGGTGCTCGGTGTTGGAAAGCAAACCAGAGAAGATGGTCAGTGACGTCTTCATGTGGAGAAAAGAGAAGGGGAGGATGCATCTGAGGCACTTCTGGAAAGAAAGCAGGACGGGAAAAAGAGAGCTCCACGTCTTGAATATAATCAGGGACTCGGGACTCCGCAGCATGACCTCTACAGGTGACCTCACCTGGGAAAGAAAGGACGTGGCTTGAATCAGTTGTTTGCAACCCTGTCTCTCCCCCATAAAACTTCTCCATCCAAAGAAATCTTACTCAGAAGACTGTCTCAGACCTGCCTGTGGGAGGATTCTCTCGCTAGCCAGAAAGTATAGGACCAATGCCCGCTGGAGATTTTACCATTTGTTTTCTCCCTCTCACCTGTGCCCAGACACCCATAGGGTGACCGACCTCTGCCCTACGGGGATCCTGGCAGTCCCAGCAGCCCAGAAACCCCCATCCAGGTGCCAGGGTCAGAGGCGCAGGAATGTGTCACAGACTCCTGGCATGACAACAAGTGTCGTGGCCGAGACAATGGCCAGGCTGCCTCTGCTATGAGGCAGTGCGTGTTCTTGCATCATTATGTGTTCCCCCAGAACAGAAACGAGGGGCTGGGGCTGGCCCTCAGACACAATTCTCCTATTTACTTCCTGGGGCAGCCATAACAAAGCACCACAAGCTGGGGGTGCTTAAATGACAGGAAGGTACTCTCTCAGCTGGGGATCCAGCATCTAGATGTGGGCAGAGCTGCTCCTCCTGAGGCTCCTCCTAACTCTGGTGGTTGCTGGTGATCAAAGGGCCTCACTGAGTTCCCTCAGGGGTGGAAGGTGCTCCTCAACAGGCAGCAGGACCTGCCTCCCAGGGCTCCCCAACTCTCCTTAGCAGGAAGAGGCATCATGAAAGTGGGCTCCCATAAGTGGCCCAAGTGCCAAGCCCTGGGCGCCATGCTTGTGCAGGACAGTGCATTTCCTCTTGTTGATCTGTGAGGGAAGGATGACACGCCCAGTGTACAGAGGAGGAAACTGAGGTCCCAAGAAGCCGAGAAATGTTACTCAAAGTCCCACAGTTAGACAGGATTGCTCAAGGCTTATTTGACTTCCAAGTCCTTGTTCTTCCTACAGCACCAACCTGCCATTTATAATATGATGCTGAATGCATTTCCTCCTCTAGAGGTTGATCAAAACTAAATCAGGAAATCAGTGGTGCCTACAGAAACCAGTGTTTATGATTCACATCTTTCAAGGCAGGAATGGGAAGCAAATGCTTCTGGGGGATCGCGATGACATGGAGGTGAATTCCTCCAGCAAATGTGATTGTGGAGTTACCGCGTGGTGAGATAAGTAGGGGAGGGCATCTGGGTTAAAAATAGACATTAAAAAATGCTCCCGAACACAGTTTGGAGATTGAAGGTGTACAGGAAACTGGGACACTGATCAAGCCCCAGTGGGACAGACTATTCCGAAGGAAGCCCGGAGGAGAACCATGACTCCACCTGCCCCCTTCTGCTGGAGGAGTAGAGGCGTCCTGGCAGCTTCACTCGCTCAGGCAGGATGGAGGTGACATAAATGTTTCCTGCACCAAAGCATTCAGAGCTAGGTTAGGAAAGTACAGACAAGAAGAAAGGACAGCAGTCACAAAACTGGCCTTTCTAGTTCTTCCTTAGATCTCATAGTGAGCTCAGTAGCAACTGGGGTAAAGTAGGTGCTCCTACTTCAGCAAGGACGAATCATAAGATGACCCCATCCCATCACCGAGTCCCCTCATTTTCCACCTTTCTCTCACTGGCTCCCCAATCCCAAGTGTACCTCTGCTCCAACATCCACCCCTCCTCACTTCCACCTTTAGCGCCTACCTGAGTGGATCTCGCTGGGCCTGTGAACCCCTCAGCCACAGGTGCTGTTTCTCCAGGGCCCTCCATGGGGTCCTGGGCTTTCCAGGGCTCCTCATGCCCTAAGCCTACTGAGGACAAGCCTCCAGGAGCTAACTGCACACAGTGCTCCCACACTCTGGATAGACAAGGTGTTGTGGTCTCTGTCTAGTACCACAGGTCATGAGGCTGAGACAGTTTCATCAAGTTCAAAGACAGGCACTGATGATTTGCTTCTGTTACCCTGTGAGATTTAAATGACAGAATCATGTGGCTACTCTCATTTTTTCCCTTCCCTTCCCTTTCCTTTCCTTTTCTTTCCTTTCATTTCCTTTCTGACACAGGGATTTGCTGTGTCACCCAGGCTGGAGTACAGCAGTACCTTCTCTGCTTATTGAAGCCTTGATCTCCTAGGCTCAGGTGATCCTCCCACCACAGCCCCCCAGGCAGCTGGGATTACAAGTACGTACCATCACACCTGGCTAAGTTTTTGTATTTTTCATAGAGCCAGGGCCTCACTATGTTGTCCAGTACGGTCTCGAACTCCTGGACTCAAGCAATCCTCTCACCTCAGCCTCACAAATTGCTGGGATTACAAGCGTGAGCCACTGTGCCCAGCTTTTTTCTTTTCTTTTTTTTCTTTTTTTTTTTTGGACAGAGTCTCATTCTGTTGCTCAGGCTGAGTGCATTGGTGTAATCATGGCTCACTGTAGCCTTGACCTCCGGGCTCAAGTGACCCTCCTGCCTCAGCCTTCTGAGTAGATGGGATTACAGGTGTGTGCCACCATGCCTGGCTTTTTAAATTATTCTTATTATTTGTATAGGTCTTGAACTCCTGGGCTCAAGCAATCTACCCACCTCAGCCTCCCAAAGTGCTGGGATTACAGGTGTGAACCACCATGCCCAGCCCTCATTCTCATTTATTCTGAGAACGTGAGAAATTGTCCAGGAAGCCCTCCCTTCCTACTCATTAGGTGAGGTCACATTCTGCCACCTGCCAGACCCACTCAGCTCTGTGCGCAGTGCCACGCCAGGCCCACTGGAGCTGCCCAAGACTGTGGTCAGCCTCTCTGCTCCCATGGAAGCAACTGGAGAGAAGAGTGAGAAATATGAGTCAAAAAGTTGTGTGGCGACGTGGGGTGGGGGATCCTTTCCTGCAGGACATGAGAAAAATGGATGGTGAATGGCAGAGTTTGAGGAGGACCATATGTAGGCACTTGTCTTTCTGTATCTATGTCAAAAAAGCATAATTTTAAGAAAGAAATTGAGTTCTGTCATTTTAAAAGTCGGAAACTTTAATCAAACTCTACCTCTGCTATCTACCAGGTATTTGCAACTCTGAACAAATTATTTTGCTTATATAAGCCTTTATTTCCTCAACCTGTAAACTTGAGATAATAAGTCTTGTTTCCCTCACCTCAAAAGGTTGCTGGATGAGCCTATTATATTGGGAATTAAATGTAGGTTTGGTTTTTTCTGGCCAAGTATAAAGCACTGTAAAAATGCAGGGTATTTACTCTTGCCCTATGGTAAAGAGAAAATTAAAGTAATTGGTGCTATTATATTCTACTCCTAGCTTTTGTGAAAGATTTAGTGTAGATTATATAAACTCTTAAAAAGCTTTATTGTATGTTGATCAACAAAAACGTCTGTTTGAAAGACGTGATGCCTGAAAAAGTAATATGTTTATTAAACCTAATAAATGCATCTGTATAAAAGCATCCAGATTCTACCATTTTCAAGGGACTGTTGCAAAGATCCAAGGGCACCGTGAGGCTGCAAACCTCCTTGAACTCTGAAAAGCAATTCACGTATTAGTTGTGGCTGATATTATGATGAGTGCAAGCTGCAGGCAGCAGCGTGGCCAGCCCTGAGTCCACCAGAGGGAGACGAATCACACCACTGGAGGCTCAGGGGAGACATCAGCTGTGAGGGGGCAGCAGGATGATTGCCATGAAAGGGAGGACAATGGAAGAGAAGGGAGGAGATGGACATGGGGTTGGGAGAGCCACAGGGACAGAGAGCATGGAGAGCCCCAAGCAGAGAGTGGCAGAGGGGCACTCAGAGACACCCTCACCGCCCCTGGTGGATACCGTTTAGCTCCCTCAAAAGACGAGGAGCGCTTGAGCAGGGAAGGGGAGCCCCCAGAAGCATCCAGCCCAGCACTGGTCGGGAACTGGAACCAGCCGCTGAGGCTCCCGTTCTACCCCAGGGCACTGACAAGTCACGAGGCTGCAAATCCTAGGTATTTACCCACCTCACTTCCTGGTCTTTAAGATTGCAGCTGCCAAAACCTTGTCATCGTCCTACGATTGTTTTCAGGGGTTTCAGCTCGACTACTTTAATGCAATGACAGTGTCACATTTATATCCTGGAACCCATCCAGATGCTCTGGAGGCCAGAACACCCTGCCAGGAGAGGATAATGAAGCAGATGACACCTAAGAGGGTTGCAGGCCCAGCTGACAACCCCCTACCCCAGCCTGAGTTGGCAACCTTTGGACATAGTCCTCAGCTTGGGGGCAGAAGAGGCTGCTGGGGCCCCCTGAGGTGCTGTTGTCTTCTGAAAGCTTCCTCATTCTGGTTGTGCTGAGCAGGGAGGTCAAAGCCTCTTACTCCAAAAAGTCAGCAGATCATTAGTCTAATTAGCATAATAAAGCTGGCATTTTCGCTTGGCTCTGAGCCTGGAGTTAAGTAGCTTACAGTTGTGCAGGGTGTGGACTGCACAACCCAACGGTTCTCATTCCCATGGACTTGCTAGACATGGCACCCCCCAGAGGCTGTTCAGTGTCCAGCTTGTTTAACCCTGAGCAGGGTCTGGAAGTTAGGGACCTACAGGCTATGGTGGTGTAGGGAGGAAAATGGGCTTACCTGCTAGTGAAGACTGCGGGAGGTCAGTGTTTAGGGAGGAAAGAAAATCAACAGGAAATGTGGAATACGCGTTTCTTCCACTCTGTTCTCCAGGATTTTCATTCCTTGGCCAGTTGCTTCCGGGAATTTATTCCCTTGTCTGGAAATACCATCTCTCTGTTGTTCCTTGAAAACAAAGAACAGAAACATAAGAGAAATCCTTTCATTACCTGGTACAGGGCTACCCATGGACACAATGAGGGGCCTGTAGGAGCAAACAATGGGGGATTCATTGACCCCACTGAAAGAAATACGCACAAGCAGGCGAACCAACCCACATCTTTTTTGTTGTTGTTGTTTATTTGTTTGTTTTGCTTTCACAATATTCTAACCGGGAAAAAAGCAAGTTTGATTCACAGGAGGAAAAAGCGGTTGGAGACTTATGCAAACTGTTGTGATATTTGCACCCATATTCTAAAAAGGAACCCCGTGCATGCCGACCCCTGCCCACACAAGCAAGGGGGTCTGGAGAAAGTGAGCATTTGCCATGAAAGCGGCAAGGAGGGTTTCTAAGATGCGACCTGCTTGCAAACCAGCCCAAGCTTCACTGCAATGTTCTTTTCAACTGTTTCCACCATTCTGAAGGTGGATGGCAGATGAGACCCTGGCCAGTCTCTGCAGCCGTGGAGACAAAAACTACAGGCTCAAGAACAAGGACTGGTGCTCAGTGAGAACTGCCCAACTCTCCCCAGCTCCCCCAAACCCGCTTTGTCCATTAAACAATCGGGAAACGGAGAAAAATATTTGCAGACACAATGTGGTCTGAGGTTGATACATTCTTATCTAGAGTAGATTCATCTTGGATAAACAGACACTGTTCATTTTCCTAAGACACAGGGCATTTCGTGCAGGTTCAGTGACAGAGCGGCTGGCTGTTTCTGCAAGTGGGGGTGCGTGGAGAGGGAGATGCAGAACAGTCGCGTCCCCACTTCTGCAAGCTAACTGGTTGTGCTTCTCGAAAAGGCTACCATCCCCGGGAGACACTGCAGCTTCCCCTGTGAAAAGGAACCTCACTATCCCAAAATGGCACCAAATGCTCAAAGACAGTGTAGGTGGGTCAGGGCAGCCCCACCCTGCCGCTGCTGCGGAGCGGAACGAGCTTCCTCTTCCTTCTAAGATTCAACAACTACTCATTGAGCATTTAACCAGTTTCTGCCACTTGCCAGTTGTGCCTCAGTTTCCTCATCTGTAAACAAGGGTGACAATTGTTAGATCTGCCATGCATGATGTTGCGAAGATTCAATGAGCTGATACTGTAGCTGCTTAGAAGAAGCCCCGGTCAACACAGGGCTGTGGTGAAGATTCAATGAACTGATACTGTAGCTGCTTAGAAGAAGCCAGGTCAACATGGGGCTGTCACGGAGATTCAATGAGCTGATACTGTAGCTGCTTAGAGGAAGCCCAGGTCAACATGGGGCTGTGGTGAAGATTCAATGAGCTGATACTGTAACGGCTTAGAAGAAGCCAGGTCAACATGGGGCTGTCATGGAGACTCAATAAGCTGATACTGTAGCTGCTTAGAAGAAGTCCAGCTCAACATGGGGCACATGCGCTGTCAGCCTCTATGACCACTTGCGGCATCCAAAGGCCCTGTGCCACAAGGTCAGAGCATGGGATGTCATGGGACAGAATTCCAAGCATTAATCTGTGAGTCTCCTTTGCCCTCCATATGCTTTCCTTCATAGCATCCCAGGGGCTCCTCTTAGGAGGAAATGAGAAGCAAAGGCTGCAGATGCTCACATCGAGTGTTCTTGGAAAGGCTGTTGACCTGAGCGCCAGGGAGATAATTCCAGATGCGGGCACCATTGGGGTTGGTTTTCTCCTCCCTCCTGGTGGGGATGGAGGGCACAGGATGCAGGTGAGGTGAGGACCGGGAGGACAGGGAGTTGTTTGAGAAAAACCTGCCAGGGTTGATGAGCCCTCCCTCAGTCAAGTAGTCTTGGGGAAACTGAGTCAGTGTCCAGGGGTTCTGCTTGTGGCTGGCTTCATGGGACCACCAACCAAAAGCAGCCAGCCATAGTCTGTGTCTCAGAAAATGTCCAGCCCCTCTGGCCATTCCACATGGAAGCCCCATCCAATGGTACTGGAGAGTCACCAGTCCTCCAGAGCACAGGTCGAGGCAGGGGGACTTGACGAGCAGTCTAGGACAGCCGGGGACCAGCCATATGCCTCAGGGGCAGCAGCGTGACACAGCACCTGTCCTGAAGGTGCTTGGGGCAGGACCAAGTGAAAGCCTGCGTGAGCACAGGGGGGCTGGTGTGAGAGCAGATGCAATGCGGTTTATGGCTAACGAGCCATCAAGAGATACTGATGTGTATGGGTGTGCTGTGTATGTGTCTGTATGTGGTAGTATGTGATGTGTTTGTGTGGTATGTAGTATGTATTGTGTGTGTGTAGCATTGCATGCGCAATGTGTGTGCCGCGTGTGGTGTGCAATGTGTGTGCCATATGTGTGGCGTGTGTGATGTGTGTGTGCTATGTGTGTGGTGTATAGCGTGTGTGTCCTGTGTGCTGTTTGCTTGTGTGATGTGTGGTATGTAGTGTTGTGTGGTGAGGGAGTATATATGATGTCTGTGTGGTGTGCAATGTGTGTGTCTGGGTGTGTGATATGTGGTGTGGTGGGGGAGTATATATGATGTGTGTGTGGTGTGCGATGTGTGTGTCTGAGTGTGTGATGTGTGGTGTGTAGTGTGGTGTGGTAAGGGAGTGTATATGATGTGTGTGCGGTATGCAATGTGTGTGTCTGAGTATGTGATGTCTGGTGTGTAGTGTTGTGTGGTGAGGGAGTGTATATGATGTGTGTGTGGTGTGTGATGTATGTGTCTGGGTGTGTGATGTGAGGTGTGTAGTGTGGTGTGGCGAGACAGTGTGTAAGTGTGATGTGTGCTTGTGTGTGTGGAGGTTGAGTGTCTCCATGTGTGTGTGTGTGATGGGGGAGAATGGGGTCTCTGAGCTTGGGGTGGTCAGGGAAACCTTCCTGTGTGCACCAGGACCTGGTGAGGCTTCTCCAGCAGGAGGAGAAATGGAACCCGATATGAGCAGCTGTTGGGGAAAAAAGCCCAAGATCACTTTCAACAATGCAGTTGTGGAGCACAGGTCAAGGCTTGGAAGAATGGAGGATGCCACTACCTGAGTAACTAAGGAATGTTTCCTCATTTGTGGGGTGGTCACGGTGAAAGTACCTTTGGGTTGTTGTGGGTTAGGAGAACCTAACTGCTGCAGCTGTCACATCTGCTACCCAGAAAGGGCTCTGAAGAGTTGCTACTGAAGCCCCTGATGATACTGTTCATCCATCATACCCTGCAACGTCGTTATTTTAATATTGTAAGCTATTAATGCAGTAAAATACTTTATTCAAGTATTGAAATCATCTAAGCTTCCTATTCCCTAGAGATGCATGAATAACAGAGCTCTGATGCTTATTTAAGTTTGTATAGGATTTTACATTTTGCAAAATATTCTCAAATACAAAATCATCTCATATCAGTTACCTTCCCCCACCACTGCCAATTAGTCTCTGGCTAGTGATGTAACCCTTATGTACCCCAGATTCCTCATCTGTTAAAATCAGGTTGATGGGAGGATTAAATGACTTAGTAAAGGTAAAGCGTTGGCATTTGTATACAGTAAGTGCTCAATAAATGTTAGCCAGCAACAATAAGTGTTGCTTCTCCGGGTAAGTTCTCTGCTTTACCTGAGATGCTTGGTCCTGGGGTTCCAGAGTCAGTCACCCTCATTGATAGAAGACAGACATGAAAGTGGGCCTGAGAACATGCAAAGGACATAAAAAGGAAGAAAGGAGAGAGAAAGTGAGAGAGGGAAAGAGTGAGAGAAAGAGAGGGAGAGAGAAGGGAGAGAGAGAGAGATTGAGATTGAAGGCCAGTGAGGTCATGTGCAGAAAAGATAGCCAAGATCACCAAACCACGGATGGCCCCATATACATGCAATTTCCATTTTCCTCTTCTGTTTTCTTTCCCAGCAGAATTTGCAAGCATATGGAAGTCAAGACCTAAGCCCAGTATCTTCCTGTGTTGTCTCTGGCTGGAGGGACAATAGAAGATCATTTAACCTGAATGTCCACATTGAGATCTGTTCATACTAACAGCACTTTCAGAATTGTATATATTAACAGCCCCATTTTTTATAGATATGGTAGCACAAAATATTAAATATGGAAAGTGGGTGTATTAGTCTGTTCTCATGCTGCTATAAGGACATACCTGAGACTGGGTAATTTATAAAGGAAGGAAGTTTAATTGACTCACAGTTATGCAGGACTAGGGAGGCCTCAGGAAACTTAGAAGGGGAAGCTAACACTTCCTTCTTCACATGGCGGCAGCAAGGAGAAGAATGGGTGCTCAGAGAAGGGGGAAGTCCCTGATAAAACCATCAGCTCTCATGAGAACTCACTCACAAGAGTGAGAACAGGATGGGGGAAACTGCCCCCATGATTCAGTTTTCTCTACCTGGTCCTTCCCAGGACACATGGGGATTATGGGAACTATAATTCAAGATGAAATTTTGGGTGGGGACACAGCCAAACCTTATCAGTAGGCATAGGAAGAAATAAGTGGACTTAAAAGAATTATGCCTTAAAAAAACAAAATACCCTGTAAATCAACTGGGTTTACATGAACAAATAAAAGAGGAGTTACACAAAATCCTATGTATTTAGTGACAAAAGACAATGAAAAAATTGTGTTTTCAGTCTTCTGTCCCAGATCAGAAGTTTGAGGGCCTGCTCATTTGAAAATGACTTTTTAAAACCCATGAAGTTATTTTTAATGGAAGTCTTACTTATTAAAGATTCTTGTTGCTATCTGCAGATCCCAAACAAGATTCTTTGGCGTCCTCAGCTTGCTCTTCTCCCTTTCCTTGGTAGACTTTTCTCTTTGTCTGTACTTCAAGTGCCTCCTGCCAAGTAGAAAATGAAGAGTCAGTCCGTGTGCTGGGCTCAGAGCCCTGCCGTTTTAGTGGCTTCATGGATGGCTTGGCACAACTAGGGAGCAATGGTGTCTCCCACACCTGAGATGGACCCTGTTGGACTCAGAGTGGCCAGCAGGATGTGGGTTGACCCCAGTAGCACATTAAGCTCAGCCCAGAGTGGCAGGAACTGAGGCGGCCAGGAGAATGTGCAAGGGCCACCCAGACTGTAGGACAAGCTAGGAATCCAGTAAAGAAGAGGGCCCTGGCAGTTCCTTTGGAATCCCTGTGATTCCTTCTTTCATTCATGGCTTCATTCATTCAACAAATATGTATTGAGCACTTGTGACATGCCACCTTCTGTTTTGGGTATTCAGGATACATCAGTCAACAGAATAGGCAAAGATTGATTGCTACCCTCGTGGAGCTTATGTGCTGGGGAGGGAGGTATGCAGGGAGACAGGGCACAGTGAGATGGTGAAAGTCCACAGCAAACACAATGAGCCATCCATTTGTGTGGTCTGTTATAAAATGATTAGAGCTGTGGAAGGACAGAAGAAAGGAAAGAGGAAGAGAGGGAGGGAGGAAGGGAGGGAGGGACAAATGGAGAGAAGGAAGGAAAGAAAGACAGGGAGGGAAGAAAGGAAAGAGAAAGAAAAAGAAAGAGAGAGAGAAAAGAAAAGAAAGAGAAAGAAAGGAAGGAAGGAAGAGAAAAGGAAAGGAAAGAAAGAAAAGAGGGAGGGGGAAAGGAAGAGAAGAAGGAAGGGAAAGAAAGGAAAGGAAAAAAGAAAGGAAGGCAGGCAAACAGGCAGGTAGAAAGAAGGAAGAAAAAAAGGAAAGAGGAAAATGAAAACCATAGGGAGTCAGGGAGTGCCTGGGCCAAGGCAGGGAGGAAGGGGCCTGGCTGTGACTGGAAATGGGAGGTGCCCTCTGGGCAAGGACTTGAGGAATTGTAGGAGTGTTCGTCCTGGAGCCATCCAGCAGGTAGCCTTCCAGGTAGAAGTAAGGGGCTGCAAGGAGGCCTTAAGGGTACAGCCCACCTGATCATTCCCCAGAGTCGCAATGAGGCTGGAGGCCTGAGGGGCTGGAGCAGAACAGATTGCAGTGGGAGAGCAAGGGGGCTTATGGACCACAGAGGGCCTCAAGGACCACTGTAAGATGCAGTCCCATGGGAACCATTGCAGGCTTTTAAACAGAGGAGGGACACTCTGTGCCATATTTTAACAAGATCACTGGGGCCGCTGGGCAGAGAACAGACCATGGGGACAAGGGTGGAGGCCAGAGACCTGCTGGAGGCTGTGGCAGGTGAGGGAGGATGGGAGCTGGGGCCAGGTGGCTGTGGAGAGGTGAGAAGCGGTTGGTCAGTTTCTGGTAAAGGTCGAAGGTAGATCCAGCATGACTCCTGACGGCTGGATGTGTGGTGTGAGAAAAAGAAGAGTCAAGGGTGTCTCCAAACTGTGGTCTGAACAGCAAGAGGGACAGATGGGACCTGTGGCTGAGGTGAGGAGGATGGCAGGTAGGGAAGAGAGGGGATGACAGAGCAGAAATTCCATGTGGATGCTGTAGAATCTGAGATGGATGTGAGGAAAGCCCAGTGGACTATCAAAGAGGCAGAGGGTATAAGAGTAGTGGGCATTCAGGAGAGGTCTGAGCTGGAACTAAAACAGATGAGATATTTTGAGTCATGATTGAAATGTGGGTGAGATCCCCAGAGATCAACAATGGACGGGGCGCAGGAAAGAACCAGGGACTGCACCCTGGCATCTCCAGCACTAAGAAGTGGAGGAGAAGAGGAGGAACCCACAAAAGAACCTGCGAAGGAGGGACTCAGAGGAAAGAGAAAAACCAAGAGAAAGACATTGCAGAAATCAAGAGAATGGAGTTAGAGTGGTCAGCACTGCATCAAATATTGCCAAGGGTTCAGGTCAGATGGGGACTGGGGTTTGAAGATGATTCCAAGTTTTATTCAAGAACTAATATAAAATACTCCATTCTGGAGTTTGCAGCCAAAGATTTTTTTTTTTTTTTTTTGAGACAGTCTTGCTCTGTCGCCCAGGCTGGAGCGCAGTGGTACAATCTCGGCTCACTATAACCTCCGCCTCCTGGGTTCAAGTGATTCTCCTGCCTCAGCCTCCCAAGTAGCTGGGACTATAGGCACGTGCCACCATGCACAGCTAATTTTTGTATTTTTAGTAGAGACAGAATTTCACCATGTTGGCCAGGATGGTCTTGGTATCTTGACCTCGTGATCCTCTGCCTCAGCCCCTCAAAGTGCTGGGATTACAGGCCTGAGTCACCGTGTCCAGCCCAAAGTCCTTCCTTGGGTTATGGAAGCTTATTCCCAGCTTGGTTTCCATCAAGTTCAATGTCCAATGAGGTGGCAGCTGAGACTTGAGGATATGACGTGTTTACCTTTGAACTTTGCGTACAAAATACCCCAGCTGAAGGTCCCTCACAGAGAGTTTGGAAAATAAAAACACTACGACCATCACATTCCCAAGCAGAAGGAAAGACAAATTCATGAGCAAATCACCACATTCATAAACAGAAAGCCACCAGCCTTCAAGAAGAGATAAGGCAAGGCTGTTCTCATTTCATGGGACGTTGTTACTGTTCTACTGTTCATCTCTATAAAGTATAGATACATGAAAGTATTTTTTTTCAAACGCAAATAAAAGTTCTTCTCTTAAATGAAAATAACCTAAAAACAGCAATAAAGCCTAAAAGAAATGTGCTGCCCTCAAATTCTTCCTGACGTTATACCACGGATCTGATTCTCCAGGGCTGGAATCCAGTGTTTCCACCCAGGAGGGGCAAGTTCCTTCACTTCCCTGGGTGTTGATGGTCTCACTTATAGGTTGGGGATAGCACCCACAATCCACAGTTCCTTAAGAATTTTTTGAGACTGAGTGATTTGTGGCTGGTAAACAGTAATGAGGATGATAGTGATTACCTAGCTTTAAACAGATTTCCCAAGGAGATAAGTTTCTACCAAGGTTCTTTGCCTTGTCAGAAAGCTCCAAAGGCTGAATGGCGGGCGTCCCAGCTCCCAGATCCCCATCCTGATAAAACCCTGGTGTGCCCACCCCGAGTTTCCCAAGTGACTCCAAAGAGAATGTTACCCAGAGGAGAGCAACTGGCTCCCAGATCTGTAGGAGAACTTTTGACATTTTCTCATCATCATGCAAGGGACTGAGGCTCTTTGCAGGATATGGATGGCTCAAGGGAACTAATAGGAACAGTGGCGTGTGGTTCCAATCCCACGTCTGCAGTTTAAAAACAAATGGCTGCAATTGCATTGTGTACACAGGCCTACATCCTCCTCTCTGCTCCGGGGAGAAGAATAAAGGTGTGACTTTCTTTGTTAAGTGCTTTCTTCCCTACCCTGGAATCAGCCTCCACCCACCTGAAAGGGAGGGAAGAGGAGGAGCCCCAACCTTCCAGAAGAAAAAGCAAACAAATTCCACCCTCCAAACCCAACCCAACCCAACCCAACGCTAGGAAGCCAGGTTCCATTTGTGTGGCTTAGCACAGAGGGACACCACCCCAGCTTCCGGTTTAAGTTTATGTAAAAAGAGTTTAAAAATATGTCTGAACCTATATTATCCCATCACCATCAGGAATAGTAATTAGTATTAATTAAAATAATACCCAGTGACTAGGGCTTAAAACGTACCAGCTTTATGTGAGGTGATTGACATGTATTCCTACCTAATTTCACAAATATTTGATGAACTGGGCCCTATCTCCCATTTAACAGAGGAGGAAGCCAAGGTGTGAAGAGTGGATATGGTGTGCTGGGGAGCACACAGCTGGTGGATCCTGAGTAACAATGCAGTCCTTGGGGTGACCTCCCTTCCCCCTCCCTGTTAAGCTCTCTCCCACTCTCCACCCCCAACCTCTGCTCTCATCACACGCCAGCCCCACCCACACCCCGGCCAGACTCTTTTTCTTTTTTCCTTCCCTTTTCCCTCTCATTCTTACCCTACTCCTCCAACTCAAAGAGTTAGTTGACGGCTGGATGTGGTGGCTCACGCCTGTAATCCCAGCACTTTGGGAAGTCAAGGCGGGTGGACTGCCTAAGCTCTGGAGTTTGAGACCAGCCTGGACAACATGGTGAAACCCTGTCTCTACTAAAAAAAAAAAAAAAAAAAAAAAAATTGGCTGAGCGCGGATGTGGGCACCTGTAATTCCAGCTACTTAGGAGGCTGAGGCAGGAGAATCGCTTAAACCCGGGAGGCGGAATTTGCAGTGAGCCGAGATCATGTCACTGCACTCCAGACTGGGTGACAAAGTGAAACTCCATCTTAAAAAAGAAAAAAAATAAAAATAAAATTAAAGTATAGCACGTACAATTATATACAGCATGTAATACTTGGTAATAATAATAAACAACTATTTTACTGATTTATCAATTTGCTATACTTCTAATCATTATTTTAGAGGGTACTCCTTCCAATTATAAAAATAAGTTAACTGTAAACAGCCTCATGCAGGTCCTCCAGGAGGTATCCAGAAGCAGGCGTTGTTATCACAGGAGACATTATCGCCCCTGAAGACCTTCCAGTGGGACAAGATGTGTAGGCAGAAGACCGTGACACTGAGAATCCTGACCCCATGTAGGCCTAGGCTAATGTGTGTATGTGTCTTGGTTTTTAATGAAACAGTTTACAAAGTAAATAAACAAAATAAAAAATTTTTTAAATGGAGAAAAGTTTATAGAATTAGGATGTAAAGAAAATATTTCTGTACAGCTGTATAATGTGTTTGTATTTTAAGTTATGATTATAAAAGTCAAAAAGTTAAAAATAATAAAGTGTATAAAGTACAAGTTATAGTCAGCTAAAATTAATTTATTATTGAAGGAAGAAAAAATTTTTTTTTGAAGGAAGAAAAATTTTTAAATAAATTTAGTGTAACCTGAGTGTGTAGTGCTTATAATGTCTACAGTAGTGGACGGTAAAGTCCCTGGCCTTCACATTCACACACAACTTAGTCACTCTCCCAGAGCAACATCCAGTCCTGCAAGCTCCATCCACAGTAAGTGCCCTACACGGGTGTCCCATTTTTTACCTTCTATAGTGTATTTTTACTCTATCTTTTCTATGTTTAGATATGTTTAGATACACAAGTATTTACCATTATTTTGCAATTGTCTACAGTATTCAGTACAATCACATGTTTTACAGATTTGTAGTGTAGCAGCAGCAGTCCATACCATATGGCCTAGGTGCGTAGTAGGCTATGACATCTAGGCATGTGTGAGTATATTGCATGTTGTTCACACAATGATGAAATCTCCTGATGACATATTTCTTAGAGTGTATTCCATTATTAAGCAATGCCTGACTGTACTTTTTTTCTGGTCATGTTATCCACAATTGTTCAGATTCATTCGTTTCACTTATATGACTGTTTCTCAGATACTTCACCTTCTTTTTCTTGAATTCCTCCTTCTGATTCATTTTGTCCATTGGGTTGATGTATTTTGTGAGTAAAAATACAGTGATGGCACATGGAAGGTAAACCATACTTTTTCTGCTTCCTCCCACAAGACAGATAGTTGGGCTGGATATAGAATTCTGGAGTGTGTCACTTTCCCTGGGATCTGTTGCTCTAGTGTTTGCTACCATCTAGTCTTCCAGAGAGTCTCATGCCAGCCGGACACACATTTAAACAATTTCTCTTTATCTTTTGAATTCTTAAGTGTCTTTTAAAATAACCCCCCAAGCATTTGGCAAACATTGTTGATCTGATGTCTTCAGCTCAAGGAAAACTTCTTGTTCCTTTGATCTTTGTTTTACCTCCACCATTTCTGTTCTCTTTTCTTGGACTCCTGTGACATGGAAGGAAAAGTCTCCTGGATCTCTTTTTGTTCCTTTCTTCATTTCCATCTCTTTGCTTTTTTGTTCAGAGGCTGTGATAATGCCTTAAATTACACTAAACCGATACTTCACGACATCAGATTTTAGCTTAGTCCCTTCTGCCATTTACTACGTCCACTCAGCTTTTCTTTTACTCTCAAAAATTATACTTTTATCTCCAGTGATTATTTTTTAGCTCCTATTGCTCTTTTATTTTTTTTAAGTAAAAGCTCTTATTTCCTTGATAGAATAGCTTCTAAAATCTACCTGAGAGGGGGAAATGTAGAATGATTTCTTAGGTTCTCCAGGGCCCTCTCAGCTCAGTGGCCCTCCCTCAGCTGCGGATCCCATGTGCTGGGGTCTTTTTACCATCTACACATATTGATATGTGCCAGCTAAGGTGGATGAATTTGGGCAGCTAGTGTGGGCTCTCTCTGTCAGTAGTTTAATAGGAGTCTTTGGGAGACAGTGAAGGGAATGGAATTGTGGGCAAGGGTAGCGGGCACACTCCCCTTTGGGTGTGGTGCAGAGGTAGGATGGAGGCAGGCGGGATAAAGGCTGAGCTCCAATGCGGGTAGGATGGAGGCAGGCAGGATAAAGGCTGAGCTCCAATGTGCCGGGTGGCAGCTGGCACTTGAGCCAGCTAAGTGGCTGTGGAAGGTCAATCTGCAGGCCAAGGCTGGATAGTCACCTTCTGTGGGGGACACTGTGGTGGAATTATTGAGGTTCTCTAATTAATTCTCCCACAACTGCCCCAGGTTTACCTTTCCTGACCCCCAACCCCACTTCTGGCCTCTGCACTGGTGAGATCTTAGGGCTTTCTCTGAGAGGGCGCTGGAAAGTCCAGAGAAGCACATGCAAAGCCGAGCCTAAGAGCATTTCACGGCTGCCGGGGGTCTCTTCTCCCACCTTTTACATCACAGCATCAGCATCGTAAGGTGAACTGCAGCACCGCCCTCTTCTCTTGGGGTTCCTGTTGTCGGCTAAGGGCCCTGCCAGGCCAGATGCCCCGAAGCACTTGATCTCATTAAACTGATCGAATTTAAACAGGACCAGCCAGGGGTTCCGAAACTCTGCTGAGCACAAGAATCTCCCGGGGAGGGTGTGAACATGCAGATGCCCAGCTGCGCCCTGCAGTCTGACTTGCATTTTCTCTTGCCCTTTCTTCCTTATTTTCCCCCTTCCCTCCCTCCTTCACTGTTTTACTTTTTTCCTCTGATCAACTCATAAATCTGCCCAAAGGACAATCTCCAAATGGTCCCTGTGAAAACAGACACTTTTGCAGGCTCTAGCTTCCATTGGTCTTCCTCCAGATTTTTACCAGGGAAGGGGAGAGATGAAGACTTTCAGAAAATGACCACATAAATACAATACATTCTTGAAACACTTGTGTTGCCAAAGGAGTCAGTCTGCTGTGGCCAGCAACCCACTTCAGATTTTGCCACTCCAGGATTCCTCATTCCTGCTTGCGTTGGCATTAATACCAATTAGTCACGATGATCTGAAAGCCCCCGCGAATTCCAGAAGGATGCTGCATGTTCTAAAGACAATTCCATTCCCTCACCTAGGCTTCACCACTGCACAATTCATCCACGTTACCCAAAACCACTGGTACCCCCCAAAAGTACAGAGGGGATACTTTAATATATATAGAAATATATATTACATATATATATATATATATATATATATATATATATATATATAAAATTAAACACTCAAAGAACTACATACCTAAAAAGGTGAAATTTGCTTTATGTAAACCATGTCTCAATAAACGTAATATAAAAGAAAGAAAAGGGGCTGGGCGCTGTGGCTCATGCCTGTAATCCTAGCACTTTGGGAGGCCAAGGCGGGCAGACCATGAGGTCAGGAGATCGAGACCATCCTGGCTAACACGGTGAAACCCCGTCTCTACCAAAAATACAACAAATTAGCCGGGCATGGTGGCAGGCACCTGTAGTCCCAGCTACTCAGGAGGCTGAGGCAGGAGAATGGCGTGAATCTGGGAGCGGAGGTTGCAGTGAGCCGAGATCGCGCCACTGCACTCCAGCCTGGGAGACACAGCGAGACTGCCTCTCAAAAAAAAAAAAAGAAAGAAAGAAAAGAAATGGACAGTGTTCTTGGTGCGCTGGGAAAGGTGGAACAGTGCAGTTACAGAGTGGGAAACAGAGGGCATTCAGACCAAGCCCAAGAAATAAGGAGGTCAGGCAGTCGACATAGGCACCCCAAAAGTCACAGATACACATAGCCAAGGGGGTCACAGGCTTAAAACCCTAGATGACACTCTCAGGAAAGGAAAACCAGTGTCTGCTGAGCGACTGCTATGTTCCAAGTGTTGCCCAGTTTCACCAGCTCTAATGATACTAGGATACATGCCTCGACCAAAAGAACCATCCTTTCATGTACTACTAAAAGCATGCTACCATTAAACCATGATACTTTATTATTATTATTTAGGATTTCTGTTTTGTATGTATGAAGAAGGCTGGGCCCTATTTAGACATTCTTATATAAACATTATATATAGGTGAAATCAATTGTTAAATCATTCCTAACATTTTCCACACTCAGGCTAACTCTTCTGAATCACATTTGGACTTGGAGTCATCAATATCCATGTTTTTCCATGCGCTGTCATCTTCTTTGCCATTAAGATGTCAGGTGGTAGAGAATTTCATAAGAGTAGCATATGAGTTTCCTATACACTGCAGTCACAAATTATCACAACTTTTGTGGCTTAAAACAAAGCAAACCTTGTCTTCTACTTCTCCGGGTCAGAGGTCTGCCACAGGCCTCACTGGGCTGTCAAGGGGTCACAGGATTGCTTTGCTTTCTGGAGTCCACTTCCTTGCTGTTGCCAGTTTCTCCAGCAGCCTGTGTTCCCTGGCTCATGGCCTCTACCGCTGCTACAAAGCCAGCAACGTTGCATCTCTCTGACCCACCATTCTTCCACAGTCATGGCACCCTCTGAGCACAGCTGGAAAGGTTCTCTGATTTTAAGGATGCACTTGATTAGCTTGGGCTAGCATCTGGATTAACCAAAATAACCTCCCCATCTCAAAGATCTTCCTTGAATCACATCTTCACAGTTCTTTTTGCCATGTAAGGCAACTGATTTCTTGGTTCTGGGGATTAGGGCAAAGACATCCTTGGGGGACACTGTCCTCCTCACTACAAGCAGTTTCCTATGGTCTCCAGAACACCCCCAGCCCCTGACACCTTCCTGAAAATGTTTATGCTGGGGCTCTCTTGACACTGTCAGAAGCTGTCAACAGGAAGGTGTTAGACACCTTCTCCAATGATCCTTAGTCATTTGGTAACTAAAATGTCAGGAGAGTGGTTTCCCATCATGACACCAGGAATTACAACAATATGCCTACCCTCACCATGCCATGGCTGTGGCATGGAGAACATAAGACGCTACAGTGGCGTCTGCATCCTGGCTTTGGAGTGGTTAAACTAGGAACAAACAGAACTGAGAGACTGTAGAATATGATTTCATCCTCAGGAAGCCCACTACAGTGAGTCAACTGAGACTTACTGACACACAACTTCAGGAGGGGCCATTCATGTTGAGTCTATGAGAATATGCCCTCGGAGGTGGCCGGTAGACATGGAAATAAGGAAACCAGAGCTCAGGGGGCAGAAAATTGCCTGGAACATGCCAACGGTCTAAGCAGAATCAGAAGTTGATCCCAGGTCTTGAGGCTCAGAGCCTCTGAGCCTTCCATGGAGTATCTCCACGCTCATTAATACAGGAGGGCTGATGGTAAACAGACATTTGGAAACCTCTATCATTTTAGCCACCCACCTCTCTAGGTAGAACCTCGCCTAGCTGGGACCTTGCTGATGTAATATCATAGTAATGGGCCTTATTTATCCAACTGATATGCTCCTGAAAGCATGCACGGCTTTCTGTAAATGGGAATCCATTTTAAATACATGAGGAAAAATTGTTCTTTAAAGGAAGTCCGAGGTGAATCCCTACTTCCCTCTGGTCCCAAAGGTACCTAATTAGTCATTTGAAGAAGGCGACATGGGTTAGGTAAAAGAATATTTAGGCTTCTGAAGCTGACTGGGTTCAAATCCGGGATCGTCATTTCCTCACTGTGATGTCAGACGAGTCATCAACTCTCTCCCTCCGCGTCGTCCTCTGTGATGCAGGTGCATGTGCCTACCTGGGAGTGTTGGAGGATAAGAGTCCCAGGACATGGTGGGAGCTCAGCGTTCCTGTCCCTCAATTTCTTTTTATAAGGAAAATTATCATCCCTACCATCCCTGCCTCCCACTGCTTGAGGAGCAAAATGAGGCAGGATTTGTGATATTGCTCTGAAAATTGAACAGCACCAGCACCAGGCAAACAGGAGAGATTATGATGCAGATGGCTGTGTGTTGAGTGCTCCCATCACATGAGAGTCCTATGATGCTTCTTCCCTGTGCTGCGAGGGCTTCATCTCCTAAGCACTAAATGCTAAATTCCCCCTCCCACGCCCATCGCCACTGTCCTCACGGATCCTCGCAGCAGCTTCCCAATCGGTCTCCCTGTCTCCAGCCTCACCACCCCCAACTCTCCTCCACCTAGAAGCTAGAGTGGTGTTCCCAAAAAGGAAACATATTTACAGTCAGTCTGTCTCCTGCCAAATTGTAATTTCTGATGGAAGGGGCTTTCTGGGTGTTATTCGCCCATGTGAGCCCGCCTCTAGCGTGGAGCTTGGCACAGGGAGGGTTCAGCATATGTCTGTTAAGTGCCCGGTTATGGATGCAGCCTGTAGGGTTCCACTGGCCTATTGCACTTTCTGTGTCCTGCCAGGATGCGGGTGGCATTCTGGAGGCCTCTCCAGCTGGGGCAGTCCATGAGCTCCAGAAAGTTCACATCAAAGGGGTGGCCCTGGCTCCATGAGGAAGAGTACAGGCTCTGAAATCAGACCCAGGGTTCTGAATACCATTCCCACCTCTCACCAATCAACTATCAATTCTGTGCCTCAGTTTCTCGTCTGTAAAATGAGAATGATAATAATGCCTGCTAATAGGGTCATTTTTGTATTAAATAACTGAGAATATTGCCTGAAATCCTTGCCAACCCACATTATTTTGAAACAAGTCTCATTTCATCCATAAATATGGCAGCATGTGTCTCCACTAGATAAGAGCTCTCACACACACAATACCACTATCACACCTAAAGTATTAACAATAATTCCATAATATCATCCAACCAGTGTTCAAATTTCTCTAATTGTCTCATAAACAATTTTGTCATTTTGTTCAAATCAGGACTGAATAAGGTCCATCTATTGCAAGAGACTGATAGGGGTACTGGGATTCTTTTGATCTATAGCAGGGGTTGGCAGACTTTCACTGAAAAGGGTTAGACAGCAAGTATTTTGGTCTTTGTGGGCCCTTCTGTCTTTGTTGCTATGACTTAAACGAATGGCTATGGCTGTGTTTCAATAAAACTTTATTTATAAAAACAGGCAGTTGGCCAGATTTGGTCCCAAGAAGGCAGATTGCTAACCTGTGATGTACAGGCTTGTTCAGATTCAGGGTTTTTTTGTTTTGTTTTGTTTGGCGATAACATGTCATAGATGGGTAGCATTGCGGATTTCCATCCGAAGGCTTAGAATGTCAGGGTGTTTCTCTTTCCCTCTCCCTCTAATATTATCAGCCATGTACATTCGGTGTCCAGATTCATTAACTCATTAAGGGAAGTAAAATGGCAACATTCTAATTCTATCGTCCCTTCATTTATTAGCTGCAATACTTTTACAAAGAGAAACTCGCCTTTATCTACTATTTGCTTATACTGACGTATAGTTTGTACAGGAAAGTTAAGATAATACATGCTTGATCCCTTTCCTTTCTTTACCAGCTTTTAAAAATAATGAGTTGGGCTTCTTAGCATTCTTCAAAGATAATCAATGTACTTTTAAAAAGAACATTATGAGCAAATAGATTTCAACATAATTGAAGTGTTTTGAGGCATTGCAGTTACTGCCTTTAATGATGTTTAAATTGTCTCCGTTTTGCCCCAGCTTATGACAAGACCTCAGAAGTCTTTGATAACATCCTTGCTTTCTGGTGTGATGAGATATTCTAGGGTTATCTTATTCAGTTTATAAAATCAGCCTTCTCCAAAAAGCCCTGGTTCTCTCTGGAGGGAAGTGATATTTAGTAACCCTAATATGATACTAAGGATACTTATTGTTTCCAGAACTTTTCAGTAGATATATCAAAGGATCATTTTTTTAAAGGCCTCAGAAATACAGAATTCAGAATACTGAAATTTCTGAATCAGTTCAGGACCACAGCTGGCGCCTCTATGGGTAAGGTAAGTATGTGGGAGGTAAGATCCCCCATGATCAAAGCTGTTTGCGTCCCTCGGCCCAGCCCGATCAAACTTCTGGATGCCATCAAAGAGATCTGCCTAACCTAAAGATCATTGTTCTTTAAAAGAAAAACAAGTTCATTAATCATGTGAGGAGGCTTGGGGCCAGGATATAAAGTTAATGACAAGGGACTCCCTTCTATTAAAAGGACTATGTGCAAACAGGCATGCCTGGAGGAAGCCAAGGACCACGATAAAGGAAAACAAACACCTTATGATTCATCTAACATAGGCCCGGTTACAATCGCAGGTGTAAAAGGAACTGGGAGCTGGCAGTGAGAGACAACAAACATCAGTGGAACATGGGATGGTGACTCTTTCTGGCTGAGCGCCACACGTTCCTACCAGGAATCTTCTATTAGTCATTTGGGCTGGAGAGTGAGATCCTTCCTCGCTCTCCACCGTCCAGGGTCATGTTTAATGGTGATGTTTGTTCTTTCCAAGGAGAGAAGGCCCATCTAATTGCAGGGCTTTTGTTTTCCTGAATGGACTCAGGAAGGCCATGGCTGAAAACGAGGGTGCTGAGAGGCTGTAAGGAGAAGGGAAGGAGTTGGAGGCTCTGGTGGAGTGAGGAAGAGCAGGGCAGTATCCCATGTCCTCTGATGTTAGGGGTGAGGTCAGGAGGGTGGGTCTCACCTTCTCCTTTCTCTGCCCTGCATCGGTCACCATGGTTTAAAAATCAATGCTATTCCATGAGAGGGCTGCCACTTATCATTTCAGTTCCAACACCTGGAAAGTAAAATTATTGTCTCCCAAATCCACCCAGCACCATAGGCTTGAATAGGGATCATATGCTCTAAGACCATTCATGAAAACAGAGACAACCAAGGAGACAGTCACCCAATGCTGTCCCTTCAGCTTGCATTATTTTCTGACAAGACAGCTCTGCCATCCATGGAAGCCTGTGTGCTCCTCCATCCCTGGATCTTTATGCATCCTTTTCCCCACAAACCCAAACCATCCCTCTTAAAATGAAAAGCTTAGGAATACTCACCCTAGACTGAGTCACGCGTTTCTTGTACAAACTTTAATTAGACTTGATTTTTTAAAAATTTCCCTTGTGGCTTTTAATTATTAGACAGAGCAAATGTCTCTAGTATTAAACTTATATGTCACATAGCCTCTTTATCAATGGCCCTAATACATTTCATGTGCTTTTCAGAAAGATTATATTCTTCCCAGAGCTGTCTGAATGTCTTTTTGAACCCCTCAAGACTGGACACCAAGGAGTATAAATAATCATTTTAAAAAAAATCACATTCCCTCCACAACCTTGAATCTGAAACGTGAATATATGAATAGAAGGGCTCTGGAATAACTATGCAGATTTATGGAGAATATCAACTTAAGTTATATCACGGGATCCAGCTATGCCTTTCTTCATGGAGTTGGGGATTTGTTAAAGTTGAGATATAGTTTGGGGGAAGTGTGATTTATGGTTAAAGTCATCTGAAAATCAATACATTTGAAGATCTCTGACATAAAGGTCCCTTGCAGAGCTAGACGTGATTCTAAAATTGGGAACACAGGAATAAAAATCAAATCTTGAGTAGAAGTAGCTGAAAATTGCAGTGATTCGGGGAAGCTTGGCTTCTAACTCCCCACTGTTTGAAGATGGGCTTGTTTGTTTTTTAAAACAGCCAACATAATTCAGCTGGAGGAGGTACAAAGAATTTTCTATTCCTTGTTTCTGTAGAAATCGATGGACTTTAGCTTGTCTAATTGTCCCCCCTGCCTTTAGTATCTAAAATAAAATAACCCTCGTTGCTTGCATTACTCAACGCATTTCTGCGTCTTGGCGTCTATGGCTAAACGAGTATTAATTAGACAGTCCGCAGAGAGCTGGCTGGGGATAGAAGGGGAGGTGGGGGAGAAGGGCAGGGATCACAGCAGGGTGGACTCGTGGCCCTGATTTGGGATCCTGACAGCAACTTACTAGGTGGCCTGAGGGCTGGGTGCCAGGGGAGGCAGCGGGTTCCAGTAGCATCTGACCTGCATTAGGGACAGGGGCGCGGCGGAGGGGGCGAAGGGGGCGGGGGTGGGGGGAAGGTGGCTGGGGTGAAGCCCAGCTTCGCAGCTAGCTGTGGGCAACAGAGGGAGTAAGGGGGGGCAATGAGGCTGGGGCCAGGCGCCAGCAGCAGCCACGCCCCCCACCTCCCCCGATTTTTAGGGAAAATTCTCCAAAGCTCTCGCATCCTCCTCTGCCTCCTTCCACCCTCCACCCTCCCAGCCTCCACTGAGACCTCTTTAAAACCACCCAGGGGCCGCCGGGGGATGAGGCCGGGGAACGGGCTGGACTGAGGGCGGGGGCTCGGGGGCAGCGGACGGGAAACGCCTCGAAAGCAGCCAGACCCGGCGACTGAAATGAGGCGGAGGAGCTTGGCGAGGGGAGGCGCAGGCTCGGAAAGGCGCGCGAGGCTCCAGGCTCCTTCCCGATCCACCGCTCTCCTCGCTGACCTCCGAGTCACCCCCGGAAGCTCCCGCCACTGCCGGGCGAATAGACCCCCGCGGACCCCCAAGCGCGCGGGGCCGGGGCCCTAGTTCAGGCCCTCGCTGCCCCTTTAAGGGTTCTCGAAACTTTCCCCCCGGTATCAGATGAGCCTCGTCACATCCGTTGGCCGTGGCCGCTGGGGCGCTTTCCGAGGAAATTCGGGACTCGAGTTTCCCGGGGAAGAGGCGCGGCCTGAGCCCGGCGAGGGTGGGGAGGGCAGGCGCAGGTGGACCCCGGCGCCCCCCGAGCCCCGCTGTGACCTTGGCCGCGGGGGAGGGGCTGGGCCGCTGCGGGGCAGTCGCGGCCGCCAGAGGGGGCAGCGGAGAAGAACTTGCCCAACTTGGCGGCGCGGGCTGGGGCGGCTCTGCGCCTCCGCGCCCGCCTCCCCGGCCTCCGCCTTCTCCCCTCCCGCGAGCCTCCTCCCCTCCCGCGAGCCTCCTCCCCTGGGCCCTCCTCCCGTCCTCCCCGCCGCCGCCGGTCCCGGTGCGCGCCCATCCCTGCCCGCAGCCCCGCGCGCCGGCCGAGTCGCTGAGCCGCGGCTGCCGGACGGGACGGGACCGGCTAGGCTGGGCGCGCCCCCCGGGCCCCGCCGTGGGCATGGGCGCACTGGCCCGGGCGCTGCTGCTGCCTCTGCTGGCCCAGTGGCTCCTGCGCGCCGCCCCGGAGCTGGCCCCCGCGCCCTTCACGCTGCCCCTCCGGGTGGCCGCGGCCACGAACCGCGTAGTTGCGCCCACCCCGGGACCCGGGACCCCTGCCGAGCGCCACGCCGACGGCTTGGCGCTCGCCCTGGAGCCTGCCCTGGCGTCCCCCGCGGGCGCCGCCAACTTCTTGGCCATGGTAGACAACCTGCAGGGGGACTCTGGCCGCGGCTACTACCTGGAGATGCTGATCGGGACCCCCCCGCAGAAGGTAGGGACCCCCGGCTGCTGCCGCGGGCTTTTCGGGCTCGTTGGAGGGAGGGGGCTGTCCAGAGACGCCTCCACGCGGCTTAGCGTCGCCCCCAAAGCAGCAGCTGTCCCCGCACAGAAGAGCGGGGAACGCAGAGGGGCTCGGGTGGGCCGGGGAGCGGGGGCGCTCGCTCTTGAGTCGCGGAGGACGGCAGCCCCCGCCCGGGGCGCACTGAGGGGTGTGCGCGAGTGTTTCAGAACTTGTGAGCTCCCCCTCCGCGGGGCTGGGCGGGAGAGGAGACCTGGAACTTGCCGCCTCCAATAACGTGATTTCCTTCTTGCGGGCGACACCTACTTCCAGCGGGAGACGGAGCGGTGGGCCTTGGGCGACGGGCTATTATGGGGAAAATCACCTCGTGTTCATACCCTCCCTCCCCCCCGCCCCCCCCCCACCCCACCACCATGCTGTCTCATTGCTAAAGAGGCTCGTGGCCGGCTTCCAAAGGCGCAGTACCCTTTAAAAAGGATTTATGCATGAGCTCAGCTAAAAGCAACCCGGTTAAGAAGTGGCTCGCTTGCTGCTCTGAGGAAGGAGCAGCGTCTCCCCTGCGCCCGCTTTCCTTTCTCGGAGTTGGTTTGTCAGCTGTGTCCTCGCTCATCCGGCGGCCCTGCCCCTCTGCACGGAGCGATGCATCTACACGCGGGTGTGCAGAGTGTGAAAAGCATTCCAGCTACCGGGAAAAAAACAGGGGCTGAGTGAGGTGTCCGGGGACCAAGTGGTATCCCGATTACAACACAAAAATAAAATCAAACAGCTTTCCTTTTCTCTTACTCTGATGTTCATTTACTAACACTTTTTGTAGCAAGAAACAAATGTTCCCAAGCACAGTGATCTGAAAAAAAAAAAAAAAAAATCCCAATTGATCTGCCCCCTCCTACTTTCAAACTGTCTAATCCAAGTGGGATTTGAAGTCCTTTGCTCAATTGAATGCACTATTTGAAGATAGTTTATTTTTATTTTTAACATTGTCATTTGGGTTTTGATTCAGCTATGATTCCCCCATAAATAGAACATACTCATGACTTTTGTATAATTCTCATTAAATTATTCAAGACTTTAAGAGGAAAGACATGCCATGCTAATTCTTTTAAAAAAGGAAACTGCCGAATAACTTCTGTAGTTGTTTAATTAGTTTAGGGGGAAAAAAAAACCTTCAAAAGCGTATATTCAAACTTTGATTCTAGTTGCCTTTCGTCTAAGTCATGGGAAGCCACGTGAGTGATCTTTGCCATCTCCAGGAGTGGATGGTTAGAGGGAGGGAATAGGAATCCCCATCAGCTGAGGGAGCTTAACTTGGCTGTAAGATGTGGTCTTGGTGCAGCCAACACGTGGGAACATGTGCCTGGTGCTGAGAACCTTGGAAATATGACAAGATATTGAGGAAGAACCTCTTCTGTGACCTGCAGAGAATCTTTTGGAACAGGCCTTGAATGAATCCCCATTGGACATGTGTGCTTTGATGCGAGGGAATTCTCTCTACTAAAAGTAAATGTGGGTGGTCTGAGGGCTATGATAAAAGAAGCCCTGAAACCCTCCCTCCAGAGCAAAGGGGAAAGGGAGAAGCCTGAAGAAGGACTAAAAAATACTTAACTTTGGCAATCAAAAAAAAAAAGCTTTTATAAATAATAACTTGCCTGTTAATTAATTCAATGACCTTTATTTTAAAATGATGAGGTTTAATTAATTTAATTAACAGAAATGTATTGAGTACCTAGGCTCCTGTCTTTACCGTAGCCAAGGCAGTAGTTGGTTCAAGATTACTTCTCAACCATTAGCATGTTTCCAGGGAGCGCTGCTTCTACAGAGACAGATTTAATTTTTACATGTGATGGGGAATGAAATATCCTGTACCTCCCTCCTGGCTTGATTTAGCGATAAGCTGCTTTATAACCAAATCTTTCCAAATGCCTACTGTAAAGTCAGGCTTTCCTGACTACTGCATTAGGATTCACTACCTGCCTGTGTTGCCCTGAAATGTCTCTGACCACCAGCAGGGTGTCAGCAGCCGGCTAGAGGGGGCAGCAGTGAGGTGACTTCTGAACCTGGAGTGAGCTTTCCTGCTCTATTAATGGCCAGGAGTCATGCATTTATTCTCTGCTGATTCTCTGAAGCCTAAAATAAAAATTGCTTAGGTGGAGAGAAAAATGGAATTGTAAATTCAAGCAATAAATAACCAAGAATTTTTCAAGAATTAAGTAATAGTCATAGACAATGTCTGAAAGCTCAGTACGTGACAAGCACTGCGCTCTGTGCTTTAGGTGTGCTTTCCCAGGAATCCCCACCCACCACCCACCACCCCTCGGGGGTCTTATACGCATTTGGGGGTGGGAAAACTGAAGCTCGGAGAGACTGAATGACTTTCCAGGGCAACAGGGCAAGAAAGAGGGAGGGCCAAAAATGGAAGCCAGGGAGCTGAACTTCAGAAGCCAAGTTCTGAACCACCAGACAGATAACGACTTCCTTCCCTTCATGCCTCCTGATCTCTTTGGTTTTGGCCTCAAACTACCCTTTCTAGCCAGAGAACCCTGAACGTACACCCCAAGGTGTTAGGGACTTATTGTATGACTGCAACTGGACCCTCCGGAACTCCGTGCTGTTCCCCCATCTCCTCTTTCCTTCAGCACTGCTGAATGAGCAACAGAATGAAGGGCTGGATCCAGGTGTGCACGGGAGAGGCCTTGAGAGGAGAGGTTCAACAGGAACCAGAGCCCTCCAGCTCCCCTTCTTTTATGGGAAAGTCAACTGTTGGAAGTGTGCTTGTTCCCCGAAGGCTTTAATCAGGAACTAGAGGTCCATTGTTTAAAGCCCAGTGACTCTGTGAGGAGTCACAGGCATGTGCCCGGAAGCCCGCCTGAGAGCTGCAAGGCGTGTGTGCTGGCAGGCAGGGCCACGTTGGCATGGAGATGACTGCCAGGTTTGCGGCTGATCCCATTATGTGGGTTCTTTCGAACTGTAGAACTTTTGAACAGTTCTTTCAACCAGCACCTGCTTGAACCGTGCAATTTGGTCTTATTAATAATAACACTCTTCTAAAGTAATTATAATTACAGCAATTTCTATTATGAAAAAAGAGACTTTCATGTTAACACAATAACTCCAGCTGAAGACAGGAGAAGGTGTGCAGCCATATACCTTGTAGTAGCTTCAAAAAAAGCCTTTGGGATTCTTTTTCTGAAAGATTTTCTGTCATCTCCACTAACATAGGTAAAGCAGACAGCAAAACTATTCTCATACCTGAACACTTGAATGTAAAGGGCCACCTAATTATTTTGGCGAATCCTATTTTAATCATGGTGCATTCACTTGATTATCAGCCTCTTAGTACACAATTATTTGGAAGACTTGTATTGAAAATATGGATCCAGCATATGCAATAAGAGTTTGTGTTCTTCAGAAGAAGCCATCCAGGCTCCCCAAATGAAGCTGACTGTAGGTGAGGCTGAAAACAAGAAGGCAATCCCAGCAAGAAGAAATCTGATGGAGCCACTTGAAATGGTAAACTATTAAAGACAATGAGAAAAAACAATTACTGAGGTTGAAAGAACAAGAAAGTCAAAGCCAGTTTGCCACCAGCTCCTTCGAGTGAGAAGTGGCAGCTTCTGGGCTTTAGAGAAAGAATTCATCAAAGACTGTATTACAGAGGACTGGGAAAGGTGAGCCAAGAAATCAGCTTGAAACAACAAGGAGGGACAGGAGTCTGAGAAATAGTTTATAAGATCAAGAGCTGACCTTGATTTCTTGCTGATGGAGTGTTGGACACTCAAAGGGCACGTGAAGCCCTGTGCGTGGCTCACCTCATTGTATCCTTGCAACGTCCTGGAAAATGTGCACAACAATGTGACTTAATTTTCAGACAGGGTAACCGAGGCTTGGAGAGGCAGAGTAGTTTGTCCAGGGCCACACTAGTGAAGGCAAAGCAGGGTGGAGCTGTCAATCTGGGTCAGCCCAGCTCAGTCTTTGCACGTCACTGCCGTTCCTCCTTAGGTGCAGTGTTTTAGTTACAGTAACTTTTTAAGAAGAACCATCTTCATGCTTCTGGAGATGATGTGGTTTGACAGGAAGCATCCTGATGTGATTACAGGTCCTGAGCACTGTAGTGTCACACCTGTGACCAGGAGCAAGTGTGTAACCTCCCTCATCTTCCCTTTCCTCAGCTGTGGAGAATCAAATTTCTGCATTAATGTCCTGGTCTCAAAACAATAGAAACTTGTTCTCATAATTCTGCAGGCCAGAGTTCAAAAAGCAAGGCGACAGCAGAAACACTGTCCCTCCGGAGGCTCTGGGGGAGGATCCTTCCTTCCCTCTTCTTAGTGTCTGATGGCTGCTGGCATTTCTTGACCCTTGGCCGCATGACTCCAATCTCTCCCCTCCATGTAAGTTTCTGTGGCCAAATTCCTCTCTTCTTATAAGGAGACCAGTCATTAGATTAGGGCCTGCCCTCCTCTAACCTGACCTCATCTTTACTTCATCACATCTGCATAGACCCACTTTCTGAATAAGGTTAAGTTCACAGGTACCGGAGTTACGTCTTCAGCATATCTTTTGGGGAACATGATTTAATCCACAACAAGTTCATTCTAAGTTTTTCATTCTATGGATTTTTTTTCTTTGATTCTACCTCACCTTTTAATTGTTAATAATTTCAATTTGGGATTCAAGTGTAATTGTTATCACAGGCAATACACAAATGACGATTTTAGTGCTGTATTGATATGAAGCCTGCGGCAAGAGAGTGCCCTGGGGCTTAGGGTGGGAGAAGGAAGAGAGGAGTGTTTCTGCTTCCCTTCTGTACTTCTGTATTGTTTTTCCTGCTGGAGAGTAACTGCTTGAAAATTTAAAATGTCAGGCGGGGCGCGGTGGCTCATGCCTGTAATCCCAGCACTTTGGGAGGCTGAGGCGGGCGGGTCACCTGAGGTCAGGAGTTTGACCTGACCCAGCCTGGTCAACATGGTGAAACCCCATCTCTACTAAAAATATGAAAATTAGCCAGGCATGGTGGCTTATGTCTGTAGTCCCAGCTACTCAGGAGGCTGAGGCAGGAGAATTGCTTGAACCTGGGAGGCAAAGGTTGCAGTGAGCCGAGATCGTGTCACTGCACTCCAGCCTGGGCAACAGAACGAGACTCTGTCTCGAAAAAAAGAATTTAAAATGTCCCATGTCATGTTGCACTAATTCTAGAATTGCTGAAATTAATGTATAATATGAGAGAAATCCAATGTGTACAAGATTAGATCAATGATATTTAAATACCTATGAGTAATAAACACTTATGTTGGGATGGATGTAGAAAGCTTCAGTATTTCATGTTTTAAAGACATTATAAGGCAACCCCCTTATCAATCAGGATATATTTAATATGAAACAGGTGCTTCCCCCCATACTTCCCGCCATACTCATCCCTGATCTCCTTGTGTGATCTCCTTGTTGTAGGTAAGTTGGCTTCACCTCCCCTTGCCTGCCCATTTTTCCTTTTTCCTCCTGGAATGATCCCAAAATGATAAGGATAGCTGTTGTGATCAGTGGCCTTTTTTTTTTTTTTTTTTTTTTTTTAAACAGTCTCGCTCTGTTGCCAGGCTGGAGTACAGTGGCCTGATCTTGGCTCACTGCAACCTCCACCTCCCAGGTTCAAGCGATTCTTCTGCCTCAGCCTCCTGAGTAGCTGCGACTACAGGTGTGTGCCACGACAACCAGCTAATTTTTGTGCTTTTAGTAGAGACGGGGTTTCACCATGTTGTCCAGGATGGTCTTGATCTCTTGACCTAGTGATCTGCCCACCTCGGCCTCCCAAAGTGCTAGGATTACAGGCGTGAGCCACCGCGCGGCCAAGTGGCTATTCTTTTGTGGTGGTGGTACGTAGCTGCATTGCTCCCAGGGGTGGAGAGGGAGGAATTTAAAGGTGGTGTTTCTCTCCTTCTCCCTAGTATCTGACAGCATGCCTTGGGATTTATGTAACATCTCATTCATAGACTAGAGCAGGTCAAGCATTGGCCCCTGAATTCAGGGTCTACCTGTGCTGGAGAAGAGGTGGGGGGTTAGTGGGCACTGACTCTTGCCCCAACCCCACACTGGGTACAGCAGGAACGGGGTGGTGGTCCTCCTTGCTGGTGAGTGAGGTCCCTCTCCAGGTGACCTGAGGCTCCTATGACTGACTGTGAGCCTCTGCCTGTCCTTGAGTCCCTTGCTGTGTGTCATGGATCCCTCCTCTGGGTCACCCTGTTTGCCCAGCCTTGGTGAGACACTGGGGTTCATTGTATGTTAAGGTAACAGATACTACCCGGACAATAGGGCATACCTGTGAGGCAGGTGGGCAGCCTGGCACCCCTTCTGTAATTTCCCTGGGTATAAACATGTTTCTGGTGGAACCTGAGGAAGAGAGTGTCACCTCTTCTGGGTGACTTTCCTGGCCTGGCTCCCCTTCATCCTCTCTTGGCCTAGATGTACTAATTTGATATTTGACTATTGCTACTCAATACAAAAAAAAGTGGTCACTTTTTTGCTCTTAGAATTCTCAAAAGAAGAGAGAATACTCTGGGAGTGCTGACATTAACCACATAAAGGAAATGAAATGAGTGTGTTTGTTTTGTGCTAATGCTTGCTGTCCAGCCCAGGCCCCGGGTGGGATGTTTTCAGATTTTTATTATATGGCAATCATATACCTGCACCTAGAAATATACAACCTCGGCGCTGCCATTGCAGGAAGACAAAGAGACTGTCTAGAGAGTAACGTGGCGATGCCCTGGGCAGCTCCATCATTCCAGGGTACCATAAAGGGAAGTGGGAATGCACACTCCATCTGTTTCACGCTAGGCTGAAAGTGGCAGGGGGAGAATTTACACCTGGCCTGCAAAAGGCAGCCTTGTGTTCCCACTTCAGAGCCCCAACTTCTCCAAAGCCAGTGCTTGGGAAATGGCCTTGTTGGCAGCAGGCAGGAGACTGGTGCAGTGTGCCAGCTGTGCAAACCCCCACCAGACTGGTGCAGTGTGCCAGCTGTGCAAACCCCCACCAGCAGCACCCCCACCAGCAGCCAAAGAAAACAATTTCTAAAGCAGCCCCCAGGATTTCATGCCACGGGGGTGGTGAGGGGTAGGAGGAGGTGGAAAGCATTGAATCAGAAAGTCTTCCAGGTACCAGCAATGCCAGGGTTAATATGGTCTGGCTTGCTTTTCAGGTGAGCACCTGTAGCTGGCAGGAAAGTGGCTTCTTGGTGGAGGTGGGCATGAATTCCAGAAGCCTTGGAGAGACATCCAGAGCCCTTCCCACTACATCGTGCTGCCTCCTGGGGAAATTCCTAAGCTTTTTTTGAATCAGAAAAGCCACTGACAAGCAGACAGAATTGTGTGGCTTGCGCAGTGATTGGAGAGCTAGGTGCTTTGGGTACTAGTCCCAGAGCTGCTACTTGTCGAATGTTGGGTATTGGAGAGAAGTCATTTGAGCTGTCTGAGCCTCTGTTTCCTCATCTGTAAATCAGGGAATTTGAACAAGTGACCTCAGATTCCTTCTAGAAGCTCTAACAGTCAATGATATCATCTATTTCATTTGAGAGAATCTCCATAGCTCTAATTTTTTGCCCCCAGACCAATCTGCTTCAGCTTTGTGTGGGTGCAACACCTGGGGTCCTGTTAAAATGCAGAATCGGATTCAGTGACCGAGAGCAGAGCTGAGGGTGGCTGCTGCCAGCTCACAGGTCACACTTGGAGTCGTTGCTTCTTTCCCCAAACCAGCTGCCGATGGTTCCTGGAAAGAGCAGGAATACCTTGCAGAAGGGCCTAGAAATAGAGATTCCCATATGCAGTCCAGACTTATTGGGTGAGCCTGTCTGCACTAGGACCTGAGAATCTGCATTTTATTATATCCCTTGAGTCCCCTTTAAGCAGCCACGCTGGCCCCAGCCATTGGACTCTATTTGGAGGCCACTGCAGAGGCCAGATGCCCCTCTGCTCGGCGGTTTCCTGTGCAGAAAGGCTGTGTTCTTTCTTCTTCCTAAATACTCTTCCTAGGTTAAGTGTTTCCTTCTCTTTGCCCATCTAGAAAATCTCCACCTCAAGCAGGTCGTGTTCCAAAAACTCCTCGTGTTGGGCAAGTGGAAAACACGCAGTTTTTTCTAGGGGTCTCATTCTGAGGCGGTGCTGCTGAAAATCTTGGTGCTGAACGTGTGTTTTTGAGATTTCCAGTCTATCACAGGGCCACAAGGTGTAAATATCAAGAAAAATGAATTACTAGAAAGGCAAAGTGAAAAAGACATACAAAATACAAGTGTCATTCTTTTTATTCTTAGTTTGGACAGATAGTCCATTCTTCTACACTGGTCCCACGGTTTCTGAAGCTTCCTGTAATGATCAGTGGTTACCTTGTTGCCCAAGTAACTGCAAATCCCTCCTCTACAAAGTGTGCTTGCTCCAAGGCAGTGCAAACTAGAAGTTGTTACAAATGGTTCCAGTAACAAATTTGTTTGGCGGCCTTTTCCCATGAATGAGACAGTGGTTATTTTTGCTAAAGCAGAAAGGAAATGTGATACTATTGGGCTGTGTTTTGCCCTCTGGAGTAATCCTGCTTGGGGAAAATGGAGGCTTGTTCCAGAATGCAGAAATCCCTGTTAAATTAGGCAGTCTTGGGCTGGAGGACGTGTGCCTGCCTCCCCAGTGCCTCACAACTCACATCTCTAAAGGCCACTCAGGTGGGACACCATCAAGACATTGAAAATCGACAGAAGGAAGGCAGGAAGGGGAGAGGATCGAACCTGTCAAAATAGATATTCAGAAAATCTGTGCTCTAAAATAAGGCAGCCCTTCCCTCACAGCACACTTATTCCTAATTTCAACAGGACTCCTAGTCTTGCCCCACAGCGTCACAGCCTACAGCAAATTAGAAACTGGGGTGGGGGGCGGATATTATTCCACCAGTAATACCCTTGGGACGGGGCACACAAGATGTTTGCCCTCCTACCTCTCTGTCACCTTCCCAAGAAAGGGTCAAGATGAAACAGTGTGCGTTTATGGTATTGCGAGAGTTAAGTGAGCTGCGGTGTATTAGAACCTTAGCCTCGCGCAGCGTCAGCCGTGTGGTAAGTGTTCCATAAATCTTCGTTTAGAAAAAGTGGCAAATTCCAGGCTGCTAGTAAACAAAGGAGGGAAGACAGACAAAACGGAACAGCAACAACAGAAAACCCAAGAACTAGATGCCCAACAATCTGGGTCTGTATCTTGAAGGAATGTGCATCCTGTCCTCTGACTGCAAACCCAGGCCTTCTGTGGCCCCACGATGCTGCCTCCTAGCCCTCCTAAGGTGGGAATGGAGCTTTACCCCTTGGTGGCAAACAGACCTGGCTCCATGGATCTCAACCTGGGGTGATTGTGTCCCCACCCCAGGGGACATCTGGCATCCTCTGGGGACATTTTGAGTTCTCACAACTTAGAGGGTGCTACTGGCGTCCTGTGGGTGGAGACTGGAAGTGCTGCTCGGCATTCTTTGCCGTACAGGGCAGCCCCCACAACAAAGAACGATCTGGTCCAAAATGGCAACCATGCCAAGATTGAGAAATCCTGGTTACTCGACACAGCAGGTCGGCTGGCCTAGGAGTTGCTGCCCAGAGAGGCAAAGGGAGAATGTCCAGTGGAAACAGCTGCCCTGAGCATACAGGGCACGCTGACACCTGCTGATTCCCCCATCCTTAAGGTCCTGTATTGTTCCTAACACCACGTGGATCTTCTTGCCAGATGCATTAAAGTGTGAGAAGAGTTAAAAATCACTTATAACTGGAGTGACTGGGGGTTAAAGAGGAGAAAAAATTTGAACCTGACTCAAAGGATGAGCATGTTTTTCTTTCTTTCTTCGGCACATTGGCTGGGTGTGGCGGCTCCATGCCTATTATCCCAGCACTTTGGAAGGCCGAGGTGGGAGGATTGCTTGAGGTTAGGAGTTCAAGATCAGCCTAGGCAACATAGCAAGTCCCTATCTATATAATTTTTTTTTTAAATTAGCCAAGCTTGGTGGTGCATGCCTGTAGTCCCAGCTACTCAGGAGGCTGAGGCAGGAGGATCACTTGAGCTCAGGAGTTCAAGGCTGCAATGAATTACGATTGTGCCACTGCACTCCAGCATGTGCAACAGAGCAAGACCTTGCCTCAAAACATATTAAGCACCTACTGCATGTCAGGGCCTTGGTCTAAGCCCTGGTATGCAACAGTCAACTAGACAGAGAGAGTCTTGGCTTTTACAGAACCTCCCCTTATAAGGAAGACAGATTGTCAAGGAAGTAAACAGACTTTTAGAGGAGTGCTGTGAGACAGTGCCATGTGGGAAGGGGTATTGGTGAAAGAATCCTGCTTTATAAGGGCGGTTATGGAAGACCTCTCTGAGGAGGTGCAATTTGAGATGAGATTGGCTTGAGGAGGACTGAGCCTTCAGAAGTTAGGGAAAGCGTGTCCCAGGCTGCAGCCAGGGAGGTGAAGACTTGAGGGTGTCAGGGTGAGGAGTGAGGGTGTCAGGGTGACTGAGGGTGCCAGGGTGAGGAGTGAGGGTGTCAGGGTGAGGAGTGAGGGTGTCCAGGGTGAGGAGTGAGGGTGTCAGGGTGAGGAGTGAGGGTGTCCAGGTTGAGTGAGGGTGTCCAGGATGAGGAGTGAGGGTGTCCAGGGTGAGGAGTGAGGGAGTCCAGGGTGAGGAGTGAGGGAGTCCAGGGTGAGGATTGAGGGTGTCAGGGTGAGTGAGAGTGTCCAGGGTGAGGAGTGAGGGTATCCAGGGTGAGTGAGGGTGTCCAGGGTGAGGAGTGAGGGTATCCAGGGTGAGTGAGGGTGTCCAGGGTGAGTGAGGGTGTCAGGGTGAGTGAACGTGTCCAGGGTGAGTGAGGGTGTCCAGGGTGCAGAGTGAGGTGTCCAGGGTGAGGAGTGACGGTGTCTGGGGTGAGTGAGGGTGTCCAGGGTGAGGAGTGAGGGTGTCAGGGTGAGTGAGGGTGTCCAGGGTGAGTGCACATGTGTGGTGAGGAGGTGTTTGCAGTGCTTCAGGCGCAGCAACTCTTTCATCTAGTTTAAAATTGTGCTCTGAGGTTAGATTTTAGTAGAACAAAGGCCTTACAAAGAATGTGAAAACATTGTGCTTCCCTGCTTACAGGCAATTAAAAAGGAGAATCAAGCTGAGGGTGCCTGGTGTGGGGTGGGGTGGAGAAGACCACAGAGACTATTGTGTGTTTTATTCAACAGTGTCCTGGGCTGCTTTCTCCAGAAATGTCCCTGACACATGGATGTAAGTGTGGCTAGTTTACTGGGAGATGATCCCAGTGATGCAGGACAGGCGAGCCCTAAGATTGAAGCATAGCCCGGGAGGGTTCTTAGCTTTGCCCAGGAAGGAACTCAAGGGCAAGCCAGTGGTGTTAGCAACTTTTATTGAAGCGGCCGGCTGTGCACAGCAGCAGCAGAGGCGCTGCTCCTTGCAAAGCAGGGCTGCCCTACAGGCTGTGCGCCCACAGTAGCAGCTCAGAGGCAGTTCTGCAGTGGTATTTGTATCCACTTTTAATTATATGCAAATGAAGGGGCAGTTTATGCAGACATTTCCAGGGTGAGGGTGGTAACTTCTGGGTGCTGCCAGAGCCATGGTGAACTGACTTGACACAGGTCGGTGTGTCCTATGGAAACTAGCATCTGCCCTGGACCTATTTTAGCTAGTGCTCAGTTTGGTCTGAGTGCCTGAGCCCCACTTCCAGAGTTGAGTCCCACCTCCTACCTCATTCCCCCTTCAGAGATTAGATACTCCTCCTTAATCTTAAGGGGGCTGCAGAAGGGCGGAGATCTGTTTTCCGTAACTACTTCCTGCTGAGTTTATGGACGTAGGCCCTGCCTGGCACTGGAGGAGTAAAAATCTCTGGATACCTGATCTAAGGAGCCCAGAGGCAGGACGATTTCATTCTCCGTGTCAGTGGACAGGATGGGCTGGAAGCCTTGTGCCAGCATTGTCTCTGGAACTGTGGTAATCTAGAATACACAAACTTTACTAAGAGGTTAAAGAAGCAAGGACCAAACATTTGTAACAAGACAGTTGTCAAAGGTCCTAGAAGAGGTGAAAAACAGGTGAGACTTGGGAAGGCACTTTTGATGGTTGACCAGATATAGTTGGGGGCAGTGCCCTGGTTATATCTATGTAACTAGGTAGCTTGCTCATAGATCTTTTGAATGTTAACCTCAACCTGTCCAGAGTTAATATATGTGCAGCAGGTTTTATTAATAACTGCACAAGACCCCACCTTGTTCAGCTAGTAAATAATCCAATGCTAGTCTGTTATCAACAACTACATTTTCCAGAGTCTGGGGAACTCTTGAATTCTCTTTAATGCCTGATCTCCGTTGGTGGCTAAGGATTCTAGGATTTGAGCCAAGTTCTTTAGCGTTAACTCATGGTAGGCAAAGCCACCCCAGGGTGCTGCTAGTCCTATTGCCACCCTGATTCCTGCCAGAATTAGTTTTATTGCTTACTTATTTCTGATATTCTTGGGTCCTAGGCGTTATAGATTGTGACCCCTGGAGGGGTAAGAGTGGCCAACGTTCATTCATGTCAGTTCCAAGTTTTTTAGATACAAGGGAAAGCTATTCCTTAAAGAAGAGGTGACTCCTTAGGGAGTTGGAGTGGTTACAGGGTGTGACTTCTTCCCATTCATAGTCACAAACAAAAATGAACCCAACTAGGGCACCAAGAGAAGCCCTGCGGGGTGCGATGTTTATACTTCATTGCCAGGTTGGGTCTATAGAGATATTTTCCACCTGTTCTCATGGTGGTGGTTGAACAATCTTTGTTTTCTAGAAGAAGGTAGTACTGTCACCTTCCCAGATCAGGCAGTTGTTTTTCCTTTGTATGTTCCCATCCGGGAGAAGGTACCATATATGGTCTTTTCACTCACAAATGGAATCTCATTTACCTCCCCGTGGTCTTGGAAACTTGGCAACTAGAGTTGGACCAGAGCATCGCAGGGAAGCTTCCACTTTTGTGTCATTAATGCAAGAGTGGATGCAAATGTTAGAGTTATGAGTGCACTGGAGATATAGATGCCCAACTTCCCAGATTCCGATAATAGTGGTCAGGGCAGGGGGACAGCAGGGTCCAGGGGGGATCCACTAAGTGGGGAAGAGTTCCACTTCACAATAGGGGTTTGGGTATTTTGGGGTGCTATGGTTAGTTAGGAGGTCTGGGGACATGGTCCTGAGATTTTCCAGATAGGTCGGAAGATGAAACTGTCTATCCTGGGGGTGTTGATGACAAATCTGGCAGCCATAAAGATGATTCTATGATGCTATAATTTTTGAAATATTTACTGTAGAATTTTGTCCACCCTCCCTGTCCACATACACACTAGCTTAGGTTAATTAGAAGAGCAAACAGAATTAACAGTGGCATCATGGTATCTGGTTGGGTCTTAGAGTAGCTTCTATACCCAACAAGCCCACAGGAGATGTTTCCCAGGAGGAGGTGGCTGGTTAAAGCCATAGAAAGGAAGTACTACAGTCAGGAAGAAGAGCAAGATCAATGCTCCTATTCCCATCTACAGCATTACATTACCTCTTCTGGCTGAGTGTTGATTATTTTAAATAGGTAGCAGAGGTCTTCCAAAGCTTTACTGATATTGGTTGTGGTTGTAGTGCCCTTCCTTTGTGCCTGTGACTCATAAGAAACAGGTTTAGTCCTGGATCTGTGTGCCCAAGTAGGTGTTCCCTGAAGTTTAACAGCAGTGGGGGTACTTAACAATACCTGATAAGGCCCCTTCCATTTCATTGTAATTGATTCTTGGGGTATCCCTGTCTTTACCCTGTCTTTAAGGTTTTAGCAAGACTAAGTCTCCTGGTTGAACCGGGGAGCTATTTTTTCCTTTGTGGGGAAGGACAGTATTTTATTTTTATATTGGAGGGCCTTTTGAACCTGTCCTAAATTCTAAAGGGGAGGGGGGAAGGTTCATATAGGTAATTACTACAAGCCAAGACCACAGCAGCTCAACACATAAAATCCATAGACAAATCAGTTTTACAACCCCATTTCCTGGCTTCTAGTTCTTGGCTTCCATACTGCTCAAAAGGAGTTCAAGGGCCAATGAGTGCCCGCCCACCTCCACACTCATGCACTGTGCAGATGACTTACACAGACCATCTACAACATAGCTGAATTTCCTGACATGTTCTATACTACCTCTTTCTTAAAGTTATTTTACTCTAGGATAGGGAATTTACTATACAGGATTCCTCCACATATAAAATTACTCTTTCTTTATATCCTTCCTTGCAAAACAAACAAAAAATACATTTTCTATTCATAATATTCTTTACATCTCTCTTTTCTACTCACTGGTTCACTCATGTTTTGAACCTCCCATTTAGTAACTTCCGGATTAGACAAAAAATTTTTTCTCAATAAAGAATACATTTCTTTAGCACATTTTATGGAAACCTAGGAAGGAAGAAGTCATGAACTTCACACTAGACATTGTCATTCTATAACTGAGAACCATTCTACCATTTTATGATTTTAAACCACACATTAAGCATATCCCATTTACGTGTATTTAATTATTTCACTTTTAACTTTATCTAGATCACCGAGAACCAAGGTACCATGCAAAGCTGGTCACCATTTAAAGCCATTTTAACCATTTTAAAGCCTATGAACATCAGTGACTTACCTAGGTAAAAATCCTAAAGTTAAATTTTAGAAGATACAAGATTCTCTTCAAACTAATAAGCTTTCAGTAGTCTTATTTGTTGAATGTATGAGTGTTCTTTTATCTATAAGCCAGTTTGACAGCACGCTAGATGTAACACACATCACAATACATGTACATATACCCAAAAACATATTAAATAAAATGACCTATACAAGACAACTGGATTCAAGTTATTTACAGAACTGGGACCCATCTACCTGGCCAAATTTTGTTTGCCCCGATAGGTATGGAAAACAGGAAAAGGCAGGACAGGGAATCCCATAGCATCAACTAAAAAGGGGAGGAAGCAAACTGCATTGCTCAAAAGGAGATTCTGGAGTCCCCACGCCACTGGAGAGCACACTCAGTGGTGGAAATACCAAAGAAAAATGTTCAGGCGGCTGCTTATCTGCCACTGTGGAAAGCTGTCCTCTGGGACAGTAAACTTACTTGAGCTAAGCAGCTCACTGGGGCTAGTAGGAGAAGGTTAGCTCTAGTATTGATGGAAGCTTTTTGTTGTTATTGTTCTCTCTCACCAGAGCAGTTAGGACATTTGCATTGCCAGGGGCCCTTTTGCGTATAGTAGGCGCAGTGATTCTGGCCCAGGGGTCAGCAAGTCAGGCATCAAGTCTTGTCTAGGCATCCCAGATGCTAATTTTGTAACATTTTCTCAAGATGAGTAATCCTGAGGGGCAAGGAGGCTTAAAGTCACTGTTAACAATTGTACTTTTTGGCTATTTCTTTTTACTCCCCTCTTTTGCCCTGTCCCTGTTGTTGTAAACTTTAAAGGCTATGTTTAAGCGTCGTTTCATAGGACTTGAAGGTCCCATTGCTGCTTTTTGTAGATTCCTCCTAATGTCAGGAGAAGATTGAATGAGAAAATGTATACCCAGGAGAGCTTGCCCTTCTGGGGTGTCTGGGCCTGCATTAGTATATTTCCTGAGTGCTTCAACTAAAAGACCCTGAAACAGAGCGGGATTTTCATCTTTTCCCCGAGTTACTTCTTTAACCTTGTCATAATTGACTGGCTTAACCACACACTTTTTCCTCTACTTTTTTTTCCCCACAGCACAGCAAGCGGATGACAATATTTGTAAATCGTGGCAATTTGAAGAACATAGTCAACGTAACAAACTCTTGTATAAGCTTTTCTGGTTTATCTGAAAACTGGCCAATTCTTTCCTTTTATAAGGTCTAATTAGACATGGAAAGTGGCATATGTACTCTTTGAGTGTTCCCTCATTTCCATCAACTACTTTCCACAGTGGACACAGGCTTGACCTTAGGGGCTGATATGGAGCCCCACTCCTGGTGTACTGGTTGGGCTCATTTTCTTGGGCAGCAGAGGGTATAGGCTAGGGCTAGTTGGATAAGGGGGAAAGGTGCCTGATGATATTGGGGTGGAATCTCATTAGGGAATTGGCGAGAACCCCCACTCAGGACTGGGGGACTGAAGAGACTCTGGGGAGGCTTATGAACTTTCTATGGGGAGCAGCTAGGTGGGGATCCCTTATGCATGGCATTCTAATGCCTGGAAGTAACGTGATCCAGTATAGAGCCATAAAAGCCTGTACATAAGGGATCTCTTCCCATTTTCCTTCTCTTTTACAAAATAAGCCTAATCGTAAAATATCACTATAGTATATAGAACCATGTTTAGGCCAGATATATTCGTCATCTAACTTGTATTTAACCCAAATGGTGTTGCAATACAAAATGAGTTTCTTTTTCTTTAAGCCAAATTTGAATTTGCTCCAATAGCTTAAAAGACACCCTAGCGGCGAGTCCCTTGGGATACTCCTTGTTGTCCCCATGCCTATATTAAGGATCTCTCTACAGAGGGTTTTATTAGCCCAAGTTTAGCAAAAGCCTAGTTACTCTTCCCTCTTAAATTCCCGTGTTCTTTAAAGGTGTAAATATAGATAGCAAGGTGTTATAAAAATGGATTATGAGCTACGAATGGGCAGTCGAATGTGGAGCCTAAATTCCATAGAGATCTAGAGTTGGGTGGAGAGGGGGCTAAACAAATGGAGGAAGGGAAAGGGGTAAACAGCGTTGCCCAAGGGGAGACCTCAGAGGCTCTGACTTGCTGAAGAACCTACCCAGTAGTGGAGATACTGAAAAAAATATTGGGCTGGCCACTTGTCTACCACTGTAGGTGGCTGACTGCCAGGCCAGGAGCCTGGGAGCTCCCAATTCCTTTGACCAAGAGCAGCTTAGGCAAGGGAGTTATAAGACAGTACACAGGAAGGAGCTTGCAATTGGCTATTAGGAAAATAATACTCCTAACTTCAGGGTGGAAAAAGACAAGACCAATATTCGCCTAGCGAAAGGGGTATAACCCACAATCCTAGAGGAAATGTCAGTGCTAAAAACCCCAGAGCATCTGGAGGGTGGCCTATAATACCGATGCTGAGAACCCAAAATGCCTGCGTTTCAGCCAACAAGGATGCCCTCGCCAAAGCAGCTGTGCACAGCAGTGCCAAAAACCCTGGGGTACCCAGTGGGCGGCCAACCCCGTGAACCCAAGACCAGGTTACAGAACATAGAACAACGTGACAACGTGACTCTGGTATCCCAGAGTCAACACAACAGGGGACCTCTCACAACCAAGTGTCCTGCCTTAAACAATTGCCCAAATACAATTAACAGAAAGTCGAAAGCAAACATAAGACTCCAAACAAGACATACATGTTAGGACTGAAAATGAAACCAAAGTGGAGCAATAAAATGGAGTCAGAGGAGAAAGAACCAGGTGAAGGGGTGGCAAGAATGTGCTTCAAGGCACCTAAACCGTGGGGAACTGACCGCTTAGCCAAAGGCTTTTATTTCCTAGCTTACCTGATATTACTGGGGGAGGGTGCAAAGGGGACTCTCACCCATCCACAGAAGACAAAATGGCACCAGCCAGTCTTCCACGTGGGACCCGGGTGCAGGTCTCTCTAGGTTCCCCAGCTTGGGGGTGCTCAGCTTCTGTGTCGGGGGCTGGCTCGTTAGAGCAGTGGGTCCCACACGAGGCAGCTGTACTATGGACACTTGGCTGTCCACTCAGTTTCACCACCTGCCAGGGAAAGATGATGGCTGTGAAAAGAGGCACTGGTTAGGGTTAGAGCTCGGTAGTGTTAGCAGCTCTTTATTGGTACTTCCTCAGTGTTACAGATCTTACATCCTCAATCACAGACTGCTTCACCGTCTCTTGCTGTCTTGCCAACTGCTGTCTCTTGTCTCTCACCAATTGCTGCCTCTCTGTCTCTGCTGTCTTGCCTCTCTGCCAATTGCCACCATCTCCGCTGTCCTTGTCCCTTTGCTGGTTGCCAGATGATGCAGGACAGGCAAGCCCCAAGACTGGGGCTTAGCCTGGGAGAGTTCTTGGATTTGCCCAAAGATTCAAGGGTGAGCTGGTGGTGTTAGGCAGCAGCTTTCATGGAAGCAGCTGTGCACAGCAGCGCCAGAGATGCCGCTCCTTGCAGATCAGGGCTGCTCCATAGGCTGTGTGCCCTGAGTAGCAGCTCAGAGGCAGTTCTGCAGTCATATTTATACCTACCTTTAACTATATGCAAATTAATGGGCGGTGTATGCAGATACTTCTAGGATGAGGGTGGTAACCTTAGGGCCATTGGGTCATTGCCATGGAAAGGGGTGGTAACTTCTGGGTGTTGCCATGGAAACGGTAAACCGACATGGCATGCTGGTGGGTGTGTCCTATGGAAAACTGCATCTGCCCTGACCTGTTTTAGCTAGTGCTCAGTTTGGTCCTATGTCCAAGCCTTGCCTCTGGAATCAAGTCCCGCCTCCTGCCTCACCAGGAGTCGCAGGTAAGAGTGTGTGTCATGGAGGAGGTTATAAATGTGGGCCACTGAGACCCACTCCCCACTGGGGAACTCTGAGAGGTGACATCAGATAGATTCAGCTGTGCTGACTAGGGGGCAAGGCAGCTGGGCCTTATCACTCCCTCCTGCCAACCGTGGGTGGAGGGCAGCTCACAGGGGGTTCACTCTTCAGCGTTTCTGGCTCAATAGCTGGCCAAAGAAGCCATCTGCAGAGAGTCACAGGTGCTTGCATTAGAGGCTGTAGAGTCAAGTGCCCAGGAAGGGTGTGGCTGGCAGTTTGCTGTGGCTACTGTGTGCCTAGAACAACCACTGTGTGCTAGAACCATGGCTGGCACAAGTTAGGATGATATTTGAGGAATGAAAGATCGAATATGTTCTACCACTGCACGTATTTGAGAGCATTATTTTGGCCCAGGAATCACAAAACAGAGTTTTAAAACTGTTCTTTAAAATCCTAACCTGCTAGCAGGCTCTAGACTCTAACTCATGAAAGCCTCTGTGAGTTTGGAGTGTGCCTGTCATTGCTGTGTAGTTCCTTGAACTTTTATTGGAAGGTGAAGATGTGATGTGTAGATACTGAGCAAGAGAAAATGGTTGGGGGGCAAAGGGTGATCGTGTTTGAGGTTATAAACAACCACAAAACCGCCTTTGAGAGTTGAGTGCTCTGAACGTTAAGAGCTTGCAAACCCTTTAGAATGGCTGGGCTTTGTATGGTTGACTGGCAGCACAACAAAGTTGCAAGCAAGTGTTAAATTCCTGACCCACTACCACTTCCATGTAATCCATCAGGAAGTTTACCAAAGTATAGCTCCCACAGCTTTTGTATATATAAGAATTTACTACGTAGTAGTTCCTTTATATTCTGTATAACGTCAGTTCTTAAGTACACACACATTTTAAAAGTACGTAATATTGTTATCATCCTTCCATTAGTCAATATACGTACATTTTGGTTTAACCCTGTAGTCCAGGGGCAACTTCTATGATCCCTCCTTCTTGCTTTTTGCACCCAAATAGGAGAGAAGGCAGTGTCATTCAGAATGGTCGGGCTGCAGGCACCTGTGGGCCGTGTTTATAGAGAGTGGAATCACTCTGTGCCCAGCAGAACCCACGTCTTCCCCTCCATGTCAGAGCTGGTGCTTCACTTGGGGCCTGCTCATCTCTGTATCCATGGACATATGCCTCATTGCCTGGGTTTATGAATCATGAGGCTAAGTAGAGAATTGAAAACAACTCCCAATATTTGTGTTCAGGCCTAGGGAGAGGCAGGGTGTTCCATGGTTGGCAGGCCTATGCAAACCACCCCAGAGTCCAAGGAAGCTGAGAGGCCGAAGAAGAGGCTGCCAAATCCAGTTTCTCAGAAAGAAATATTTAATAGGGACTTATGAATGGAAGTCATGCCTGTGTCTAGAGTGGTGGCAAGACGAGATGGTGGATTCCTACCCATCACCCCCCCAGACCCAGGGCTTACATACCATAGGGAAGGAATGTCTAGGGCAGTCGAAAAGGCAAGAATCCTATGTGAATCTGCCTAAGGGCAGGATTGCCTGAGCTAAGGGCAGGATTTACCAATAAGTACTTTCTCTTACATAAGGAACAATAGATAAGAGAAACCTTAGAAGCCTTCCAGGAACTGGGGTCAATCAGAAGTCAACATGGTGGTGGGAATCCAAGGATGGAGTTGCTTTAGCCTCTCCACAGGGTCCTGCTCAACTTCAACCTTAAGCCTCATGTTCCAAGCCAGTGTCAACAGGATTCTTCCTGGGGCCACTGGGTTTTAGCACAGCCAATGGCACATTGGTTACCGTGGTTCCTTAGCCCTGTAATTGCATCAGAGGCCTGCCCAGAAGACTGATTGGAGGCCAGCAGTCTCGCTCCTGTGGCCAGGCAGCATCTTCTTGTGTCCCTCGAGAGTTTTGAAGGTATTTTCACATTATCTTCCCGATGCTGTTGATAAGTCTGATGCAATTGTAATTCCTGATTCACTGTATATGAACTGTTTTCTTTCCCTCCAGAAACATGTGAAGTATTCTTGACCTGGTATTTGGAAATTTCTTGTTGATGTGTCTTAGTCTGGATCTTTAAAAAAAAAAAAAATGCTGGGCACTTGGTGAATCTTTTCAGTCTAGAAACTCATAACGTTCATGTCTGAGAAATTGTCTAGTAATTGCCTGTTCTCTCTTCTTGGACCTCCCATTATTCAGAAGTTGCACCTTCTAGTCTGGTCTCTCTGCTTCCCTTGTCTGTCTTTTTGGTTCTTCTCTCCATTTTCATTTCTGCCACCCACATTTTAGTTTTCAGGATCACTTTCTTTTTCTCTGAATGCTTCTGTTTTTGTTTGTTTTTCACCTTATTCCTGTTTCAAAGTTGCACATCTTCTTATATTTCTCTGAGAAAATTATGATTTTGCTTAACACTTGATTTCTGCTTCCTGCTTTTTATCTGTCTCCTCCAAGTTCCTTGTTTCAGTGTGTTTGTCATGGTCTTTGTGTCTCATGCTAGAGGCTTTCCTCACTATCTCATGATTATTGGCTGTCTGTTCATATTTAAAAGAGAAGCATTCAAATTTGATTGGAAGTTAAGGACTGTATGGAGACAAGGTATAGAAAATATTTTCATTGTTTTATTAGTCAGGGTTCTGTAGGGGAACAGAATAGGAGATAGATATAGATAATAGAGATAGAGACATAGACATATAGATAAAGGGGAGTTTATTAAGTATTAACTTACACAATCACAAGATCCCACAGTAGGCTGTCTGCAAGTTTGAGGGGCAAGGAGAGCCAGTCTGAGTCTCAAAACTGAAGAATTTGGAGTCCAGTGTTCAAGGGCAGGAAGCGTCCAGTACGGGAGAAAGATGTAGGCTGGGAAGCTAGGCCAGTCTCTCCTTTTCACATTTTTCTTCTGCTTTATATTCACTGGCAGCTGATTAGATGGTGCCCTCCAGATTAAGGGTGGGTCTGCCTTCCCCAGCCCACTGCCTCAAACGTTAATCTCTTTTGACAACACCCTCACAGACACACCCAGGATCAATACTTTGTATCCTTCAATCCAATCAAGTTGACACTCAGTATGAACCATCACAAGTCCACCCCTCGTCAACTTGAACCCATACACATCTGAGATCATACATAATCTTCAAATAAAGACAATAATAAGGTCATAATTATGCCTAACATATTACAACTATTCTTTGTACAACCTGAAACACACCAGTCTCCAACCCAAATACTATTACATAAAGTTAACAATACTTAAATGCTGATTTGAAGTCAGTAAATCTTATGTCACATGCTAAAGGAAAAAGGAAATAAAATCAAGATATTTTCTTAGTACAAGTATAAACATGCACAAACATGTTTTTAACAAAACAAGGAAAAAATACTCATGACAATTACAGTCCTCGTTTCTGCAGCTGGTCACGTGGTTGTAGCCGGTATTGATGACTGCCTTCTTCTACTACCCATTCTGTATTCCCTTTGCCTTCAGCAAACACCTTGGCAGGTTGTGATTTTTTTTTCCTGGTGGAGTGACCCAAACCTTCATTCCTGAAGGGTCTGGGCCATTTCTAGTCCTGCCTGGATTGGGCTGTTGTAGTTTCCCATTGATCTTAATCACAGGGCATGGTAATACTAAGAGATGCCCTAATGGATCTCCTGTATTCCATGAGTACTCTTCCTTACCTCCATTGTGGAGTAGTAGACTGATTTCATCTTGATAGTCTGGGTCAATCACCCCGGCCAACTGTAACTCCCATCTTAGCCTGTTGACTTAAAGGTAGGAGGAGCCCAAAGTGTCCAGGTGGCAATCTGAACTTACAGTTTAATGGGATTGTTGTTGTGTCTCCTGGTGGCAGTGTTCCTCCCTCTGGAACTAAGACCTCTAGACCAACAGAACTTAATGTCATGGGAACAGGCAGCAAAAATTTTGCTACTTAATCACTAGGGGTGATGGTGAGTGATGCCACTTCCACTTCCAACCCTTGATTCCTGGACCCGTGAATCCTGGCTATGGGAGAAACAGTACCATATATGGGACGCTGATTCAGAGCATACACGGCCTTCTGGAGAACTTTGTCCCAGGCATGCAAAGTATTGTCACCTAGTTGGCATTGTAATTGTGACTTTAAAAGGCCATTCCAACATTCTGTCAATCCAGCTGCTTCAGGATGATGGGGAGAACATGGTGAGACCAGTGCATTCCATGAGAATGAGCCCACTGTCACACTTCTTTAGCCATAAAGTGAGTGTCTTGGTCAGAGGCAATGCTGTGTGGAATACCATGACGGTGGATAATGTATTCCGTGAACCCACGGATGGTAGTCTTGGCAGAAGCATTGTGTGCAGGATAGGCAAACCCATATCCAGAGTAAGTGTCTATTCCAGTGGGAACAAACCTCTGCCCTTTCCATGATGGAAGAGTTCCAATATAATCAACCTGCTACCAGGTAGCTGGCTGATCACCCCTAGAAATGGTGCCATATTGAGGACTCGGTGTTGGTCTCTGTTGCTGGCAAACTGGGCACTCAGCAGTGGCCATAGCCAGGTCAGCCTTGGTGAGTGGAAGTCCATGTTGCTGAGCCCATGTGTAACCTCCATCCCTGCTACCATGGCCACTTTGTTCATGGACCCACTGGGTGATGACGGGGGTGGCTGGGGAAAGAGGCTGAGTGGTGTCCACAGAAAGGGTCATCCTATTCACTTGATTATTAAAATTCTCCTCTGGTGAGGTCCCCCGTTGGTGAGCACTCACATGGGATACAAATATCTTCACAATTTTTGACCACTCAGAGAGGTCCATCCACATCCCTCTTCCCCAAATTTCTTTGTCACCAATTTTCCAATCATGCTTCTTCCAATTCCCTGATGATCCAGCCAAACCATTGGCTACGGCCCATGAATCAGTGTATAATCACACAGCTGGCCATTTCTCCTTCCATGCAAAGTGCACAACCAGGTGCACTGCTCGAAGTTCTGCCCACTGGGAAGATTTCCCTTCACTGCTGTCCTTCATGGATGCCCTAGAAAGGGGCTGTAGTGCTGCAGCTGTCCACTTTCGGGTGGTGCCTGCATATCATGCAGAACCATCTGTGAACCAAGTCCTAGTCTTCTCTTCCTCTGTCAGCTGATCATAGGGAACTCCCCACGAAGCCATCAGTGCAGGCTAAGGGAGAGAAGGCAGGGTGGCAGGAGTGGAGACCAGGGCATTTGAACCACTTCCTCATGTAACTTACTTGTGCCTTCAGGATCTGCTCGAGCCCAATCACGTATATACCACTTCCATTTGATGATGGAATGCTGCTGTGCATGACCCACTTTATGGCTAGATGGGTCAGAAAGTACCCAGTTCATGATAGTTCAGGTCGCATGGTGACTTGAAACATTCAGTTTCCACCAAAGCCCAGTAACAGGCCAAGAGCTCTCTCTCAGAAGGAGAGTAGTTATCTGAAGAAGATGGCAGGGCCTTGCTCCAATATTCTAGAGGCCTCCACTGTGATTCACCTATGGAGGCCTGCCAACAGCTCCAATCAGCATCCCTATCTGCCACTGACACCTCAAGCACCATTGGATCTGCTGGGTCGTATGGCCCAAGTGGCCAAGCAGCTTGCACAGCAGCCTGGACCTGTTGCAGAGCCTTCTCCTGTTCTGGACTCCACTCAAAATTGGCAGCCTTTCGGCTCACTCGATAAATGGGCTGGAGTAACACACCCAAATGAGGAATGTGTTCCCTCCGAAATCCAGATAGGCATTGTGCTCTTTCTTGGTTGTAGGAGGGACTAAATGCAGCAACTTATCCTTCACCTTAGAAGGAATATCTTGACAAGCCCCACACCACTGGACCCCTAGAAATTTTACTGAGGTAGAAGGTCCCTGAATTTTAGTCATATTTATTTCCCATCTCCTGGCACATAAATGTCTCACCAATAAGTCCAGTGTGTTTGCTACTTCTTGCTCACTGGATCCAATCAGCATAATGTCATCAAACTAATGGACCAGTGTGATATCTCGTGGAAACGAAAAGCGATCAAGGTCTCTCCAAATAAGATTATGACATAAAGCCGGAGAGTTTACTGTCCTACCCCTGAGGTAGGACAGTAAAGGTGTATTGCCGGCCTTGCCAGCGGAAGGCAAATTGCTTCTGGTGGGCCTTATGGACAGGAATGGGGAAAAAGTCATTTGCCAAGTCAATGGCTGCATACCAGGTACCAGGAGGTGTGTTAATTTGCTCAAGCAATGAAACCACATCTGGTACAGCAGCTGCAATTGGAGTCACCACTTGGTTAAGCTTACAGTAACCCACTGTCATTCTCCAAGATCCGTCTGTCTTCTGCACAGGCCAGATGGGAGAGTTGAATGGGGATGTGGTGGGAATCACCACCCCTGCATCCTTCAAGTCCTTGATGGTGGCACTAATCTCCACAATCCCTTCAGGGATGTGATACTGTTTTTGATTTACTATTTTTCTAGGTAGAGGCAGCTCTAATGGCTTCCATTTGGCCTTTCTCACCATAATAGTCCACACCCTACCAGTCAGGGAGCCAGTGTGGGGGTTCTGCCTGCTACTAAGCATATCTATGCCAATTATGCATTCTGGCACTGGGAAAATGACCACAGGATGAGTCCGAGGACCCACTGGACCCACTGTAAGTTGGACCTGAGCTAAAACTCCTTTAAGTACCTGACTTCCGTAAGCCTCTACTTTACTGGAGGACCACAGTGACATTTTGGGTCCTCTGGAATTAACGTCAGCTCAGAGCCAGTGTCCAGTAGTCCCTGAAATGTCTGATCATCTCCCTTTCCCCAGTGCACAGTTACCCTGATAAAAGGCCAGAGGTCTCTTTGGGGAAGGATGGGAGAAAGATTCACTGCATACATTGTCGGTAATGTAGTGGGGTCCTTCCTCAAGGGGACCCGACCTCCCCTTCATTCAAGGGGTTCTGGGTCTGTAAACTAGCTCAAGTCTGGAAATTGATTGAAGAGCCATGATTCTCTGTTTTTATAATTCAAATTAGTGTTTTGGCCATTTGACCTAGAAGTTTTCTGCTTGTATAAATTAAGTAGGAATGCAGTGGGCTTCCTATCAATTTCACTTCTAGGAACACCATGATTAATTAACCAATGCCGGAGCTCTACACGAGCCAGACTGTTCTGATTGCTGCTTTGCCTCTGCTGTCCATTAGGGTAGCTGTGCCCACCTGACCTTATCATATCTAGTTTTTGAAACATGGCAGGGAAAATGATTCCACGTAACCTGACCATATCAGCTGGGTGACTGAATAAAACACCTTCTCAGCTCGCTTTCCTCTGGCCTGAAGCTTTTTGCTGTAGCTGCTTTTGCAACAAAGGACACAGTTGTAGGCAGTGGATCCTAAATGGAGGTTTCCTGGGGGACTTTAGGGAAAGCTTATATTTTCCTGATAAAACTGTCAAGTGTGGCCAAGATAATACTTCCCCGTTTTCTGACTTTAATGAAAATACAAGGCCCTCAACAGAGATAGCTGACTTCTGACTTTGGGAGAGAGGTCAGGGAACAGCAGTGATGCTGTCGCTGATGTTTTTGAGCTATTGGTCTGATATCACTAGAGGCTTCCTTTACATATTTGAGCCATCCTAAATCTATAATTTTCTGTTTACTTGTAGCCAAAAATATTCTAAATGTTTCACCCTCATACTTTTTGAGAAAAAAAAATAGCTTAATAATAATAAAGTACCTTAAGGCAATTTGCCATTCTTTTCCTTTCTTCAAAATCAGCAAAGCATGGCAGGACACATCTGAAAGTCTGTTTACTGTTGTTTTTGTTGATGTTATTGGCAGGCAGGGCACTTATTTCCAGCAGGGAAGAAGCGGACCCAGTTAAAGGGATCTAGACTCTGGTCGTCAGGAACGGGTCAAGGCCTTCACCATGAGAAGAGCACCAAAGGGAGTTAATATGGGGTTGACCAGAGGTAGGCAAAGGAAGGCCTGTGGGCCAAATCTGGCCAGCTACCTGTTTTTATAAATAAAGTTTTATTGGAACACAACCATGCTGGGGTTTGTTTCATATTTCCTGAGGCTGTTTTCACACTGCAATGGCAGAGGTGAGTGGTTGACACAGATGCCGTCTCACCAAAGCCTATGATATTTACTGTCTGGCCCTATACAGAAAAAGCTTGCTGACCTCTGGGTTAGACTGTCAGGTGGTAGAGACTAAGGAGGGAGTGATAAGTCCCTGTTGGCCACCTGAGGTTTTGTCTGTGTCAGGAAGCTGCAGATGGGAGATGTCCAGGCAGTGGCTCAGAAGAACCCATGGAGGACCCATTAGGGGAAGGGTTGGTATGTGGACACCAGCCACGCCCAGGGTGAACCAGCTGTGCAGTCAAATACAGAACTTCCCGTCCCTTACACCTCCATTCTCTGTGTTTCAATTTTAGTGAAGTCAGCCACACCCAGAGTGAACCAACCGTGCAGTCAAATACAAAACTTCCTGCCCCTCACACCTCCATTCTCCCTGTTTCAATCCTGGTGAGGTCAGAGGCACAGTCATGAGCAAGGTGGGGAAACAGCAGTAAATCCAACCACAACACCTCTCCTCCCCGACTATAGACCGCCAAGCCTAAAGCAGGCCCGTCACGTTGGATGCCAGATAGAAACTTTGATATGAGATAGGACTGGACTCAAAATGCCTAAAATCAAATGTATGACCACAAAGCTTTTCGAAAAATGTAGACTTTGTCCAAGATAGCATTCAAGGGTTGAGAAGTATAACTTACATGGCTTGTTAGAAAGCAGTTGTATGGCAAGAGAGGGTTCTATTAAAATGTTATTCCATCATATAATTTCTATGGAGAGGAATTTGGAAATGGCTAGCAAAATTACATACATTTATCCTTTGACTCAGAAATCCACTTCTGGGCTGGGCACAGTGGCTCATGCCTGTAATCCCAGTACTTTGGGTGGCTGAGGCAGGCAGATCACTTGAGGTCAGGAGTTTGAGACCAGCCTGGCCAACATGGTGAAACCCCGTCTTTACTAAAAAAAATAAAAATAAAAATAAAAATTAGCCAGGCATGGTGGTCCATGCCTGTAGTCCCAGCTGCTTGGGAGGCTGAGGCATGAGAATTGCTTGAACCTGGGAGGCAGAGGTTTCAGTGAGCCGAGATTGCACCAATGCACTCCAGCCTGGGTGACAGAATGAGACTCTATCTCAAAACAAAAAACAAAACCAAAAAAAAAAAAAGAGAGAGAGAGAGAAATCCAATTCTGGAAGTCTATACAAACATTACACTGGGGAAAAATATGAAAAGCAATTCACAAGGCTATTCACCGTGGCACGACTGTCATAGCAAATGATTAGAAATAACCCACGTGTGCCTCAAAAGGGGACTGGTTGATTAAACTATGGTAAATCTACACCATCGAACATGATATAAATGATTGAGAATATCTTTAGATACTGCAAGTGAGAATAGCAAGGTAGAGAAAAGAGGATAGATGTGTACCACTGTTCACCTAAGAAGGTAGCATATGGCACATGGAGGTGTCTTTCCCAAGAAACTTCCCAGGACAAAGGTCTCCAAAGTTAGAGGATGCAGGAAGAAATTAGAATGTCTGAATTTGTTTTGCCTAAAGCAATAAAGAATTTGGCTTTGGTAAGTTGTGATAAACACAGGTAACCTCGTTTGGTTCACCTGCCGGGTGTCCTGGTCTTCGTTGACGGTGACACACTGCAGAGGTCTGGGGTCTAGGGATCGCTGATTCTGCAGCTCAGTGAGCACAACTGGTGCTTCCTCGAATGTTCTTTTGCTTGCACCCTGCTGGTGGCTTCGGTTTCCAGGATTTTGTATGGCATCAGTCTGGTTTGTCTTTTATTTTATTTTATCTTATTTTTTGAGACAGGGTCTCACTCTGTCACTCAGGCTGAGTGCCATGGCACAGTTACTGCTCACCGCAGGTTCAGCCTCTCAGACCCAAGGCATCCTCCCACCTCAGCCTCCCGAGTAGCTGGGACCACAGGTGCATGCCACCACACCCAACTCGTTTTTAGTTTTTTGTAGGGATGGGGTCTCACTATGTTGCCCAGGCTGGTCTCAAACTTCAGAGCTTAAGGATCCTCCCACCTTCGCCTCCCGAAGTGCTGTGATTACAGGGATGAGTCACTGCACCCAGCCAGCCAGGTTTTTTTTGTTTTTTTTTTTTTTTAAAGAAATACAGTCTCTAAAGATGAGTTACATGATTTTATTTCTCAGAAAGTCACAGTTCCAGATTTGCTGACATTTATGGTGTTAGCAAGTGACTGGCAGTGGTATGGTACTTAGTAGATATTGAAAAAAATAAACACAAAACAGGTCCCTTTAAGATGATATTTTAATGCTAAGTGAGAAGCGTAACATCTCCTGCTGTGGAGAGGTCTTCTGAGGATGATAGCTGTACATGTTTACATCATTAGTTGATTTCTACTACCAAAATGGAGTAAGTTGGCTACCTATAAAACACTTTTGAACCCTTAACTTGGAGACAGAATTTCCTACCTATGTAAAAATCTTCCAAATAATTTTGCTTGTGTTAAAAAAAAAAAATGGAAATAAGCCGTACCTTCCGGTTAGTTTGCTAGTTACTGATTGACATTAGGAAATATGCAAGTTGACTATTCCTAATCTCCATTTTACAAATGAGGAAACTGAAGCACAGATCAGCTATATGGCTGAGGTAACATCATTCATGAGGGCAGAGCCAGGATTTGAAAGCAGGTTGGCTGGTCCCCCACTGTGTGCCCTGAACCAGTGTACTAAGCTGCCTCTTGTGTGTTTTATAAATTTCAAAATGTATGTGATGTACAAAGGGAGGATATGCATAAGGGGTAGATATATACACACATAGAAGTTAAATACTCAAAAATATTTATTTTTATTTTTATTTTTGAGACAGAGTCTTACTCTGTGGCCCAGGCTGGAGTGCAGTGGTGCAATCTCGGCTCACTGCAGCCTCTGCCTCCTGGGTTCAAGCAATTCTCGTGCCTCAGCCCCCCAAGTAGCTGGAAATACAGGCACGCCCCACCACACCCAGCTGATGTTTGTATTTTTAGTAGAGGAGGGTTTTGTCATGTTGGCCAGGCTGGTCTTGAGCTCTTGGCCTCAAGTGATCTGCCCACCTCGGCCTCTCAAAGTGCTGGGATTACAGGTGTAAACCACTGTGCCCAGCCCCCAAAATATATATTTTTTGATGGGCTAGTTTATCCCCAAATTTTCAAAGTCACTTGTCACTGAGAATTCTGAAGCCTTGCGGGGAATGATGGGCCTCGTCTGATTCAAGAGAAATTGCCTGTTTCTGAGTTGAGTCGTAGTGTATCTGGGTACTCAGGCTAGATCCTAGAATATCACAGATGCTCAGGAGCGATGCATTCACCTGTCTGTTCCTGCCAGGGCTTTCCAGCTGCCTTCTTTAATAAGCTCCTCTACCAAAGCAGTTCCAGATAGAATTGAACAATCTTTTTAAAGCATAAATATCAGCTTCCAACAGGGGTCTCCATGCAGTCTCTACTCTACGGGTGGCGTATTTGACTCCTCTTTCCAGCTGGCTGGTGTGAACACACCCACTCGAGTTTCAGCACCACTGCCCTTTTTTTTGTTTTGTTTTGTTTTTTGTTTTTAATTTTAGTATGAGTACTGCTAGCAAAAACAGACTGCTTCTGGAGCTTCAACCGAATAACCATCACCCTTCTAGGCAACTTGGGTGATGTGTTGGTGGATCTCTGTACGCTTTTTATTTATTTATTTATTTATTTATTTATTTATTTATTATACTTTAAGTTCTAGGGTACATGTGTACAATGTGCAGGTTTGTTACATATGTATACATGTGACATGCTGGTGTGCTGCACCCATTAACTCGTCATTTACATTAGGTATATCTCCTAAAGCTATCCCTCCCCCCTCCCCCCACCCCACGACAGGCCCCCATGTGTGATGTTCCCCTTCCTGTGTCCAAGTGTTCTCATTGCTCACTTCCCACCTATGAGTGAGAACGTGCGGTGTTTGGTTTTCTGTCCTTGCGACAGTTTGCTCAGAATGATGGTTCACCGCCTTCTTTTTTAACAGGAACCCTCTCAGAGGTCAAGGTGCTGCCCAGCGTCTGCTCCTCTTTCCCCTTTCCTCCTTGTGGTGCCGGGGAGGAGCTGGCTGCCGGAGTCCCTTCCTCATCTTCCTCCACCTGCGCCTTCCTACCCTCCCTCCCTGCCTCCTTCTGGAGGGAGCCCCAGGGAGGAGGGGAAGGCTGGCGAGGAGGAAGAACTGAGCTCTGCTGGCAGCTGCTCGGGGGTCTGCAAGATGCTGAGGATGCTGCAGGGGGTGGCAGTGGGGCTCTGCCCAGCACCTGGACGGAAGTGTCTTGTCTGGGTGCCCCGGGGAAAGTAGTACCACCCAGTGTCCAAGGAGTGGTTGGTTGCCCAAGGAGTAGGGCATTTTCCTGAGACAGCTTCCTTCTGTCCTGTGCTAGGGAGGCGAGCTTCCTAGAGTGGTTCAGGCTTCCTTTTCTTAATTCAGCTCAGAAGGGCAAGAGAAAAGCCAGTGCATGGATCCCACTCACGCTTCCTACTTGTTCTAGCCGGGCTTCGATTCCCTCCGCACTTCTAGCTTCTGAAAGCAGAGCCTCTCCCAGCCCCAGCTCTCACTGGCAGGCAAGGTGGTGTGTGCCCTGCCCCTCAGGCCAGGGGCGGGGATGGCTGCCGTTGTTGTAGGTCCCTTGTGCCCCGCTCACACCTCCAAAAATAGCCCTTCCATCATAACCTCTTCTTCCCACCTATGAGTGAGAACATGCGGTGTTTGGTTTTTTGTCCTTGCGACAGTTTGCTGAGAATGATGGTTTCCAGTTTTATCCATGTCCCTACAAAGGACATGAACAATGAGAACACATGGGCACAGGAAGGGGAACATCACACACCAGGGCCTGTTGTGGGGTGGGGGGAGGGGGGAGGAATAGCATTAGGAGATATAACTAATGTCAAATGATGAGTTGATGGGTGCAGCACACCAACATGGCACATGTATACATATGTAACAAACCTGCACATTGTGCACATGTACCCTAAAACTTCAAGTATAATTAAAAAAAAAAACAAAAAAAAAACCCAAAACCTCTTCTTGGGAGCTCTGGAGTAGAATTCTCTTTCTGGCTGGACTCTGATAAATACAGCTGGTGACCATTATTTCAGAATGAAATTTCGTTTAGTTTATGAGTCTGTCCAAATATTTCGATCATTTAAATTCAGATGTTAGTTTACCTCGGTTTGTGGAGAATGGACTGGGCTGTAGAAACTTAGAAGCCAAGCGAATGTGGACTCCGCTGTCTTCATTGCTGTCTTGTTACTATGGATGTCGGATTAGGTGCACCCGTGAGGTCTTGGATTGTAACCCCATGTTCTGCAGGTCTCAGGACCTCTTCCCTGCACTGTGCTAGCCCGGCCCCCTGTGATGGACTGAATTGTGTCCCTCAAATTTATACGTTGAAGTCCAAACCTCCAGTACTTCAAAATATGACTATCTTTGGAGATGGGGCCTTAAAAGAGGTCATGAAGTTAAAATGTGGCCATGAGGGTGGGCCCTGATCCAGTCTGACAAGTGTCCTTATATAGGACATGCAGAGAGACACCAGGGATGTGCGCAGAGGGACCGCCATGTGAAGAAGCAGCAAGAGGAGCAAGAGGACGGCCATCTGCAAGCCAAGGGGGAAGCCACCTGCCCACACCTTGATCTGAGACTTCCGGCCTCCACAACCGTGAGAAGATACGTGTCCGTTGTTTAAGCTGCCCAGTCTGCGGTGCTTTGTTCTGGCAGCCTGCACTGACTCACAAACCCACTTCTGACCTAGGCCCTGACTGGGTTCAAGCATACACAGCCTGGCCAGCTCAGCCACTGTCCGCATTCACAGCCTCCTGCAGCTTCCACTGCTCAGGCATCCTGATCCTAGCCTTCTTAGTTGGCCATTGCTCACCAGACCATTTTATATGGGCAGGAATGAGGAGACAAGGAGGCCCTCAGGGACACAGTTGCCCCTCTGCTGTCTTACCCTACCTGTCTTATCCTCTGGACCATGCAAAATGTTTATCTTACGCAGTCTTTTGTTCTTTGGTAAATGCATATAACAGACACATACTTAGTATCCATGATGTCCCAGCAGCCCCGCAGCTCTGATCGTAGTAGAGGTGGTTTAAAGAGAAATGCATTAAGTAGAGTTGAGTTTGTTTTTCACAAATCAAGACACATCCCACTTGGGGCAAAGTCGTGACATTCAGGTGAACCTGAAAGTTATAGCTTCTTTTATAGCCAGTTATCCAAGGGCTGAAGCCATCGAGCTGCCTGCCTTCTGAGCACTTGAAACAAAAAGGATTGGAATGTTTGGTACAAAACCCAGCACTTAAAACCTATGAGGCTTTCAGCTGTGACTCTTACTGTCTCGCCTCCATCTGGGAAGTTCATTGATCTTCAAAACCTGGCAGGCTCCTCAGGGGAGAGAAGGTTTAAGATGGAGCAGCCAGCTCAAATCCCTATTAGGTCCAAGAGCCAAGAGGCGCAACGCACAGCTAGTTGGGAACATATGAACACCCTCCCAAAAAGCTGCAAGACTGTTGTGCGTGTAAATCTAAGTGAGGAAATTATGTGGTGAAATGGGTTTTTTCAAAGTTTGCACTTAGGCCCTTTTCCGAAGAAAATCTGTGTTGACAGTGGAGGGAGATAATGTTTGAGTTAATTGATGAGGGTTTTAAGCAGTAATCAATATTTCCCAAACTAGCAAACCCAGCATGTTTTAGGGTCATTTTCAATGATTAAAATTAAAATTTGGTTGTTTCAAAACTTTGGTTGAATGCTAACCACTGGAGGCCTGGTGTTGGATGAACAGAGCATACTGGGATGCTAAAAAATATTAAGTGCAAATCCCATCTTTGTCTGAAATTGGTTTTTGTATAATTCCTGTTTTAGGAAATTGTGAAATCATGTAAGACAGTTTTCACTATAAATTATTTTCAAAAGTCTTTGTGCTAAATGATCAGGCATGACCGTAGTGAGCTGTTTGTTATTTGTTATGGTTAATGCTTAGTTGCCATGTGCGGAAACTGACGGTTAGATGTTTGATTAGGGGATTGTTGAAGGTGGTGTGAGGGCTGGATATTGACCCCAGATGAGTTTTTGAGATGCTACCATGATGAGGAAGGAGCAGGAAATCATATCACACGACCAATGCTTGGAGGATTTCGAGGGGGTATGCAGCCCACCCACCTCCACCCCAGAGGGATGCCATGGGTCCTAGGCAGGAAACATTCTACACTCAACAAGCTGCCAGCCAGGTGGAAGAGGGCATTATTGCAGAGGACAGGCTTGAGTCTGCTGGAAAGCAGTAGGGGATGGGAAGTATTCAGCCAACTGGACGTTTCCTGGGGACAGGCACCAAGTCCCTTTCACTAGCTGTTTATTTCTGGATAGGCCATCGCTCCTGGCACTGGTCAGACCCTCAACAAATGCTATGGAATTAAACTGGAAAAGGGAGAACGTGGTGAAAAATATGCCCTAACATTGTAACAAGTCATAAGGTAATGCACTTCCCATCACTGAAAAACCCAGCAGAAACACTGTCACCTCTGCATGCTGATAGACAGCAGTGCGGTCACTGAGAGACGGGACCAATCGGTGCTCCCCAGACCTGGCTGATCAGCAGTTACATGGGGACCTGGTTAAACATATGGATTCCAGGCACCATTCTCTGGGCTGGAGATGTATATATTTTTTAAGTGTCTGAGGTGATTCCAGTGATCAGGCAGGACAAAATGATGACCCCCCAAGATTTTCATGTTTCTTCATAAAATCTAGTGCAGTGACTGAGTCTGGTTATTGTTTTGGTGGAGAAGTTACTGTAATCCACATGTGACTGCAAACGTTTGGCAAATCGATATTTCATGGACACGTGATACTTGTCTGGTCCTGTCCTAGGCACTGAGCATCCAGTAGGTGCAACAGTCACCAAAAATCCTGCCTTCTTGGAGCTTACTCTTTCATGAAAGGGACAGGCAGGACAACATGTTGTAGGCATGGTGATAGAGACTATGAAAGGATGGTGACAGATGCTATGAAGAACATTACCACACGGGCAAAGGAATATCAGCGGTAGGGAAGTGTCACAAGTTCATAATTATCATGGCCAGGGAAGGCATCTTCAATGAGGGAGCTCTGGAGCAGAGACCTGAAAAAGGAGGGGTGGGAGAGCAAGGTGCTTGGGGAAGGGTGTCCAGGCAGAAGGAAGAGCCAGTACGACGGCCTTGAGGAGGAGCTGTGCTTGTGTGCTGGAGGAACCCAAGGCGGCCTGTGGTGGAGCCTGGTAGGTGAGCTGTGGGGAGGAAGGCTTGAGGAAGGTGGGGGAGTGCTATTGTTGAGAGTTGCCTGGCTGCGAGGGTGAATGAGGAGTGTGGTTTTGGAAACGCCAAATGGAGATGCCATTCCTAATACCCATGGGGAGAGCACCTGCAGCAGCTGATCATGCCTCTGGGCCCAGAGACACCTGAATTTTGAGAGTGTGCTACACAGAGGTAGCATTCATGTGCTCCCATGGACTGAGCCTGGGGAGAGGAGGTGAGGTCCCAGCACAGGCGCTGGGACACCCCAAAACTTAGAGGTGGGGAAGGTGAGGAAGGGTCAGTAAAGGGCCCCAAGGAGGAGGAGCCTGGTGAGGCAAGATACCTGAAGACGGGGATGGGTCAGGGAGGAAAGGAGTTTTGAAAGACGTCAAACCCCTCAGCAGGTCAGCCGTGGCTGGAGAGGACATTGCTACAGAGAGAAGAGCTGTTTTTGGGGGGTGGTGGCCCCAAGCGAGAAAGGGAGGAGAGGACCTGGAGCCTGTGAGCTCACTCAGCTATTTCAAGGGGATTTACTGTGGAGGAGAACAGAGAGATAGGGCTGTGGTTGGAGGACAATGTGGGGTGAAGCCCAGGCTGGAGTGCAGTGGTGCAGTCTTGGCTCACTGTAGCCTCCGCCTCCCGGGTTCAAGCAATTCTCCTGCTTCAGCCTCCCGAGTAGCTGGAATTACAGGCACTCACCATCATGCCCGGCTAATTTTTGTTTTTGTTTTTGTTTTGTTTTTTGTTTTTTTAGTAGAGACAGGGTTTCAACATGTTGGCCAGGCTAGCCTTGAACTCCTGACCTCAGGTGATCTGGCCACCTCGGCCCCCCAAAATGCAGGGATTACAGGCATGAGCCACTGCGCCCGGCCAAGAGTTGGCATTTTCTTTCTCAAGATGGGAGATATGATGTCCCATGTATAATAAGCGGGAGTGATCCTGGGAGAGGGGGAAAAACTGATGATGCAGAAGAAAGGGAATTAGGGGCATGCTGTCCTGAGTGGGCACTGAGTGGGGTGGTCCAGTGCCCACGGAGAGGGGCTGGAGCTAGGACCATGGGTGGTACCTGTCTCCACTGCTGCTCCAGCAAACATATTTAACACTCACGTTCAAGGGCTGTCACACGTATGTTGAAGACTTTGCCAAGGTTAATATGTTGCAATTTTTTTCTCCAAGTCTTCTTCATTTTTCCTGTCTCTAGAATGTTCTGAAAGATTTCTTTATGACTTTTCTATACCATAATTAAAGCAAACGTCTGTATTTTGCTGGCCATAGAAGCCAAAGAGGGATGCATCTGTCATTTCTCTTCTGGGTTAGCATTCTTTCAAAATATCTGGACACCATAAAAATGTAGAGGTCAGTCAATAGAGATTTAATGCTTTCTTGTGAGAAATTCCCTTGGAAGGGCTTTAAGAAAGTCTTTTTAGAAGAGAATAATATCTTTGATCACTATATGCCTATTAAAATACTTTTTTTTTCTTGTGGGTTTACCATGGAAAAAAACATCAAAGCCTTATATGAGCCACATAGAAATAGCCTGTTTCTTAAATGGCTGGCCTGAAATTAGCGAAGGGTAGCAAATTGAACACAATGGTTTTTCTGTGTTGCGCATTCAGTTTGGGCTGATCAGATCCCATGCAAAAAGATTACTGTAAAACGAAGATGAAATTTTAGATTTTAAGAAGATTTCATTGTAAAGCTAGGTCACAGCATTCCACATTCAGGTGAGTACTAGGATTTGTAGATTATCAGTCATTATCATTAACATACTCACATACAATTGTCATTGTTGCTAAGAAGTGTTTGCACCTTTTCAACACTTAGAAATTAAGTCACATTTTCTGCTTTCAAAGCCCTTAACCTTAATCAATATTTTATAATGTGTTTTCATAGATGAGATACATTTGAGTTACCCCAGTTATAAGATGGTTACTCCTTGCAATTATTCTAGATATGAAGATTCATTTGGCTAAAATGTGGTAAAATTGCAAGGCCATTCAGCAGGTCAGTTTTAAATACAATATGATTATTATTCCGTCATCTTTGTGCGTGATTGAAAATAACAGATTGTGTGGTTGGCAATTCGCTTCCCCATTAGAAAATTTACCTTCCTACTTCTGTTGTGTCTTACATAGTATAATTATTCTGTTGCCTTGAAAAATATTATAATAAACAGAAGGGCTAATTTTTTTAAGCGTGTTGGGTGGCCGAGGAGAAATGAAATTTTGAGTGGAAAACCTCACATGAATTGTCTGTAGTTGCTTGTACTTCATCCCTCACCAGTGCAAAAGCCAATTCCACAGGAATTGAAAACTGTTATGAAAGAGAAGCCTGGTCTTCCGTCTTAACATCGGGTCATGAATTCAATGGGGAACACTGTATCTTCTTCATCTCTATGACTCAGGCACATAGTAGCTGCTCACTTAATATTTATTAGAAATAAATATTTACTGAAAAAATGAATCTCCCCCAAAGAACTGAAAGCAGGGTCTTGAAGAGATAGTCACACACCTGTGTTCACAGCAGCATCATTCACAATAGCAAAAGGTGGAAACAACACAAGTGTCTGTGGACAGTTGAATGGATAAACAAAATTCTGGTCTATACTTATGTTTTAGTTTGGGCTGCCCTAACAAAGTACCCTAGACTGAGTGGCTTATAAATAATGTCAATGTATTTCTCTTAGTTCTGGAGACTGGAAACCCAAGGTCCAGGTGCCAGCATGGTCAGGGTCCAACGAGGGCCACCTTCTGGGCTGCAGACTGCCTGCTCTTCATTGCATCTTCAGATGGCAGAAAGAGGGTGAGAGCTCCTCCGTCCTTTTTATAAGGGCACTAATCCCATCCATGAGGCTCCATCCTCATGACCTAATCACCTCCCAAAGGCCCTGCCTCCTAATAGCACCACCTTGGGGATTAGGATTGCAACAAAAGGCAGGGGATACAAACAATCAGGTCATAACAGCATATAATGGAATATTATTCAGCCTTAAAAAGGAAGACGGTTCTGGCACATGCTATAACATGGATGAACCTTGAAGACCTTATGCTATGTGATAGAAGACTGTTACAAAAGGACAAGCACTGGATGATTCCATTTATGTGAGGTTCCTGGAGAAGGCAAATTCATAGAGACAGAAACATTAAGGGTGGTGTCCGCAGGAATGGAGAGTGAGGAGTTGTTTAATGGGTAACGGGTTTCAGTTTTGTAAAATGAAGTGAGTTCCTCAGGTGGGTGATGATGATGGTTACACAACAATGTGAATGTACTTAACGCCATTGAACTTCACCTTTAGAAAGAACTAAGATGGTAAATTTTAAGTTATGTGTATTTACCACATTTTAGAAAAAATGAATGTTAATATCTAGAATAATTGCAAGGAGTAATCATCTTATAAATTGCAGTAACTTAAAAGTCTTGCCTGATGCTGCAGCAGGCGTATATGCCTTATCTCTTTCTTTTTTTATGTTTATTTAAAATTGTGACAAAATTTGAATGTTGGTAACTAGGGTAAAGTTAACGATGTTCTTTTTCTGTAAGTTCAGGTTTGGAGTGGGTCTTCAATTGCTGTCATCAACTCTTGAGCAAAAGAGAACATTTAGTGAAACTCCAGAAACATCTTGAGAACTAAGACATTACACCTTTGATAAGAATTTATTCACACTTCTTTAGAAAATGTGCAGGAAGAACTAATTTGTAGGTAAAATGACATGTCCTAAAATTTTGGGAAATGCATAATGGGTTCTTAGGGGTTCTTTCGGAGTGGCTTTAGTTGTCGCTTGGGAAAGGAAGAAGCTAATTAGCCCTGTTAATAGAAATGTTATTCTACTTATCCCCCTCCCCAACTATCATCAAAGTATGAAGGTCAGAGCTCTTTTGTCCTTTTTAATAGTTTGTTTTCTTAAAAGTGGTTGAGTGTGAATTTTCTCTTGCATGGGAAAAGGATCATTGTTTTCACTGGCATCAGTGAATGCGCTCACACATGACTGTTTAAATATGTCTTCATTCGTTAGTCAGTAGGATCGCATCCTGCTGGAAGACAGATTGTGTAACCTCAGAGGCTTCCAGGGAAACTCCAGTCCCAGGGAGAGAGTGGGACAGTGGCATGCTCTATAGAGAAAGCACTCCTTGTTCTCTCTCTCTGCCTCCCCAACCCCGCCCCACTGATCTCCCTCCTGGTGCAGGAGGGACTGTTGGAGCAGAAGAAAACATCCAGCTCACCTGTCACTGAATAGCCCCTGTTGCAAAGGAACACAGGCTCTCTGGCCTCCAGCCCACATCTGCGGAAGCTTGGTTGGAGTGAGGCTGCTTACGGCTGCTCCCCTTTCAGTCCATGTTTGGTTTCTGCATCCAAGAGGCAGAGTGAGAATCAGACCCTGGTCGGGGGTGATCCCTGAAGGCAACGCAGTCATATGCAGTCTCTTGGCAAGCAGCCAGTGCTCTCAGCTGGGACACCCTGTCTTCAGGCATGCTGCTCTGTGGCCCCGCTTACAATGGTGACGTTGCCTGATTCTGGCCCTGGTTCTGCCTATCACTGGCCAGACAGCCCTAAACCAAGCTCATACCGCTAGGGCCTTAGGAAGGGAGAGGAATGCAGGCAAAAGTCGTCTCCCATACACAGCCACCTAAGGAGGAACAGAGCCTTAGGATGTTAAGTGGAACAAACCAAGTCACGACCCACATGTAAGAATGTGACCAAGAGCGAGAAAACCCACAGACACACCTTTCTAAGGGTGGTGGCCTACAGGATTAGTTTCTCTTTCTCTTCCAAGTGACTGCTCTCCCCACACCTTGGCCTCCACCAGAGGGGAATGTGGGCAGTGCACGCAGGACCGCACGGTGTCTTCTGCAGGGGTGAAAACAGTATTTGAAGCCCCTGTGACTGCAGGTGCCTGCACCTTCTGGGGGTGGGAGAGGGCATGAAATCCTATCAGCAGGAAAGTCCATCCTTGCTGCTCTGCTCCACTCGCCCAAGCCGGGCTGGGAAGAGAGGAGAGAGGACTTCAGAGGTACCCAGGCTATTCCCAGGGGGAGGCCTGTGTGGTCCCCGTTTGTTCGGAGATGATAAGGAGTCCATTCGAGGGAGGAGCTGCCTTCTGAACATGGGAGTGGCTGACACTACCTCTGAGGGTTTCAGTGCCTCTCCCGTGTCCAGAATTCTTCTGATTCTGATGCAGGGGGCAGGATGGCAGGGGTACAGGGTAAGGGTATGAGGGCTCAGGGGCTGCTGAGGATGGGGGTGTTTGTTTTGTTTTAGTTCCTGCCACCCCACCCTGCCCTCTGCTCCCCATCTCTGCCTGGGTCACCCATCACTGAAAGATGTCAGTTGCACACCAAGGTGGCTACCAGAGGGAGAAAAACAGCCCCTAGGGGTAGGGAAGGTGGGAGTTCCGTGGAGGCAGCACCTGGATCAGGAGAGCTGGGCAGCCAGGGGCAGAACAACCACCTGCCAGGGTGGGATTAAAAAGCAGGCATCCTCACCATAGCCTAGGATACCTTTGGATTGGAGCATTCCCAGCTGGAACGTTGCCCTCTTGCAGCCACGTACAGGTGGTGCTGACACTCAGGCCGCTCCCAAACGTTCTGTCGTGCGGTTATGTCCACCCTGGGTTGCAGCCCATGTGCACCCTGGGAGGACTGCTGAACACACCGCCAGGCCATGGAGATTGTGCACACCACTGCCGGTCTGTGTCCAGACTAGCAGCAATAAGGATTCTGATTCTGATTAAAGCCCCTGTGACTGCAGGTGCCTGCGCCTTCTGGGGGTGGGAGAGGGCGTGAAATCCTATCAGCAGGAAAGTCCATCCTTGCTGCTTCCCTCCACTCGCCCGAGCCGGGCTGGGAAGAGAGGGAACAGAGGTGCCCAGGCTGTTCCCAGGGGGAGGCCTGTGTGGTCCCCGTTTGTTCGGAGATGATAAGGAGTCCATCTGAGGGAGGAGCTGCCTTCTGGACATGGGAGTGTGGCTGACACTACCTCTGCGGGTTTCAGTGCAGAGATAAGGAATGCCAGTCTGGTGGATAATTTGATGCGTGCCTTTTTCTGCAGAGTGATGTATTTGAGAAACAGCCCTGTAACGAGAAAAAGCCGCACTACCCCTCTTTAAGTTCAAACACCACTGTGCCAGGTGCTTTTATAGAGGCAGGACAAGGCACGATGCTCAGAGCAACACTCTTTATTAACCCAGGGTACAGACAAGGGGGCTGAGGCTCAGAGAGGGTGGCAACCCTCAGATTCTGCAGCGAACAAGAGGTTGAGCTGGGGTTAGAATCTCGGTCCAGCACACCCTGAAGTCACTATCCTTTCCTGCATGGAGAAGACACAGGTGTATCCTGGGACCATGGCTAGGAAATGAATGTGAAACTCGCATCCTGTGAATGTTATGAAAGGACATAGTTCCCAATATGTTTAAGGGCGTTGGCTATGGGTTTGGGATGAAACCTCTCCCCGTTGTAGAAATGTGTCCTTTCTACTCTTCATAAGGGATGTGTGTTATTTGGAAAGTTTCAAAACTCAGTCAGGGAGGTCCCCCTTCCCCCTAACCAACCTATCACCCCAGGAACGAGGTTTCAGCTGCAGAGGTAGTGACAGCTCCCAGGTCCAGAAGAATTAGGATTTGGGGACTTGGATTTGAGTGATCTCTTAGGTTCTTAAAACGGGCCTCCTACACCCTAAATACTGCTCCCTCAACTTCAACCTCCACAGTTGGTATCAACCTGCTGTCAACTAAAAGTAAGCTCCTAAGCCCCCCACCAACTGAACAGACCCTTCTTTTTGCCAAGGAGACCCCCCAAAAAAACCTTAAAAACTTAGTTCTCAGCCATGATGGGACAGGAGATCAGACACACCTTGTTACACTTTCTCCCTTTTATGGTTTAGGCACAACGGCTGACCAGTACTAATGTTAAAATAGAGAATAGAACAGACTGTTTGTGGCAACAAGATACCAACTTATAAGCAGCAACCTCAGGTCACGCCAGGCAAGGGTTGAGCCGCGTACTCTACACTTAGAGAACGGATTCTGTTCTCATGGCACAGCGTCTTCTTTTTCTCCAGCAGCTAAAACACTCACCGGCCCGGAGATCAGCCAGATTCAAATGACTGCAGCTCATCCGCCCACAGACGCAGACTGACCCCGTTCCACAGCCATGACTGCAGCTCGGATTGGGCAGGAGACTGACTTCAGGAACCTCCTCCAGATAAGAGACCCCTGACAGTGGACTGGCTCTGGTTGCTTTACAGAGGCTGCTCACTTGAGTGCCTTCAAGTCCTGAAAAGACCTTTTTGACATTTAGGGCCTAACTGTGATACACTTAAATGTTAAGACTCCAGCCCAGAGTGAACACAGGAGGCATGTCACATGGATGTTCAATATGCGTGCATCAGGACCACCTTCATGAATATTCATAGTTCCTCCTGTAAACTGCTGAATATGTATGTTTAGCCAACCCATTCAGCGTAAAGCTCCTTCCCCAACCCCTCCTCCTTCAAAGTGCCTGTCTCTGTTCTTGCACAAAGGCACACTTCCCAGACTGCAGGATGGCCGCCTTGCACCTTTATAAGAAGGTATTCTTTTCACCTTCCCAAATGTATAAATATTGTGTTGATTTTTTTTTTAAGTGAACACTGCTAAATGCTAAGCATTTGGTGGAAAACCACCACATTCCAGAATCAGGCAGCCAAGCCCATCCCCATTCCCCCCTCCCCATCCCTCTCCCCCCTTCACTGCCACCGTCCACTTGGCAGCTGTGGTTTTCCCAAGAGGAGCCCAGGTATCCATGTGTCTCTCAACATGTGTCTTTCTAGTAGGAGCCTGTACAGCAATAGTGAAATGGCTCACACTCTCACACATGCACACACAGCCAGAATAAATTGTATAATCAAGCTCCTCTTAGCTAAGTTCTGTAACATCTGTTTGTGTTAAGTGGTGCTCTTTGAAAATGATTCCCCCCTCCCTTTATAAAAACAACCTTAATTTTAGATTGTGGAGAAATGGCGCATGACAATTATTTTTGCTTTCTTCAACAAGATGTGTTTAAGTAAATGAGATTCATTTCTAGAACTGAAGCGCTGAAAGAGCCTGATTAACAGAATCAGTGCCTACAATCATATGTAATAACTGTGGGCAAACAGCCCCGCGTGGCTGGGCTGCAGAGGCCACTGCTGCTGTGGGTTCGGCTTGCCGGCAGACTTCAGCAGATGGGCTGCTAATATAATTAGGAATCGTTGTGTTAAATGAGCCATTATTTAAATTATCTGCTAATTTTCCTATCTATTAACCTGCTGAAATAGAGAGAGTAATATCTGAGAAATCTCAGGCTGCTAATCACTAACTAGATGAATCGCCCAGTTTTTCCCTTTAATGCAACATTTTACCTTATTGCAGCAATTAGCAAATGGCTTTCTGTAGGGTTATTGCCCAGTGCATCAACCAGAGATTAAGAAGGGACAGTGGGAGACGTCCACAGTCTGTTTAGGTTTCATCCAGGTGGCAGATTGGTGGCTAGACCATGGCTTCTAGCCGAGGAGGCTCTTAGCTTTCTCGACCACTGTTTTCTTGTTTATTTCATAGTCTCTGCATTAAAGGATATTTGGCCTTCAGAAAGCTTCTCTTAGTCCATTTGGGCTGCTATAACAAAATACCTTAGACTGGGTGGCTTATTGATGGCAGACATGTATTTCTTACAGTTTTGGGAGCTGGAAGTCCAAGACCCAGGCACTGGCAGATTGAGGTCTAGTGAGGGCTTTGTGCTTCATAGAGTCAGTGCCTTCTCTCTGTCTCCTTACATGGCAAAAGGGATGAGCGAGCGCTCTCACGTACTTTTGTAAGGGCACTAATCCTATCTCTTAGGGCCCCACACTCATGATCTAATTGCCTCCCAAAGGCCTTGCCTCCTAATATCAGTACGTTGGGAATAAGGGTTCATCATACAAAGTTAGGGGTCAGGGCACAGACATTCAGAGCACAGCAGAGCATAAGGTGAGGACTGTGTGAGTATAACTTCTCTCACTCTCCCTACCCTGAGACACTGGTAGGGGGCAGGAAAGTGAGGTAGGCGGGAGGAGGAGGTCAATACAGGGTGCACTCAGAGTGGGCTATTGCAGTGCACATCTGGGGCTCAACCCCACCAAGGACTTCTGGGGGATGACACAGAGACCACTCCAAACTGTTTGCCTGGGGAGTAAGGGAGCAACGGTTTGGACCCACCAGCTGTTTATTTTTGGTCAAGGGCTGCTCCCAGGAGCATTCACTCCCTGGTACGTCAGACCTGACTTGGACACTAGATAATCTCACTCCTGAGGTTACAGAAGCTGAAGTGAGTGCCCAAGGAATATGGGTAGGCCACCAGCAATCTCTGCTGTCTTCTCGCTTCTAGCTTTGCTTATACTTGGACATTTAAGAGACAAGTTTGTGGTTATTTATATAGCAGCTGGGAAGTTGACTAAGTTTAGCCTACCCTTGCCATGTCTAGAAAATCTAAATTAATTCTTTGCACACATGATTTAGGAGTTTGGCCTGTTGAACTTTCTCCGGCTACTTCCAACTTCTTGGCAGGTTTGTTGACCTAATTGGCATTCTCTCTGCTCCCAGGTGGGGGCTCATGGACATGCTTCCCCATCTGAAGGAACAAGTGATTAGTGAATTCCTATTAGTTGCAGGCACTGTGGGGACCATCAAAAAGAGACTAAGAAGAAGAGCTTTGTCCTTAAGGAATTTACAAGCTCATTGAGAGGAAAGAAAGGAAACCGGGAAACATTAGAGGACAATAAAAGACACGAGACAACCCTAGACACCAAAAATCAGGGCATGAGCTGTCAGAGAGGAGTAAATCAGAGCTGCAGCTGGGAGGCCTTCTGGGGAACGCAGGACTTAGCATGGGTCTCAAAGGCAACAGCCTTTGTACGGTTTATCGTTTACTCTCAGCCAGCAGGCAGAAGGGGTGAGAGGTGGTTTCTACTTGCATCAAAACAAAATAAGGAATATCAAACCCCACAAATCATGCTGTTGAAAAAAATGAGTAAGCTGGCTGGGCACGGTGGCTCACGCCTGTAATCGCAGCACTTTGGGAGGCCAAGGCGGGCGGATCACCAGGTCAGGAGTTTGAGACCAGCCTGAACAACATGGTGAAACCCCGTCTCTACTAAAATACAAAAAAATTAGCCAGGCTTGGTGGTGGGTGCCTGTAGTCCCAGCTACTCAGAAAGCTGAGGCAGGAGAGTCGCTTGAACCCGGGAGGTAGAGGTTGCAGTGAGCCAAGATCGCGCCACTGCATGCCAGCCTGGGTGACAGAGCGATACTCCGTCTCAAAAAAAAAAAGAGTAAGCTTTGTCTGGGCAGGGCCCGGCATGGGGAGAAAGTTTTGACTGTTTCCAAGAACAGTTCTAAAGGATTCTTCCTGAAAAATCCTTTAGAATCAAATTGCTCCAGAATCAGCCATTTTCCTTGTCCAGAGGTTTTAGTGCCATGGGATGCTGTGGACTGTGTGTCCCTGGTCACCAGGAGGCAAACTCAGTTTACTCAGTTTTCACACCTTGCTGGCTAAAATTGCACGTGGAACCGGCGCTAGTGTTTATTTGCTCACTCACCGTGAGCCAGCACCATGAGGAGCACGTGTCACAGCATTTACTTCTCACAAGCACCCCATGAGAATGGTCATCACCCCCTTTCCTAGAAGAGGGAGGGTGCAGAGAGATCTGGGGAGAGGAACCCACCTCTTCCAGGTGCCAGGCACTGGTACATGAATGGTGGAGGGAGATTGGACCCCAAGCCCTGCGTGCATTCAGTCATTCTGCTCAGTGAAGTGTGGACAGAATTTGTTTGATGGGAGGGTAGAATTGTTCTCAAAGGGCTTGTGACACAGGAGGAAGACGTCCACGTTCAGGACATGTCTAGTTCCTACCCATCCGTGATGTGTGCATAATGGTCATCCCTCTTTTATAATTATTTTGTAAAATCTGATGATGCGGTTTTGGGCAGGGCTGCTGGAACTGGGGCATATTGTCAAGGAAGTCTATGCCAAAGACGAACAGTTTTCATCGTGGGGGCATAGAATTTTCACACATCTTCTGGAATAGATCATCTAAACTCTTTTACTCTCAGATTTTCTGTATAATTGGTAGGTGCTCAAGAGATTTGCTTTAGAAATGAACAAGCCACCTTCCTTTTGCCTGGAATGTGCATTTCTGCCACTTGCCCTTCACTGCATGAACGTCTCTCTAACCTTGACTTTCATTTATTCATTCAACAACTGTTTAGTGAGCACCTACTAGGCTCCCAGGCACTGTCTGAGGTACTGGTGACAAAGAGATGAGCCACATGTGGCCCTACTGTCAGCTGTCATGGAGGGCGCACTGTGCTGGGGACATTATCTGGAGAAGACAGGCTCCTGTGTGACGGTGATGCACCCAGGACAGGGGCACAGAAGCCTTGGGAACACCATGTAAAGTTAGAGGAAGAGGTATGGGGGGAGGGCAGAGATCAGAAGGAAGGACTGTGGGGGGCAAACCAGGAGGGCGCATTTCCAAAGCTTCACTGAGGCCTGGTCACTTGCGGCCAGCACTGCCTGCAGGCTGGACAGGTCAGGGGAGAGCTCAGAGATGACCGTGGGCCTGGAGCACGGGAGGTCACTGGTGAGCTTGGCCGGCCATGGAGAGCTGAGGCAGAAGCTCCATCTCTGCAGGTGGAGGAGAGAAAGAGAGAAAGGAATTGAGACGGGAGGTGGCCCACTGCTGGATGCTTGACCGCAAAGGGGGAAGGAACAGTAGCTGGAGGGAGTGTGTTTTGGGTTTTGCCATTTTTAGGAAGGCGAGAAGAAATTAGCCACTGAGTTCCTGCAGTTCCACCTCCTTAGGTCTCTGGCAGCTTGGATCACAGATGGTTTTCAAGGGCAGGTCCTGGTGGACAGGCCATTCTCCCTACTAGATGCTGCACTCTGCAGGGGCCAGGACACAGGCACCATCATCTTTGCTGCTCTCACCCCATGCCCCAGGTTCAGCACAGCAAAGACCCACATCTGCCCTGCAAAGGCCCTCGAGGCCGCTGATGTTGGCGGCAGGGTTGGAGTAGTTAAAAGCCAGTGATTTTCAAGGTAGAAGACTCCATCCAGCTTCTGCTGGAAAACCGGTTTTTGTTAGTTGTGATTGTGTTCTGGAAAAATGGAATGTGACTTCTATGGGAGGCTCCCTAGTATCAGGAAGGAAGCAGGGAACAGGGGCGGGGACGTCGGGACCTCCATGGGCTGTTTCACATCTCCAAGGCGTTTCTGTTTTCCTCAGATGTAAAGTGGGGATCTGTCTATCGTATGAGCTTTTGAGTCATTTTAAGTTATGCTTTGCTTGGAAGTTAAGAACATTCCCTGAATTTGAGAATATATATTTTCAATGACCTTTTATGTAGCTGGAGGGACATGGCCCAGGGCTAGGCTGGTGTGTGTGTGTGTGAATACATGCATACATGCACGTGAGGTTGAACCCAAAGAGGCAGGAAATAATTTTGGAAATTCCTAGAATAAAGGAAGGGGCAGATTAAATTGCTAGCATGTGGCATGAGGTGAGGAACCTGGAAGGAGCCCACAGCCGGGGTGTTTGAGTTTTCCGTTGTTTGAGAGCGCGTCGTGTGAAATTTATAGAGCAGGTGGCATTACTATTTTTATCTCTGTGGTTGAGGCTACTTGTGAAAGTGGGTGATGGTCCTGGCTAGAATTCAACACGAGAAAGGTCCATTTCCAGTGTCACCACACAGAAAATGGTGGTGGCTCCTGCGGGCCGCTCAGACACATGATGTGATGTACAGCCCAGAGCGTTTACTGTGCCCTGGAGACTCAGCCCTTGCCTGACTCTGTGGCTGCCTTATTTATTTGGGGCCATTTCTCTCAGATCATATGCTCCAGGAACGACCATCGTGGTGACTGGCTTTGCCAAGCTGTGACTCTGAGTTGAACCTTCTTGAAAACTAGCTTTTGCTGGAACTGCCACGGAAGATAAGGTTGTGCTGAATGCCTGGGCAATGAGAAGAAATCACCTGTGTAAAAGAATGCAGTCCACACTTTGGTCTGACTTTCTCTGCATTTGTGTTCCCTGCCTCTGCGGAGGAGTGACACCCCCTGAGAGGCAGGACCGGGTCTGGGCGTGTGAGAACGAGCTCCGGTCATGAGGCAATGCAGAGGCTGCGGTGGAGCTTCAGAGGGAGGGAAGCAGGGTGAAGCGTCTCTGGAGAGAGTCCCCCTGTCACTGGGGCTGCTGTGTGGAGGGCAAGTCTTGTTCCTGCCTTGGCCCTGTCTAGTTACGCAGTCGCAGTCAGCGCGGACGTGCGTTGCCAGCCTGACCGGCCGGGTGTGGGATCTCCTGAGCTACTGAGTGCAGAGTTGCCAGCGAGACCCAGAAATGGTTGTGAAACAGCTTCCACGATGGACAGTGGGCACAGGGAGGAAGGCTGGTCTTGTTCAGAAATCTGTAGCTGTTCTTTTTTTGTTTTTTTTTCTCTGAGATGGAGTCTCGCTCTGTCACCCAGGCTGGAGCGCAGTGGTGCGATCTTGGCTTACTGCAACTTCTGCCTCTTGGGTTCAAGCAATTCTCCTGCCTCAGTCTCCTGAGTAGCTGGGATTACAGGTGTGTGCCACCACGCCAGGCTAATTTTTGTATTTTTAGTAGAGACGGGGTTTCACCATGTTGGTCAGGCTGGTCTTGAACTCTGACCTCGTGATCTGCCCGCCTCGGCCTCCCAAAGTGCCGGGATTACAGGCGTGAGCCACTGCGCCCGGCCCAATCTAGAGCTGTTCTTATCTGTGACTTTCAATGGCCAAGAAAACGTATTTCCTACTGTTGTGCAATTAGTTATTTTTTTAGGGCGATTGATGTTTCTTGCCTAACATCCACACTGTCCTCTTCTCAAGCCCTAGTATTCTCTGATTTGCCTTGTAAAGGAATTTTTGTGTGTTTGTTTTCTGTCTCTCCTTTACCTCTTTACCCCCCTCCTTTCCCTCTTTACCCCGTTTTAGCCAAGCAACTTCCAAATTCATCTTGCCTCCAGAAAGCATTTAAATCCCCAACACAGAGACAGTGGTGAACACTCAGGGCCCTGTGCCTTCCCTGTGGCAGCTCATGGCAGCTTTGGCGAGGTATCTGCTGGTTGAGCCTCGGTGCTTTCCAGCCTGGGTGCTGGACACGTTGTACTTTGGAGCCCCCTCCCAGTGATGGTTTAGGTCCCGGCCCTTGCTCTTTTCACATCAGCCATAGAAGTGGCTTTTGCTCTTGTGATAATCCTAAGCTGGATGCAAAGAAGGTGTCACAGAGCCAGCTCGGCAGGCAGCAAGGAGGCCTGGAGGCCGGCAAGCCTTGAAGATGGACGGAGCAAGTAAAGGCGGCGGCCAGCAGCAAGTGAGTGGGAGGCCTGGGGACACGCCTCCATGACACAGCCTGAGGGCTGCCAGCCCCTACCAGAAACTGGGAGAGACAAGAAGGGCCCTCCCCTGGAGCTTCTGTGGGAAGCGCAGCCCCGCCCACACCTAGATTTTGGACTTCTGACCTCCAGAACTGCCAGAAAATAAATGTATATTATCTCATGCCAACCAGTTTGTGGCTGTTTGTTAAGGCAGCCATAAGAAATTAATGTAAAAAGTGAGTCCCGTTTTCCAGGAAACTTGAATCAGACCAACCAATGTTAAGATATGTCAGTAAAACTACAGAACGATGGTTCTAATATAAACAATACAACTATAGAACTTTGTGGCTATGGAAAGAATTCTTCAGTAACCAAGGAGAAAAAGTCACGTGTAATGAGGAAAAATAAGACATGCTTTAGATTTCTCCACAAATACTCACTGTTGAAATACACTGGAGAAACATATATATAAAGTGTTAAGAAAAAAAATATGACCCAAATGCACAAAACCCAGGCAGATCATTCTTCAAGTGTAAAGGCCATGGATAGGTGCTCGCAAGCATGAAAGCCCTTGGGGAAGATGGTGTCCAACTTTGGGTGGGGCCCGTGGGAGGCTGAACAAAACCTAGCCATTGGGGAGCTGGGTGAAGTCAGAGACAGGAGGACTGGTAGGAAGGAGAGAACCTCTTTCCTTATAGAATGACTAAGCAACTGTGGGAAATATGGGTATCAAAAACAAATCTTGAAAATATATAAACAACAGTGTAACCTATGGAGAGGTTGGTGGGACTCAGATTCCTGGTGACATAGGTACATTCACCACCTCATCTTCCTTAATGGAAGGAAATTCTGACAGATGATAAATAAAAAATATTGGCAGGTAGGTAAAAAAGAAAGATGTTCATGCATTATGTAAAATTACAAAAAGGCATATCATGAAAGTAAAAATAATGTTATAATCCAGCACTTCTTCCCATCACTCCCTATCCTGGAGCACCCCCTGTCCCTTCCAAACATCTTGACTTTTTTTTTTTTGTGACAGAGTCTCGCTCTGTCACCAGGCTGGAGTGCAGTGGTGTGATCTCAGCTCACTGCAACCTCCGCCTCCCGGGTTCAAGCGATTTTCCTGCCTCAGCCTCCCGAGTAGCTGGGACTACAGGTGTGCGCCACCACACCCGGCTAATTTTTGTATTTTTAGTAGAGACGGGGTTTCACTGTGTTAGCCAGGATGGTCTGGATCTCCTAACCTCATGATCTGCCTGCCTCGGCCTCCCAAAGTGCTGGGATTACAGGCGTGAGCCACCGCGCCCAGCCAATTCTTGATTTTTTTAGAAGTGTGCAGAGTGGGGATCCCAAAAATATCATTCTAAGTTGCTAAATCAAGAGAAGAGGTTAAGATATATCACATAAAATTGTAAAGAAAATGACTAGAATAATTTAAAAATAGATGTAAAGCTTGCAGTTCACCAGAACAATTATTAAACACCAGAAATCTGTATAGTAAAGATGAAAAGAATAAAAGAAGAAACATTATAGCAGACAGTGTCACATAGGAAGAGATAGGATGAGGAAAAATGTGTATAATTGGATGCAAATTGATAAATTCATCTCTTAAAATAATTCAGTTTGGGGGAATGTTTAAAAATGGTGCAGGGATTCTGATATGCCTGCCCCCTTTGAGAATCAGGTTGTGGTGAGTTACTGATAACTTAGTGTTTATTATTTAAGAGCAGAAAAAGAGAGAACCCTGTCCTTCAGGAATATCTGGTTCAACCAGACTGACCTAGGGACGGATCTCCTTCACTTACTTTGACCTGTTACTGACTATTTGATACATGCAAGAATTACTCAGCCTCCAACAATTTCTCTCCTGTGAAATCCATGTAAATGCAGATTTGCTTGGTGTCCTCTAAGTGGAAAAACCACACACTGATTTCCCTCTGCTCTCACACCACAACGATCAACACAGAAGACTTCCGGGACCAAATGTGCGGGGATTTCTCCTCACCAACAAACAATCGATCGGTTCTGCGACAGACACCAGCTGCGTATCCTCTAATTTAGTTCAGTTCCTACACTGTCTGCCTGGGGATGGCGTGGGACCCCAGAGTGAGGGCCCAGTCCCCCAAGACTGCCCCCAGCTTCCATGCCAGTTGCGAGCTCCGGGTCATTGCCTGTGCTTCTGATCGATCGGCTACAAATGGAAGATTTCCAGGATCCTATCCTTGGTTTGATTAATTTGCTAGATTTACTCACAGAACTCAGGAAGACATGTACACTGGTTTATTATAAAGGGCGTTACAGAAGATACAGATGAAGAGATGTGTAGGTTGAGGTATAGGGGGACAGGTACAGAACTTCCGTGCCCCCCCTGTACACGCCACCCTCCGGGAACCTCAGCTGTCTGGAAATTTAATGAACCCTGTTCTTTTGGGGTTTTGTGGAAGCTTCGTTATGTAGACATGATTGATTAAGCCATTGGCCATTGGTGATCAGCTTAACCTTCAGCTCCTCCCCACTCCCCAAGGTTGGGGGTGGGGCTGAAAGTCCCAGTCCTCTAATCCCGCCTTGCTCTTTCTGGTGACCAGCCCCCATCCCGAAGCTACCTAGGGGCTGCCAGCCATCAGTCAACTCACAGCATACAAAAACACATCACTTTGGAGATTCCAGAGATTTTAGGAGTTGTATGCCAGGAAATGGGGATGAAATCACATACGTATTTCACAATCTTTCATGCCCTTTTGTACGTTTATGAGAAATTAGGATTAAATCTAACCCAAACTGTGGCTTTGAAACTTGGGGCTGTTGAGCATCTAATATTTGGATGAAGAACCAGATAATAAATTATTATATATAATACATTATATATATGTAAATATATTTTTATATATGTGAGATTACATTCTATCTGAAATCAACCCAAACACCTCTGTAAAGGAGCAAGCTCTTACACATTTTCTAGGAGCTGTGTATTTGTAAATCGAAATTAAGAATAGAGCATTCATTTACTAAAACGAAGAGGTTTAAAGTAACATTTATAGTCTCATTATTTAGAGTGCCTTTGCTGGCCAGGTGTGGTGACTCATGCCTGTAATCCCAGCACTTTGGGAGGCTGAGGCGGGTGGATCACTTGAAGTCAGGAGTTCAAGACCAGCCTGGGCAACACAGTGAGACCCCATCTCAAAAAAAAAGTATATTAAAAAAAAAAAAAAAAAACAGTAGAGTGCCTTTGCCATTGTTTTAGATTCACTTCAAACCTTCATCCCCCAAATCTGTTTCCCTACCATTCCTACAAAGTTTTTGTGAACATGATCTTCATTGGTCGGGAGGGAATTCTCTGAAGTCACAAAGTAGCTTTTCGTTTGAGAAAACACAGGGGTGTGACCACAGGTTACAGCACTGCCCCTGGCAGATGCCCAGGACTGTCGTTCATTCCTCTCCACTATTTCCATGGCCTCCTGCAGGGGAAGGGGCAATGGCACTTAGTACATTAGGGAAGTAGGAGTCTGACAGTTTCTGCCAACAGCTCGAAAACTGTGTGTGCAGAACCTACACACAGCTGGTTTGTGTGCACAGACTGCATTATTCTTGCTTATTATTTTGGAATCTGTTATCTTTGTACCAAGGGCAAAACGAGTGTCTTTGATTTTACCTTTGCAAATAATTTTGTTGTCGATTCCACAAATGTGTGAGTGTCGGCCGGGCGCGGTGGCTCACGCCTGTAATCCCAGCACTTTGGGAGGCCGCAGAGGGTGGATCACGAGGTCAGGAGATCGAGACCATCCTGGCTAACACGGTGAAACCCCGTCTCTACTAAAAAAATACAAAAAAATTAGCTGGGCGTGGTGGCGGGAGCCTGTAGTCCCAGCTACTCGGGAGGCTGAGGCAGGAGAATGGCGTGAGCCCAGGAGGAGGAGCTTGCAGTGAGCTGAGATAGAGCCACTGCACTCCAGCCTGGGTGACTGAGCGAGACTCTGTCTCAAAAAAAAAAAAAAAAAAAAAAAAGTGTCAGTGTCTACTGTGTGCCTGGCCCTGTTACAGGCATGCACGGCAGACAGAGCAGCAAACAGCAAAAATCCCTGTCAGAGGGAGGCTTCACGCTGGTGGGGCGGAGGCAGCAGGAGCTGTCGGGACCCCGTGAATGGCATGATTGCGCACGGGGCCCAGGCAGTGGCTGAGTTGGTTACAAGAATGCGCTCGGAGTCTGACTCTGGGTTCCAGCCTCAGCTCTGCCACTTACCCTTGTAGAGTTGAGCAAGTCAGACTCTCTGCACCTCAGTGTTTGCATCTGTGACGTGGAGTGAGGACTGTGCTGCCCTCAGAGCTCTGTTATGAGGTTGAAATAAGCTAATGGATATAGGAAGCACGTACAGCAGTGCCCAGCCCACTGCAGGCGGTGTTCAGTGTCTGCTGTCACTGTTATGTGAAAGGTGTGGTGTTATGGGAGGGAAAGGGATGCACAGGCCGGCAGGAGACTGGGAACAGCAGTTCTCCCAAAGGGCCAGCCAGGGTCAGCTTCGTGGAGAAGGTGGCGTTGAAGGAAGCCTGGAAGGGAGCGATGGGCCGTGCCACATGGACCTGGACCTGGGTATCCTGGGGAAGAGCCCCCACCCCAGCAAGGTGGCCAGGGGAAAGGCCCTGCCCCTGGGGGATGTCTGGGGCTTTCACGGAGTGGCCTGGTGGTCAGCGTGGCTGGGAGGAGTGATGTCAGGGCATGGCGAGTGACTCAGCAGGCCATGTGAGGACTTCGCCAGTTACTCTGGGTGACGTGAGAGCCATGGGAGGTGGAGGGCTGACTCCCTCTGACTTAACTGTAATAGGACTGTGGTGGCTGCTGGTTGGAAGTAGGCCTAGGAAGGAAGCAGGGACACCAGTGAGGACGAGGAGGGGATGACAGTGGTGTGGACCCCCACAGACTCCTTGGAGGAGGTGAGGGGTGGGCCGGTGTGGGCCAGAACCTGAAGGTGGAGCCCTCGGGACCTCCTGGTGGCTGGATGTGGGCCATGAGGGGAAGGAAGCCCTAGGGATCACCTCCGGCATGGCCTGGCCTGACCTGATGGAGCTGCTGTCGACCGAGATGGTCAAGTCCACCAGGAGAGCAGGGGTGGGGGCAGCTGGAGCTCAATTCGGGACACGCCAGGCGTGAGATGATGTCCCATCTCAAGATGTTTCCTGGACCTGCTGTAACTAAGTACACAAACTGAGAGCTGAAAACAACAGGAATGGGCCAGGTGCAGTGGCTCATGCCTGTAATCCCAGCACTTTAGGAGGCCAAGACGAGAGGATCACTTGAGCCCGGGAGTTCAAGACCAGCCTGGGCAACATAGTGAGACCCCATCTCTACAAAAAATAAAAATAAATTAGCCAGGCATGGTGGTGCACGCCTGTGGTCCCAGCTACTTTGGAGGCTGAGGTGAGAGGATCCCTTGAGCCCAGGAGTTTGAGGCTACAGCAAGTGATGATTGTGCTGCTGTACTCCAGCCTGGGTGACAGAGTGAGACACTGTCAAAAAAAAAAAAAACCCCAGGAATGTATTCTTTCACAGTTCTAGAGGCAAGAAGTCTGAAATCAAGGTGTTGGTGGGGCCATGCATCCTCTGAGACTCCAGGTGGAGCCGTCCTTTCCTCTTCCAGCCCCTGGCCATGGTTGTCAGTCCTTTGGCATTCTTGTGACTCCGTCACTCCCATCCCTGTCTCTGCTGTTACTTGGCACCCCCCGTGTGTCTGCTTTCCGTGCATTTTCGTCTCCCTGGAAGGACGCCTGTGATACTGGATTAGAGCTCACCTCTGTGGTCCTCACCTTCACTTGATTATCTCTGTAAAGACCTTTTTTCCAAATAAGGGCACATTCACAGGTGCAGGGGTTAGGAACTTCAGCATCTCTTTTTGGAAAACACATCTCAACCCATAAAAGATGACTATTAGCCAGCCAGGGAAAGGTGTTGAATAGGTAGAGCCCAGAGTGCATGCGCAGCCCGGGGCCGAGAGGTACACTTGGGGTTCGTCAACATGCGGATGGCATTTAAAGCCTTGAGACTCAGTGGGGACCCCAAGGGTGTGAGTGGATGGATCCCAGAAGTGATTCCTGAGCTGAGCCCCGGGAAAGTTCAGCAGGGTGGGGAGATGAGAAGCACCTGTCCGTGAGACTAAAGTGAGGAGTCAGAGAAGGAGGAAATCAGGAAAGTGTGGGGCCCCGGGATCCAGAGTGAAGAATATTTCCAGGAAGAGGGAGCGAGACTGAGTCAGATCCTGCTGATGGGTCAGCTCAGAGACAAACACTGGTCCCAGCTAAACTGAGGTCCTTGGCAAAATTATTTTATAATTGTTGGTAAGATAATCCTAGGCAAAAACTTGCCTATTTTGATTTTTTTTTTTTTTTTTTTTTTTGAGATGGAGTATCGTTCTGTCACCCAGGCTGGAATGCAGTGGTGCGATCTCGGCTCACTGCAACCTCTGCCTCCTGGGTTCAAGCAATTCTCCTGCCTCAGCCTCCCAAGTAGCTGGGACTGCAGGCGTGTGCCACCACGTCCGGCTAATTTTTTGTATTTTTAGTAGAGATGGGGTTTCACCGTGTTAGCCAGGATCCACTCACCTCGGCCTCCCAAAGTGCTGGGATTACAGGCGTGAGCCACTGTGCCCATCCGATTTTGATTTCTTTAGTCTATAGCTTTTTAAACCTGTTTTTCAACCTTTTGGGCTATATCTACGTGGTCTGTGTTTATTTCTAAAAGAAGTGTTCATTCTGTAAACAACTGGGCATGTGTCTGGACTTGGGATAGATGCTGGGCATAAAATGATAAGTAACATACACACCTGCCCTGAGACATCGTTCACTGGGGAAGATGAGTGAAACAGTGGGATACAGGGCAACAGCCCAATAGCATTGGTCCCTAGGGGACTGCAGATTAAAACCACAGTGAAATACCGTTCCACACCCGTTAGCATGGTTCACATTGAAAAGACCAACACCACCAAATTTGGGGGAGGATACAGAGCACATAAACCAAATGGCCCATGGACCCATTGCTCATGGGAATATAACTTGGTGGACCCACATAGCAGACGTGTTCAGCAATTTTCTTTAAAACAGTAAAAATGTATCTAGTCGGCTGGGTGCGGTGGCTCACGCCTGTAATCCCAGCACCTTGGGAGGCCGAGGCGGGCAGATCACGACTTCAGGAGATCAAGACCATCCTGGCTAACACGGTGAAACCCCGTCTCTACTAAAATTACAAAAAACTATCCGGGCTCGGTGGCGGGCACCTGTAGTCCTAGCTACTGAGGAGGCTGAGGCAGGAGAATGACGTGAACCTGGGAGGCAGAGTTTGCACTGAGCCGAGATCGTGCCACTGCACTCCAGCCTGAACGATAGAGCGAGACTCCATCTCAAAAAAAAAAAAAAAATATCTAGTCTATGATCCAAAAAGTTTCACTCCTAGGTATTTACCCAAGAGAAATGAGAATATATGTCTGCAAAAAGACCTGTACAGTGTGTCCATAGCTGTCTTATTCATAGTAGCCTCAAAATGGACACAACTCAAGGGCCCGTCGAAAGCAGAGGCAAATCATGGTGTGTCCCTGCATCGTGAAGAGAAACAAAGGGCTGATGCAACATGAGGACGTCTCAAAGACAAGTTGCACTTAAGAAGCTATGCTAAGAAAACAAACACACAGAAGCCTACATCATTACATGTATAGAATGTTCAAGAACTGATGAAACCAGTCCGTGGTCACAAAAGCCAGAAAGTGGTTGCTTCTGGGGACCAGAAGGGAAAGGGGCATAAAGGAACCTTTTGAGGTGAATAGAAGTTTCTGCATCTTGGTTTGGCACACATGCCAAAACTCACCAGGTGAGCATTTAAGATCTTGCGTTTTTATTATATGCAAATTATATCTCAAATAACCTAAAAAACAATGCTTGTGACAGGTGTGCCCAGGTGCCATGCATGGAGGTGAGGGGCCACCACATGCCAGGAGGAGGCTGGGAGGCATCCTGGGGAGGGGAGGTCACGTTGGATCGGGGTTTCCAGGCGAGATTTGGAAAAGCAAGGGGAGGGTGAGCCCAGTGGAGGGCTAAACCTGGCCGAAAGCCCAGAGATAAGAAAGAGCTCAGCCTTGGTTTCAAGCACCAACGGCCTAAAAAGGAAACCCAGTTATTTAACAGAATCCATTCTCTTTTAAGGCTCAGTGTGTATCTGAGACAGGACCATTTCCCCTCTCCAGTGCAAGCTTCTTCATGGACTTTGTTCAGATTTCAATTTTATAATAGCTTTTTCTATTCTCCTCGTCAGTATACTTTTTTTTTGTTCCAACTGATAAATTATTCTTGCTACTTAGTTTTAAAAACATTATTCAAGAGTATTGCCTTATTAAAATAACTTGATGCTTTCTATTTTTTTTTTCTCCTTAAAACATAAAAGCTACAGATTCTCGTTGACACTGGAAGCAGTAACTTTGCCGTGGCAGGAACCCCGCACTCCTACATAGACACGTACTTTGACACAGAGAGGTAAGCGCTGGCCCCTTGGCTGGTGTGCTGGGCCGGGGCACTGCATGATCAACATGCTTCAAAATGCACCAGAGCATGACAGCCAGAAAGCTGTTTCATTTTAAGGGGGATACCAATATGTATGTGTATGTATACACACATGTGGACATGTGTATGCATATGTACATGTTCATTCCATCCACAAATCCACAGCAGGAGTCTCCTCATGGCCTTCACGCATTTACATGAGATTCATTTTCTAAAAATCCAAGTCAAACACAACTCCTTTAGTTATCCCAAGTCGCAGGGAGCTTGTGGCCCTTTGGTGTTTATTGCAGCAGCTTTAGTTCTGCAGTGGAGGTGGGCTGGAGCAGGGGACGAGGTCTTGGGAGTCTGTGAGGCCACTCTGGCCGAGGGTGTGGGTTTGCTTCCTCAGCTGAAGGGATACATGGAAACCCACCTTTGCATAGTTCAGTAGGGGTTACGGTGTGGTTCATGGAAGCCATTTCTGTGGGTTGGTTTGCAACACTCATTTGGAAGAGTGAGTTTTGTGAGCACAAAGTATTAAGGGCCAAGACTGGGGCTGCACATGAGCAATTATGGGGTGGAGTTGAGAAAAAAAAGTGTAGCCTGATGGAGGTCTCTGGAATAGAACAAGCCTTGCCCATGCAGGCTTCCGAGCAGCCCTGGGTGGGGTTGTGGGGAGGCCCCCAGCGGCTTGTGGCAGCCTTCAGCTCTGCAGGAGCCCGTGGGGTCTAGAGTCACCGCCCTCTGTGAACTGGAAGCTGCTCTAATGCTGTGCACGTTTTGATGTCACAACTATTTTTACGATTCTGAAATTTAAATTCAACAGACAGCCAGGTAAATTTAAATTCAACGGACAGAACAGGTAAATTTAAATTCAACGGACAGAACAGGTAAGCTGACATGCTGGTTTGTTTTTTAGGGTCATGAACCTTCTAGAGGCTCGGAACTGTCACATTAGGTTTCCCTACTGTAAATTCTTTTCCTGACTTCCCTTTCTCGCTTTCCTTATCCTCAGTGTTTTGTTCCGGGAAATAAAGGCCAGCTCTAGTTGGGGACAAAAGGAGGGGGAAAGAATAACTGAAGTCTTCTGAAAATGCCAGGCAATTTAATAAAGCCAGATGATTTGCTGTGTATGAAAGAAAGCATAGAGGAAACCCTGTATATCTATGCTACCTACACCACATCCTGGGCTCCACTTTGGTGCCATAAATGATGGGGCCTCCTGCACGTATGGCTGCAGGTGCTTGCTGGGGAGAGGGCTGTGGTGGCCAGTGCTCTATGAGGCTTCAGAAAAATATGGCTGGCCCCTCCCTCAAGGAACCTATAGCTTGGTTTATGGCTTCATGTGTTGGTAAGCTTTCTTCATTGATATTCCCGGATACAACTCCTGCCTATGATCACTATGTGCCCAGCTGTTGCTATAACCACAAACGTGTGTAGAAGTCGTGGTGGTGTTTCTCTCTGTGTGTGCAGCAGAGGTTTGGTTTACGATGGCTTATGCTGCCCCGTCCCACTCAGATCTGTGATTCATCCAAGTCCTCAGTCCCCAAACAGCCCTCACCTCCAACTGTTCACTCTGGACTGCTCATCATGGAACAGGACTTGGAGTTGGTCCAAACCCCTCATTTTGATTCCTGCGGCACAGGAGTTCAGAGAGACAGGGGACTTGCCCAAGTTCAAGCTTTGAGGCCAGCAGTCCCCAAACCTTCAGCCAACACCTGCTTTTTATAACAAGTGCTTTGTCATTCCCTGAAGTAAATGCAAAGGTCATATGACTTATCTACATACACAGCTCAAAGTGCCCTGACGTCATATGGGGGGAATACAAGGGAAGTAATGTATAACCGGCTAATCAGTACCTCAGTACGTGAACACTCTGGCTCCGTGGTGCTGGTAGACCACGCAGTAGGCAGATGCTGGAGGTGAGTTAACATCACCATGGACATGTACACCCAGTGTAGACTGATCAAGGCAAGCTGACTTACACTCACACACCCCAAGCAGCTCAGCTTGCTGTCTTAGACTGTTGTGCTGCTATAAGAGAATACCCAAGGCTGGGGAGTTTATAAAGAAAAGAGGTTTATTTGGCTCATGGTTCTGCAGGCTGTACAAGAAGCATGGTGCCAGGCTCTCAGGCTGCTTCCAGTCATGGTGGAAGGTGAAGCAGAGCCAGTGTGCAGAGATCACATGGGAGAGAGGAAGCAAGGGTAGGGGAAGGACGTGCCAGACTTTTTTTCAACAATCGATCAGCCCTCCCTGGAGCTAACAGAGTGAGATCTCAGTCATTATTATGGGCAAGGCACAAAGCCATTCTTGAGAGATCCGACCTCACTACGCAAACACTTTCCACCAGGCCCCACTTCCTACACTGGGGATCAAATTTCAACATGAGAATTGGAGGGGACAGATATCCAAACTCTATCAGTTGCTGATGTGATTTTCCAGAATGGACAAGAATCTTAGGAAAGTTCCAAGAAAAACAGAAAGAGAATCAGCTTCCCTGGATTTCCATAGTAGCGAATATGCAATGTATACTAAACCTGTGTAGAAAAGATGGTATGCATATGTGAATGGGAGGTGCATTCTGTGCTCATATGATCCAGCAGATTTCACCCATGTTGATGCCCAGAGCGACTTTGGAAAGTGGTGTGGGATGGGAACAATACTTCATTTTGCATGACTGCCCTTCACATTCCAGGATAACCAGCATGCTTATCAAACACACCCCCAAAGTTTCCAAAACTTCCCCTAGGGGACAGGACCTTCCCCATTGAGAACCGCTTATCTGAATAGTCCCTGATAGTCCCAGCCCTGTGTTGTTTCCACTGCTGGGCTCTAGTCTGTACGACACGTTTTCCACGTTTCCCCCTCACTGGGGCTCAGCACACAGGGGCAGAACCAACACACGTGGAGCTTGCATTTCCTCGTTTAGCAATTCTTTCCCACTTAGAATAGGTTTTTCTCTCATCATCTGTAGATGCAAGATACAACAGAAAGAAGCAGTAAAGCACAGTAAAGTCAAGGTTAGGGTGATGTGGATGGTGACTTTCCAGATTTAAAGGGAACCATGCAAGTCAAGCCCTGTGGATGGCTACTTTTTTCATGGCAGATAAATAGCAGTTCTGTGGCAGCCGCTCATCGCCAGAGTCCATCAAGGTCAAAGTATGCTTCTCAATCCACACATCCTTTCGCTATGCAGAGGCAATTGTTGAAACCTTCAAGGGTAAATAATACTCTGCATTATCAAGACTATGTGCAATATTTCATCAACCGTAGACAACCCACCGCATCTTTCTCAGCTCCCTTCAACTGTGTTCAGTGTTTGGTTGAGCTGTGGTTCTCTTTCAGGCTACCGTGGGACACATCTCTCTTACTTACCTGCTAGCCCTGTTTTGCATTCAAGTGGCAGATGGTTCCTGTTTTCCATCCTTTGGGCTTCTCTAGTCCATATGCATTTGATGAATATGAAAACTGGGATCATCCAGAACTCATTTGATGACTAAGCCTTCCCTCCTGCTAATCTCACAAGATAATTCAGGATTTCTTGCCACCATTCTGACCACTCAAGGTTCTGATCTGTTTCTTCTTTTGTGGGTAAATAAAAAGAGAAAGAACACACCAGTGTCTGGGGAAAGCCCCTCAATGGTTGGTTTCACCCCATTGCCACTTCCACCATTCAAATTCAGTGTACCTTCCTTATTTGCGAGTACTGCAGAGACTGACTTATTACATATAACACATCACGCACCTTTTGGGTGTCTACCCTGGTACCGCCTTTCTTTTCAAGAGACCATTCTTCAACAGAACTGTAAGGTTTCTTCTTGGCTGAATCAGATGTGACGCATCCCACTTCTGCGTTTGAGGCGAGTTCTATTCCTTCAGCTGCATCCCTGCTACCATGCTTGCTTTGCAGATTAAATTCTTAGATTGATATTAACTTGTTTCCTTTTATCTGCTTTTTACATGCTTTATTATGGTTGATATGCTTTATGATTGAAAGATATGAATATTTTCTTTCAATGTCAATTATGTATAATTAATTTGTCTAATGCTTTCGTGTAACTTTAGAGCTGGCCTAAGTTATACTTTCAACCATTGTATTTGATGGGAGCCAAGAGACTGTCCTTTTGCCTTCTCAATTTTTGACAAAGGTTTCTTTTCTGAGCTGCAGCTCTCTGCCCTGTGATGTGTCTGTATTTGCTTGTGCTTCTGATCTCTCTTAGTTATAATAAGGTTCTGGTTGGGTTTGTCCGCCTCTGATTCACGTCCTCAGTCTTTGGATATTCAGGTCTAATGCTTCCTGAAACATGTTACAGTAATTGGAGATTTGGCGTGGGGTTCTTTGACAAGATCTCTTTGATTTATGGAATGAGATGTCAGGCTACCATTAGTCATTTGTGAGCTCGTCTTTATCAGAATCCATCTTTTCATGGTGGTGAATGTTCCAATGAGTTACTATAGAGCAAAAAAAGAAAAAAAGAAAAGAAAAGATCATGTATTTTTTAAATGTACATCTTTTTTAGCCAATAAAATCTCACCTCCAGCTAGTTGGCTTGAAGAGAGATCCAGTATACTCATCCCTTGACCCTCCACGAATCTATTCAGGAGATTAAGTATATTTCCATTAAAATGTCTCCTTACTTCTGTACTATATCCGGGTTGAAGCTCACAGAGCAAGAGACCAATTTATTTTCCTCAACTAATGTTTGTAAGGGACTTCTTTAAGGAGGCTAAACTGGATACAGATCAAATGGCTTTCCATTCAATGAGGACAGATATTTTTACCTGATTATTGAGATCATTTCTCAAGCATGTCCATCATTTGCCTAGTAGAAGGGGACTTGCTGTTTTGGAGCCTGTGAGCATTTAACGTTATTGAGGATGTTGATGAACCGCCAGGCTGGGCAGGCTGAGCTGACCCTGAACCTCAGGGGGTCTCATGCATTCAGGTCTGGTGACTTCGAGAATCACAGAAGATTAAGAGGGGCATCCGGTCACCTGGGCCAGGACAGTAAGCCCACGGGTAGATTTCAGACCCTGAGAGCCCCAGGGAAGTCCTGAGCAGAATTCTTTAGGAGACTCAGCATTCCCTGGGTCGAATGGCTTAGGAGAACCAGAGCTGACCCAAGGATTGAACTCTAGAATTCTGCACATCCACCTTCTCTTTTCGTGTTCTCTGCAACCAACAGCAGGTTTCTTTTGAAATAATAAAACGTTCTGTAGCTCTTTTCCCCTCAGTTCAATTGATTTCACTTTTTAATCCTGCATTCCCTGAGCACTCTTATCAGAGGCAGAACATCTTCTGAATTTGGTTCAAAGTGTTTTTATTACTGTGAGCAGGCTTTTTCCTGGCCACCCACATCCCTGATTGATTGCTGTTTCTGAGCACCCAGAATGGACATTGCCAAGGAGAAGCCCATCCAGGTTTCTTGCTCCATGTATTTAATTATTGTGCAGAGCAATTGAGAGCCAAAGCATTTTAGTCGCAAGAGGTGGGACGTTAGAAAATGAAGATGAAGGCATGTTTTTCATTTAAAGTGCTGGAAACTCTACGCTAATAATAACCCCTAGAGTCACTTATGAATGATTCTTCTCTGGGGTTTTACTCAGAGGTTTAGTTCAAGGAACCCAGAGAATATGAATATGAACTGAGAATTACCTTTTTTTTTTTTTTTTTAACATTATCTAGGACTGTGCTTTCTACAAGGCTAGCCACAAGTCACATGTGGCTATTTAAATTTAAATGAATGTTAAATAGAAGTTCGGTCTTTCAGTTGCACTATAATCGCATTTCAAGTGTTCATTAGTCACAAGCGGCCAGCGTATTGGGCAGGATATTTCTGTCGTCACAGGAGGTTCTGTTGGACAGCGCTGGTGCAGGGCAGAGAGGAACTCTGCCGTTTAGACACCGGTTGCACAAGAGCTTGAAGCGTCACCACCTCGCCTTGACCTCCTTAGCTGAGACACCCCACACACACTTGCTCCTTTCATGGGGTGGTTGGACTTTAGAATGAGACAGCTTTAGATTCAGTAAGAGTAGCTCTATAGGAGCATTTTCCAGAAAACAAACAAACAAACAAAAACATCCTGATGATATGCTTTGGGTGCAAATCTCATGTTGAAATGTGATTCCCAGTGTTGGACCTGGGGCCTCAGTGGAGGCATTTGGGTCATGGGGACAGATCCCTCATGAATGGCTTGTTGCTCTCATCAAGGTGATGAGTGAGTTCTTGCTCCGTTAGTTCACATGAGAGCTGGTTGTTTAAAGGAGCCAGGCACCTCCTCCTCTCTCTCTTGCCCCAGCTCTCACCATGTAATGTACTGTGTCCCCCTTCGCCCTCCACCTTGAGTGGAAGCTTCCTGAGGCCTCACCAGAAGCAGATGCCAGCAACATGCTTCATGCACAGCCTACAGAACCATGAGCCAAAATCATACCTCTTTTCCTTATGAATTATTCACCCTTGGGTATTCCTTTATAGCAATGCAAACATGGCCTAACAGACTTGAATTTTTTTTTTTTTTTTTTGAGACAGAGTCTCGCTCTGTTGCCCAGGCTGGAGTGCAGTGGCACGATATCGGCTCACTGCAAGCTCCACCTCCCGGGTTCATGCCATTCTCCTGCCTCAGCCTCCCGAGTAGCTGGGACTACAGGCGCCCGCCACCACACTTGGCTAATTTTTTGTATTTTCAGTAGAGACGGGGTTTCACCGTGTTAGCCAGGATAGTCTCGATCTCCTGACCTCATGATCCACCTGCCTCGCCTCCCAAAGTGCTGGGATTACCAGACTTGAATTTTCTAATAATAACTCATAGCCTGAAAAAAGGCAGCAAATGATTAATTATAATAATAGCAGCTATTTTGTGGCATATCTCCTGTGTTCCAAGCTTTTGTTCTACATGCTTTACAATATTAACTCTTTTAATCTGCATAATTAACTTCACGAGGGATGGTATTATATTATCACCATTTTTTAGTTGAGGAAACCGAGGCATAGAGAAATAAATAACTTGGCCCTGGGTCACACAGCTAATAAGGGATTGAACTCATATTTGAACCCAGGCAGTATAACTCCAGCTGCCTCTGCTGTCTCTGGAAATGACACCAAAATATCCAGAGTGCTCCCTCTGTAAGGAGACCAGCAACCTGAGCAGGAAACTAGAGAAGACATGCTAAATAGATATGCAGGCTGGTTCAGGTTCTTACTAACACTACAAATTCTACAGAGTTTTCTATAGCCTGGACAGAGTGAAACTAAACTTTTCAAAAGGAAGTCATAGCATTTTAGACTGTTTAGGAAAGATACAATTACTCTACCAGGGCTGGGCAAGGTGGCTCACGCCTGTAATCCCAGCACTTTGGGAGGCTGAAGCAGGTGGATCACCTGAGTTCAGGAGTTTGAGACCAGCCTGACCAACATAGTGAAACCCCATCTCTACTAAAAATACAAAAATTAGCTGGGCATGGTGGCATGCGCCTGTAATCCCAGCTATTAGGGAGGCTGAGGCAGCAGAATCGCTTGAACCCAGGAGGCGGAGGTTGCAGTGAGCTGAGATGGCAGCATTGCACTCCAGCCTTGGTGACATAGCGAGACTCCATCTCAGCAACAACAAACGATTACTCTACCAGACCAGGTAGTATGGTTTGGCTGTGACCCCACTCAAATCTCATCTTGAATTGTAGCTCCCATAATTACCATGTATTGTGGGAGGGACCCAGTGGGAGATAATTGAATCAAGGGGGCGGTTTTTCCCCATACACTGTCTTCGTGGCAGTGAATAAGTTTTACGAGATCTGATGGTTTTATAAGGGGAAATCCCTTTCACTGGCTTTCATTTCTCTCTTCCCTTCCCCATGTAAGACATGCCTTTCACCTTCCACCATGATTGTGAGGCCTCCCCAGCCACGTAGAATTGTGAGCCCATTAAACTTCTTTCTCTTTATAAATTACCCAGTCTTAGGTATGCCTTTATCACAGTGTAAAAACAGACTAATACACCAGGAGTTGGCAAACTCTAGCCCATGAGCCAAATCTGACCTGCTGCCTGTTTTAGTAAATAAAGTTCTATCAGAACACAGCCATGCAGCTATGCAAGTTTACTTACACATTGTCTGTGGCTGCTTCCACATTACGTTTGAGAGCTGAGTAGTTATCACAGAGATCCCATGGCCTACAAACCTAAAACGTCTATTATTTGTTTCTTTATGGAAAGAAATTGCCAACCTCTGTTCTAGATCCTATTCTCCAAGCATTTCAAGATAATTAGTCTTTGTATATTTCTGAACTTGAGGAATGAACCCAAATTGTCAAAATGGACTGAATAATTCAGTATTTTTATTGCTATTCAACATAAGCGTGTTCATCTCCTCCCATGTGGCAGGCACATCTGAATTTATATTGGCACTAACACTTGGCATTCCGCCAATCTTCAAATACCCCATTTCAAAGACCTGACTGCATGTTACCTGGGTAATTTCTGGTGGATCCCTTAGTGCTCTAAGGACCCTCTGTGGTCACTTTTCTGTTTTTGTACCTGCCCATTGTCGGGAGATCTGCGCACAGAAAACATTCACTGAATGCCTCTCTTACTTTATGATCACGGTGGAGTGAACCAAGATAGTAGGCAAATATTAAAAGCCAACCATCTTTATATTCTGTACCCCATTATGAAGTTAGAATCAGCTGTTTCCCCCAAATCCGTTTGCCAGACCTTCGTAAAATAACATATTTCTCCTGATTATAAAAATAATGCATGCAAACATGGAGGGACCTAACCACAAGAATAGGAGTCCTCCCACCTCCAATCCTGCCACCCCAGCTGGCCACTGTTAATATTTGAGTGTAATAAATAGTTTTGAAGGAGAGTCTGTCTCATTGACGTATTTTTCTTTTAACTTTTTCTCTGCATCATTTAAAATTTCTTAGAAAAAGAAACATTTTTCCCTTGGCACATAATAGCGCATCATATGGATATGCTGTAATTTACTGAACTGTTTCCTTGTTACTGAGCATTTGGATGGTTTCCAGCTGTTTGCTGTTATACATAAAACATCACGACCATCCTGGCACATGAACCTCTGTCTGCTTCCTGGTGTCTCCTTAGGGTCAGATTCTCAGAAGTGCAGTTACTGAATTAAAGATAGTTAACATTTTTGATGCTTATGAGATATACCAAGAATGAGTTAATGAATAAAAGGCCAGATAGGGTGGCTCATGCCTGTAATCCCAGCATTTTGGGAGGCTAAGGTAGGAGGATTACTTGAGCCCAGGAGTTTGAGACTAGCTCGGGCAATATAATGAGACCCTGTCTCGGCAAAAAAAGAAAGAAAAATATTAGTTGGGCTTGATGGTGTGCACCTGTAGTCCCAGTTACTCAGTAGGCAGAGGTGGGAGGATCTCCTGAGCCCAGGAGTTCAAGCTACTGTGAGCCATGATTGCGCTATGGCACTCCAGCCTGGATGACAGAGCAAGACCTTTTCTTTAAAAGAAATAATAAATGAATGAATGAATGAATGAATGAACAAATGATCATGTCATCTCCAAACTTCTTTACTGACCTTAAGCAAGACTGCACTAGTTCATGTAATCCCACAACAAAGACTTATTAACACGTGTTAATGTTCACAGACTGATTATTAAAACAGAGTGAAATCAAGCCTGCAGGTGAGCAGGATCGCTTTAGTATGATCTACTGGGTGATTTGATATTTAGCTTAGAATTGTGATTATTTTCTTAGGAGGAGCATGGTTTGAGTTCATAGACATTTGCCTAGAGATGTTTCTTAGGTTCCTTCCTATATTCCAGCAGTTTTCAAACTCAAATGGGCATAGGAATGACCTTATAGGGTGGGACTCCCCAGGGCCATGACACCTGCTGTCCTCTCTCCACAGTGCTCTACCCCTAGAGAGCCCCAGGTCTCACTGTCTTCATTCAGGTCTCATGCAAACATGGTTGGATCCAAGAGTTCTCTCCAACCACTGGGTCACTTGAGGTCCCCTTGCCTGCTTTGTTCCCTGGGTGGCTCTCGTCCCGTAACCACCATTCCCGCATTCATTATCTCTCCTCACTGCAGCATAAACTGAGGGGGCAGGACTTTCGTCTGATCTTGTGAATGTCGTTCTGCGTCAGTAGCTCTTACCTCCAGGGCCACGTGAGTGTCAGGCTCTCGGTCATGTCACAGTGATTCATGTTCTGGCATGCCATTAGCGTCACTGCCCATATTTTGGTGAGAGTATAATCACCTTTGGGGCATTGGGGGAGAACCTTGAGAAGGACCTGTGACATGAAGGACCTGGGCTTCAGCAGGTAGGGCTTGGTCATTATTTGTCACATGAGTTGTATGTGTGAACCTGAACTCCAGCTGCTGCGGGCACAGGCTGGTGGAGCCTCCCTCTGGGATGCCGGCACCTACCCGTGTCACACAGCAGCAGCACAGCAGCCCTGCAAAGCCGGAGGGCCAGGCAGGTGCCAGATTGGGTTGTGTCCTTCAAAGGGTCGTGTCCTACGGTGGCCAAACAAAGCACCTGACTTATAGGGTTTAACTTGGGTATAGTGAAAAATTAAACTCCAGCCACATGTTTACACCAGTGCGTCCCTTCCACATGACATGGAAAACACTGTTACCAAAACATTAGCGATTATGTTTTTGGGGGAAGCTGTCACTTTGTTAACATTGATGCTGTTCATGATAAAGAATGGCTTACAGGCTTACAGTAGACTTTCTGTGTTTAGGATAGCTGCCTTGGACACGGCAACCTTATCTTCATGGTTCGGGAACATGGATACATAAGAGAATGCAAGGGGCTTAGCCGGGCGCAGTGGCTCACGCCTGTAATCCTAGCACTTTGGGAGGCCGAGGCAGGCAGATCACAAGGTCAAGAGATCGAGACCATCCTGGCCAACATGGTGAAACCCCGTCTCTACTAAAATTACAAAAATTAGCTGGGCGTGGTGATGTGTGCCTGTATTCCCAGCTACTCAGGAGGCTGAGGCAGGAGAATCGCTTGAACCCGGGAGGCGGAGGTTGCAGTGAGCCAAGATCCCGCCACTGCACTCCAGCCTGGGTGACAGAGCAAGACTCCGTCTCAAAAATAAATAAATAAAAATAAAATAAAATAAAATGAATACAATATGCTTTTCTTTTCTTTCTCCAGGTCTAGCACATACCGCTCCAAGGGCTTTGACGTCACAGTGAAGTACACACAAGGAAGCTGGACGGGCTTCGTTGGGGAAGACCTCGTCACCATCCCCAAAGGCTTCAATACTTCTTTTCTTGTCAACATTGCCACTATTTTTGAATCAGAGAATTTCTTTTTGCCTGGGATTAAATGGAATGGAATACTTGGCCTAGCTTATGCCACACTTGCCAAGGTAAGGCTAATCCATGGATTTAAGGAAATCAAATAACAGGATGAGATTCTGAAAATCAGTCATTAAAGGGCTGACACATGAGTCTTGGGCTGTTCTTGGAGACAGTGAGAACCACGTGGTGGAAACAGACCAGCATTCACACAATTATATTTCCAAGCATTTTTTAAATTGAAGGTAAACAGCATGATTCTTGGAACCTTCCTGTAAGACAGGCAATAGCATTAACTTTTTGTTTTATTTTCGTTTTATAGTTTAAAATGTTAACAGAATTTGAATCATGTAGATTGTGGTGTGTGTTTAGGAGTTTTTACTAAGGTGGGATTAAAAGAAAACACATTTATTAAATTCATACGTTTGCGTGAAGATGGAGCCTGCAGACGGCCCTGGAATGCAGGCAGGGGGTGGTGCCCTCCGCCAGGCTGGGACGTGGCCTGTTTTCCTGGCTCTGCAGGGGACACCTCCGAGGAGACACCCAGCATGGGAATATGGGCAGCCTGAAGGCATGCCCTGGGGAGAGCCAGCCCTTCCCAGTGGTGGTGAGCCCCAGAGGAATTGTGGAACCCTGCTCTTGCCATCACCAGAGCCTCCCCACATGGGGAAAGACAGAATTGGATGTTCACCAAATATTTGTACTTGGGGCCTACCCAAAGGAAATATGTCTGTATGCAGGAGGAGGGAGGCAGGCAGGGGAATTTCCACCTGGAGGCATTGCCAAAGGCAGGCGGGAGTAGACGCTAGGGGTGTGTGCAGGGCTCCTGGAGTCCACATGGGTTTGTATGTTTATTGCGGCATTATTCACAATAGCAAAGACTTGGAACCAACCCAAATGTCCAACAATGATAGACTGGATTAAGAAAATGTGGCACCTATACACCATGGAATACTATGCAGCCATAAAAAATGATGAGTTCATGTCCTTTGTAGGGACATGGATGAAATTGGAAATCATCATTCTCAGTAAACTATCACAAGAACAACAAACCAAACACCGCATATTCTCACTCATAGGTGGGAATTGAACAATGAGATCACATGGACACAGGAAGGGGAATATCACACTCTGGGGACTGTGGTGGGGTGGGGGGAGGGGGGAGGGATAGCCTTGGGAGATATACCTAATGCTAGATGACGAGTTAGTGGGCGCAGCGCACCAGCATGGCACATGTATACATATGTAACTAACCTGCACAATGTGCACATGTACCCTAAAACTTAAAGTATAATTAAAAAAAAAAAAAAAAAAAAAAAAAGAACTGCAGAAGGAGACCAGCTCTCCTGGCCCTGTACCTGGGTACCACGCCCTGGCCTCACCTTGCTCAGCGTTAGGCTTGGAACCAGAGCTATGTGTGGAAGGGAACAGAAGTGATTGCTGGAGCAATAGGCCCCCACTGTCCCATGAGGATAATCTTCCCATCGTGGAAGAACATTTGTTCCAGCTCAAGTTTATGAGCAGATGGGGGTGGGGTGGGGAGGGCAAGAGGAAGTTTACAGCCCTTGGCCCCTCCAAGGAGACAGAATCACAATTACTGAGAGCCTATTAGGCCCTAGGCTGAGAAGATACAAGATAAGATGTGGGTCACTCAGTGCTCAGGACTCCCCTGTGAGGCATACTTTGTAAGGTCATATTCTCCCCATTTTCTTTTTCTTTTTACTTTTTTATTTTTTTGAGAGAGAGTCTCACTCTATTTCCCAGGCTGGAGTGCAGCAGTGTAATCTCAGCTCACTGCAACCTCTAGCTCCCGGGTTCAAGTGATTCTCGCACCTCAGCCTCCCAAGTAGCTGGGACCACAGGCACATGCCACAACGCCTGGCTAAGTTTTGTAGTTTTGGTAGAGATGAGGTTTCACTATGTTGGCCAGGCTGGTCTCAAACTCCTGAGCTCAAGTGATCCATTCACATCAGCCTCTCAAAGTGTTGGGATTGTGGCATGAGCCACCGTGCCTGGCCTTATTCCCCCCATTTTCAAGATGTGGGGATTGAGGATCAGTGAGCTGTTGCCCCTTTGAAATCAGGCATGGAGCTTCTCACTGTCTGCAGAGCCAGGGCTGGCTCATGAACCTTTTGTCCTCTGTATCATAGATAATTGCAGACGCATGAAAACTTCCGTTCCTAAATACATTTTCAAAATGCTTTATCTGTATGTGACTGGAAATGAAAGATGTATATGACTGGTTTTATGCAAATTGTTCCGAAGATGATAGAGTAAACCTAAATTGCCTGGAATTAATAATATGTAAAGATTCTGTGAGAACAGACCCCTTCGGGGTTTGCTCAGACCTCCTGACTCTCCGTGCGACATTTTATCTTTTCATTTATGAAATTCCAAGATTACTGACAATTGGCTTCCCATTTCCAGGGTTTGAGGAGACAGCAGTAGGACTCATAGGAAGCAGAATGTGGCTGGGAACAGGGCCTGCAGGGTGAGCTGGGCAGACTGCCCACAGGGGTCTCTGAGACAGGTGGGCTGAGCGCTCTGCAGTGGTCAGGTTGTGTGGTGGCCCCTGGTCCATTCCAGGGGCTTCCTGTCAAGGCTGTGTCAGGAACACCTACTGGGCTTCTAACACTATAGCTGCCTGGGCCCCACTGCTGCTGAATCAGGTTCTCTCAGGGTTGGTTGTGGGCACCTGGATGCTTTTAATCCCTAGAGGGATCCCGAGGCACAGCCCTAGTGAAGGACTTGACAGAATGATTGCAGCTCCTTCGCTGTGTGCGTGTGCCAGGTACTGCTCCAAGTGCTTTACAGGTATTGGCCCATTTAAGCCCCAGAGCGGCTCCAGGCAGCTGCCCTTATCCCTGTTTCACAGGGAAGGAAGCAAAGGAACAAGTCACTCGGCTGGCAAGTGGCAGAGCCTGTCTCCCATCGTGTTTGCTTTGCTTTACCGCCTCTCAAGAAGGTGGGTAGAACACCAGCTGGGGGCACCCCCAGGCCCACCCTATAATCCCAAGAGGTGATTTTGTCTCACTGGTTGACCCAAACGCCCACAAGTGTTCTGACAGAGATTGCATATGGAAATCGTGCTAGATTCTGCCTCGGAATTCTGCAGAAGCTGAGATGAAACAAGTAGGAGGTCAAACACAAATGGACTACACCAATGGGAAGATCTGTATCTATTCCATGGTGGAGTTCCCCTCTCACTCCCTCTGGAATCACAGTTTTAGTTCTCACGGATAGTAAATAATCATTCCTGTGAATGACCATGGGCACCCAGGGGATGCCTATAGCGTCTGTGCTACTATAGTTAATTACATTTTCATCAAAAACTAACAACTCATGGTCACCAACTCCAGTGTCTCCCAGTTGTCAAAGCCAAAATCTAAACTCAGGTCTATCACTGACTTCCTACATGACCACCGGCACCCCTGGCACACCGGCACCTCACAGCTGTTTACGGACCTTCCCGCTTCCCTTTGAGTCTCTCTGGAGAAATGAGGGCATCCTCTGTATGTCTTGCTGGATGTGAGGGAGACACAGAGCACACGAGGGCTTCTGAAATCTGGCCTTGGGGGAATAAGAAGCCTTTTATGCTTCTGGAGTATAGATTTGTGCCTTTCCTGCTTCTTTCCTGCCAGAGTTCATCTGGCAGAGCTAAGCCTCACCCCAGGCTCTGGGGTCCGGGGGATACTGTCCTCCCAGGTCAGCCACCTCTCATTTGCATGGTGGACAGCTGCGGCTGACAGGCAAACAAAGATGTCTGCGGCCATGGCAGCTCCTAGAGAAACTCTTCTCTCCTTACTCTCAAATGCCTAAGATTAGGATCCACCACCTGCCACGGTAACCTACTTCCACGGCTTCTCACACCCCCTCACAAGGCAGTCATGATGATAGATGTGACTGCGTCGAATGGCTTCCAGAAATATGATCTTATTTGTACAACAGAGCCGTGCCCAAAGGAAGAATGCCAACCAGTGGGAAGCTCTGCTGGGGCTTTCTGAATTCCTAGACCCAATCACAAGCTGGTGTACTGTTGAACCATGAAAAAATTGAGTATAAACACCAGGAATGTCTGTGGCGCGTGGCGTCTACACTGGGTGACCCATGTCTACACTGTGAGTCCTAAGCGGGTGCCCCTCTCTGTCGCCCTCCCGCAGCCATCAAGTTCTCTGGAGACCTTCTTCGACTCCCTGGTGACACAAGCAAACATCCCCAACGTTTTCTCCATGCAGATGTGTGGAGCCGGCTTGCCCGTTGCTGGATCTGGGACCAACGGAGGTAGTCTTGTGGGTATCTTTTAGTCTTAAAGGGGCGAAAAATCACAGATGGATGGGCTGTTTTTTTCTGTTTTATTAAACACCTGAGCAGAAATATTAGGCATGTAGGTGTGCGTAGGTACTGTAAAACTTTCATCCTCCTTGTAGTAGATCTTTTTAGAAATGGCTAAAATTAGGCAATCCTTTATGTCATCCTGCCATCTGGAAGGATGATTCTCATCGCTTCTCCGAATTCCATTAAAACTTTTCTTTACCGCCCTTGGAAGGGCACTGCTTTCTGTGGGTGGGGGAGGGACAAGTGAGGAGCGGTGGGGGGCGTGGTGAGTGGACCTGACTGTGGGTAGGGGGCCAAAGGAGAGTTCATAAATTTGGCAGGGAAACAGGGGCCCTTGTAGATCCTTTCTCTCTCTCTCTCTCTCAACACACACAGGCACACACGCACCACAGCACAAGTGTTTGCTGCTGAAACAGAATCAAGGCCGTCAGCACTACGGAGGTGCTGGAGCCTGAGCTTCCCTCCAGGGGCCGGCACCCAGACGTCAAAAGTAGTAGGGGACAGGAAGAATGCACTAGAAGGGGGTGCTGCCAGTCCCTTTGCTGTCTGACTATGAGAGGCAGGATCTGCACCCCGGTCCTCAGCTACTTTCATTTGCTACCATTTCCAGGCAGAGGACAGCATAGGATTTATGAGGAAATGTTTTATGATTTTGCACAATGAAGCTTTGATCAGGGAAGTGCTTGATCTTCTGTTCTCTGACCTCCAAGGAACTAAATAATTGTCAGTCAGTGTGGTTAACTGTTTTATTGCATTTCTTTGAAGGAAAAATCTCAATATTGTAAAGCTAAACTTGTATGTACTTTCTTTGGATAAGAGAAACCTCCAAAGCATCTTGATTAGATGAGGGCCTAATACCATCTGACCTTTGCAGACGTGGACCCATAAAATTCCTTGTTTTATTTTATTTTATTTTATTTCATTTATTATTATTTTTTTTAGATGGAGTCTCGCTCTGTCGCCCAGGCTGGAGTGCAGTGACGCGATCTCAGCTCACTGCAGCCTCCGCCTCCCTGTTCAAGCGATTCTCCTGCCTCAGCCTCCTGAGAAGCTGGGACTACAGGTGCGCGCCACCTTGCCCGGCTAATTTTTGTATTTTTAGTAGAGATGGGGTTTCACCATGCTAGCCAGGCCGTTCTCGAACTCCTGACTTCATGATCCGCCCACCTCAGCCTCCCAAAGTGCTGGGATTACAAGCGTGAGCCACCGCGCCTGGCTCCTTGTTTATTTTTTAAGCATTGATATTTGTTTCATGACATTGTCACGAAGTAGAAGCCCTGATTGCAGTGAAGTTTCTCTTTACAAGTGCATGCTTCTCTGTGTAACCTGTTGATATGTCTGTGTATTTTTTCTCTTATACCTGTAAATATTTCCTGTCCCAGGTCTTGGGTGGAATTGAACCAAGTTTGTATAAAGGAGACATCTGGTATACCCCTATTAAGGAAGAGTGGTACTACCAGATAGAAATTCTGAAATTGGAAATTGGAGGCCAAAGCCTTAATCTGGACTGCAGAGAGGTATTTATGCTATGGTCTCTGTTGTGTCTTTCTGTGTATGTCTGGGTCCCTTAAATATGCCAGCTGGAACCCGTAGATGCCAATAGAAGGTACATTACCTCGTAAGATAAAGGCTCATTACATGAAAAGATGCAGGGCCTTGCTGTACAGTAAGTTGAAATCAATTAATTGTCCTCCCTCCCCACCCCAAATATTGCATCCTCCCAACCACTTATCTTCATAGGGCAAAATTACCATTAAATGGTGAGTGAAGAGGACTATCTGAGCTACACCTTTCACCATTCATTCATCTTGGATTGATGGTCCCTAAGCTCAGTTTAAGAGGTTGAAATAAACAGATTTTTAATCAGTGTAGGACAGAGAAGGACGAAAATTAAGCAAAATGAAACCGAAAAGATCATCAGCTTTTATCCTCCATTCACAGCTAGCCTGGCCCCCAGAGTACCCAATTCTCCCTAAAAAACGGTCATGCTGTATAGATGTGTGTGGCTTGGTAGTGCTAAAGTGGCCACATACAGAGCTCTGACACCAAACCTCAGGACCATGTTCATGCCTTCTCACTGAGTTCTGGCTTGTTCGTGACACATTATGACATTATGATTATGATGACTTGTGAGAGCCTCAGTCTTCTATAGCACTTTTAGAATGCTTTATAAAAACCATGGGGATGTCATTATATTCTAACCTGTTAGCACTTCTGTTCGTATTACCCATCACATCCCAACATCAATTCTCATATATGCAGGTACCTCTTGTCACGCGCGTCCATGTAAGGAGACCACAAAACAGGCTTTGTTTGAGCAACAAGGTTTTTATTTCACCTGGGTGCAGGTGGGCTGAGTCTGAAAAGAGAGTCAGTGAAGGGAGACAGGGGTGGGTCCACTTTATAAGATTTGGGTAGGTAGTGGAAAATTACAATCAAAGGGGGTTGTTCTCTGGCTGGCCAGGGTGGGGGTCACAAGGTGCTCAGTGGGAGAGCCTTTGAGCCAGGATGAGCCAGAAGGAATTTCACAAGGTAATGTCATCAGTTAAGGCAGGGACTGGCCATTTTCACTTCTTTTGTGGTGGAATGTCATCAGTTAAGGCAGGAACCGGCCATTTTCACTTCTTTTGTGATTCTTCACTTGCTTCAGGCCATCTGGACGTATAGGTGCAGGTCACAGTCACAGGGGATAAGATGGCAATGGCATAGCTTGGGCTCAGAGGCCTGACACCTCTGAGAAACTAAAGATTATAAAAATGATGGTCGCTTCTATTGCAAATCTGTGTTTATTGTCAAGAGGCACTTATTTGTCAATTAAGAACCCAGTGGTAGAATCGAATGTCCGAATGTAAAACAAAATACAAAACCTCTGTGTGTGTGTGTGTGTGAGTGTGTGTGTATGTGTGTGTGTGTGTATTAGAGAGGAAAAGCCTGTATTTGGAGGTGTGATTCTTAGATTCTAGGTTCTTTCCTGCCCACCCCATATGCACCCACCCCACAAAAGAACAAACAACAAATCCCAGGACATCTTAGCGCAACATTTCAGTTTGCATATTTTACATATTTACTTTTCTTACATATTAAAAAACTGAAAATTTTATGAACACGCTAAGTTAGATTTTAAATTAAGTTTGTTTTTACACTGAAAATAATTTAATATTTGTGAAGAATACTAATACATTGGTATATTTCATTTTCTTAAAATTCTGAACCCCTCTTCCCTTATTTCCTTTTGACCCGATTGGTGTATTGGTCATGTGACTCATGGATTTGCCTTAAGGCAGGAGGATCAGGTCACCCAGGACTCATTCCATCCCTGGGTAGACTTGCCTATGCAGCTGTGCCCGTAGTGGTTGGGGTGGCTCATCTGGTGTTGGCCACTGGTGTCCATTCTCCTCCCTCTGCCACATGAAGAACATTGCAGGTGAGGACAGGGCTGGCAGCGCCTGTGTGTGTCTCAGTCTATGATGCACTGTGGCCCTGGTTCTGTTCCCAGTGCAAATATGGGATGTCTGTTGAAAAATTGTCCATCCTTCTCTTCGTTAGTGAGGTCATAGAGAATTGATTTGTGTACAGTTTGTACAAATGGCTTTTAATATATTTCAGCCTCAAAAGACAAATAGGTCTTCCCTCTGCCCTGGGGCAGGAGTGCAGGTCCTCAATGAAGGAACTTGGGCACCTCTGAGTAAGGAAAGAGCTGTGCCTTGGGAGGGCTATTGATTTGCTAATTTGGGCCGTGTCCCCTCCCTTTCCTGGGTCCATTTCCTTGTCTCTGAAGTGAGCGTGTTGGGTTGGAAGACCCCTGGTTCCCCAGTTCTGAGAACATGAATGAACTACACAGTCCATGATGACTGGTGTGGCTGCCTGGATTTGTGTGTAACAGACAGATGGTGATGGCGGCTAGAGCCACGTGGGGCGGGGAGCGCCACTGTCACTCACGCACCTTTCCCTTTCTCTCCCGGTTCAAGTATAACGCAGACAAGGCCATCGTGGACAGTGGCACCACGCTGCTGCGCCTGCCCCAGAAGGTGTTTGATGCGGTGGTGGAAGCTGTGGCCCGCGCATCTCTGGTGAGTCCTCGGGACACTCACGGGTCCCCGAGTTGCTGAGTTACAGTCACCTGCTGAGGAGCAGCACTGCGTGTTCTGAGCATCTCTGAACTATTGCGCCATGTATTTCCAATTTTCATATTGTGTATTTGTATATTTTATATGTAATAGTATAGGTGTAATATGTAAATATATTTTATATGTATTTAAAATCTTTATATTTTGAAGGGTTTTGTTTCAACTATTACTTGTTAATTTCACAGTCCCTTTCTTTGATGTTAGCAAATAGTACCTTCATGAACCTCAGAGGACTTGGATCTGAATGTGCAATGCCCTCTAGTATTTCAAATAATAGTTCAGTTGGTATAGTATTTTTTTAATCTGCAAAAAACAATACTTGCTAATATAGCTATGTTAGAGTAAACAATAAATCGAGAATAAATTTATAGCCTTTGAAACAAAACAAACCAAAAATTTTACTCCTTTTTGGCTTTCATCCCTGCACTGGTATCTTAACTTCTGTTTGTATAAAAGAATACCATTTTTTCACAGAAGACAAAGAACAATCAGCCAATCTAATAATTATTTTATGGCCATGCTCTGAAATACAATTAAAATTATGATTGTGGACAATATGCCTTTTCGGGACCTGGCTGATGGTATTTCTGGTGTGACCCCAACTTTCCAGTCAGTTCAGGGCAATAAACATTGGATACAGGACAGCTTTGGGGATGAAATAGAATTAAATTTAGTGTAGTTTTTGCCACTTTTAGCTGGATGCCTGGCGAGGGGTTTTGTGCCCTCTGAGAGCCTCCGTCTTCTCAACTGAGGGGTGGTTGTGAGTTTTGGGTCAAATGCTTGGTGTTTAGTAGATGCTTGGAGCTTCCATGAAACATGCAACCACGGCGTTGCTGCTATTTGTTCAGATGCGAGAGGAACATGACTTTTGGCTGCCTGAGTGTTCTCATAGCATCTGGGCCTTCCTTGTGAGATCGTCAGAAAGTGTTTCCTGCACAAAGCCTGTACTGCGGCCCTGGCGTGGGGCTGATTGTCCCGCTACTCTGCTGTGATGGCTGAATTCAAAGAGTGGCCGATAGGAGCACGTATGGTGGGTGCCTTGTTAACAGCTCATAGCAGAAACGTGACAAGCGGGAGAGGGCTTTGGGTTGTCCTGAACTTCAAACACCTGTAACTGCTGCGGGAAGAGCGGCACGTGGATGAAACGGACACAGAGGGGGAATAGGCAGGAAAGGACGCGGGCTCTTTTCGAAGCAGCAGGTCTCAAGGCGGCCAGCCACTGGCGCAGCTGCAGCTGAAGCCACGGCAGAGTCTCCATCCTTCCCACTATCTGCTGAATCAGAGAAAGTGGCAGGCAACATTTTTAGTGCCTTAAATTTAGAACGCTTGCTCAAAATCAGACCCTACTTAAAATAAGGAGCGATACCCTCATTTCTTAAATAGTAAAAATGCCCTCAGCAGAATTAACGGGAGTATCTTCCAACTTCATATCCTGAATGGAAAAGTCTGTCCACCATCCCGAGGACGTGTTTGAAGCGCAGTGTGAAAATCCAGCACGTCGTGGACCGGCCAGACCCCTGTGCCGTGAGAGGCGGGGCGGCGGGGCCGTGGGGCGCTCGCACTCCCGAGCTCATCGTGGCATGCGCTGAGCCGAAAACCACGAGGTAGAGGGAATGAGATCACAACATTTGTTTGCGTTGTCTAAAATTATCCTCTGATTTCATTCGGTGCCTGCGTCAGGAGGGAGAAACATGGGAAGGTTGTTTGTCTTGGGCAGGGAAAGCATCACAAGGGCGCGTTGTGTGTCTGGCTTACCGTCTCTGGACCAAAGCTGTGTTTGTTTTTCTTATCTACCAGTTCCAGTAAGCCAAACCTCTTGGCGTGGGTTTCCTTCTGGTTAAGGGGAGGGCTGGCTTCAGAGAGTGAAAGACAATAAAAACGTGGAGCTCTGTCCCCTGGCATGGATTGTTCAGATGGGATTCTAGAAATTAAGGGTTTGGAGTTCTGTATTTAGAAATGAACCTGGAGCGGGGAGTGTTGTACAAGGTGCAGCCCATGCAGAGGCACCGAGACCTGGGCTCGTTCCGACCCTGCCGCAGTGCCCGCTTGGCTCAGGCCCAGCGCCTCTCTACGGAGGAAATCCAGACGCAAAATAATACCCGCTTGAAAATGGCTTCTAACTTTAACACTCTGTGATCTGAGGGTCGAAACTGGCTCCCAAGGACACGTGGCTTCACCCCCAGGGAGGCTGCCAGACTTTTGGTTAAGGACCATGGCTCTGGGGACAGTAAGTCCCACATCCGAATCTGAGGTGAGCTCCCCAGGCCAGTCACTTGGCCCCTTGGAACCTCCTTGTCCACCTGCCGTTGGAGCTGGTCATGGCACTATCATCTGAGCTCTGTACCCCGTGTCCCGCTGCAGACCTGGCCACCGAAACTCTTCCCCGAATCCAGCAAAATGACCATCCCACCTCTTCTGAGCATGTCTGAGAAGGGGCTCTCCCTGTGATGCACATCTTCAGTAGACTTCGCTTTTTCACAAAGCAAAGATGCATTAATGCCAGCATTAGAAATTTCACAAATCAATCACAAATGGTCTGAGTGGAGAACATGGGATGGATGAACCAACCACAGGGTGCTTTCTCCCCAGCTGCACGCCCTGGTGAGGAGGGCAGGTGTCTGCAGTGCGCGTGGTTACGTGGCACGTACCACCCCTGATATTCAGTGCGTGGACATCGGCAGATGCATACAGGGGCACCCGCATGTTTTTTCAGTTGTGGTCTTGGCAGCGTTCTGTCCCATTTTCCTGTCTTCTGTTCTAACTATCCTTTTGGTTTCTATAAGACTCTTCTCCCTCCTCCTTGGACTCTCCCTGTCCCTGTGCCCCTCCTCGTGGAGCCTCTTCTTCTGGCCTGAGCCACCTGTTCTTGCTGCACACCCTCCTACGTGATCCCATCCTTAGCCTCATCGATACCTCCTGCTCACCTGTCAGTGCCTCTGGAGTGTGTGTCTAGCCCAGGCCCATCCCCTGGAACTCAGGGGACTCAGGACTAGTGGGCATGTACACTTGGCCTCAGGGGACTCAGGATTAGTGAGCCCCACATGTACACTTGGCCTCAGTGGACTCAGGACTAGTGAGCCCCACATGTACACTTGGCCTCAGGGGACTCAGGATTAGTGAGCCCCCACATGTACACTTGGCCTCAGGGGACTCAGGATTAGTGAGCCCCACATGTACACTTGGCCTCAGGGGACTCAGGACTAGTGAGCCCCACATGTACACTTGGCCTCAGGGGACTCAGAACTAGTGAGCCCCACATGTACACTTGGCTTCAGGGGACTCAGGATTAGTGAGCCCCACATGTACACTTGGACACGTGAACCACATCGATGTGCTGCAGAGCTCAGCCCTCTGCAGATGAAATGTGGTCATGGCATTCCTTCACAGTGGCACCCCTCGTTCCCTCCCCACCTCATCTCCCATTCTTGTCTGTCTTCAGCACCTGCCATGTCCAGCCGGCAGATTCCACCGCAGCATCTTCTGCAGCACCCCCGACCACACACCTCCCCAGCGCCTGCTTGGCCCTCCAGCCCAGCTCCCGCCTTTCTTCCTTGGGGAAGCTCCCTGGACAGACACCCCCTCCTCCCAGCCATGGCTTTTTCCTGCTCTGCCCCACGCGGGACCCTGCCCTGGATGTGCTACAATAGACACATCAGATACAGTCCTTCCTCAGCAGCCGGCAGACCCAGGGTGGACTGCTCGGGGCCTGCCTGTGAGGTCACACAGGTGTCGTTAACTTGCCATCTCAGCAACTAGTGAATATGGGCAGATGCTACCTTCCTTCCGGTTCCCTGGTGAGAGGTACTGGTGGATGTCCTGTGTTGCCGGCCACCTTTTGTCCCTGGATGCCATTTATTTTTTTCCACAAATATTTCCCAGGTCTCTTCTGTGTGCAAGGTATTAGGGCTGCAGCGGGGGCCAGGCCACAGATCTCTGTCCTGAGAAGACTTGGATTCTAGTGCAGGAGACTGAAGTGTATCACACCAATCAGTGTAAATTGTTAACTGCCACAAGGAGAAAGGCCAGGAAGGAGTGGGGCATGGTGGTGTTCTAGTGTTACAAGAAGAAGCCAGGGAGGGCTTCCTGGATGAAGTGGCATCTGACCTGGGATCTGGAGGAGGAGAAAAATGTCCCAAAAGAGCAGAGAGCCCACCCTAGGCTCTGCACCAGGAGGCAACTTGCTGGGCTTATGGAATTCAGAGGGCAAGTGATAAGCAGAAAGTCCTTGGGGGCCACAATTAGGATTTCTGTCTTCTAAAGGGCCTCTGCCCTCTGCTGTGTGACCTTGGGCAAGTTACTTCACCTCTAGTGCTTTGGTTGCCTCATCTGTAAAGTGGTGAGGATAATGCTATCACACTGGTTGAGAATTGAAGTAATTATTGCTGCAAAGGGCTTATAAGGGTGTCTAATACTAGTACTAGTAGGTACTTCATGTGTCTTGACAATTTTAATCATTATTATTTTGTCATCACCGTCACTCTTCCAGGGGACTAATGTCCCTGCTGTTCTGTCCAAATTAAACATTGTTTATCCCTGTGGGCATCTGGCGAGGTGGCTAGGAAAGCCTGGAGCTGTTTCCTGTTGACGTGCCAGACTAGTCATGGTTTCTGATGTGATCTTGTTTTGTCTAGATTCCAGAATTCTCTGATGGTTTCTGGACTGGGTCCCAGCTGGCGTGCTGGACGAATTCGGAAACACCTTGGTCTTACTTCCCTAAAATCTCCATCTACCTGAGAGACGAGAACTCCAGCAGGTCATTCCGTATCACAATCCTGCCTCAGGTATGAACTTGGATTTGTGCTTTGCTCTTTTTATCATGCAAAAGAGAAAGCACTCCATGCATGACACGTGTATTAGATGTCACACCTGCATTAGATCTCTATCACCACAATAATGCTGCAAAAGACAGCCACACATATTACTGCTCCTGAGTCCAGGCAGGGCGGTGTCCCTTGGCCGGGCTCACTCACGTGTCTCTACTCAGCTGGTGGTTGGCTGGGTCCCGGTTGGCCTCCACCCAGGCTGGTGTAGGATGGTCTCACTCACATATCTGGTGGCGAGGTGGATGGAGGAACAGAGCCATGCGTTTCTCTCCATTCAGTGTCTGAGTCACATGTGGTAACAGGGACCTGGGAGAGAGAAAAGAACCACACAGGGGCTCCTGAAGTGTCAGCCCAGAACTAGCCACTATCTCTTCCATGATGCTGCCCAAACAAGCCCAAGGCTAGCCCAGATTCCGAGGATGAGGGAAAAGATGCCCCTCGCACTGGGAGGAGCCATGGAGCCGCATTGCCAAGGGTGTGGCTACAAGGAAAAGGGAAGACCTGGAGACATTTTTGTCACACCTACCACATCACCCTTATACATTTTTCCTGTTTACGTATAAAGAATAAAAGTGGGCTGGGTGCGGTGGCTCACGCCTGTAATCCCAGCACTTTGGGAGGCCAAGGCAGGCAAATCACCTGAGGTCAGGAGTTTGAGACCAGCCTGGCCAACATGGCAAAACCCCGTCTCTGCTAAAAATACAAAAATTAGCCGGGCGTGATGGTGCATGCCTGTAATCCCAGCTACCCCGGAGGCTGAGGCAGGAGAATTGCTTGAACCTGGGAGGCGGAGGTTGCAGTGAGCCGAGATCACACCACTGCACTGCAGCCTGGCGACAGAGTGAGACTCTGTCTCAGAAAAAAAACAAAAAACAAAAAAGAAAAGAAAAAGAAAGAAAAAGAAAAACTAGATTGCCCAAGGTGAAGACATCATTTTTTTCCTATACTCCCAGTACCCACTGACTCCCTCTTTATCCTACACGTCTAATGAAATGGACCACGTCTGTCTTCCTCAGTCCCATTTCTCACCTCTTCCTCCTCCCCTCCGTTACTGAGCCCTTGCGCGTGTGGCTCTCACCAGCACTTCTGTAACCTGCAGAGTGCTGCTGTGCTCCTGAGCCCCCACCCTCTCTTCTTTTTGAAACTGTTGTCAGATCAGTCTTCCTAAACCACCACTTTCACCCGAGCCTCCCCTGCTATGAGTAAGCAGTGCGTCCCCATGATTTAAATGCTCAGGGCTCGCTCCTGGCATCGCTGTCCATGGCCTCCCACCAGACCCCTCCTAGTTCCTCAGTGTTTTCACTGAACCCCAACCCTCTGCTGGGTGGCCACTGACCCTCAAGGCCTCTTGCCTGCAACTGTCTCCTAACCTTTGTTCCACCAACCCCCCTGCCTGAAATGCCCTCCCTTCCTTACTCCGCCCATATATCCAGATTCTTCCCATCCTTTAAGACTCAACTCAAACAACCCAGCTTTTGTTGAAACCATGCCGAGCAGAATAACCCATTTGTGAGGTTGCACCTCCCACTCAGCACGCATATTTTCTGGTCTGCTCATCTGGCATGGAATCTTATCTTTAGGGTACGTTTTATGCTGTTGCCTTTTTCATTTGACTTCTGTTTTCTTAACTTCTATTTCGTTTTCAATTAATTATAAATTCCTTGAAGGTGAGAGCTGTGGGGGTAAAAGATTGTCCTTCCTTCCCCAACGCCACCAGGCCGTGGAGGGAAAGTACATCAGAACTGTTTGTGGAATGGACACATCAATATGTCTTTGTTGCAATTGATGAATTTGAGATAAAGGGAATTGGACTGCAGGGACAAGGAAGGAGGCGTAATTTCAGGAGAAAAAAAGTAAATGGTACTACTGCCTTTTCCCATTTTCATCTTTACGTTGTGGGGATGTGCTTTCCAGAAAAGGAGAGATCTTGGGGAAAGGATTGAAAGCTCCAGGAGAAATTCAGGCCGACAGGAGATACCACGCTCTCAGGAGAGGCTTGAGTAACACGCTCAGCACTGCCCTTCCCTCACACCGTAACTTTGAGCAAAGCATTTAGCCCTGCCTGTGTCTCTTTAACTATAAAGGAGAAACAATAATACCTACCAAAGACATTTTCAGAAGAATGCAGTATCCTTGGATGAATGGCACTGCACTGAATGATATTACAATGCTATGTTTTCAGCATCTTTAAATCATCTTTAAAATCATGTGCTCTTGGCCGGGCGCAGTGGCTCATGCCTGTAATCCCAGCACTTTGGGAGGCTGAGGAGGGTGAATCACGAGGTCAGGAGTTCGAGACCAGCCTGGACAACACAGTGAAACCCAGTCTCTACTAAAAATATAAAAATATTAGCTGGGCTTGGTGGCGGGCACCTGTAATCCCAGCTACCTGGGAGGCTAAGGCAGGAGAGTCGCTTGAACCTGGGAGGCAGAGGTTGCAGTGAGCTGAGATCGTGGCACTGCACTCCAGCCTGGACGACAGTGTGAGACTCCATCTCAAAAAAAAAAAAAAAAAATCACGTGCTCTTGATGATTACATTTTGGCTAGTAGAGCGGCAAAATGTGGACATTATTTCATCAGTGTGGTGTGTAATAATGTCAAAACCCAGCTTGAGGACCCAGGTGTGCACTGCTGAATAAATGTCAGGCACCAAGGACTCGTAAGAAGCAGGAGGAGAAGGCAGGCATTAGGGGGAAACCTCAGTCCAGGTGGGTCACAGCCGGGAAGGCTTGCTTGGCTTCCTCAATAGCTTTTAGGACCCAGCACTGGGCAAGCTCAGGAGCAGAATGAGAGGGGTTTGGGAGCATTTCATCTCATTTGCACATCTCTGCATAAGAATTCATTATTGCTTTCACTTATAATGGTAGATATTTTTTGGTTGTCTTTGACATGTTCAGATTTTTTATTTTTAAAAATCCACTTTGCCTGCTGTTTTCCTGATTTCTTACTCAGCATCACATTCCACTTGCTTTCCATTCCCTTTCTGGGAGGGGACTCCAGTAGGAAGCTGGGAAAGATCACCTGGTGAGACCCCACACGCTCCATGTTTCCCAGCAGAAAGGCTCTGCCCAGCAGCCTTTCTAACACCAGGGGAAACCGCCAGGGTTCTTGTCCTCAGAGTTTTAGGATGGGGCCCTACCTGGGACCTCTCAAACATGAGCCCTAATAAGTGGGCAAACGATTGCTCCTGCAGAAAAGAGTCAATTCGAAAGCAATTACTTTAAACTTTGTCTATACCCAACACTATTTTCCAAAAGCCCATGGGCTGAATCCTATGTGGCCTGTTAAAAAACAGCAGCTGGCAGCCCACAGGGGAGCTCTAAGGTTTCTTCACAGCTTCTACTTTATCCCTACTTGACCTGCTCTTCAGTGTGGTCACATGGCAGCCCCTCCCTGCTGGTCTCCTCTCAGTCTTTTCTGCTCCCTCCAAAATCACCCCTCACAGTCCCTCAAACCCCCTACAGCCAGAAGGCCCAGGACTCTGTGTATTCGTGTGTCTGCCTGTTTCATCCAAGTCTTTCTTCCTGTCTCTGCCCTTTAAGGCTAATCATTACTCACAGGAAGGTTCGTTTTCTTACTCATTTTGCACTCTTGCTTTTCTCCAAACAGGGGCATTTTGTCATACTCAGCTGCTGTACTCTCTAATTGCCTGCATTTGAATTATTTGCTATCCAAAAGCCAAGAAATTGTTACTGCTGGTAGGATATTGATTTGCTCACTGATTGTGTTCAGGTTTGACCCATTTCCCCACATACTCTTGGCTCCAGGGATATCAATGGCCGACTCATCTTCATTTAACACTGCACAGCACCTGTGGGAACTGGCCCTCCTGAATAGCAGAACTGCTGACCCACAGATGCTGTCTTCTCTCTGATGTTGATTACTTCTTCCTCTTTTCACTGAGGAAATTGTCCTGCCTCCGTCAGGCTGCCTACTTTTAAAACTCTGTCTGCCCGAGGGGCGCATGATGAGCTCTGGGCCAGCTAGGAGCCATTGCAGTGGATCCCAAGAGACGAGGACAGTGAGGACTTGGCCTGAGTTGGGCGAGGGAGTGATTTGATTCCGCTTCGGTTTCACAGGAAGGCTCACAAGGGTCTGGTTACAGTCTCCATGCAGGCTAAGAGAGAAAAGGACTGGCCCAGCACTATAGGGCCTGAGTAACTGGGTGAATCATGAATTTACTGAGACAGAGAACTGTGGGAGAGGTCTGATTTGGGGGGAACAGCCAGCATTCAGGTTTTACAGGTTACACGGGAAATGCCGATTGAGAGGTGGGCAGGCAGGCGGACACAAGCATGTGGCAATGGTGGCCCAGGTCTGGGCTGGAGAGGAGGAGTTGGGAGTCTCAGGCTAGATCACGGGGTGACCTAGGGCCATGGGGTGGGGCCAGATGGGTCACCCAAGGAGGGAAGATTGAGAGGAGGCCAGAGCCTGAGAGTGCTCCGATGCTTGCAGGGGAGGAAGATGAAGGAAATCCAATACAGTGCCTGAGAAGGAGCAGCCAGGGAGTTAGGGAGAAGAATGCAGCCCTCTTAGAGTCCAAGTGAAGAAAGCGTCCACACGGACGAAGTGATTAGTGGTCAGCAGTACCCATAGAGGGTGTCTGTGGGGGCACTTCCCGCCCTATGGTTACTGCCTGGTTCCCCCTAGATTGGAAGCCTCGAGGGAGCAGGGACTGTGTGTCATTCACCGTTGTAGTGCTGGTGCAGAGAGCAGCACCTGAGCCATGTGAAGTCCTCAGCAGATAACTGCTGGGCAGATAGCCAGATGGACATGAGGACTAAACTCTGACTTTTTTTTTAATTCTCTTGCCCAAAATTCCTACCTAAGGGGCCTGGGGAGTCCGCTCTACACACCATAAAGTTTCACCAGAAGGGTTTTATTTAACCTTGTATAACATGGCCTGCTTTCCAGCCTAGCTCTGGCATAACATCACATAACAAATAAGGAAAGAAATCAAAATATTTTAACCCCAAATATATTTCCTTTTCATATTTTGAAATTGCCCTGCAGAGTTGTCTCTTGTGAGAAAAATCTACATTGTATAGAGAATCCCCTTTTCCCTTTTTTTATTCTTTCCAGATCTAGAAGATAATCGACTAAGAGTCAGGCAACCTTTTTTTTTTGTTTGTTTGTTTTGTTTTTTTTTGTTTAATACATATATACTTTAAGTTCTGGGGTACATGTGCAGAATGTGCAGGTTTGTTACATAGTTATACAGGTGGCATGGTGATTTGTTGCGCCCATCAACCCGTCACCTGCATTAGGTATTTCTCCTAATGTTATCCCTCCCCTAGCCCTCTACCCCCTGACAGGTCCTGGTGTGTGATGTTCCTCTCCGTATGTCCATGTGTTCTTATTGTTCAACTCCCACTTATGAGTGAGAACATGTGGTGTTTGGTTTTCTGTTCTTGTGATAGTTTGCTGAGAATGATGGTTTTCAGCTTTATCCATGTCCCTGCAAAGGACATAAACTCATCCTTTTTTATGGCTGCATAGTATTCCATGGTATATATGAAGGCACCCTTTTAAATTCTGTAAGACACATTTCACAACCTCTTTTCTTCACAGCCTGCTAACTAAAAGCTTCCTCTGCACAATAAAACTTTGGTCTCTTAATCCAAACATTTCCTTTCCATTGATCCCAGGTTAGATAAACTTAACCAATTATCAACCAGAAAATTTTTAATTTACCTCTAGCCTGGAAGCCCCACTTTGACTTGTCCTGCCTTTCTGAACCAAACCAATGGACATCTTAAAAGTATTTGATTGATGTCTCATGTCTCTCAAAATTGTATAAAACCAGGCTGTGCCCTAACCACCTTGGGCACATGTTCTCCGGACCTCCTGAGGCTGTCTCATGGGCCATGGTCACTCATACTTGGCTCAGAATAAATCTCTTCAAAATATTTTACAGAGTTTGACTCTTTTCATCAGCAAACAGTTGGACAGACGTCTTCTGGGTGTGTGCACCTGTGTGTAACTCCAGGTGGTGCATGTGGGTCACCTGTGCTGTCACTGATCAATAATATTGATCACCATGCTTTTGATCTTCTCTCCTCCTGGATGGCAGGGTGAGATCATCTTTCTTCTCCCGTGACTCCCCCCAGCGCCTGGGAGGGTCCTGAGCATGCGTGTGACCTCAGCAATTTTGTGATACTGCCTGATTTGTGCTTTTTCTTGTTTGTTTGCTCTCTCCTCTCCGACAAACAGCTTTACATTCAGCCCATGATGGGGGCCGGCCTGAATTATGAATGTTACCGATTCGGCATTTCCCCATCCACAAATGCGCTGGTGATCGGTGCCACGGTGATGGAGGGCTTCTACGTCATCTTCGACAGAGCCCAGAAGAGGGTGGGCTTCGCAGCGAGCCCCTGTGCAGGTGAGCGATTCTGGCATCGAACAGGGATCCCCGACAAGAGTCCTTTATGTAAATGTGCTGACTTGGAAGCAATTCTTGATGGCAACTCAATTACCATTGAATTGTTTCACTCATTCCTATCACCAGTGATCAAAATCTTCTCAATAAAATGGGTCATGGGGTTGCTGAGAGAATTAAATGACATCATCCATGTGAAACTTCAGTGCTTGGCACATGGGAAATGCTTACTGAGTGTGAGTCCTGATAGTCACTAGGAGTAAAAATATGCCGTGAAACCTTGGAGTTGAATTGCAATTTTTCGACAGTTTAAGCAAAATGAGTAAGGAAGAAATTTCACACATAAGCCGTGTACATTTATTTGTCCATAAAGCTGTCCTCATTTTGAAATAGGAAATGAACACCTATCGTTGCGATTTCTTGAAATCCTAATATAATGAGACCAAGGAGCCCCTGTTTCTCGTGGGATTCCTTTGAAAGATGTGTGAGGGCAGCCCGCAGCATGACTCTGCAGTCTAGCTGGAGGGTTGGCAGGTCTTCAGAGAAACCAGGATAGCATGAGAAAGTCAAGAGGATAGATAAACCCCATAAGCTTGAAAATGTCTTCAGACTTCACGGTTTGCTTGAAACGGAGTGCTCACACCACACACGGCTTAATGGGAGGATTAGGTATTTCTGACTGAGAGTCCAAGCCTGCAAGGCAGAGGCAAATCACAGAAGTGGGCATGAGATTGAATTGCCGGAGACAAGTGGAGGAAGAGCCTGAATCAGAAAAGTGGTCAGGAGAACGGCAGCCTTTCAAAACAAGATGTCAAGAGACTGAAAAAAAAATGGTACATTGGGTTTGAAGTCAGGAGCAGAATGGAATTCCAAAGTTGTGCTGGTGATATGTGAAAGGAGAGAAAAATTAAGTGTGAGGTCAAAAAAGAATCGATGACAATGAGGTAGAATAGAACAAAATTTGGGAATCGATAGGGAAATACAAGATCACCATGTGGTTGAAGGAAAGGGGGTTTTGTAGGAATTTGATGGATATGAGACGCTGTTGGAGGACAGGTGAGATTGCTGGGCCATCCTGGAAGCCTCAACTCAGACCTTCACTCTGATCTCAACCCAGGTGAAGAGCTGCCAGGATGAGGTACACAGGCAAAATGCCAAGTGATCACAGCTGAATTATTCCAGGAGGGAGAGATTTCAGTTACTATTTTTTAATACCTAAAACATGGTCTTAAAACAGGACTCCTGGTAAATAAAGCAGATAAAGGATGCTTCATTAGCTGACTTTAGCAGAGTGGCCTTTCAGAAAAGTAAAGTAACAATTTAGAGAACAGAAATATTAAAAGGAAAGATTGCAGTGGACTATTAGGCCAATTCATATTCTGTATAAATAAAATCATCCAACCCAGTGTATGTATATGACACATCATGACATGTCTTCATAAATATCTGTGCCGACGTATTTCGCTTTGCATTTGTGAGCAGACTTGGAACCCTTCCCATTGTCATGTTTTTTATCTTTGCTATGTGTAAATGTTTACCTTATGTATGTGCAATAACTCTTTTAGCCTGTTCAGTTATCATTGAGTGAGACCTTTCTCTGTGGCAGCAGGTGGGACTGAAATATCACTGAATTTCCTAACTGTGACTGTTTTACTTCTTTTTAACCAAGAGAATCTAAGAACTTAGGCAATTTTGTCCACAATTTCTGTTCTCTCATTAAATATCATTAAAGTAGAGGCTACTATGGCAACAGCTGTTAGAGGGTCCACTTAATACTGCAGAATCTAATAACCATTTGTTTTCTCAGTGAATTACTGTTGGAAATGGTGTAATATTAGGCGTCTCTAGGCAGGGCAACTTTTTTTTCCCTGAATTTCACTGTGAGTTATTTGCTAGATGCTCTTATATACAGCTTTTGTTCCTTTTTTAAAAATGTACTTGAGCTTTTGGTATTTAAATGTTAGATTTTACCAGCCATGGGAAAATACACTGATATATGTCCCCTCTTCCATGTGGATTGTTTCGCCATTAAAGTAATTACTTTCCTCAGGGCTGCAATTAACGGCCCAGACAGTGCTCGATAGAACCCTAATAAATGGAATAGCTATGCTGCCTTTCTTTTTTTTTTTTAAGTATTTATTTTTCATTATAAAATGTTTAAGTAACAAAAAAACCTTAAGTTACAGAAAATCATATACTATGTGTGCATTTATGGACTATCTAGATTTAATATTTTGTCATATTTTCTTTAAAAATTTGTCTTAGAAATAAAAAACCAAGTATAGCTAAAGTTTCACCCCACCCCCTCCCCCAGCACTACTCATTATCCTGAGATTAGTGTATATTCTTATCTGAATTACTATACATTTATAATTTTACTAGATGGGCATGTGCACCTTCTATTAATTATCTATTGCTATGTAACAACTTACCCCCAAATGTCACAACTCTCTATCACCTTCTGCAGTTTCTTTCTTTCTTTTGTTTTCTTTTTTTTCTTTTTTTATTTTATTTTTTATTTTTAGACAGGGTCTTGCTCTGTCACTCAGGCTAGAGTAGAGTGCAGTGGCATGATCAGGGCTCACTTTAGCCCAACCTCCCTGGTTCAGGTGATCCTCTGACCTCAACCTCCTGAGTAGCTGGGACTACAGGTGTGCACCACTGCCCTAGATAATTTTTTGTATTTTCTCTAGAGGGGGTTTTGCCATGTTGCCCAGGCTGGTCTCCACCTCCCAGGCTCAAGTGATTGACCCCCCGGCCCCGCCGTGGCCTCCCAAAGTGCTAGGTTTACAAGCATATGCCACCACACCCAGCCTGTCTTTGTTTTGTTTTGTTTTTAAAAGACAGGGTCTCACTCTCTTACCAGGCTTGAGTGCAGTGGCATGATGTTGGCTCAGTGCAGCCTTCACCTCCCAGGCTCAAGCAATCCTCCCACCTCAGCCTCCCAAGTACCTGGGACTATAGCATGTGTCACCATGCCCAGAAAATTTTTGGTATTTTGTGTAGAGATGGGGTTTTGCTGCGTTGCCCAGGCTGGTCTTGAACCCCTGGGCTCAAGCGATCCTCCCACCTTGGTGTTCCAAAGTGCTGGGATTACAGGCTTGAGCCACCATGTCTGGCCATCTTGTGGAGTTTCTTAGGGCCAGGAGTTGATGAGGCACTTAGCCGGGTGTCTCTGGCCCACCATTGCTCATGAGGCTGCAGCTGTCTGAAGTCCATTGTAGGAGCTGGTTCCAAGCTCACTGTTGTGGTGGCAGGAGCCCTGCTTCCCTCACCATTTGGACCTCACTCCAGGACTGCCTGATGTCCTCTGGTCAGCCCTGAACATGTGATCCGAGAGAGCATGACGGGGCACCCAGGATAGAAACCCCAGGTTTTCATCACCTAATCTTGGAAGCAGCATGTTCTCACTGCTGCCCCACTCCGTTGGTCGCACAGAATGACCCTGATATGATGTGGGAGGGGACGACGCAGGTAAATGCCAGGAGTCATCCGCAGTCATCTTGGAAACATCCTACCGTATACTTATCACAAAACCTAGGTTGGTTGATTTGTTTGTTTGGTTTATTTTTTTTTATTTTTAAATTTATAGGAATGCTGTGGTAGTGTGTATCCTTTGTCAACTCGACTTTATTGTTTGACATTACATTTTATAGATTTTCCATATTGATATGAGTCCTAGGTTATTTGTTTTGACTGCATACTATCTCACTTTATGAATGTACCCAGATTACCCATTTTTATCTTAATTAACATTTGGATTATTTCTGTATTGGCAATTATAAACCGTACTGCAGTGAACGTCTTTGTGTAGATGAATGAGATCACCTAGGAATGGAATTTCTAAATGATTTATTATGCAACTCTTCAGTGTTATTGGCTACAGTCAAATTTGTCTTTAAAGTAGCTGAAACATCAGCATTATATGAGAATTTCCATTCCCTAAAAGCATGACTGTATTTGTTTTGTCTTTGTGTTTTGCTAATCCATGTATGTGCAATAGTGTCACATTTTAGTTGATTACTTTCAAGATCATACAACTTTGGATATGTTTTTGGGATGTTTGAGCTTCTTCTCTGAGGGTGAATTTTTCTACTAATATAGTGTGCACATTTTTCTACCCATACTTTTTACTGATAGACATGAGTTCCTTATATTTCTGAGGTATTAGTTTTTCTGAGTTATACTATCTAGTCTCCCTGACTTTTTACTTTGTTTTGGTGCCTTATATTTATATATATCTTTAATTTAGTGAAATCAAATTTACCAGTATTTCTCTCATGAACTATGCCCTGTGCCTTATTTAAGAAATACTTCTTTAATCCAAGAAAATAGGGATTTTTTTCTTCTAAAGATACTGTATACTTTTTTCTTATTTTCTTCCAAAATGTGAATTAGGAAATTAATTTATATAAGGACGTTCCATTTTCTCAGCATCCTTATTGAATATATAATGTTTTCCCCTCTGATTTTTCCAATTTTTTTATTTAAAAAATTTATATACAGAAAAGACTAAAAATAATACCATGCTGTTCTGCATGTCAACCATCTAGATTTAGTAACTTTTAACATTTTGCCATATACCAGTATGTGTATATAGGTGAGTATGTAGTTTTTGCTGAGCCATTTGCAAATAAGTTGCAGATATCATGACTTTCACCCCTAAATATTTCATTATGCATTCTAAAAGTAAGGACATTCTCCTATATAACCACAATACCATAATCACACCTAAAAAATTAATAATATTTGCTAAATATCATGACTATGTAGACCACATGCATATTTCCCCAGGTGTCCCCAGAATGTTTTCATTAGCTGTTTTGCTTTTTATTTTGTTTTGGAAGGCCAGTTCTCTTGTAGAATGTATCATATTCAGTTTTATCTATTCCCTAATGATATACCGCATTGATTTTGCATCATATTTCCTTGAACTTAAGTCTAGAGGCTTAATTAGACTTGAGTTAAATGTTTTTTTGCAAGGTATCTAATGAATTTTAATAGCATCTTTGTCATGTACCAAGTCCCCATTTATGCCTGAGCCTACTTCTGAGCATTCTGTTCCATTCCACTGGTCAAGTTGTCTATCCCTCGGCTAAGCTATATAGTTTTATTTATTTTTTTTTAGTTATAGGACAATATCTGGCAGGGACTTGACCCTTCTTATTCTTCCTCAGAGTTCTCTTGGCTACTTTTGCCCTTTTATTCAACTTGTCGAGATCCCTGAAAAACCCTGTTGGGATTTCTATTAGAACTGCATTGAACTTACAGAATTAACTTGAGAAGAAACCAAATCTTTACCATATCAAGTTTCCCCTATGAATGTACCAGATCTTTTCATTTATTTAGGTCTTCTTTTATGTCCTACTCCAGTATTTTGTAATTTTGTCCAAAAAGATTCACACATAGACTTATTCCTATGTACCTCTTAGTTCTTACCACAAATGAGATTATTTTACATTGCATTTCTTGTGAGTTGTTGGGAATATGGGTATGCAATTTTTATATATTATATATTAATCTTCTATCCAGCCACATTGCTAAGTTCTCCTTTCTAGAAATGGTTTTTAGAGTCGTTTGAATTTTCTATCAAAACAGCCATATAATCTGCAAATCATATATTTTAAATCACTTGTAGTTGTTATATCTTTTATTTATATTTTTTGTGATGCCCTCTGAGACAATATTGAATACAAATGGTGATAATGGACTTTTTTGTCTTTTTTCTTACTTTAAAGAAAATATTTCTCATTTCGTACCATGGAGCATTATGCATAGGATAGGTTTGTGGAATTTCCTTCTCAGTCCTAAATTTAGGGATTTCCAGTTTCTGAAAAGTATTCAGTATGAATGGAAAAGCTTTTTGACAATTTCCACATTAAACATATGCCTACTCTATAATCAACATTCAACATTAAGCATATGCCTACTCTAGAATCCAGCAGTTGTCACTCTTAGGTGTATGCAAAGGAGAAATGAGTATGTAAGTGTGCTGAGACTTAACCAGAAGGTTCATAACAGCTTTACACATAAAATAACTTAAGTAATACATACTTTAGTAGTTACATAAATACATAAAACCATCACTTTTATCAAAATAGAAACATCCCAAAAGTCAACCAAAGGAAAACAGATGAACAATTGTTGACTTGCCATTCAGTGGAACACTGCCAGCAATTTTCTTTCTGCTGAAGAGTGTGCTTTTGGATGTCTTTTATAAAAGACTGTGAAAGGTAAATTTTATTTTGCCTCAATTCCGAATCACAATTTAGCTATACATGGAATTCTAGATTGCCTGTGTTCCCTTAGTGTTTTGAAGATTCAGTTTCATTGTCCTCTGGCTGTGATGATTGCTGAAGAAAAGACCCTAGTTGGTCTTAACTGTTGTACCTTTAAGGGTAATCTGTTGCTTCTCCTTAGTTACCGGTAAGACTGCTTTTATTTTAAATTTCCAGTGTTCTGAATAGTGTTCTGAAGTTTCACCATGATGTGTCTAGGTATAGGGTATTTTCCCATCGTGCTATACCCTTTACACTCTCTGAATCTGACAACTCATGACTTTTGTCATCAATCTTAGAGAATTCCTAGCTGTTAACTCTTCCACTATTGCCTCATGCACATTCTTTCTAGTCTCTTCTTCTGGATCTCTCATTTCAAGTAATGAGATTTCTCATTATTTATTTCAGGTCCCTTGACCCTTCATTTATGTTTTCCTTTCTATCTTTGCTGCATTCTGTGTAATTTCTTCAGATACATTTTATATTGGCCTAATTCTCTGTTCAGCTATGTTCAATCTACTATTTAACATATTCATTGAGTCTTTTAAAATACTTTTACTTTTTATTATTTTTATTGTTTTTGGATTCTTTAATTGTCTTTGGTTTGGGGGTCTTTTTTTTTTCTTTTGAGTTTTTCATTTCGATGACTATATTTTTCATTTCTAGAAATTGTATCTCATACTTTTCCAAATATACCATAGCCGGGCACAGTGGCTCATACCTGTAATCCCAGAACTTTAGGAGGCCAAGGCAGGAGGATCGCTTGAGTCCAGAAGTTCAAGACCAGCCTGGGCAACTGTGTTAGTTCATTCCCATGCTGCTATAAAGACATACTGGGACTGGGTAATTGATTAAGAAAAGAGGTTTAATTGGCTCATGGTTCTGCAGGTTATACAGACTTCTGCTTCTCGGGAGGCCTCAGGAAACTTACAATTGTGGTAGAAGAAGAAAGGGAAGCAGGCACAGTCTTCACGTGGCCAGAGCAAGGGAGAGAGAGAGAGAGGGGAAGGTGCTCCACACTTTCAGACAACCATATCTTGTGAGAACTCTATCATGAGACAATACTGGGGGGTGGTAGTAAACCATTAGAAACCACCCCCATGATCCAGTCACCTCCCACCAGGCCCCATCTCCAACACTTGGGATCCCAATTCAACATGAGATTTGGATGGGGACACAGTGCCAAACCATATCAACAACAAAGTAATACCCTGTCCACAAAAAATCAAAAGGTTAGCCAAGCATGGTGGAGCATACCTATGGTTCCAGCTACACAAGAGGCTGAGGCAGGAAGATCACTTGAGGCCAGGAGGTCAAGGCTGCAGAGAGCCATGATCATGTCACTGCACTCCAGCCTGGGAGACAGAGCAAGACTCTGACTCTAAATAAATAAATAAATATGCCAGTTAACTTTTCTATAGTGTTGTGTAAAATTTTATTGTGACTTGGATTTTCTTTATCTTCTTTTTAGTTTTTATTTAATTTAAAAGGCTAGGTAATATTTAGAAGGTACGATATAGCACATAGTCCCACTCCCTCAGAGGTAATCATACTAATGCCTAAAGTCCTTCCTTTTTTTTTTTTTTCAAGCCTCATAGTTTATTATATGGGTGCACCTAATTTATTTAACCAGTTCATTATTGATAGGCATTTAGGTTGTTTTAAGTCTTTTGTTGTTACAAATAACACTGCAGTGAACATCATTTATATATATCATTTGCATATATGAAAGTATACATCTAGGTTAAATTATTAGAATTGCTGAGTTAAAAGGTATACATATTTGTAATTTTAATGAATATCACTTCGTTACCTTCCATAGAGCTTATATTCATCGATACCTGGCCATACCATCTCTTGTAATGTAGATGATAACCTACTTGGAAATTTTGGTCATCTGACAGGTGAAAAATGATGATCTCGGTGTAGTTTTAATTTGTGTCACTTTCTATGAGTGAGATTGAGTTTCTTTTCAATGACTAAGGTCACTGTTTGTCCTTTTCTATGAACTACCCACTCATATCTTTGCCCATTGTTTTCTGTTGGATTCTTTTTTTGTATTAATTTGTAGGAACTCTTTATGTAATGGAGTAATTAACCATATGCTTGGAGGAAAAAGAACCTATAATTTCTGTCTCAATTGTACATTTTTAAAACTTTGCTTATGACATGTTTTAGTGTAAAAAATGTTTACTTTGTATATTTAAATAGTTTGATATTTTGCTTTAAGGGTCTTGGGACTACTGTTACCTTTTAAATGGCTTTCCTCACTAAAAGTGTTTTGTGACTTATTCAAGTACTTTCATGTTTGATTTAACTTGGCATAGAATGTGTGGATTAAACTTCTTTCCTCTAGGATAACTACCCCCATTGTTATAACATTTATCAAATAACTTACTTTTTTTTACTTTAAATCCTAAAATTACTGCATACCAAATTCTAGTAAATATTTGGGAGATGTATATCTGTTTCTGGATTTTCTGTACTATTCCATTGATATATCTTATAGTATTAGTTCCTTTTCATTATTCTTTTTTCAGAATTTCCAACTCTTCTTTCTTAATTTTTCTTTTCTTTTATGAACTTTTGAGCCAGCTTGTTTAGTTTTAAAAAAATTGTACTTTAATGGGTTTTTAGTCACTTTAAACACAGCTATGGTATAATCTTGTGCACGTTGTTCTATTTTTCCATCACCGATGGGGAGTTCATCTTGTTTTTGTGTCTGCTGGCTGCTCTCTCATAGTAGACTTTTTTCTCGTTTGCTTTGCAATTTTTTGTTGTGAGCTTATATTTAGAGGGAGCACATTTTTTCTTCCAAGAGAGTGCAGTGTGCCTTGGGCTGTAAAGTGTTGCTGTAAAGCAATTTTGCATATGTTTCTGCTGAGTGTCCGCAGACCATGAGAATCTTGGGATTTGCATACCAGGTTGTGCGAATTTAGATGCCAGCCACGTTTGAGGTGGAGGTTTAGGGGCTCCATTTCTCATGGGAGAGTTTCTTGCCCTCCTCCCCCAACCTCTTAGCCCCTGAGCTGAGCCAGGCTTCTGTTGGCAGAATTTCCCGGCTCCTTTCACCAATGGGCAAGGTTTGCACAGGCATCTTGACCCCAGTGCCTACTTCCTTGGTGCCCAGGGTCAAGTCTCTCACCCCTCCTGGTCGTGGGAACCCCAGCCTTAGGGCCCATTTCTGGTTGAGGAATGTCTCTTACTTCTGGACTCAGCTATAGAGTTAAAAAGTTATATTTTATCCTCATTCCTCTTTGTTGCAGCAGGAAGAGGTTCTACCTTCACACCAGTCACTGTTTGAGGACCCCACATCTTTGGAAGCTGCCCTTCTCTCACAGTGTTTGTGTGTGTGTGTGTGTGTGTGTGTGTGTGTGTGTTCATGGTCATTTGTGTTTGTCCGATGACACTTAGCCTAAGGGTTGGGGTGGGGGGAGCAGTGAGTGGGAGCTCCTTGATTAGAATCTCCTGGGACACTTTTTCAAAATACACCTGGTCAACATCCTCACGCCCTTTTCCAGCGAAGGCACAGCAGGATGGCGGTGGGTGGGAAGGTGATGGGTATTTTGGAAAAAGTTCCCCAGATGCTTCTCTTATGCTTCCCCTGCCTCTCCTCAGCCCACTCCCACCCCTGCTGAGAATCATTACTGCAGTCAGATTGGCTGGAGGTCAGGGTGTGTTATGGCTCGGGCCAGCGTCTCATATCTGACATGGATACTAGGGACTGGAGCACTTTCAACCACCTCTGTGTTGCTGGGCCAAGTGTCCTACGGCTACGAAAATAATAGAGTGTTAAAATTGACAACTCTCTGTTATTTTAGTGTATCCAAAGCTTATGAAATACCACCCATCTCTTTTTATAGATTGAGACATTTAGCACCCAAGAGCTGTATAGATCTCAGCTTGTACAACTTGAGGCACATGATGGATTATGGCAGCCATTTGACTGTGAATTTTTCTTGCTGCAGGTTGAAAGTGGATCATCTGGTACATGCTCATGTTTAAAAATAGCAGAGTTAGCTGTTAAGAGAAGAGTTTCAGAGATACTCCTCTGCCATCTACTTAGACTACAATCAAAAGATACCAAAGCCAGGGGACCCCAAAGGTGTAGATCAGGCTGCTCTGTTTCCTCATTTTACAGAAGAGAACACTGAGGGCCCCAGATTTTCCGTAGCTTTCACATGGTTGCAGAAAAAAAATCTGGCTCTGGGTCCAGAACCCCTATCCTGAAACTCCAGAATGTTTTTCTAAGTAAACCATGCCTACTCAGAAAGCATCTCAGTACCAGATAATCAGTGTGGCGGGACAGTTCTCATTATTTTGTATGCTATAGGGAAAAAGACCTGACCATTATAATTTTTATCCTTGGTAAAATTACAGATCTTCCACAGGCACTCATTATCAACCAGATCCTGACCTTTCAGAGAAAATACACAATTAAAATTGTAACTCGAGACATTGATGAAAGAGTTAAAAGTAACAGTTTAGTAACAGCGGACACTTACGTAGCACCGATCTTAGCCCAGGACTGTACTAAGTGCTTAACATCTATTAACTTGATTGTTCTTACAAGACTGACTGGTAGGGGCTGTTATTACCTTCATTTTATAGATGACAAAACTGGGGGGCAAAGAAGTTAAGTAACTTGGCCCAGATCACACAGCTTGTATGTGGGAGCTAGGATTGGAACCCCAGAAGTCTGGCCCCAGGTTCATGCTCTCACCCACTGCATACAATGGCCTCTCATAAATCAATCCAGTATAAAACATTAGAATCTGCTTTAAAACCATAGAATTAGTAGCGTAAGTAATAAATGCAGAGACCATGCAGTGAATGGCATTCCTGGAAAAAGCCCCCAGAAGGAATTTTAAATCAGCTTTCGTCTAATCTTGAGCAGCTAGTTAGCAAATATGAGAATACAGTTGTTCCCAGATAATGCTTTATGTCTGACCATCTTAAACTGGCGCTGTTTTTCAAAAACTTAAAAACAAAATCCATGACTCTTTTAATTATAAAAGTGATACATGTCTACTTGGGAGGCTGAGGTGGTGGGAGGATGGCTTGAGTTTGAGGCTGCAGTATGCTACTATCATGCCTATAAATAGCCGCTGCATTCCAGCTTGGGCAACATACCCAGGCCCTATCTCAAAAAAATAAAAAGTAATACATCTACATTGAAGAAAATTAATTTTATTGGGTTTTTTTGCATTTTTATTATACACAGCACACACAGCACATATGAAAAAATGGGTATGAACTCAGGCATTCAACTGGAAGAACAGTACTAAATCAATGTCCATGTAGTCAGCGTGACTGAGGTTGGTTTGTTTTTTCTTTTTTCTTCTCTTCTCTTCTCTTTTCTTTTTTTTTGAGACGGAGCTTTGCTCTTTTTGCCCAGGCTTGATTGCAATGGCGTGATCTCAGTTTACTGCAATCTCTGCCTCCCGGGTTCAAGGGATTCTCCTGCCTCAGCCTCCCAAGTAGCTGGGATTACAGGCGTGTGCCACCACGCCTGGCTAATTTTGTATTTTTAGTAGAGATGGGGTTTCTCCATGTTGGTCAAGCTGGTCTTCAACTCCTGACCTCAGGTTATCTACCTGCCTCGGCCTCCCAAAGTGCTGGGATTACAGGCATGAGCCACCGAGCCTGGCCTCGGTTTTTCTTTTCTAATCTCAATGAGATTATAACAGATGTGCTATTCTTTGACATGCTTTGACTATCTTATTCTTTTGACTTTTTGAAACAGCTTTGTTGGGATATAATTGGTGTAAAATAAACAGTTCATGTTGAAAGGATACAGTTTGATAAGTGTTATATGTGTGCGCACCTTGAAACCATCACCACAAACAAGGTAGTGATCATATGCACTGAGCTGTTTTCCCTGCCTCCCAGGTCCTGTGGACCCCATGCCATTCCCAGGAAACCACTGACGTGCCTTCTGTCACTGTAGACTAGTTTGTATTTGTTAGAATTTTATATAAATGAAATCATACAGTATGTATTCCATTTTGTCTGACTGCTTTCACACAATAAAATTATTTTGAGGTTCATCTATAATGTTTCATGTTCAAAAGTTCATTTTTATTGCAGATCAATTAGGCATTATAGTTTCTTTATCCCCATACACCTGTTGATGAACTTTTGGATTGTTGCCAAGTTTTGGGTTTTTTGGCAATTATAAATAAAGCTGCTATCAACAATAGCATGCAAGTCCTTGGACATATATTTTGTTTTTTATTTCTCCTGGATAAACACCTAGGAGTAGAATCGTTGAGTTACATAACATGTATGTTTTACTACTTAAAAAGCTGCCAAACTCATTTTCAAAGTTGGCTTTATCATGTCACATTCCTGCCAACAGTGTATGAAAGTTCCAGTTGTTAAACATCCTCACCAACATTTGGTATGGTCAGTATTTTCATTTTAATAGGTATTAATATTTAGCGGTCTCATCGTGGCTTTAATTTGCATTTCCCTAATGACTAATAATCCTGAATATCTTTTCATGTACTTTTTTGCCATTCATGCATCTTTTTAAATGAAATGTCTTTTCAAATGTTCTTGCCCATTTTTGTATAGGGTTGTTTGTTTTCTCATTGAGTCCTCAGAGTTATTTATATATGAAGAATACAAGTCCTTTATCAGAAATTTGGCTTTCAAATATTTTTGCCAAGTCTTTTTAGTCTGTTAATATTTTCTATTAAAGAGGAGCAGTTCTTACTTAATTTTGATAAAATCCATTTTTTTTCCTTTTACAAATTGTGCTTTTGGGTACTATAGCTAAGAAATTTTTCGCCTAACCCCAGGACACAAAGATTTTATATATATATAATGGAGATGGGGTCTTGCTCTGTCACCAGACTAGAGTACAGTAGCGTGAGCATAGTTCATTGCAGCCTCCATCTCCTGGCCTCAAGTGATCCTCCTACCACCGTCGCCTAAAGTGCTGGGATTATAGGCATGAGCCACCACCACACCTGGCCACAAATGTGTTATTTAGTTTCCAAATAATTAGGGATTTTTCCAGAAGCTTTCTGTTATTCTAATATAACCTCAGTGTGGGCAGGGAATATAGTTTTTATGAATTGAATCTTTTGAAATTTATTGAAACTTATTTCATTGTCCAGAATATAGTCTATCACAGTAAATATTTCTTGTGCTCTTGAAAACAATGTATATTCTGCTATTATGGGTGGATTAGTTTATAATAGTTAGATCAAGTTAGTTAATAGTGTTGTTTAGGTATTCTATATCATAACTTATTTTCTGTCTACTTGCTCTATTATTGAGAAACGGATATTGGAATCTCTGACTATATTTGTGGATTTGTCTATTTCTCTTTGCATTTTCATCAATCTTGTTTTATGTATTTTGAAACACTGTTATTAGGTAAAAAAACATTAGGATTTTTATGTCCTATTTATGAAGGAAACAGTTTATCATTATGAAACTACTATATTTACTTCTAGTAATTTTTTTGATCTGTATCTATTCTGTCTAATAATATAGCCACTCTGGATTTCTTTTGATAAGCATTAATATGATAGTTTTTTTCCATCTGTTTAGTTTTAACATTTTGAGTCTTAACATTAAAAGTGAGTTTCCTGTAGGGAGAATATACTTGGATCTTGCTTTTTATCTAATTTAGCAGTCTCTGTTTTTTAGTTGTGATGTTTAGGCCAGAGATCCACAAACAACAGTCTATAGGCTGAATCCAGCATGTGGCTTGTTTCTGTATGGCCTGTGAGGTAAGAATAGTTTTTACATTTTTAAAGGGTTGAAAAAATCAGAAAGAAGCTAACCTAAAAAGCTTAACATATTTACTATCTGGCCCTTTACGGAAAAAGTTTGCCAAATGCTGGTTTAGACTATTTATATTTAATGTATGATTGATATGTCTGTGTTTAACCAGTAACACAACAAAGAAAACTATTTTTCTTTTTGTCTCATTTGTTACATTTTTTCCCTTTTTTCCTTTTTTGCTGCCTTCTTTTGGATTATTTTCTATTTCTTTATATCTCCTTGGCTAGTTTATTAGCTATAACTCTATATCGTGAAATTTTAGTGGTTGCTTTAGAATATGTAGTGTAAATTTTTTAACTGACCACAGTCTACCACTTCATATAGTCTAAGAGCCTTCCAACAATAGACTTCCATTTCTTGCCTTCGGTCCTTTGTGCTATTGTCATCCATTTTACCTATGCCTATATTATAAGCCACCCAGCACATTGTTATAATTTTTGATTTAATTGATTATCTTTGTAAATATTTAAAATTAAAAGTAAAGATTTTATAACTACTATATACTTCCCGCTTCTGGTGTTCATCATTCTTTTGTGTAGATTCAAGTTTCCTTCTGATGTCCTTTTTCTTCTGCTTGAAGAACTTTCTGTAGTGAAAATCTGTGATGTGTTCTCTCAGCTTGTGTATGACTGAAAATATTTTTATTTCTTCTTCATTTTTAAGATATTTTTGCTGGGTATAGAGTTCTCGGTTGACAGGGCTTCTTCTACCCCCAGTACTTTAAAGATGTTACTCTATTGTCTTCTAGTTTGCATTGCTTCCAACATGAAATCATCTGTAATCCTTATTATTATTCATTTGTACATAATATTTCTTTTTTCTCTCTCCTTGCTTTTAGGAAATTTTCTCTTTATCACTGGTTTTCAGCAGTGCGCTATTATAATCTATGTCATGTTTCTTGTGTTTGGGGTCCTTTGGGCTTCTTGGGTCTGTGGGTTTATAGTTTCATAAAATTTGGAAAATTTTTGGTTTTTTCAAATATTTTTTGCCTCACAATCCCTTCTTCCTTTTGAGTACTCTGATTACATGATTTAGCAGCTTGATATTGTCCACAGTTTACTGATGTTCTCTCTCTCTCTTTTTTTTCAGTTTTTTCTCTGTGCTTCATTTCTATTGTTTTGGTTTTTTTTAAATTCATTAGTCTGTTTTTCTGCAGTGTATAATCTGCTCTTACAACCATCCCGTATATTTTTCATCTCACATATTATAATTTTTATCACTAAAAATTTGATTTAGATCTTTAATGTCTTCCGTGTCTCTATTTAACATGTTTAACATTTTCTCTGGCATCCTGAGTAGAATACAGTTATAATAAATATCTTGATATCCTGCCTGCTAATTCTATCATCTGTGCCATTTCTTACTAAGTTCCAATTGATTGATTTTGCTCCCTATTATGAACTGTGTTTTCCTGCTTCTTTGCATAATTAGTGCTGTAGAATCAATGTTTATGTCCTGCCAAAATTCTTATGTTGAAACCTATCGGGGGAACCTGCCCCCGATAATTCAACATTATTTCACGTAGGTTCTTTTCTATTTCCTTAAGTGTCAGCCGGTCTGAGAAATAAAGGGAAAGAGTACAAAAGAGAGAAATTTTAAAGCTGGGTGTCCAGGGAAGACATCACATGTCGGCAGGTTCGTGATGCCCCCTGAGCTGCAAAACCAGCAAGTTTTTATTAGTGATTTTCAAAGGGGAGGGAGTGTACGAATAGGGTGTGGGTCACAGAGATCACATACTTCACAAGGTAATAAAATATTACAAGGCAAATGGAGGCAGGGCAAGATCACAGGACCAGGGCGAAATCAAAATTGCTAATGAAGCTTTGGGCACGCATTGTCATTGATAACATCTTATCAGGAGACAGGGTTTGAGAGCAGACAACTGGTCTGACCAAAATTTATTAGGCGGAAATTTCCTTGTCCTGATAGGCCTGGGAGCGCTATGGGAGACCGGGGCTTATTTCATCCCTTATCGGCAACCGTAAAAGACAGACATTGCCAGAGCAGCCATTTCAGGGACCTACCCCTAGGAACACATTCTTTTTCTCAGGGCTGTTCCTGCTGAGAAAAATAATTCAGCGATATTTCTCCTATTTGCTTTTGAAAGAAGAGAAATATGGCTCTGTTCCGCCCGGCTCTCAGGCAGCCAGACCTAATGGTTATCTCCTTTGTTCCCTGAACATTGCTGTTAGCCTGTTCTTTTCTCAAGGTGCCCAGATTTCATATTGTTTAAACAATTTGTGCAGTTAACACAATCATCACAGGGTCCTGAGGTGGCATACATTCTCAGCTTAGGAAGATGATGGGATTAAGAGATTAAAGTAAAGACAGCATAGGAAATCACAAGAGTATTGATTGGGGAAGTGATAAATGTCCATGAAATCTTCACAATTTATGTTCAGAGATTGCAGTAAAGACAGGCGTAAGAAATTATAAAAGTACTAATTTAAGGAACTAATAAATGTCTGAAATCTTCACAATTTATGTTCTTCTGCCATGGCTTTGGCCAGTCCCTCCGTTCGGGGTCCCTGACTTCCCGCAACAGAAACCTAATCTCCAAGGTGATGATATTTGGAGTTGGGGCCTTTGGAAGGTGATTAGGTCACGAGGGCAGAGCTTTTCTTTGTAAATGGAATTACTGCCCATTATTAAAGACAGTCCAAGAGAGCTCCCTTGTCTCTTCCACCATGTAAAGACACAGCAAGAAGATCATTATCTACAAACCAGGAAATGGGAGTATAGATTGACTGCAGGGTGCATCCCTCTGTTCTCGGTGTTGGCAGGCTCTTGTTCATTGCCTTTCTTTTTCAGTGCACTTAGGAAAGCCATATTATGACAGAATCCACATTAGCAAGAAAATGCAGTCACTTTGCAAAGTAATCAAGCCTGTTTTCCTCTGATTTTAAAACCATTCTTTTCAGGTCATTATCGCATTGTTATTTTGACTTTTTCTTTCCTCAGTCAAAAAGGGTATTATTTGGCAGCTCTGAAGATCTTGAGGCTTTAGTTACAGAAAAATCAAATTCTTAGCAGTGTTATTTTCTGGTGCCAAAATATTCATTTCTGTGATTAAATATAGGAAAAATGGGTAATGAGGCCTATTTCTTTTCCGTATTGCAAGTAAAGCTTAAGATCCCATATTCCTGAAAGGGGCAGAGAAGCCTAGTGTAGGCAAAGGAAGTCTACAGATAATCCACAAACCGGCTTTAAGAAATCATCTCAACTTCCTTCTTGGTTTGAAGTTATTCAAGAGTCTCTAGCAGAAGTCACCGGGTGAATTTTAACTGTTTCTCTTTGTCACCAGTGATGTCATGAATTAGGTGTTGCATTCACTTACTGCTCCTGGCTGTTGATGAGACCTAGGATAAGAGTGGGGCAGGGAGGGTCTCTCAAGCCAGCCTGACCCCCGGAGGTCTCACAACCCACTAAGACTATGAGTCAGGTTGATATGAGGTCCCTATCTGTTGTAGAATCCATGGTAGGGAGTGAACTCAGGTTGACTCCACTGGGGAAAATTCCCCATGACGTAGGCAGGTCCAGCTGAGCTTTCTGCGGTAAATTCTCCTTCTCTTTCTCCTCTTTTTTCATCTCCACTGAGGAAGCACAACCCACACAGCTGTCATGACCAGGTGCTGACCTGCACTCTCACCTGTGTAGTACCGCAGTGTCGCTGGCATTCCATGAAGCACAGGGTGCTTCCATATGTGCCCTGCTGCAGTTCCCCTCCACACCTAGGCTCGGTACCCACACACCTTAAAACATGCCGTCGTTCCAGTTTGCAGGGACTGGACCCCCAAAGGCACGCTGAGCCGTGACCCCACTCAGTGCTTCCTGAGCTGTCTAAGCCACTGGGACCTCAGTGGACTTTAACTGTGGTTTAATAAACCAAGGGGTTCTGTCTGTGTCCAATGTGAGAGGTGGACCGCTCATTTCACAGCTGTGGATTTTCCCTTTCTGTCTCCCCAGAAATTGCAGGTGCTGCAGTGTCTGAAATTTCCGGGCCTTTCTCAACAGAGGATGTAGCCAGCAACTGTGTCCCCGCTCAGTCTTTGAGCGAGCCCATTTTGTGGATTGTGTCCTATGCGCTCATGAGCGTCTGTGGAGCCATCCTCCTTGTCTTAATCGTCCTGCTGCTGCTGCCGTTCCGGTGTCAGCGTCGCCCCCGTGACCCTGAGGTCGTCAATGATGAGTCCTCTCTGGTCAGACATCGCTGGAAATGAATAGCCAGGCCTGACCTCAAGCAACCATGAACTCAGCTATTAAGAAAATCACATTTCCAGGGCAGCAGCCGGGATCGATGGTGGCGCTTTCTCCTGTGCCCACCCGTCTTCAATCTCTGTTCTGCTCCCAGATGCCTTCTAGATTCACTGTCTTTTGATTCTTGATTTTCAAGCTTTCAAATCCTCCCTACTTCCAAGAAAAATAATTAAAAAAAAAACTTCATTCTAAACCAAAACAGAGTGGATTGGGCTGCAGGCTCTATGGGGTTCGTTATGCCAAAGTGTCTACATGTGCCACCAACATAAAACAAAACCAAGCCTTGGCTCGTTCTCTTCTCTCTTCAATCTCTGGAAAAATAAGTACATATAGTTGATAACCCCTCTTAGCTTACAGGAAGCTTTTTGTATTAATTGCCTTTGAGGTTATTTTCCGCCAGACCTCAACCTGGGTCAAAGTGGTACAGGAAGGCTTGCAGTATGATGGCAGGAGAATCAGCCTGGGGCCTGGGGATGTAACCAAGCTGTACCCTTGAGACCTGGAACCAGAGCCACAGGCCCCTTTTGTGGGTTTCTCTGTGCTCTGAATGGGAGCCAGAATTCACTAGGAGGTCATCAACCGATGGTCCTCACAAGCCTCTTCTGAAGATGGAAGGCCTTTTGCCCGTTGAGGTAGAGGGGAAGGAAATCTCCTCTTTTGTACCCAATACTTATGTTGTATTGTTGGTGCGAAAGTAAAAACACTACCTCTTTTGAGACTTTGCCCAGGGTCCTGTGCCTGGATGGGGGTGCAGGCAGCCTTGACCACGGCTGTTCCCCTCACCCAAAAGAATTATCATCCCAACAGCCAAGACCCAACAGGTGCTGAACTGTGCATCAACCAGGAAGAGTTCTATCCCCAAGCTGGCCACTATCACATATGCTTACTCTTGCTTAAAATTAATAAATCATGTTTTGATGAGAAAAAACTATTCTATTTCACTAGCTTAGTTGTCTCTTTTTCCAAATCTTCTCTGGAAGTAGGTTGGCTATTACCCTGTTGGGAAACAGGGAAATGGCCTGATGCCCCTATTTCTGACCAGCTGTCAGGGAAGGAAGATGCAAGATGTGCAGAAGACACAAGGTAACGTCTACTTATCCCCGTGCTTCGAAACCGTGTGTTTCCCTTTGCAGAACTGGTTAGCCTCAAGCATACCCATCCAATCAGCTTAAATTGTTCAGCAGTTGACCTCTGTGCTTCTTCCTTTGGGGGTGTTTAATCTTTGGTAACAGTTGTGCAGTGGTAGCCTTATTTCGGGGGGCAGTCCCTACTTTCTGTCACTTATCGAGGCCTTTGCCAAAGAAAAGTGGAAGCCGTTTCCTTGACATAGCCTTATATGACCTGATGTCATTAGGAGAAGAGTTAAAAGACAGTATCCCCTCTCTCCTGCTTGTGTGCCAAGTTCAGTGTTCCCTTTGCATTTTTTTGGGGTGGGTTGGCTATATTACAGAATTCCACCAAAAGTGCTAAGTGTCCCCTCCTGCAGAAGTATCGTTTGTATTCACAGTAGGCTACGTGTGGATGTTTCAGCCATCTGCTCTGCTCCCTGGGTCCCCGGGTCACCACCATACTGAGAAATATAGGACTCTGCCAAAGAGACGTGGAGGCCACGTCGGCTTGTCATGGTGTCCTGGAAGACTCTCCAGCAGCCAGAAGAACCTTCTGTGCTGTTTTCACTAGAGAAGATTTGAGTTGCAGCCTCTTGGAAAGAACATGACGGCACGGAACGGGAGGAGGGGGCTCTTGTATCAGGGCCCGTTGTCACATCCGCTCTCAGCTTGTTGAAAACTCATAATCTCAGAATGCATTTCACACGGAGAGATGTCTGGAAGTCCAATTCTCATCCCATTGGCTTTTTCCGTGGTTGCTGTTTTGTGGGCCGCTTTGCACAGGAGTGAAGCCAACACCCCTAGATTGTGCCTTCACCCTTGCTGTGAAAAATTCAAAGCCCTGAAATAAGAGGAGGGAATCGCAGACATGCCCTGATTAGTTTTCCTGCTTATTTCTTCATACAGGCATCTTCTGTTCCGTTGTATTGTGTTAGGTTTCAGAGGCGGGGAGCTTCCTCCTGCAGCAGATGAACAGGCATAGTTCTTAAAATACAGGAAAGTAACAAGTGAGGTTTCCAGGTAGAGTAGGTGAATGAAGTTTGCCGTCATGCTCTGTATTTCATATCAGATTTCTTTATCTTTTCATATCGCATGTCATTGGATGTGACATTTTGATGAAAATACTGAAACTACAAAAGCATAACTTCGCAACAAGAATGAGATAGACAATTGAATGTGGGACATTTTTCTGGCATGTCTTGCTGCTGAGAATCGGACTTCCAGTCAAAACCCTGTTAGTGACACCCACCTCCTCCAGTTATGCAAATTGATGCTTAGCTTGGCAAGCTTTCAAGGAGGTTTGCTTGGAACAGGAAAGGAATTAACAACCCTTTGAGGGTGTCATTTTTACCTTGTAATACACTGTGGAAAATTCTGGAAGACGGTCCTTGCCTGAAAAGGTGCAACTTAGCATTAGGTTGTTATCAGAAACCTTGTCAAGTCTGATGGGAAATGAATAGATGCTGCTTTATTTCCTTGATAACTTCTTTGGAAGTCTGAAATAAATCCTGCCTTCAGTAACTGAAACCATTTATTAAAAATAGCAAGAAACAAGATGGGGACCAATTCTATTTTTATTCTTGGGAATTTGAAAGAGCCACAAGTGATTGGTGTCCGATCTCCCAGCATATACTGTACACTATTTTGTATTTCTCCTGAACCAAAACCAAGTACTTAGCACTCAAGAAACAGATGCCCTGTGTGTGACCGAGGGGAGTGTTTTTCCACAACAGGTTCCACTTCTGAACACTTGGAAGGACCTTGCCTGATTCATGGTGAAACACAGAGGTTTTGGTTGGAGATAAATTTGGGGTCAGTTACTGTTCAAAATTGTGAAAGTAGTTCCCAGGAAGACAGCATTAGTGACTCCGCAGTGCTTTGGGTAATAGATTTTGAAAAGCAATTGTGAGTTGGGGATTCCATCATTTCATTTAAGAGGTGAAGAGGGATTTAATTATTTAATACGCCGGGTGCAAACTTGTTAAATTCCTCTTTCCCTGTCCCTGCTTGGTGGAGCTGCCACGTGTGGTTCAGTTCTAAGTTCTGGACTAGTGCCACTCGATATCATTGGGAATAAATCGTTGTTCAACAGTCTGTTCCACAAACAACAGTAATTGAATTTCACAGACTTTATCCTGATTAGTGGAAATCAAATAATGGAGTGGAATCCCCATGTGTTTTCTCTTGCACAAACTTATTAGACTTGATTAGAAAACTGTTTGGAGGAAAAACTTGCCAGTAAGTTTTTTGGTTGTTGTTTTGTTTTTTTTGAAAAACGACGCAACACCATAAAGTGTAAAATTAGGGGTTCTGGCCAAGAGAGGTACTAGATTTTTTTAATGCCGAGAAAAGTCCATGCCACAGAAGTTATTGTGTATGTCTCTAGGGAGCTTTAAGAATTTCACGTTTGAACTTTACAGCTGTTTACCAATTAAATGGCAAGCTGGAAAAATACATTTTGAGAGGGGTAGAAAGAATAAGAATATAATTAAAAGTATGCTAACAAAATAAGCAGTACATATTTTTTTAGAAAATGCAGTTTAGGCCAGGCACGGTAGCTCGTGCCTGTAATCCCAGCACTTTGGGAGGCCGAGGCAGGTGGATCACCTGAGGTCAGGAGTTTGAGACCAGCCTGGACAACATGGTGAAACCCCGTCTCTACTAAAAATACAAAAAATTAGCCAACGATGGTGATGCCTGTCTGTAATCCCAGCTACTCTGGAGGCTGAGGCAGGAGAATCGCTTGAACCGGGGAGGCAGAGGTTGTAGTGAGCCAAGATTGCGCCACTGCACTCCAGCCTGGGCAACAGAGCAAGACTCCGTCTCAAAAAAGGAAAGAAAATGCAGTTTCATTCCAGCCATCCTTAGATTTCTTTTCCCCTTAAAGTGGCTGAATCCATTGGAGATGTGATTTATTTTGCAGATCCACCAATTCCAAACTTCAGGAATATTCAAGCGGGAGTCATGTGTAAGTGACAGCTTTGACAAAGAGAGACTGTGGCTGGGTGGCCCGGGTGTTGCCCACGCGGAGCAAGGATTGGTTCATTCAACGGATGGAGAGTACAGGATGGCTGGGACCTGGGAAGTTCCAGAATCTGAAAAGAGGGCAGGGCAAGAAGGAGCCAGAAGAGAGGTCCCACCCCTCAGTTGGCAGTGGGGCACGGAGGTCCGCATCAGCCAAGAACGTCCCCAGGATGCCGTGGGCACCTCATTTCACCCCACGTTTTTGGCACAGTCTACTTTTTAGGTATTTTGTAAAGGAACTTCTCAGGATTGATTATTTGCCAGAGGAACAATTAGGCCAAGAGAAACTTGCTTGACAGCCATGTGTAAAACACGTCTGTCCTAATCAAACTAGAGATGCCTCAAGGCCCACGCAGGACACAGGCAGGTTCAAGGTCATGCACCTGGAAATTTGTAGGGGAGGGTCAAGCAACTGAGGCCAAAGGGGGCCGGTAAAGTGGCTTCTGGGGTCTGAGCATCTGGAAGGCTCCTGGCAGCAGTTACCTGACAGTGTCGTTGAGGGGCACGGCAGCTGGGCCCTCACCGTTTCCGCCAGCTCTGCTGAGCCAGCCCAGCCCATGCATTCCGAACATCCGACAGCTTCTTTCTCCAGAATGTCTTCTGTCAGAGACTTCCAGGAAAGGAGCTCCCTCCTGTCTCACTGCTGTCAGCGTGGGAGCCCTGCTCCCCAGGCTCCACGTCCCCGGAAGGTCCATCTTGTCCTGGAGCACACCCAGCCCCATTCAGGGTCAGTGCAGGAGGGAACAGGGAATCTGCATTTCAGTAAGCTCCCCAGGTGAGGCTGCAGAGCAGAAACCACGGCTTTCAGACGTGAGCAGGCTCCCTGGGCTCTTGGTGTCACCCTGTTAGCCACATCTGCGGAATGTGGAAGGCAGAACATAGCCACGCTGCTTAGTGCTGCCAGCGAACCTCAGGTTGCATCAGTGGCTGGAATCTATCACAGCTGTTGGGGATACGTAACTCCCAGCAATAAATCCAGTATTTTCTTCCCTGCCCTGAGCTTCCTCTGGGTTTCTTATCAGCAGCTATTACACACAGATGTCCAGTGCTTCTAAACTAAATTGTACTGTGTAACTTTTACATCACACTTGTGTGCTTAAAAAGCACACCGTGGGTAGTGACTGGGCCAAGAGACATCACAAAGCTTCCTGATAAATTTGAATCCAGCCACGGCAAGAGCGACGTGCGGGTACCTGGTCCCTGATGCTTGGGTGCCCCGTTGAGCCTCGGGTACTTCTTGGACACTATTGTGAGAGCAGCCATCCTGGTGTCTCTGCCAGCATCTTGGGGAACGCTGTGATGGTAAAATATCTGTCTCTCCTCTGGGAATCAGGGCAGCCCTGAGAAGTGAGCAGTTCCCTTTACAGATGGATAATTGTTTGTGTAAGACCAACCAGATAAAGTCCAAACTGTGTAGAACACACGTGTGCCTCACACATAGCCATCTGAGTAAAATATTTTTTCCAATGTAGATTTATAATTAGAAATGACAGATTTATAATATAGACTTCAGTAAGTTGGGCACAGCTGTCACTTTCGTGGTATCAATAAAAGGCTAGAAACCTTGGGTGTCCTTGGCAACCTAGCCTTTGACATTGATGTTTTTCCATAGGATTTTCTTCATTTGGGTTGGAATAAAAATGCATTTTTATTCACAAGGCACAGACAGATAAGAATATCATAAGCAGGGAAGTGTCTCCAAAGGTCAGGACATATGTTTTTCTGTTGAGTGCTATATGTGGAGGTCATTGCAAGTTCCCTGATATGAGTATGGTTTCGCTTGCTACATTGTGCCTATTAAAGTAAAATTTTACACAAGCCTCGCATTTCTAAGATTAGTGTTCCTGAATGAAATGTTAAGAAAACATTAAAAGATTATCTCTTTTTAAGATGGAGGAAAAAAAGTGAACAAAGCTAATTAATCTATCATGAAAATTGCACAAAATAACATTTCTTAACAAATTTAATACAATTTTGTGTTCTTTGTTGCTAGTGGTATAAAACGAGATTTTTTTCCCTCATTTTTCTCATTGTAGATGTCATCTCTCACATTTATATCAGTGAGGTTTGAAATTCTGTGTAGCAGTTACTCAGCACATATGAGAGGGCAGCGAATGAATGAGATTTGTCATGTGCTAATAAAAGCTGAATTTTTGTAATCTAAAATGATGTATTTTCTACTATTGCTGTTAATTTGCATTGTTAAAAATTCTTAAAGTTTAATATGTTATGTTCAGTCATTGAAAGCGACCACTCATTTTTTTCTTAAAGTTGATGCCTTTTCTGCTGTGCTAGAGTCAGTATTTTGCTTCTGGCAGGAGAGCTGCAAACTGTGTATCCTCAAACAGATGCAAAAAGTAGTGCTTTGCAAAACGTTTGTTTTCTGTTTATCTCAGATTAACATCCTTTAATACAAGTTTCTTAAGTGTAACTTGTATTTCTGAAAATGCTTAAAATTATTTTATATTTCCCTTTGGGAATTTTTCTCTATTTCCAGCACGCTGATTTGATTTAAAAATGTAATAAGACCAAGAGTTGGAGTAAAGGGATATTCATTCCATGTTAAAAGTGGCTTCATAGCTACTGACAAATGTCTGAACTATTGTCGTGCCCTTCAAAACTGGAGTTTTCTAAAATAATCTTATTTTTATACTTGTATGTTCCAGCAATTTAAGATATATACCATTGAAAGGGAAATAAAACATTTTTGTTTATTTGAATAAATAATACTCCCAACCTGTTGCTTTTGGAATGTTTTGTAAATACTTCTCTTGGGTCACATGTCTGGCGGTCCATTACGTCCACTCCTTCATTGTGGGTTCCTGGAAAATGTCAAGGATAAAATGGAGTGGAAGGGAGGGTTCAGGCTCAATCATTAAGATGCAAAACATGCTGAAGGTGGGGAGGGTAAAGTGCTTTAGAGTCTGGAAACCCTACAGGTGGAAAGAAAACACCTGCAGAGAAGAAACTCAGTAAGCACATTTCAGCGGTCTTAAGGATGGGACAGATGGCTTAGCTTGGTCCTGGGGACTGAGGGTGACCAGGTTGGCAATGCCTGTGCGGTCACTCCCATGATCACCCTGCAGGGAGATGGCATTCTACCATTTCACAGACGAGAAACCATCTCTGAGTCACCTGCCCAGAAAAACACAGCTAAAAAGTGGAGAGGAACCCAGCTCTGTTCCCCTCCAACAGCCCAGCTCTTTCTCTGCACTACACTCTGGTCCATCCGCCATCCTGAACCACACTCTCAGAGCCTAATGCATCACTTGTGCCAGAAGAATCCAGTCTAGTGGTCAGTCTCTAGAGAAGGGTGTGCACCAATATGGGCACAGCAGAAGCTCTTAGTGAATGAAATGAAGATCATCCATGAGCCATGATCTAGCTGCTATGCCAATCCTTTAAATATACGCTGCTTTCAATGACTAGACACTTTTTGTCTGACAATATCCAAATGAGGAGAAAAGAAGGAATCTCCAACCATTAGGAGGTAAAGTGATAGTTACTGGAGAAACAGAGTAGAGTATCTGCTTTCTAGTAAGAAGGAGATGATTTATCCTATTTCGCCATCCCTAAGCTGGAGGGGACATAACGGATGGGATTTTCACGAGTCTGTCACTAGGTGGTGGTGTTGTAAAGCGTTGTGGTATACATAACGTTTGTGCCTCTTTCCCCATTCCGTGTAGCTTTCACAAAGCAGCTTTTTATCAAGTATGGGTATGTAAGTAGACTACATCCCAGAGCTTTTTCATTCTGTGCTTTATAGAATCTGAAAAATAGGCCAGCTAGAGGGGTACTCAATCTTAGAGGCAACCGCCAAATACACATTTCCAGCCCTGGCCTCTACCTGGGTTTTTAGACTTGTATCTCCAAGTTCCTTCTGGACGTGTCTGCTTGGCCATCACTGGGAAGGAAACTGAGGCACAGAGGTGCTATAAAGTCTCCAGGTTCTTCTGGAAATGACAGCCAGATTCAAAACACCAGTGTGTCTGGTTACCAGGCACAAGCTCAATCATTATGCCATTGCCTTTTTAAGGTTAAAGATTTAAAATTACATATGCTAAAATCAAAATGCTACGAGGAAAAAATATTGGGGAAAATATTTGTAACAAATATAAGGGCAGAAGCTGACATTTATCGAACAGCAAATTCTGGCCACGCATCCTGCCATTTCATTCTCAGAACAACCCACAACGAGGTGCACGTGGTACTAAAAACATTTTAAAACCCAAGGTCTGAAGACGGAGCTGCTCCCAAGGACAGGCTCAGGGAAATCAGGAGGTCCAGGGAGGGGAGAATCTCACCCCACAGGATGAGATGCCACAGGCCAAAGGCTTAAGAGTCATCTCAGTAAAAAATGTAAAAACAAAAAGACCTACTGTCTTCAGCATACACAGATTGTACGAAATAAGCCAAGTGTATTATTTTCTGTATTTGATGCTGTGATAGCTGGAGCCCTGTTGACCCTGAAAGGACTGCCTCTCTCAGGGTTGGCTAATTCTAAGAGAAAGTCAACGACTCCCCTGGCAGCCTGCCTTTTAGATGGAAACCCCCGATCCAGAGCGCACACCCATCCACCTCCTCTCTGGAGCTCTCACACTCAGGCCATATCCACCTGCCCTCATCACCCCAGAGCCAGGTACCAGACAACTAGGCACAATTTCCCTGCCCAAAGCCACTGAAATTATTCTAACTAGCCAAAGCTAAGCCTGCTTACCCTGCCTCTTCCCTTCTTTCCTACAGAAACCACAGTAAAGCCTCCTGTTCCGTCTTGCCCCATCCTTCGGCCTCCTGACTACCCCTGTGCTTTGCTGCGTGGCCCTCAGTGGCAGCTGTGCCTTCTGTTTTTAGGCATCTATGAATACAAAGAGCTTCTTTCTTTATGACAGTCTTTTGTGTGTCTGTGTGCCTTATTACACCTCATTAAAACAAATCCCAGATACCCTTCAAACACCAAGAATAGAAGAGTGTTAGAGTCCAGTAGAAAAACATGCAAGGGCTGTCAACCAACAGCTGGCCAAAGTGGGAATACAAATGGCCGAGAAACTGAGAAGTGTTCAATCTTATTAATGTATGCATAATATGTAAGTAATTACAGATAGAATGAACAAAGCTTTTAATTATTAATAGATGTCCAAGAGGTCACCCATCTTCTGCTTTGCTGATGGAAAGTGTAAATCAAAACAATCATTTCAAAGAGCCCTAAAAAATAGCCAAGTCATCTTTACATCAATACTTTCTTTAGAAATCTCTCCTAAAGAGATAGAAATATGGACAAAATGGGATAGGGTATAGAGCAAAAAAAGCAATTTGCTGAATATGCCAATATTTCATTGATTTTTAAAGGGAAATATCATATATGGATGTGAGAGTATAGAATTTAAGAGTGTAGTAAGTACATGAAATTCACACTAATCTATTACCCTCAAATTAGGACTCATACATAAAGGAGATGGCTTAAGGATGTTTAAATTAATTTTATTTTGTATTCAAGTAATACGTTGTAATGGTTTATTTTATGTGTCAACTTGAATGAGGCATAGGGTGCCAGGATATTTGGTCAATTATTATTCTAGATGTGTATATTAACTCAGGCCACCATAACAAATGCTATAGGCTGGGTGGCTTAAAAAAACAGAATTTTATTTTCTCTAATGTCCTTGAGGCTGGAAAGTCCAACATCAAGATTCAGTAGGCTCCTGGTGAGGGATCTCTTCCAGGCTTGCAGGCAGCTGCCTTCTTCCTGTGTCCCCACATAGCCTTTCCTTGGTGTGTGAACATGGAGATCTCTCTGTTGCTCTTTCTTTTCTCATAGGGTTGCCAATCATATTGGATTAGGATCTCATCCTTATGACCTCATTTAACCTTAATTACTTCCTAAATGCCCTATCTCTTATGCAGTGACATTGGGGTGAGGGCTAGGATTTTTGGGGGCACACAATTCAGCTCATAGCAGTGTGTCTGTGAGGGTATTTTTGGATGAGATTAACATTTAAACTGGTAGAATGAGTAAAGAAGATTGCCTTAAGGCAGGTGGGCCTCATCCAATCACTTGAAAGCCTAAATAGAATTTAAAACACCTGATCATTTTACAAGCCCAAACTCCTCCTGCTTGATTGCTTTCACCTGGGACATGAGCCTTCTACCTTCAGACTCAGACTGAAACTCCAGCTCTTCTTGGGTCTGTAGCCTGCCAGCTTTTGGACTGTAACTTACACCATTTGTTCTCCTGGGTCTCCAGCTTACAAACTGCAGATCTTTGGATTTCTTAGCCTCCATAATCATGTAAGCCAATTCTTTTTAGTCAATCTCTCTAGAGAATGATATAGATAGATAGATAGATAGATAGATAGATAAATAAATGATAGATAGATATTCTGTTTCATCTTATATATGTTCTGTTTCTGTTTCTCTGGAGAACCCTAACTAATGCATACAGTTAGTCATTATTAAACATTAAATAGTTTCAAGAAGCTTATCACGAGGTGTCTACTGCCTCACTTCTCCCCACCTCAAGGTCCTACTGTGTAGTGGTAGTTCCTCCTCCACCAAATCTTCTGTTTGCCTTGATGGTTGCTTGCATATTTCCAAATTGTATATTCATGCTCTGTTTGTTATCTGGTCAGCCAATAGCCTTGATTCCATTGATTTAGTAATTGGCAATCTGAGCATTTTCTAAATTCCTACATAGATTGGGCCCATTGCCAGACTCTCCTGATCCCATCTATGTGTCTGTTTTTGCATCTGTGCCTGCAGTTTTTGTTACTATTGTTTATTAATGTGATCTTTAATGTGTAGCTGGCCAGTCTCCCCCAGTTAATCATCTTACGTGATATTATCACAAATGTGTTCATCTAGATATCCTTTAGAAATACTGAACAACTTTCTTTAAATTCTCCTTTTGAGATTTGTTTTGGAGTTTCACTAAATTTATAAATGAATTTAGAGAAAATTTACTTCTTCACAATACTGAGCCTTCTAATTCAAAAGAAAGGTATACTTCCATGTTTAAGTCATTATATGTCCCTCGGTAGAGTTTATTTTATGTAGCTCCATGCCTATTTCTTGATACCTTAATTCTCAAGGATGTGGGATGTCCTGTTGTCATGAATGGGGGGCCTCTTTACCTATTAGGCACATACTAGCTGTGTGACCTTAGCAAATTACTTAACCTCTTTCTGCTTCAATTTCTCAGCTGCGATATGGGACGAGCAGTAGTACTACATCACAGTGTTGGTATACTAATTAGCTGAGCTAATTTTGTAAAGTACTTGGTATAGTGTTTGTCACAGACGCACTGCATGTGATGGTTAATTTAAAAAAAAATAGATTAAAATTTGCAAATTCTTTTTCCAGTTTGTTGTATCTTTTGACTTTGCCTGTGTTTGGTTTTTTGTTTTGGCCTTTGAAAAAAAGTGCATACATATATACATTCAAATATGCTAAACATGTTTTAATAAGGATAATGGATTTGGGTCCACTGGAAAGGGCTTCCCAACTCCAAGTTTCTAAAGAAACCCTTTCCTGTTTTCTTTTAGAATATTTATGATTTGATTTTTAACACTTTAATCTGTTTGGAATGTATGCTCAGGCAAGATGTGAGGTATGATTTTACCCAGTTGTTGAATGGTTTGCCCTGTTGTTCCAACATTATTCTTTAAATAATTCATCCTTTCCATTGGTTTGACATGAAACTTTATCACACACTTAATCGTTGTGTGTGTTTGGGCTTCTTTTTTGACTTTATTTTTCCACTTACACTTCTCTTCCTCTTGTCTGTCCAAGCACTTGCCAGCACTAGGCTGTATTATAGTTTAAAAATTAATACTAGCCATCATGGCTGCTTCATTCACATTACCCTTCTATTTCAAAATTTCCATGGATATTTTTATTTTTTCATATGAGCATTTAAATCAGCTGTTATACACTCCCCTAACAAATATTTATTGTAATTTTATTGGGATCACATACGTTTATAATTTAACTTAGGGAGACTTGACACCTTTCTGATGTTGAATTATCCTGTCTAAGAAGGGGAAGTGTGTTTCCATTTGTTAGTTTTTCCCTTTTTGTTCCTTAAGAGCATTTTAAAGTTTCCTTGATTGCTATCTTGCCAATTTCTTATTAAATGTATTTGTAGGTATTGATCTTTTTGGTTGTTAATGCAAATGAGGCCTTTTCTTCCACTAAATCTCCTAACTGGTTGTTGTTTGTGAATACGAAAACTGGTGATTTCTATGTATTAATTCTTACTGTGTTTCATAGTAAATTATTTTGTTTGAGATTTTTCAGGTATTTTGGAGTGTCCAGGTATACAATTGTATCATATGCAAATACCCATAGTATTTCTTCATTCTTTCTAATTTTAGACCTCTGTTTTCTTTCTCCTATCTAATTACATTGTCCGGTACCTGTAGCATAGTGTTTAATAGTAATGGGCATTTTAAAAATTTTGTTCCTAGCTTTTTAAACTGGTACTAGTGGCTGAGAGATATATAACTTATTATGTTGAGGAAATAGCCATTTATTTCTATTTGATTGAGAATTTTATTAAAAGTTTTACAATTTTATTAGATGTCTTTCATCATCTATGGAAGACATCTGATTTATTGAATAGATTTAAGAACATGTTGAATTATATTACTAGACATCCTAATATTGAATCATGTGCATTTCTAGAATAACTTCTGTTTGGTCATGATATCTTTTAATGTGCTTAAGATTATGCTTTATTTAGCATTTTTCTAACTGTAATTGCAAATTTAGTTGGTCTGTAGTTTTCTTTTTCTGTCAGTGTTGTATGTCAAGTGTCACTGTTTGCTTCATAGAAATAATTTGGATGTTTTTCCTTTTTTCTAGGCTCTAGATATGGCATTATGTACTCTTTAAAAATGTGGTAGAATTCCCTTCAGACACTCTCTGGTCCTGGTGTTATTTTGAGAGGCAGTGCCTTGATGAGTTTCTCTGTCTTCTACGGAAATAATCTGTTCAGATTTTTTATCTCTACTGTATCAGTTTTGATAAATTATATTTTCTTATAAAATTATTCATCTAAGTTTCCAAATTAAGCAGAACAGTGTTATGATTTTTTAAATTTCTCCTGCTTTTATAGTTGTTTTCCCTGATTTCCTATATTGTATGTTTTTATGCACACACACACTCTCTCTCTCTCTCAAATTCTTAGCTCATGACTTATCTATTTTATTAAGAATTTTTTTCCTAAAGGTTTAATTCATTAGTTCTACTATTTAATGCTCTTATTACTTTGTTTTTGTTTTTATTACTTTTGCCTTGTTTAGTTTTGATTGATAATTCACTTGTTTTCATTCTGTTACACTGGCATAAGCATTTATGGCAATAAATATTCCTCTACGCACTGATGTAATTGTTTTTCAAATATTCTGATATGTCTTTATTTTCTAAAAAGTCTACATTTCTTCTGTTTATTTTCTCTTTCACCAAAGAGGAGTTTAAGAGACATTTTTGAAATTTTTTAGTGGAAGGTGCTTTTTGTTTTCTGGTAATTTCCACTCGAGTTGCCCTGTGATTATAAGTGTGGTCTATAACAGTGGTCTCCAACCTTTTTGGCACCGGGGACCGGTTTAGTGGAAGACAGTTTTTCCACGGGTGGGAGGTGGGGGATAGTTTTGAGAAGAAACTGTTCCACCTCCGATCATCAGGCATTAGTTAAGATACTCATAAGGAGCCTGTAATCTAGATCCCTCGCCTGCGCGGTTCACAACAGGATTGCTCTCCTATGAGAATCTAATGCCGCCTCCGCTGATCTGGCAGGAGGCGGAGCTCAGGCGGTAATGTTCCCTCGCTCACCTCCTGCTGTTAGGAACTAGGCTGCTCACCTCCTTCTGTGCAGCCTGGTTCCTAATAGACCACAGACCGGTACCAGTCCACGGCCCGGGGTTGGGGAAACAGGTCCAGGATGTGGAACTTGAGATTTTCTTTATGGCTCAGCACAGACCAGTTTGCATGTTCTATGGGTGCTTGAAAAGAAGGTGCATTCTTTCCTTCGTGGTAGATAATTTGAACTATATCCATTGATGCTATTCTATTATGCTGTGTAGCTTTGCCATATCTTTACTCTTTAATGTGATCTGTCCTGGACTGAGAGAACTGACGCCTACTACCAATGTGTTTTTATCTGTTTCTGTTGCACTCAGCTAATCTCTGTGTTATAAACATTGCTGCTGTATTGCTTTGTCCGTACGTATTATGTGTTATAGACCTAGGAATCTCTCCTTTAAAAAATAAGGCAAAGTGCTTCGCTTTGAAACATTTAATGCCTTTGGTGTGAATTACTCCTTGACTGGAATGAAGTCTCCAGACCTCGCTCTGTGGTTGTTTGCAGTGGCATCCTAGGAAGTACCCATCCCTTTATTTCTTTTCCTATTAATTCCCTCTTTCACCATGGAATGATGGACCAGCTATTCACAGGAGGCTCCACAAGCGCAGAGGGTGTGGGCGGCCTTCCAGTTTCCACCCAACCTTCCAGGCGTGTCTTCCAATAGTCCCCGTGTCTCTGCGGCCAGGGAGACAGTCTGTCTTCTGGGAACCGGAGCATGTGCGTGTACGGTTGCAGAGCCTAACTCTTCTGACTCAGTGTCCATGAACCCCACTGCCCTGCAGCCCCGCTTGCCTGCTTTTCCATTCCCACTGTGAGAAGGAGGGATACGGCTTTGACGTTTCGTGCTGAGCTCCTCACTAGGGAATGTTTTTGGTGCCTTCTGAGGCTGGGCGCTGCCGAACCCTCTGACCACTAGCACCCCCGTCTCCTCGTCCCCTCGTCCCCTCCCCACGCTCTCCGCCCCGCCCCAGGGTTGCAGCTCCTGCACATTCTTTGCCCTCTGCGCCTCCCTCTGCCCCCGAGTTTCACTGGAAATGCAGCCTTTGGGGATCTGTGGTTCGTTTTGTTTTGTTTCATTTTTCTTGTTGTTCTTCTGGGATTTCCAGGAGAAGGGAGCAGTTGCTAACTTATATGTGATGTTTACACTGGAAGTTTTTATTGGATATATTTTGCCCTTCAGTACTCATTGTATGTTTTTTGTATCATTTTAAGGTTTTTTTCTACAGGAATGTTTTAGTTTGGTTATTTAAATGTTTTTAACTTTTTATTGAAACTTGGATAATGATTTATTACAGAAATGCTCGCAGCTGTGTTATTCAAGGTGGAAAAAAATTGAGGTGATCTAAGTGTCCAACAGTAAAGAAATCGAGTAATTGTTACACACCCATAGGGTGGATTATTCAGTAGCCATTAAAAATAGACTTTAACCATTTTAAGGTCAGGAAATAATATTATTATTAAAAGAAAAAATATAAACTGTCTATGCAGTGTGATGCACAATTTTGAATGCACACTTCCCACACACACACACACACAGAGAAAAGAAAAAAGACCAAAGACCAGAAATAAATGTACCAACAAGTCAAAGAAGTGAGGTTAACAAAATTACAAGTAATCTAAAATATTCTTGGAAAAAGTCTGTATTTCCTAAAAATATATCATTTTTCCAATCAAAATATAAATCAGCCTATTATCATCTTCCTGGCCCCACATTTGATCTCGTTCCTGTTCCACTCCCTGTCTTGGTGGATGGTGCCCCGGCCCCCATAGCCTGGGATGGAAGCCTGAGTCATTCCTGCCTCCTCCGTTCCCTTCACTCCCCATACCTGACTGGTCATGAATCCTTTTGGTTCTGCCCCCTAAACAGCTCCAATCTTTGCACCTTCACTGGGATTGTTCTAATGATCTGTCTTCTGATCTTGAGTTAGTTATTTTCTTATTTATCTCCCAGCCTTTATCCTCTCCCACCTTGATACCACTTCTCCATGGATTGTGCCAGTACCAGCCTAAACACTTCCCATGGCTCCCTGCAGCCTACAGGAGAAAATGCAAATTCAACCAGTCAAGGCCAGCCCCAGTCTGACTCGAATCTACCTCTCCCGCCACACACCTGCTGCACTCCAGTCTCTAGGGACTCTGAATTCTAGCATTGAACCTAGAGTCAAGAATGACCATCAAATTCTGTCAGCACTGGCCACACAACAGACTCTGAGCAACCAGCACAAATCCTGGCCATGCCAGCTGCCATGGGCGGCCAAATCTTCCCTGCCTAGAACTTAATAGATGCTCAACAGACATGGCTTGAACACATGAGGAATGGAGGGAGGTGATTCAGTCTGATGCCCCTTTTCAGACAGAACGAGTGTTAAGCCATGCTAGGAAAATGATGATGTCTCAACTTAGAGTTGTTAAAGAGTAGAAACCCCAGATTCCGCATGGCTGATACACAGCAGGCGAGCCCTAAAATTGGGGCTTAGCCCAGGAGGGTTCTTGGCTTCGCCCAGCAAAGAACTCAAGGGTGAGCTGATGGTGTTAGGCAGCAGCTTTTATTGAAGTGGCTGTGTGCACAGCAGCAGCAGAGGTACTGCTGTTTGCAGAGCAGGGCTACCCTGTAGGCAGTGTGCCTAGAGTAGCAGCCCAGAGGCAGTTCTGTGGTCACGTTTATACCCACTTTTAATTATATGCAAATTAAAATGTGGATTATGCAAAAATTTCTAAAAATAGTGTGGTAACTTCCTGGTCATTGGGTCATGGCCATGGAAAGGGGCGGCAACATTCAGGTGTTTCCCTGGCAATGGTAAACTGACATGGCACTGGTGGGCAGGTCTTACGGAGAGGGGCTTTTGCCTCTTTCCTGTTTCAGCTAGTCCTTAATCTAGTCCTTCATCTTGGTTTGGTGTCCAAGCTCTACAGAGTCAAGTCCCACCTCCTACTGAGAGATGAAGCCAGCTGGGCTTCTGGGTCATGTAGGGAACTTGGAGAAGGGAACTTGGAGAACTTTTCTGTCTAGCTAAAGGATTGTAAATGCACCAATCAGCGCTCTGTGTCTAGCTAATCAGTATTCCGTAAAAACGGACCAATCAGTACTCTGTAAAATGGACCAATCAGTTCGCTGTAAAATGGACCAATCAGCTCGCTGTAAAATGGACCAATTTGCAGGATGTGGGTGGGGCCAAATAAGGGAATGAAAGCCTGCCACCCCAGCCAGCAGCGGCAACCAGCTGGGGTCCTCTTCCAGTCTGTGGAAGTTTTGTTGTTTCACTCTTTGCAATAAATCTTGCTGCTGCTCACTCTTTGGGTCTGCACCACCTTTATGAGGTGTAACACTCACAGTGAAGGTCTGCAGCTACACTCCTGAAGCCAGCGAGACCACGAACCCACAGGAAGGAAGAAACTCCAGACATATCTGAACATCTGAAGGAACAAACTCCGGACACACCATCTTTAAGAACTGTAACACTCACTGCGAGGGTCACAGATTCATTCTTGAAGTTAGCAAGACCAAGAACCCACAGGAAGGAACCAATTCCGGACACACTACTTCACAGCAACCATTGCAATACCACTTAATGTTTTGATTGAGCAGTGTCAGGTCAGGGCATGCTCCTGTGTTATCTCCATACTTGTCCTTGCACTTTTGCTTTTCCCTTTAATCCTTTCAGCAACCTCACTGGGTAGCTAGAACAGACAGTATCATGTGTTATAGAAAACAGAGGCTCTATCGCTCAGTGCTTTGCTGGGTGCCTTTCCAGTCAGGATGTCCAAATTGGTCAACTGACTTGTACGAATCTTATTACTTATTAAATCCTTGGGAATTTCAGAGGCATATACTTATTTCAGTTGTAAGATTATTTCTTTATTCTGTATTCACCAACCTTGTGCACTGTCGCTTCATTTCCTTGGCCCATGTTTTATATGATTCAAGTTTGAGTTACCATCTTCCTTCTGTGAACTTTTATGCATTAAGGGCATCCCTTCTTTCATTGGTCAGCTGACCTGTGTGTAGGTAAGGAGGAAACATTCAAATAGAAATTTGCATCCTTGGCCCTGAACACTAAACTACCCGCTGAAACAAGAGCCACATTCTCTCCTATGAATCACTAAATCAATGCCTTGTTTATGGATTTCATTTTCATTCACTCAAAACTTAGGGCATCAATAAACGGAGGAAAAAGACGATAAAATACTGAAATGAGTGAAAGTCAGGAAACTTAAATCGCAGTCTTGTTGACGTAGGAGGGAGAGAAGGGGCTAGAACAATGGTCTACAACTTCTCTCTTTGTTCTTGCTCATGGGCACTTTCCTCTATTGGCCCTGAACTCTCTCTTGCCTTCAAGTCTCACTAGATTTTCCTTGCACAGAATTATCTAGGTCAGGGCTTCTCAGAGTTGAATGTGTATGTGAGTCACATGGGGATTTTCTTAAAATGCATATTCTGATTCTGTAGGTCTGGGGTGGGCCTTCCTGACGAGTTCTGGGGCAATGCTGCTGGTCCATGGCTACCCTTACCAAGATCTAGGTTACAATTCCTCCCCTAGCCCCACCTTCACTAAACTCTCTCCCTGGTTACTGCCGCTCATCCTTCAGGCCCCAGCCAGGCCTCACCTCCCCCTGGAAGCCCTCCTGGTCCTCCTGAGGTGGGATAAAAATCCCCACCCTAATGATATTGATTAGTTTGGCCTATATCTGAACCTGCCGTTGAACACTGTTCCACCAGGGTCCTGCACCATGCCTGGCTCCTGAAAGATACTCAGTGACTCTTCCAAATCCAAATCGAATGAATGAATGATTGCCTGTATGTTTTGCTCTGTGCTTTCTACAGTCTCATTAAAACATTTTCAGTCCCCATACAGTAAAAATGTGAAATGTGCTTGTGTGTGTGTGTGTGTTTGGGCATGCATGTGTGTGAAGATCCATTTCTATACCATGCACTCAGCAAAGACACACTGATTTCATTCTTGCAGAGCTGCTGCTATCCTCCCCATCAATCCTCCTGTGCCTTCCAGCCCCTCCCCTGCACTCCCACTCTCCACCCTTCCACCTGCACTTAGCAGGAAAGAGCTCCAGGAGGAGGAAGAGCATGTCTCCATTTGTCCCCTCCCCCTGTGCACAGGTGGCCTCAGGTGACTCCTCTCCTGATTCCTAACATGTGCAGCCTTCCTTCAGTTATCAGAAGGCATTTGTTTCTCTCATTTTCTGAAACCAGCTCCAGTGGTGAGTCCCAGGCTTGCTCTTCCTAAGGCTTCTGTGGAGCAGCCATCTACCAGATACAGGAGGGGGCCACTCTGACAATTCCTTCCCTGTAAGATGGGAATACTAACACCCACCTTACCAAGATAGCCCAGGTGTGCATGGCTCAGATAATAGTTTTGCTTACCTTCCTGTCCCAGCATGTAGCACATTGCCTGGCAGATATCAGGTACTCAACAAATATTCTTTCACTGAATATATCGTTGAAGGAAGAAATGAAAGCATTTGGTAAGCTGAACTCTTAGAAGAAATCAGAGGTATTAATACAGACAGTTTTAATGTCTTTGAAAGAGAAGAGAATGAATCCAATCAATAGAACTGCCTCCCAGGTGTAGGAAAATTGAGGTATTCCTCTTGGTTCTTTACTAGGGAAACCACAAGTAGCTTTGTAAAAATGCAGTGACTCAAGTTGTCAGAGGGAGAGGAAGAAGGAAGAGGTGGTTCCTCCCATCGTCATTAAAATAAACCTGGTTCTTTACCTATTTGCTCACTCGTTTATTCTGTTAGTCCCCAAATATTTGTGGGGTGCCAGTGTACTCCAAACCCTGTCCTCGGCCCTGGGGATTCAGTTGGGAAGCAAAGGCCCTGTCCTCATGGAACATGAGTCTAGCAGAGAAGGGGGGTCACACTCCAGGTAATAAACAGGTTAACAAGTGAATGTCTAAAATAATGCCAGGTGCCATAGGTGCTATGGAGGAGGGAAAAAAGGCAGAGAAAGAGGAGAGTGATGGGAGGGGGGGTGCTAATTTAGAGAAATACCCCCATGGCCAACATCCCATCCCATCCCACCCATTATTATGGTCCCTTTCCACAGCGTCCCTCACAGCCTGCTCTTTTGTGACTTTTCCCATCTTGGAGGCTAACCTTGGTAGTGACAGCCCAGCAGCCATCATCTGCACAAACATTTGGGGGAGGTTGGAGGAAACTCCAGGAACTGGCCTTTCAAAAGCCAGAGTAGCATGCCAACAGGCAGGCCTGCCCTCTGCCCCACCAGCCCTGCGGTGGGTGTGGTGACAGGCTGTGCCCTGCAGGCTGGGACTCGCTTCTGGGTCCCCTTCTCACTCACGCTTCTGTGGCAGCCCTTGCCCCACCAAGAGGCAACCCTTGTTCATATACCAGGAAGCAAGGGTCTGGCAGGAATGCCATTTGGGAGGTGTCTAGAAGGGCAAAGTACTTGAGAAGTGCATTTTCTCAGTAACAGCAGCCAGCTCACTCACCCCACTCCCTGATTAGGACATCATTAAGGTTTCCTTTCATTCTGCCCTCCTTACCTCCACCCATTCTACCCAACAAGGCCCACCTCGGGAACACCTTCATCTTCTCACCTGCCTGCCCTGCCAGTCACTTGGCCTGAGCAAGCTCTGCTTCTGTGAGCCAAACCACCATCTCCATCTTCCTGTCAGGAGATTGAAGTGACCTTTCCAGGGTCCTTTTCACCTTGACATTCTATGACTCTGGTCTCATATTTTTTAAGATTCAGATGGTCAATTGCTCTTTTAATAAACTAACCCTGTAAATAAGTATTTCCAGGAAGAAAAAAATGCCTGTGACCTGGCAGTCCTTCTCAAGCTTTGCACACACATCACAGGGGATCTTGATAAAATGAGGATTCCAAAGTGGGGGGGCATTCTTCTGTTCTAACAACCTCCCCAGTGGTGCTGGTCTGGGGACTATACCTTGAGTTTCAGGAGTCAGTATAGCCTCTTTCCTCCATCCTTTATTGTTAAACTCAGTGGTTCTCAACCAGGGCAATTTTCCCTCCTAGGGAGACACTGTCAGTGGTCACAGCTGGGGCATTGCCCCTGACCATCTAGTGAACAGAGATCAGGGATCTGCTCAACCTCCTACCATGCACAGGAGAGACCCCCCACAGCAAAGACTCATCCAGCCCAAAATAGTGCTCAGGCTGAGGAACCCTACATACTAACTCAGCAGGTCTAATTCTGTCTATACATTAGAGTCCCTAGAGTTCTTTTAAAAATATATAAATTCCCAGGGCCCCTCCTGGACAATGATGTTAGAATCTCTGGGGGTGGCACCTTTGTTCTGTATTCTTTAGATGTTCCCTATGATTCCAATGTGCAAACCCAGCTGAGACCCAACGGCCTCAACCAACATTGACTCCAATGGAGGAAACTGTGGGCTGTATAACAGGGTTGGTGTGTGGGAACTTTGTATGTCCCATACAACTGCAGAGCATGCATTCTGTTAACAGCAGCTGCCATGGTGTGGAGCAGCCTGAGGACAAACAGCTGAGTGGTCTGCTCAGTCAGGACCTGGGGAATCTGAGGCCTTTCCCAAGTGTGCTTGGTGGTTCTGACTGGGCCCTGATGCAAAGGACAGGGCCAAGGCCCTCATGTGTCCCCCTTTCCAAGAGACCCACTCTACCCTAAGTTTATCACTATTGGCTTCAGGTAGCATGGAGACTACAGGACATTTTTTTCATTTTATCTTTATTAAAACTATGAAGGTGGACAGTTAATCATCATCTTAATCATCTGATCATACAGGTGAGAAAAATCAGAGTCAGAAAAAATAGGTGAACTAGCCAGAAAAGTAGCAAAGCTGACATCAGAACCAGAATTTACAAATTCAAAGCAAATAGGCCACAGCCATTGTAGAAAACAGTATAGAGGTGTCTCAAAACTTGACAAGTAGAACTACCATATGATTTCTGGCAATCCCACTACTGGATATACATCCACAGGAAAAGAAACCAGTATGCTAAAGAGCTGCGCTCCCATGTCCACTGCAGCACAGTCACAGTAGCCAAGATTTGGAATCAACCTAAGTGTTCATCGACAGACGAATGGATAAGAAAATGTAGTATATATACACAATGGAATACTAGTCAGCCTTATCAAAAGGAAATCCTGAACCTAGAGGTCATTATGGCAAGTGAAATAAGCCAGGTACAGAAGGACACGCTCCACCTGATCTCACTGATATGTGGAATCTAAAAATCTTAAACTCATGGAAGCAGAGAGCAGAACAGTGCTTACTAGAGGCTGGGCATAGAGTTGGGGAGATGTTGGTCAATGGATACAAAATTTCAGTTAGGAGGATGAAAATAATAAGTATGTGAGGTCACACATATGATAATTAGCTCAATTTAGCCATTTCACAATGTATGCATGTTTCAAAACATTGTGTTGTATACCACAAACATACAATTTTTATTCATCAATAATACCTTAACTAAAGAGCTGCTGCACAGCAAAATAAACTATCAACAATAAACAGAGAACCTACAGAATGGGATAAAAAAACTCACAAACTGCATTTGACAAAGGTCTAATATTCAAAATCTATAAAAACTTAAATAATTGAACAAGCAAAAAACAAACAATTCCATCAAAAAATGGGCAAAAGACATGAACAGACACCTCTCTAAAGAAAACATACAAGTGGCCAACAAACATATGAAAAGTGCTCCATATCACTAATAATAAAAAATGCAAATCAAAACCACAGTGAGGTACCATCTCACACCAGTCAGAATGGCTATTATTAAAAAGTAAAAAATCAAAACAAAACAATAGATGCTCTCTTGGCTGCAGAGAAAAGGGAATGCTTATACACTGTTGGTAGGAATTTAAATTAGCTTAGACATTGTAGAAAGCAGTTTGGAGATTTCTCTAAAACTTAAAACAGAGCTACCATTCAACCCAGCAATCTCACTACTGTGTATATATGCAAAAGAGAACAAATCCTTCTACCAAAAAGACATATGTATTCGCATGTTCATTGCAGCCCTATTCACAATAGCAAAAACATAGAATTGACGTATGTGCCCATCACTGTTGGATTGGATAAAGAAAATGTTGTACATCTAGACCATGGAATACTACATAGCCATAAAAAAGAATGAAATAATGTCCTTTGTAGCAACATGGATGCAGCTGGAGGCCATTATCCTAAGCAAATTAATGCAGGAACAGAAACCAAATATTGCATATTCTCTCATGTGTAGGAGCAAAACACTGGGTACTCATGGACATAAAGATGGTAACAACAGACCCAGGGGACTACTAGAGTGGGGAGGGAAGGCAGGGGGAAACGGTTAAAAAACGAATTGTTTGGTACTATGCTCAGTACCTGAGTGGTGGAATCATTCATACCTCAAGCCTCAGCATCACACAATATACCTATGTAACAAGCTTGCACATGTACCAGCTGATCCTAAAGTAAAGGTTGAAAAAAAAACTTGATTGAAAACTGGCACAAGATAGGGATGCCCTCTCTCACCAATCCTATTCAACATAGTGTTGGAAGTTCTGGCCAGGGCAATCAGGCAGGAGAAAGAAATAAAGGGTATTCAATTAGGAAAAGAGGAAGTCAAATTGTCCCTGTTTGCAGATGACATGATTGTATATTTAGAAAACCCCATCGTCTCAGCCCAAAATCTCCTTAAGCTGATAAGCAACTTCAGCAAAGTCCCAGGATACAAAATCAATGTGCAAAAATCACAAGCATTCTTATACACCAATAACAGACAAACAGAGAGCCAAATCATGAGTGAACTCCCATTCACAATTGCTTCAAAGAGAATAAAATACCTAGGAATCCAACTTAAAAGGGATGTGAAGGACCTCTTCAAGGCGAACTACAAACCACTGCTCAACAAAATAAAAGAGGACACAAACAAATGGAAGAACATTCCATGCTCATGGATAGGAAGAATCAATATCATGAAAATGGCCATACTGCCCAAGGTAATTTACAGATTCAATGCCATCCCCATCAAGCTACCAATGACTTTCTTCACAGAATTGGAAAAAACTACTTTAAAGTTCATATGGAACCAAAAAAGAGCCCGCATTGCCAAGAAAATCCTAAGCCAAAAGAACAAAGCTGGAGGCATCATGCTACCTGACTTCAAACTATACTACAAGGCTACAGTAACCAAAACAGCATGGTACTGGTACCAAAACAGAGATATAGACCAATGGAATAGAACAGAGTCCTCAGAAATAATACCACACATCTACAACCATCTGATCTTTGACAAACCTGACAAAAACAAGAAATGGGGAAAGGTTTCCCTATTTAATAAATGGTGCTGGGAAAACTGGCTAGCCATATGTAGAAAGCTGAAACTGGATCCCTTCCTTACACCTTATACAAAAATTAATTCAAGATAGATTAAAGACTCACATGTTAGACCTAAAACCATAAAAACCCTAGAAGAAAACATAGGCAACACCATTCAGGACATAGGCATGGGCAAGGACTTCATGTCTAAAACACCAAAAGCAATGGCAACAAAAGCCCAAATTGACAAACGGGATCTAATTAAACTAAAGAGCTTCTGCACAGCAAAAGAAACTACTGTCAGAGTGAACAGGCAGCCTACAGAATGGGAGAAAATTTTTGCAATCTACTCATCTGACAAAGGGCTAATATCCAGAATCTACAATGAACTCAAACAAACTTACAAGAAAAAAACAAACAACCCCATCAAAAAGTGGGCAAAGGATATGAACAGACACTTCTCAAAAGAAGACATTTATGCAGCCAACAGACACATGAAATGCTCATCATCACTGGCCATCAGAGAAATGCAAATCAAAAGCACAATGAGATACCATCTCACACCAGTTAGAATGGCAATCATTAAAAAGTCAGGAAACAACAGGTGCTGCAGAGGATGTGGAGAAATAGGAACGCTTTTACACTGTTGGTGGGACTGTAAACTAGTTAAACCATTGTGGAAGACAGTGTGGCGATTCCTCAAGGATCTAAAACTAGAAATACCATTTGACCCAGCCATCCTATTACTGGGTATATACCCAAAGGATTATAAATCATGCTGCTATAAAGACACATGCACACGTTGTTTATTGTGGCACTATTCACAATAGCAAAGACTTGGAACCAACCCAAATGTCCATCAATGATAGACTGGATTAAGAAAATGTGGTACATATACACCATGGAATACTATGCAGCTATAAAAAAGGATGAGTTCATGTCCTTTGTAGGGACACGGATGAAGCTGCAAACCATCATTCTCAGCAAACTATCGCAATGACAAAAAACCAAACATCGCATGTTCTCACTCATAGGTGGGAATTGAACAATGAGAACACTTGGACACAGGAAGGGGAACATCACACACCAGGGCCTGTCATGCGGTGGGGGGAGGGGGGAGGGATAGCATTAGGAGATATATCTAATGTTAAATGATGAGTTAATGGGTGCAGCACACCAACATGGCACATGTATACATATGTAACAAACCTGCACACTGTGCACATGTACCCTAGAACTTGAAGTATAATTAAAAAAAAGAAAAAAAACTTGAAATCTTCTTTTGTTTCCTCTTTAGAAAGATGGCAGACATTTTTATTGAGTGGATTTTAGAAATTTTCTTGTCCTCTTTTAAAAAAGTGTGCGTGTGTGTGTATGTGTGTGAGCACTCTACTGCTCCTTGCTTGGCTTCAGAAAGAAAAAGGAAGCTTTTGGCTCCCTTCTAAAAGGGGTATTTCCATTGAAAGAACAAAATAAGCCAAGTTCATTGGCACAATTGTTGTAAGGTGATGCAACCAAAGAGTTTTGGATTTGCATTACTAATTGGGTATGCGGTATTGTGTTCTGCAAACAAGATGGAGAACAAACTATGAGAAGGGAACAAGTTTAGTGTTTTTATTTCTCTCAGAAAACTGCTTTTCTCCAGCCAAATCCTGTGCTGATTAAATACCCATATAATTTACCTGTCAATGTTGATGGCCAGGATGATTGGAGGTTTGGCTTCAACCACTCTTTTGGATTCTTGTGATCTAAACTCCAATTACAATTATTGGTTGGAGCCAAGAGCATTGTTATATGTGACAAATGTTCAAAAAATGTTAGCTTATTATTACTCACAGTTGAGTACAGTTTGAGGTCCTTGAAGATCAGATCTTCAAAAACAGAACATTGATATATAACACATAGGTATGGAAGCATCCACTCGAGTAGCCATTGCAGCAAGTCATTTCACTTGAGATTCTGTTCCCTCACTTCGAAACAAGGGCTTGAGGAGCAGACAGCATATAGGGGCTCCTTCCAGCACGTGAAAGTTATGTTGTTCTAGATTTCGATTATCACGGTAATGGAGGAAAAAAAATGCCCCAAAGGAGTTGACCTAAGGGAAACCTAGACATTCTGCCAGCTCTGCATTTTAGCAGGCATTTATTGAACACATACGTGCATACCTGGGAAATATTCCTGATATCCTGAGATATCCAGGAGATATGCCTGATATGGAGTATTTGTATCATATATTTGTTGGTCATTTGTATGTCGTCCTTAGAGAAGTGTCTGTTCATGTCTTTTGCCCATTTTTTTAAATGGAGTTTAAATTTCAGACTGCTGCAGTAAAGCAAATAACATAAACAAAAAAGTTGTTTATGTTATATTTACACTCTACTGTAGTTTATTGAATGTGCAATAGCATTATATCTGGAAAAGTAATGTACATACCTTAATTTTAAAATATTGCTGAAAAATGCTAACAATCAAGTGTCTTCAGCCAATCATCATTATTCTGCTGCTGGAAGGTCTTGCCTCAATGTGGATGGCTGCTGACTAATCAGGTTGTTGAAGGTTGTGGTGGATTTGACAATTTCTAAAAACAGATAACAATAATGTTTGACTCTTCCTTTCAGAAAAATATTTCTCTGCAGCATGCAATGTTGTTTGATAGCATTTGGCCCCCAGTGCAAATTCTTTCAAAACTGGAGACAATCCCCTCAAACCCTGCCACTGCCATATCAACTAAGTTTATATAGTATTCTCAATCCTTTGTTGTCATTTCAACAATGTTCACAGCATCTTCACAAGGAGTAAATTCCATCTAAGAAACTATTTCCTCTGCACATCCATAAGAAATAACTCCTTGTCTGTTCAAATTTTCTCATGAGGTTGTAGCAATTCAGTCACATCTTCAGCCTCCATTTCTAATCCTAGTTCTCTTGCTGTTTCCACCACATCTGCTGTAACTTCCTACACTGGGGCCGTAAACCCCTCAAAGTCATCCATAAGGATTGGAATGAACTTCTCCCAAATTCCTCTTAATGTTGATATTTTAACCACCTTTCATGAATCATGGATGTTCTTAATGGCATCTTGAATGGTGAATCCTTTTCAGAAGATTTTCAATTGACTTTTCCCAAGATCCATCAGAGGAATCACTCTCTATGGCAAGTATGGCCTTATGAGATGTATTTCTTAAACTATGAGACCTGGAACAACCAATCAGAGCTCACCTCCTTGGCCAATCAGGGCTCAGTTGTATTAACCAATCAGAGCTCAGCTATATTGACCAATCAGGGTTCAGCTCTGTCAACCAATCAGAACTAAATAAGTTTCAAGCCTTCATTTGCATAAACAGACCTGATTGGCAACTTGGGAAGGCACTTTTGCTATAAAACCTGGGCCTTCCCTCTGTTCTCTGGAGTGCATCTTAATTTTTACACGTGTGGTGCTGTCTCCCCAGTTTGCAAATTTTTCACTGGAATAAAGTGTCTTTTCTCCAAATTTTTTTTTTCAGAGAACTTGTTCACACAGGGTTGTCACAAACCTTCAGTTTGTAAAAACTACATCTGTAAAGCACAATAAATGGAAGACAAATAAAAAAAGCTATGCCAGTATTTAATTCCTGAGTGTGGATGCAGAGAAATAAACACATATCCTCATTTCCAGGAACCTACAGGCCAACAGGTGCAGCTGGCACCCAAAGGAGTCCTCAAGCCCAGTTTGCAAGGAGTACATGAAAGTACTGTGGGGGTGATGGATGGCAGGCAACGCCAGAAGCGTTTTCACAGAAACGTGGAAATTCATTTCACAGGACCTCAGGACACACCCTCAGACCCCATGTAATGTTCCCAGGATCCCAGCAGGAAAGACCCGGGAGCTGCGCGCCAGGGACCAGAACAGCGAGGAGAAGTCACCAGACCAGACCTCACGTGTGTGTGTGTGTGTGTGTGTGTGTGTGTGGCAGGGGGGGGGTTGTCACAGCCGGAAAGGGTAGATGGACACGAGGGGGGAACACACGGCAGGGGAGGGGCGCAGCAGAAAAGAGGAGATAGACACGAGGGGGGCACACCACAGGGGAGGGGCGCAGCGGGAAAGGGGAGATGGGCACAAGGTGGGGACACACCGCAGGGGAAGGGCGCGGTGGGAAAGGGGAGATGCACCCAACGGCCACACCCAGGGTCTGAAGGCTGGAGAGGCAGGCCATGTAGACCAGATCTGCTTCCTGGGGTCTACTGGCGGAAACTTCCTCATAGACTGGATTCGCGACTGCGCTGTTCCCGTGATCCACTGCGCCTGCGCGGGCGCCTGGCTGGGCTCGGCGGGCATGGCTGGGGCACCCTGGCGCCATCTTTTTCCACCGTGCGAAGGCAGGAGCCCGAGACTGGGTGAGAGGACGCGGGGCTGGCGTGGGGAGGGGAAGGATGGACGGGGCAGGACGCTGCCGCCTGCATCTGGGACCCTGAGCAGCCCGAGGGAGTCGCCCCCGAAGGGCCCCAGGTTGCCTGCACCGGCGGTTTCCCACGTGCCCAGGCACCTCCCGTTGCGGCTGCGCGTGCAGTCGCAGACAGCCCCCAACTCCCGTCTAATTCTCAGCCCCTAGGAGACCCGAGCCTGGCACCCATCTGCACTCATCCCCAGACAGGGGATGGGGCTGCCTGGGCATGGACCCCAGGCTCTGGCCCAAGGCCTCCTGGCTTGCCCCGGCCTGCAGGCAGCGGGTGGGCACTCAGGAGCCCCCGACCCCACACGGGCGACCAGGGACTGCATTCCCAGCAGAGGATTCCAGAACCTACTTCAGGGGGAGGGTGACGCCTGGGGATGGGATCCTCCTGCTTGTCCCTGAAAACATTGGGAGCCATGGAGGCTTTCATCTGGTGCCAGTAGGAACGTTCCCTGGGGGCAGCTGAAAGGCATCTGGAAAGAAGTGACCGTGGGTAGGGAGACCAGCTAGGTGGATGCTATGGTCAACCAGCAAAGGCAGGGGCTGCTGGAGTGAAGGAGGAGAATTTGAGATCCAAGAAGGAAGTGGGATCAAAACAAGGAAGCACACAGTTCCAGGGAGAGATTGGAACTGAAGGGATGACGTGTGGAACCTTGTGACCTCCGCAACACGTTTTCCTCCTTTATTTGACCACGTATATTTTCATTGCTCCAACAATGCAGAAAGGAAATGTGTACAAAATCATGAGTTTCCAGGCTTGAACCTCTTCATCTCCTGGAACCACACTCCAGGTGGGTAGAGGTCTGCAGGCTGAATGAGAGGGGAGCGACGTTTTCAAGCACTTTACAGGGAGATAGAAAAGAAAGTGGGGTTGGTGCGGGTTCCATGCAGAGGTATAGGCGATATGCCCTTGGCTTGAGGAGTGAGGACATGGGGATCAGTAAAGGGTAAGGAGCAGTCCCATGCCAGCCCAAACTACCAACACGTGGCCACTCAGTCTCACTTAGGAATCCCATGGATTTCAGAAATACGTTCTATTTTCTTCTGTTTAGCAGTCTTGGACTGTCATATACATATACTGCTATGAGTTTTTGTTTTGTTTTGCCTTCTTTCTCAAAGGATTTGTGCTTAAGAAAAAAAAACCTGTTTTCCTTGGAATACAGGCATATTTGGAGATATTGCAGATTTGGTTCTAGACCACTGCAATAAAGCCAATATCACAATGAAGTGTGTCATACAAACATTCTGGTTTCCCAATGCACATAAAAGTAATGTCTACATTACTCCATTAAGTGTGAAATAGTATGTCTAAAATACAATGTGCATACCTTAATTTTAAAATACTTTATTGCTAAAAGTGCCAACGTTCATCTGAGACTTCAAAGAATCATAATCTTTTTGCTGGTGGAGGGCCTTGCCTCAGTGTGGATGGCTGCTGACTGATCAGGACGGTGGTTGCTGAAGATTAGAGCGGCTGTGGCAATTTCTTAAAAGAAGACAACAATGAAGTTTGCCACATCAATTGACAAAAGGTTTCTCTGTAGCATGCAATGTTGTTTGATAGTATTTGACCCATAGTGTAAATTCTTTCAAAATTGAAGTCAGTCCTCTCAAACTCTGCCACTACTCTATCAACGAAGTTTATGTAGTATTCTCAAATCTTTGTTGTCATTTCAACAATGTTTACAGCATCTTCACCAAGAGTAGATTCCATCTCAAGAAACCACCCATTTCACTCAATCATAAGAAGCAATTCCTCATCGGTTCAAATTTTCTCATGAGATTGCAGCAATTCAGTCACATCTTTAGGCTCCATTCTTAATGCTAGTTCTCTTATTATTTCCATCATATTTGCTGTAACTGAAGTTACACTGAAGTCTTGAAGTCATCAAAGTTATCCATGAGGGTTGGAATCAATTTCTTCCAAACTCCTTTTAATGTTTTATTTTGACCTCCTCCCATGAATCACAAATGTTCTTAATGGCGTCTTCAATGCAGAATCCCTTCCAGAAGGTTTTCAATTGACTTTGCCCAGATCCATCAGAGGAATCACTCTTTATGGTGGCTGTATTCCTACAAATGTATTCCTTAAAATATAAGACTTGAAAGTCAAAATTACTCTTTGATCCAAGGGCTGCAGAATGGATGTTGTGTTAGCAGATACAGAAACGACATTGATTTCCTTATATGTCTCCATCAGAGCTCTTGGGTGACCAGGTGATTGTATTAATAAATGAACTAATGTTTTCAAAGGAATTTTTTTTCGAAGCAGTAGATCTCAACAGTGGGCTGAAATATTCAGTAAACAATGCTGTAAACAGACGGGCTGTCATCTAGGCTTTGTTTTTCCATTTCTGGACCACAGACAGTAGATGTAGCATACTTCTTTTGTAATTTTTATAGATTTGGGGGTATAAGTGCAATTGTGTTACCTGGATGTTATATTGCTTAGTGGGGAAGTCTGGGATTTTAGTGCATTCATCATCTGAATAGTGTACATTGTATGCAATAGGTAGTATTTCATCCCTCACCCCTTCCTCCTTCCCATTTGACATGCTTCTTAAGGGCCTTAGGCATTTTGGAAAAGTAAATGAGCATTGGTGTCACCTTAAAGTCAGCCCTAACAAAAGAGTTAGCCTGTCTCTGAAGCTTCGAACCAGTCATGGACTTTTCCTCTCTAACTCTGAAAGTCCCAGATGGCACCTTCCAATATAAGGCTGTTTGTCTACATTGAAAATTTGTTAGTGTAGCCGCCTTTATCAATGATCTTAGCTAGATCTTCTGGAAGACATTCTGTAGCTTCTGCATCAGCACTTGCTGCCTTACCTTTCACTTTTGTGTTACGGAGATGGCTTCTTTTCTTCAACCTCATGAACCAACCTCTCCCAGCTCCCAACTTTTCTTCTGCAGCTTCCACACCTCTCAGCCTTCACAGAATTGAAGAAAGTTAGGACCCTGCTCTGGATTAGGCTTTGGCTTGAGGAAATATCATGGTTTACCCAGAGCAATAAAACTTTCTCCATATCAGTAACAGGGCTATTTCACTTTCTTATCATTTCTGTTTTCACTGGGGTGGCACTTATCATATCCTTTAAAAACTTTCCTTTGCATTTATAACTTAGCTAACTGTTTGGCACAAGAGGCCTGGCTTATGGCCTCTATTGGCTTTTAATATGCCTTCCTCACTAAGCTTAATCATTTCTAGCTTTTGATTTAAAGAGAAATATGTGTGACTGTTTCACTTGAATGATTAGAGGCCATTGTAATGTTATTAATTGGTCTAATTCAATATTGTTGTATCTCAGGGAACAGGCTCAAGGAGAGGGAGAGAGATGGGGAATAGCTGGTTAATGGAGCAGCCAAAGCACACACACATATATGGATGAAGTTCACTGTCTTCTGTGGACACTGTTCATGGCACCCCCAAAATAGTCACAATAGTAACATCAAAGATGTCTGATCACAGATCCCCATACCATATATGATAATGCTGAAAAAGTTTGAAGTATTGCCAGAATTACCAAAATGCGCCACAGAGACAGGAAGTAAGCACATGCTGTTGGAAACAAATGGCAGCAGTAGACTTACTGGAGGCAGGGTTGCTAGGAACCCTCAATTTGTAAAAGATGCAGTATCTGCATATGAAGTGAAGCACAATAAAGTGAGGTGTGCCTGTATTTCAAGATGTGTGTCATATAGTTCTTTTTTATACATAATCCCTTACATAACTTGTTTCTAAATCAACACTGAAATTCAGCCAGTTTTTCTCTTGATGTCTTATGACAGTGAGAGATAAAATAACCCATTAACATAACAACCGTAGTGACCACTTATGGGATGCCTCATTTGCATCCAGGATTATTCAAGGTACCTTCTCTCCATTTTCTCACTTAATCCCCACAACCACCCTATGAGATGAGTGTCACTGCCCCTGTTGTGTAGATGAAGAAGCCAGGCTCAGAGAGGTTAAATGGCATGCCCCAAACCACCCAGCCATGAGGGCAGAAGTAGAGGTTCTGGGTAGTGCTCACCCAACTTCCATGCTCTTCCTCCAAACAATCTGTGCAGCTGCCGTCAGCAGAAATGGCTTTAACAAGAGTGAAAAGCAGTAGCAAAGGCAACGAGTTTGGGTGCCAGTCTTTTGATTGTTGGTTTTTGTTTTTCTTTTCTTTTTTTTTTTTTTTTTTTTTGAGACAGAGTTTCACTCTTGTTGCCCAGGCTGGAGTGCAGTGGTGTGATCTTGGCTCACCACAACCTGTGCCTCCTGGGTTCAAGCGATCCTCCTGCCCCAGCCTCCAGAGTAGCTGGGATTACAGGCATGCACCCCTACACCCGACTAATTTTGTATTTTTAGTAGAGACAGGGTTTCGCCATGCTGGTCAGGCTAGTCTCGAACTCCTGACCTTAGGTGATCCGCCTGCCTCGGTTTTTCACACATTTTGCAGTCCAGGCGAGGTGCAAATAAACAGTGAAATGGTCATCAGGTCCCAGGAGTAGGGTTGGGACAAGTAGGAAGAGAAGTGGTGGCAGGGTCACACAGACTCTGGGAGGTCAGCAGAAGCATGTGGATCTTCCCTTGCCCTTGACCTGGTGACCTCCCACTTTAGATTCATCTTCACAAAAGGAGGTATGGGATGTGTTACTGGGACCAAGAAGACTCTGATGCAGGGTCTCAACTTAAGAGACCGAGGCTCTAGCTGAGTGGCCTTGGGCTACACACAGACTTTGTGCACTTCAGTTGCCTAATGGGTAAAAGACAGGGTGGCCAGGGATTTCCACACTGCTCAAGTGAGCACACAGCATCATCCGCCTTCAGGACTAGCTAGTTAGATGATCCTGTAAACTGTAGTACTGATTTATATTCTACTTTTGGTCAAAATCTCTTTTCCAACTGGAGTCTCCTTTTCTGACAAATGGACCATAATAGCTTCAGCCTCCCCTTGGAGCTGTTTTCTTACTTCTGTGTCACTCAAGTTCATGAGAGTTGGGTGCCTTTCCTTCCCACAGTGGGTCACCCATGTGCCAGGGTCTCTTCCTTGCTAGGCTTGAGTTCTGCTTCCGCTTCTTCCTGTCCTCCCATGCTGGCCACGAGCATCATGATGATGCAGAAAACCCATAAGGGACACGTGGAACTGTAGGATATACACATCCCCAGTCACAGTTGCAGATCAAACCATCTAAAACTTTGGATTCTTCCCAAAACCTGCAGTGTATGTTTCAGGGTGCATTGCTGCAGCTAAGAGTGTGAACCCACACCTTTCCAAATGAGAGCCATGGATTTTCTGTACAGACACATTTGGCACATTCAGGAGACTCACAGGGGAAACAGTTTGCAGCAGCTTTACCGGCAGAACCAACAAGACCAGTTTAAAAGCTTAGACGCATTGATCTGAATATTTGATGGCTGTCCTTCCTGAGGGCAATAGTCATGCCCCAGTGCCAGATACCATCACGCTTGGGAACTGGACATTTGCATTACCACCTGGTCCACCCAGGTTGTTTCCCAGAACAAAAGGGGAGCAACCCAAAATGGTGACTTTCCCTCTTTCAGGAGAGCTCAGTTTACCTTTGCCTGCCTCTTCTGGTCCCATTCAGACTCAGAAATTTTTATGTAGGCTAAGCTTTCTGCCAAGCCAGAGTTCACAGGTCTCTGGGTTTCTCATCCTCCCAGCCTGGTGCTGCAGGGAAGTGACTGACAGAGCTATGATTCAGGAAGGAGGGTGGGAGTTTCTACCCAAAGGCAGCCTTGCTCAGCCTCAACATCTTCCTTGTCTCTTGGTTCTCTTGCTCCAGGAGAAGCCTGCGGTCTCTCCACTGTCCTGCCAGTCATCACCCTGGCTCTCCATGGCTATGTTCACAATGAGCCTCACCCCACCCCGGCCCCGCATCACCAGTTCCTCTTGGTGGCACCACGTGACCATACACACTCTTTTGGCCACACAGGAGCCTGTGGGGTCACTGTCTGTCCTCTGCTCATTTGTGGGTTTTCCACTCTTGGTGCTCCCATCTGCAGCTCAGTCCTCCCTAGGAACCCCGTGAGCTACTGCCTCATTTTCTGGATCTTTGCACTAGAATGTGAGTGGCACAAGTTCCATATCTGTGTCACTTTTGTGCACTGATGCATCTCTGAAGTTTACACATTGCCTGAGATCTAGTAGGTGCTTCATCCACATCTGGCTGATTGAACTGAATTGAACTAGGACCTGTACTTCCACTAAGGTGCTCTGTCTGGGTTTCTGGCCCTTCCAAAATGAGCACACCCTTCTCCCAGGTTGGAAGAGCTCTGAAGAGTCAGCCCTGCACCATCCTCTGGTACTCCCAGGGTGCATGCTGGGACACAGAGAGCCTCTTGCTTTCCACGTAGTTGGTCAGCTGGCCCTGATTCTGGATAACATCACCCCTGGCTCAGCAAGCCTGGCTGCTCCCAGCCCTGTAGGGTGAAGGGCAGCTGCATAAGTAATGACAAGTGTAAGTGTCTGCTGGCATGTTTCATGTGTTATCCCATTTAATCTTAACAGTTCCTAAAAGGATATTTTTTCCCCATTTCACGTATTTTTTTAAAAATCTGAGTTTAAAAAGTATTAAATAAGTTGTTCCAAATCTGTTAGTTTGGTGAGGAACCTTGATTGACACCAAGTCTGACTCTAAACCTAGGTTATCTGTCCCTTTCGTTTCCAATGGATCTTCTCAGTGTTTCAGCCAGGCAGTCTAAAGCAGTGGTTCTCAAACATTTTGCTCTCAGGACCCCTTTATACACTTAAAAGTGACGGAGGAGCCCCAGGAGCTTTTGTTTCTGAAGGTTCTGGCTATTGATATTTACTGCATTCGAAGTTGAAAGTGAGGAGCAACATGACAAAACCCTGTCTCTACAAAAAAAAAAAAAAAATATATATATATATATATATATATATATATATATATATATATATATGTATATATACAAAAGTTAGTTGGGTGTGGTGGCACACACCTGTGATTCCAGCTACTCAGGAGGCTGAGGTGGGAGGATCGCATTGAACCTGGAAGGTTGAGGCTGCAGTGAGCTATGATCATGTCACCTCACTCCATCCTGGGTGACAGAGTGAGACCCTGTATTAAAAAAAAAATTAAAAATGACAAATTTTTAATATATTAATTCACTTAGAAATAAAAACAATACAACCATTGCCTGTTAACATAAACATAAATAGTTTTATGAAGAACAGTTTTATTTTCCAAAACAAAATATCTAGTGAGAAGAATGACATTGTCTTACATTTTTGCAAATCTCTTTAATGTCCTTAGCAGAAGACAGCTGGATTCTCAGGGCTCCTTTTGCATTCAGTCTGTTGAAATATGTTGTTTTCGTTGTAGGTGTGGAGAAAACTAGTTTCACACAGATACATAGTTGGAACAGTGAGGAGTACCTTAATACCCTTTTCAGATAATTGTGTGTATTAGTCCATTTTCACACTGCTGATAAAGACATACCTGAGACTGGGCAATTTACAAAAGAAAGAGGTTTATTGGACTTACAGTCCACATGACTGGGGAAGCCTCACAATCATGGTGGAAGGCAAGGAGGAGCAAGTCACGTCTCATGTAGATGGCAGCAGGCAAAGAAAGCTCTTGTGCAGAGAAACTCCTATTTTTAAACCCATCAGATCTCATGAGACCCATTCACTATCATGAGAACCGCACAGGAAAGACCCGCCCCCATGATTCAATCATCTTTCACTAGACCCCTCCCACAACATGTGGGAATTATGGGAGCTACAAGGTGAGATTTGTGTGGGGACACAGAGCCAAACCATGTCATTGTGGATATTATTATTTGATACTGTACCAAAACTTGATGCGTGGTAGTTTACACTGTCATGTTAAAATTAATTGCTCTATCTGGCACTTTGAATGAATCTTTCCCCCTCTAATGATTGTATATATGTATATAATTTTGTATAATGATTATTATACATCCATCATTTAAAAGTGCTGGTTCACTGAGTCACACAGACCTTCCCAGTGCACAGTTGAAAGCTCCACTGTAGAATTCTGAGAGGATGAGAACAAAAAGTGCAGCTGTTGTCTTTGTATTAAGTTTTGACCTTACAAACTCACTCCAGGGTCTCATGGATCCTAGGAGTTCCTGAGTCGCACCTTGAGACCTGCTGGGCTGTAGTATAAATTGAATGATCACTGAATGCAAAGCCCTATGAGAGGATACAAAAGAAATAAAACATTAAGCCAAATATCTTAACATTTAAAAAGAAAAGCATGTACAATTCAGTATGTGAGTCTGAAGAAAGGCAAATGAAGACCTGAACATGTAAGTTATGAAGCAGAAAAAGCCATTCTGGGTCTCACTGTGTGTGTGAGAGTGTGTGTGTGTGTGTGTGTGTGTGTGTGTATGATGTCTGCATCTAACTGTGCTACATCTACATTGTGATGACTCAATGTCCCCAAGCCACAGAGGCACATTGTGCCAGCCTCTCAGGAGCTGAGGGGTGGCTGGAGAGTTTGGAATGACCAGAGGCCTGTGTTGTCCAGTGGGAATGGGGCAGAGAAGAAGCAAGGCTTAGGGGAGGCCTTCAAGGAAGGGCAGGGCAGAGTGTAGCGAGTGGGGAAGTGCAGACCCCACATTGTTGGGACCACAGATTGTTCATCCTAGTCCTTCTGAAGGAGGTGGGAACATCCTGAAGTACGCTCAGCTAATCAGAGCTGAAAGCAGGCTTCTCGAGGCCACTCTAGGCCTGAAATGGCACTTGACCATGCTGACCAGACAGAGCTATGAATGTACCTTCAAAGGTCCAATCCCCTGATTGGCTCTGTCATCTTGAACCATTTGTTTTTTCTTTTTTAGATAACATGTTTTATTGAAGTGTAATTTATATGCAGTAAAATACACAAATCCTTGATATATATAACCCTATAACCTTTTTTATAGGATTCTTGTATATTCACCAAGATAAATACAAAGAACTTTCTGTTGCTCTGGAAAGTTTCCCTTGCTCCATCTTACTCAACACCACCCTGCGTCTGCACTCAGGGGAAACCACTGTTCTGACTTCTGTCACCACAGATGAATTTGATCCATTCTTGAACCTCATCATACAGTATGTATGCATGTCGCATTTGATCCATTCTTGAACCTCATCATACAGTATGTATGCATGTCGCATTTGATCCATTCTTGAACCTCATCATACAGTATGTATGCATGTCGCATTTGATCCATTCTTGAACCTCATCATACAGTATGTATGCATGTCGCATTTGATCCATTCTTGAACCTCATCATACAGTATGTATGCATGTCGCATTTGATCCATTCTTGAACCTCATCATACAGTATGTATGCATGTCGCATTTGATCCATTCTTGAACCTCATCATACAGTATGTATGCATGTCGCATTTGAGAGTCATCATGTTGTTGCCTTTGTCAGTGGGGCATTTTTGTTGTTGTTGTTGTTGTTTTGCTGAGTTGTATTCCACATGAATATACCAAAATTTGTTCCTCCATTTTCCTGTAGATGGAATGTTGGGTTGTATATGGTTTGCTGCTATAATCACATGTGGATACTGTGGACAGAGGGTATGCAGTTTTTTCTCTAGGATCTAGCTGCCATGGATGAATTGCATCCACCCCCACCAAAACAAAAACAAAAACAAAAACATTCATAGGTTGAAGCCCTAATCTTTCAATTAGATGGCTTTGGGGTGGTTGGAGATAGGGCCTTTGGGAGGTAATTAGGCTCAGATGAGGTCATGAAGGTGGGCCCTCATAATAGGATTAGTGCCCTTCTAAGAAGAAACACCAGAGCCCTCACTTCTTCTCTCTGTTTCTCCACCATGTGAGGACACAGTGAGAAGACAGTGATCAGTCTGCAAGCCAGGGAAAGACACTCACCAGGAACTGAATCAGCCAGTACCTTGACCTTAGACTTTCCAGACTCCAGAACTGTGAGAAATAAATGTGTGCTGTTTAAGTCCCCAGAGTATAGTGTTCGTTACAGCAAACAGACTAAGTCTTGCCTAAGGAGACTAAGGCACCATGGCAGGTGCCCCATACATATTTGTTAATTTGATTTTATTTGATCTGTGTCTATTTCAAAGGTAATGTCAACATCAAATGACAATCTAGAGGGAAAAATGTACAATGAAAATATTTTTAAAAACAGTAGTTCTTGCTATTGATGATGTTTTATTTTAAAAGGAATATGTAATTAAAGTAATTTAAGGAAATATGATGCACAACAGTCCACTGGGCAAGGGACTTAAGTGGACATTTCTCCAAAGATGATATACAAATAGCCAACAAGAGCGTGAAAAGATACTCAACACTACTAGCAATTAGGACAATGCAAACCAAAACCACAATCAGATATCACTTCATACCCATTAGGAAGGCTACTATTAAAAAAAAAAAAAGAGAGAGATAACAACATGCGTTGGTGAGGATGTAGAGAAACTGGATGCCCTGTGCACTGAGTGGGATTATAAAATTGTGCAGCTATGGAAAACAGTATGGTGATTCCTCAAAAAATTAAGAATAGAATTATCGTATGATCCAGCAATTCCACTTCTCAGTATGTATCCAAAAGAATTGAAAGCAGGATCCAGAAGAGATATTTGCACACCCATGTTCATAGCAGTATTATTCACAGTAATTAAGAGGCAGAAGAAACCCAAGTGTCCGCGGATGGATGAATGAATAAACAAAATGTGGTACATATGTCCAATGGAATTTTATTCAGCCTTAAAAAGAAAAGAAATTTTGACACATGCTACAGCATGGATGAACTTGGAGGACATGATACTAAGTGAAATAAACCAGTCACAAAAAGACAAATAGTGTATGATTGCGCTTATATGAAGTATCTAGAGTGCTCAACTTCATAGAAAAAGCAGAATGGTGGTTTCCAGGGGCTGGGGGCAAGGGTAAATGGTGAGTTGTGCAATGAGTACAGAATTTTAGTTTTGCAAGATGAAAAAGTTCTGGAGATCAGTAATGTGAATTTATTTAACTCTATTGGACTTTACACTTCAAGATGGCTAAGGTGGTAATTTTAGGTTGTGCATTTTTTAGCCACATTTTTTAAAAATTGAAAACAAACCCAGAGATAAAAGCCTTACCTCTGAAGTCAGGTGAGCTAAAGATGAAGGTAAGATTGGCGGTCAGTTCATTGGTTTAAGGGAGTCGTTCCAACTAGCTGGAGAGTGGCTTCTTAGTATTCTTGCACAGCAGGTCCGAGTGGCATCCAGACTCAAACGGGCCGTGCTCAGGCCCAACGCTGGCATGATTCTTGAGTCATTAGGAAGGATTCCTTACTGTGGAGACCCCTGTCTTCTGGTCCCTCTGGTTTGGGGAGACTGCAGGTGGGGGTGAACTGGAGGAATAAAGCCACATTGTCCACAGGACATGTGTCCCTAGAACTTCCCAGGAGCAAAGACAATGGTGGAGGGAGACTCAGGGCCAAGCCCACCAGGGTGACCCACAGGGTGGATAATGTCCCTGGGAAGGCAGGGCACCTTGGGCTTCTTGAGAGAGCAGAGGCCGGAGCAGAGTAGAACTACCAAGAACCAGCCGGACCCTGGGGCGGGGACTGGGTCTTTCGCAGACCCTGCTTCCCTGGAGCTCTCTTCTGCAAAAGTGACCAACTGGGCTCGGAGTTTTAACTTGCCCTTGTTACCTGAGGCCACTGTGACTATCATGGGTCAAAAGTGCTATAAAAACCTGATGTGTGTTTGGAATGAAGGTGTACCCGTGGATGGGGAGAGAGGAGCTATTCCTGTTTGGGGATCCTGATGTCTTCACACATCTGCCTGACCCCCACTCCTGAAGCTCCTTGGTCATCATATCATATAAAGGAGGACCTGCAGACCCATGCCGTGGCCAGAGGGGCTGGGCATGGCCCTCGCTTCACTTTCCCAGAATGAATTCATCATCCTGGCAGTAAAAGAGAAAACAAGAGGTGGGGCGCCTGCTAGGCTGGGCTGGGCTGGCAACAGCGAGCCTGTAGCGACTGTTCTGGAGGAAGCAAAGAAGACCGATGGCCTCAGACAGTGGACATGGACGGCGAACTTGGACTGGGCTGGGCCTCTGCTTTGTCATTTGAAAGGCTTGGGTCATGCTTCCCTTTCCTCTTGGGAGACATTAACTGGGAGCCTAGGGAGCCAAAGTATCAAGTGGCGTCGTTTCCTCCCTTCAGAGCCAACCTTGCTGGGCTTCTCCGGTCAGATCAGCCCTGGCCCGGGGTCAGCCCGGCGGGGAACGGGTCCACCCTCCGCCAGCGACCTCAGAGCTCCCGGGCACAGCCCGGGGCACAGCCCCGCGCACCTGCCCCGCCCACGCCCGCCCCGCGCACCTGCCGGGTCCGCACCTGCCATTTGCCCGACTGGCCGCGCACCCAGCTGGCCCGCCCCTGCCCGACACGACCGCTGCCCGCCCCTTGCCTTCCTGACCCAGGGGCTCCGCTGGCTGCGGTCGCCTGGGAGCTGCCGCCAGGGCCAGGAGGGGAGCGGCACCTGGAAGATGCGCCCATTGGCTGGTGGTGAGTGCGCCCCCGCCTCGGGGCGAGGGTAGGGGCGGGGAAGGAGGACCCCAGGGGAAGCGTCGCTCCCCAACCCTGCCTGGGACCCGCCACGCTTAGCAAAAGCGGGAGGGCTGGTTCTTGGCGCCGAGGCTGGTCTTAGACCTGGGATCAGGAATGCGGGAAGCGATTCCAGAGGGGGCGAACAGCGGGGGTTTCCAGCAGGGTTCCCCGACCCTGTTTCCCCGCGCTCGCCAGGCCTGTTCCCGCCGCCCCAGCCGGGGTGCATGGGATTAGGGAGGAACCTGGAATGTAACACTGTAACATTTTACTTGGAAAGTAGATTGGTGGGGAGCGCAGGCACAGCCCCGCACCCCCACCCCCCACCCGGGCTCTCCACGCTTCTCCTTCCGGGGAAGGGTACGCGCCTGCCCCTGCCCCTGACCTTGCACGCCAGGGAGGGGCTGGCCGCTGCCAGTTGGTAAGGCTGTTTTTATTTTTTCCATTTTTCAAACGACTTGACACTGTGGACGATTTGGAAAAATAGGAAAAAGGAAAGGAGAAACCCATTATTTTGACCAGTCATCGCGTTTCTTGCAGTCTGTCTTAGCTGCGCCTCTGTCCTCTGTCACTTTCCTGTCACAGACCATCTCGGGTCCTGGTGTCCACTGCCCTGGCCTCTGTCACACATGCCCTTTCTAATTGGTTTTGCGGGTCTCCTCCTATAATCTGAAGAACATGGATTCCTCCTGGAGCGACGTAGCCTGGCTGTGTAAAATGGCAGGTTCAGAAGTGGGAAGTTCTCTGGGCCTCTTCGGTAGATCACTTCCTGGTCCTGGATCCCAGGTCCTCTGTAGTGAGGGTGTTGGACTGAACCATCGCCATTCCTGCCAGCACCAGCATTCTGGCTGTGATCACACTCCAGCAAGTTCTAAATGCTCTCTTTTCTGCACCATTCCCAAATGTAGGAAAGCCGCATTTTAAGATTTTTGCCTCGTGTAAAATATTCATATTTTCCTTAAAAACTATAAATGACACTGTTTTCGATAACTTGTGTGGATTGTAGGAGAGATATGTATCTCCTCCCTTAGGGCACCGACTTTCATTATAGCTATTCTGGAAAAGTGTTTTCTATTATTTCTGTATTGTATAATTATTATTTCCTGGTGACTTATGGACAATACTGAATATGATTACATTGCTTTCCCTCAGCCAGGACTTTTTCACATCCGGACCTCATGATTCACTCATGAGCTGTGGGGTCCTTTCGTAGGAAGCTTCGAGATGACACCAGGTTTGTATTTATCCAGGTGTATTTGATTGTGGAGAAGCTGCCCAGGGAACTCAGAGATGCCTCACTTTTGATTTTATGAGCTAAAGATCAGGAGACATTATTGGAGTGGGCCTTGCCCTGGACGCTTCTGTCCAGTGCTGGGTTTGTTTCAGGCAGACGTTCCCAGGAGGGACATTCAGACTGAATGGGAGGAGCAAGTTGAGCTGCCGCCATGCCTTCGCCTGCAGGGCCTGGTAGTGGGTATCGTAATACCTTGAAGTGGGCGTTGGCCTGTGGACCGTCAAGGCCGGTTACGCTGCACTCCTGCTGTGGTGTTTCAGAGTGGCCCTTCCTAGCCCTTCTGCCAAAAAGGCTCAGTGCACAGGACAGTGATGACAGTGGACACTGAGGCCAGCAGAGCCTGGGATCCCAAAGGCAGTGAGTCCCAAAATACTGACCATCCACCCTCATCTCTCCTGGCCTCTCAAGTACAAAAGGTGTGGGTGTGGCCTTCATGGTGAGGTGATCTGAATACATATTGGTAAGACAGCAGTGAAAACAGCTTCCCTGTCCTCGTTCAGGTTGAAGGAAATCCCGTCAATAGACCTGGGTCCTAGGGCCTGAGATTGCCCTTTTTAGGTGGCCCTTGGACTGGAGGGAGGGAGAGAGCCCTAAAATCCTCCTACCTGTAACCCAGTGTCATATCCATTTGGTTTCAGTATTACTTTCTTTCTGGCACCTTTTAAATGTTTATTGTTTACAGACAGGGTCTTGCTCTGTAGCCCAGACTGAAATGCAGTGGTATGATCATAGCTCACTGCAGCCTTGAACTTCTAGGTTCACGAAATCCTCCTGCCTCAGCCTCCTGAGTAGCTGAGAGTGCAGGCACATGCCACCATGCCCAGCTAATTTTTTTAAACTTTTTGTAGAGATGGTTGCCTATGTTGCCTAGGCTGGTCTTGAACTCCTGGCCTCAAGTTGAACTCCCGGGTTCCTTAGCTTTCCAAAATGCTGAGGTAACAGGTGTAAGCCACTGCACCCAGCTTCTGGCTCTTAAGTGAAGCAGCCAGGACCCTCCTGAGACCCCTGTGGATCTGAGAGTGGGGATTGGCTGGGACATGTGTACATGTACCCACACACATGCACACAGAGGCAGACACGCTAGAGGTGAGTCTCTTAGGAGAAAGTTCACTAGCTTTCCCCCTGTGCTAAGAACGGCCTTTGCTCTAACACTCATCCTGTCTGCTGGGCAGCAAGCACAGTGGAGGAGATTTCCGTGAGCTGATGATGACTTTATTACCTTACAGGGAAAGGCAGGATCCTGGTTTCAAAATCTCAGAAGTGTTCCTGGACTCTGTGCTTCCTCCCCCACCTCTGAAGCTGCTGGGTCTCCTCCCATCGGGGCAGGCCCACTGGGGCTCCGCGAGTCATCTTAGTGGAAGCCCTGGGCTCCTAAGCTTTCTTCTTCCCAAGTGTGTCCCAGCTTCAGCGCTGATTCTTCCCTACTGCCTGGTGTCTGAGCCTCTGTCTTGACAGGCTGCCTCGGCTCCTGCCCATCCTGCTTTCATCCCCAGGACTGAGCTCTGATTGCTGGTGTCCAACCCACAGAGAGGCTGTGCCACAGCTCGCCCGGTGCTATGTTGGGGCTGAATTGTGCCTTCCCCCTGCCAACCCCCCAACCCCATTTACATGTTGTAGTCCTAACCCCTGCCCAGTACCTCAGAATGTGACTGGATCTGGAGATAGGGTCGTTAAAGAGCTATTTCAGATATAGTGAGGTCATCAGGGTGAGCCCTGATCCAATCTGACTGGTGTCCTTATAAGAAGAGGAGATGAGGACACCCACAGAGGCCCTGTGAGGACACAGGGAGAAGATGCCATCCACAAGCCAAGGAGAGAGGCTCAGAGGAAACTTGATCTTGGACTTCCAGCCTCCAGAATCTTGAGAAAATAAATTTCAATTTCAATTTTTTTTTAAGAGATGATGTCTCGCTGTCATCCAGGCTGGAGTGCAATATTGCAATCGTAGCTCACTGCAACCTCAAAGTTCTGGGCTCAGGCAATCCTCCTGCCTCAGCCTCCTGTGTAATTGGGACTACAGGTCTGTGCCACCACACCTGACTATTCTTTTTAAAATTTTTTGTAGACATGAGGTCTCATTATGTTGCCCAGGCTGGTCTCAAACTCCTGAGATCAAGCCATCCCTCCACCTTGGCCTCCCAAAGTGCTGGGATTACAGGCGTGAGCCAACGAGCCCAGCCGAAATTTCTATTGTTGAAGCCACCCAGTTGGTGTTAATTTGTTACAGCAGCCTGAGGAAATGATGCTGCCTGCCTGGATTTTGTCTGTCACCTCCTGGCTACTATGTCCTGCCCTCCCTCTAGCGGCTGGGATACTTCCATGACTTTGTGCTAGACCTGAGCACAGGCTGCTGGTTCAGCTCATCACCCATCTTCTGATGATGTCCCGATCCCAGTGCTGGCGGCTGGATCTGCCTCCCACCCAGGAGGTGGTTCAGACTCTAGATCATGGCTTCTCCCAGCCAGCTGCATGCTGCACTCCAGATTGTCCCCAGCCTAGAGGTCATTGGATGCATCCCTCACCCAAAGCACAGATACTCTCTAGTCTTCCTGGGAGTCCTGAAAAGTGTCCCGGAAGAGAGCTCCCTGCCGCATCAGGACCCGCCATGGGCTACCCTTCTTCTTGTGAGGACACTTGGCTTATTTATTCTCCGTTTTCTTCTCTGTCGTGTCCACATGTTTGTTTTTGTTCAGCTGGGGCCACCGTTACCTATTCCTTCATGTAGCTGCTTGTTACACATTCAAAAGGTAAATAATGTTCCTTTTCAGCCTTCTCCAAGCTAAACAGCAGCTTGTTGCTCAGGATCTCAGGTGTGGCGTGTTGTCTAGAAGAGCCCCTGAACATTGTCTGGTTAGCCAGTTTCCTTCTCCAAATACAACACTTGGATGAAACAGTCCAGCTACGACCCACATGCACAGAATACAGGGCACGGCCTTTTCCTTTGAACGTGTTCTGCTGCTGTCTTAGCCCACTCTGCACTCTGTTCATCCAACAGAATTTTCTGGAAAATCAGCGACCCACGCGGTGTCACAGGCATGCTGGGTGGCCCTGGAGGGAAGCATCTGTGGTGTCTGTGTGGGCGCTGTGGCTGGGCTGTGTAGGGGAGAGCACCCTCTAGGCAGAGATCACTCCTGCAGAGGAGTGAGCCCGGGAGTGCAGCGCCCGCAGGTGGCTGAGCACAACCGTTGGCGCAGCTGCGGGAGAGGGGCCTGCAAGCCTGCACCTGTCTCATTTTGTTTTCTGTGTCTGGTTTATCTGCTTTGAGATGACCTTCCAGTCCTGAAAACTGCACTGATCACACTGCCTTGGGCCTCTCCCCAGAGGAAACCACCTGTGCTTACTAGTCTAACAATCTTAGCAGTTTGGAAATTCGAAATTTAAAAATGGTGTTGAAATATGCACTCAAAAAAGCAAAACAAAACCAAACCCCAAGGCTAACCAGAAACATCGCGTTCTATCCCCATGGCTCCCTCTGCTGAAGCGCTGGGCCTCCAAGCAATAGCACACGCTGCCTTGGCGCAGCATAGCCGGTGCATGGGTCGGGGACAGCTGCGCTCCTGAGAAAGGAAGGATGATCTCTAGGTGCTGGAAGTCAAGCTGAGGTCCAGAACTGCACCCCGGGTGGGGCCCATTGTCAGGCCCTTCAGACTTGACATTCCCTTCTCTTCCTTTCCTTTTTCCTCCTTTCCTCATTTCCCCTTCACTTCCTTCCTTCTTTCCTCCCTGTCTCTCTCCCTCCTTCCCTCCTTCTCTTACTTCTTAGGACTGTCCCTATTAGCACATATTTAAATGCACTGGGCACATACCCCAGTACCCATCCTACTCAGGGCCTGTGGTTATCCCTGCATCGTAGCAATCTGGGTAAGCAAACTGCTGAATAAGTTCTGATCTATGCTATATTTAGGGAGCAAACTCTAAAAGCCCTGGCCATGGGTTGCCAATGAAAAGACAGAGAGCCACCCCCCAGGCCTCTGGTGACCCAGGAGGAGATCAATGCCTTTTCCTTGGAAATCGTGCCACTCATGTCAAACAAGAGAAGTAAGATATTGTTGCCAATCAACCAGAAAGATATCTCCACGGACTTTCTGTCACTGGGAACCTTGACTGGCCCAGCAGGCACATCCGGGATGATAGAACAGGTTTGGGGACTTTTTCCCAGTATTACGGGGCCAGGCCTTGATCCAGCAGGAATACGTTGCATGCTTGCTGGGCATCGGCTACTATTCCCAGTGCTGGTGATATGGAAATCAACAAAACAGACAGAGCTTTACCCCTGAAGGTTTCAATGTAATTGCAGGAGCGTGCTCAAATCCAGTTGTGTCTCACAAAGGGAATGAGGCGCTTTTGTTTTTTCAGGTTCACGTTGGGCATGCTGGCTCACAAGGTGCTTGATTAGCTGCTTTGACATAAACGTTCAAGGACGTTTGTTGGTTAAGTTAAGACCTAAACCAACAGCAAATACAACTTGCCCTGGAAAGCATTCCTGTCTTGTTTGTATTCTCTGATACTGTCTACTTCAAAGGTCCTGACACCGCCTCCCACCCTGGGAGCCTCCTCCCAGGAGCACAGTGCCTATAGCGCAGTCCCCTGACACTGGGCCGGGATGAAAAGCCACAGGGGGGATGGGGAGGGCCAAGGGCCAGGGCCGCCACCAAGTCGTTCACAGCAGCTGCTTGGTGTCCTCTCTGCAGGCCTGCTCAAGGTGGTGTTCGTGGTCTTCGCCTCCTTGTGTGCCTGGTATTCGGGGTACCTGCTCGCAGAGCTCATTCCAGATGCACCCCTGTCCAGTGCTGCCTATAGCATCCGCAGCATCGGGGAGAGGCCTGTCCTCAAAGGTGAGTGCCGTGCTTGGGGCAGACGGCTGCCTTCATGGCTTGTGTGCAGAGGGAGGAGTGGTGGTTTCTGTCCCAGCTGGAGGCTGGGGGGCCCTGACGGCTTTATATCAGGAAGGAGGAGGAGAGAAGCATTTTGCAGTTACTCATTTAGGTCCCACGCCATTCCAAGGCACGTGCCGCTGCTGACCCCATGTGAGACTAGAACAGTGTGGCTTCTGGTTACCAGCACAAACCTGCAGCCAGACCTTGAACTGTGCTCTTTCCGCCCAGATCTTGGCTTCCTCCCCTGGGAAGCACAGGAGGGTCCAGGTTCTGAGATCCCGAATCATTTTAAGGTTTCTGTCGGACTGAAGAGCTGTTGGAAAATCTTCTGTAAAGTCTTGGGAAGCAAAAGCTAGTAATTGAGTAGATGTGAAAGAAAGGGCAGACATTGTATGTCGGTGAACACACGGCCTCAACCATCAGCTTAGGAAAGGCCCAGCTCTCTGTAGGGCGGCTGCTTTCTGTCCTTCCCCACAATCAAGGTGGGTTTTCTGAGAGCCTGCTGTGTGCTGGGCATGTCCAGGAGCTAAGGAGAGACGGAGGACAAGCCCACGAGGTCCCTGCCCCTTTGGCACTGATACCCTAGTGAGGGGAGGTGACAGCTTAACGCATGAACAAATGAGATTCGAGAGAGGATGGGTGGGGAAAGCCTCTGAGAAGGAGGTGACAATTGAGAAGCATCTCAGTGAAGCAAGGGAGTGGGCCATGCTGGGTTCTGAGGGCTGTGTGCCAGTTTGGGAGCATCATGACTTAGTCTACCCAGATTACTGTAAGAGAACACCATAGACTGGGGGCCTTATAAACAACGCATTTATTTCTGACAGTGTTGGAGGCTGGGAAGTTCAAGATCAAGGTACCCGCAGATTTCATGTCTGGTGGAGACCTGCATTCTGCTTCATGGATGGCTCCTTCTGGCAAACGAGGTCTCTGAAGCTCCTTTTATAAGGGCACTACTCCCATTCCTGAAGGCTTCATCTGCCAAAGGCCCCACCTCCTAACACCAGCACTCTGGGGATTAGGTTCCAACATATGAATTTCAGGGGGACACATTCAGTCCACAGCACATGAGTTGCAAACTGGGGGCCCAGAGACAGACCTGTCAGAGACAAGATTTGTCTAAAAGCAAAACACATAAAATATGGACAAGTATTTCAAAATCAAGAGATCTCCCATAAAACTCCATGTTAGAGCATCTCTTGAAACAGTAGAAGCTCTGATACCCCAGGCCCTCATTCCTGCAAGGCCATGATCAGCCACAGCTGGGCAGGCTGTGGTTACACAAGGGCGAGAGTATGGCCAGGACCAAAGGGATTCATCCAGTGGCCAGTAAAGTCACAGGAACAGGGAAGAAACAAGGAAAACGAGGTCCTTGTGCTTTATACATAGATTATCTGTAAGTCACACTGATCACTATGTTCTTTACTTCCTGGTTTCAATCTTATTTTACAATACACATTCTGGGACAGACTGAATTATCGCCGAAGGAAATGCCTACTGTGAAAGTCCATTTATTTATTAATTCAGCAGGTATATTTAGTAACAGCATCCCTCTCTGGGCCGTGGTCTGAGTGCACGTGTTTTAAGGTTCATCCTTTACTTCTAAGAACCTCAGAGTCTACTAGAGAAGAACTTAAAAGCCAAATCATAATGTTAGGAAACTGAACAAAGAAAATTAATGTGCAGCGTATGTTGAACAAAAATATGCATTTGGGGCCTGGCGCAGTGGCTCACACCTATAATCGCAGCACTTTGGGAGGCCGAGGCGGGCACATCACCTGAGGTCAAGAGTTCCAGACCAGCTTGGCCAACGTGGTGAAACCCTGTCTCTACTAAAAATACAAAAATTAGCTGGACATGGTTGCAGGTGCCTGTAATCCCAGCTACTCGGGAGGCTGAGGCAGGAGAATAGCTTGAACCCAGTAGGTGGAGGTTGCAGTCAGCCAAGATTGTGCCACTGCATTCCAGCCTGAGTGGCAGAGACTCCTTCTCAAAAACAAAAACAAAAAGAAAACAAAACAAAAAACATATATATGCATTTGGAATACAACTCCAATTGGGAAGGGGTGAAAGAAGCATTTGGGTGCCAAATGCACACCCAGCCATACTACCTTCACTGTACTCAGAGGCACCTAATAAATCATGAGCATTGATTAGCAGAGAAACACTCTTTGATGGCTTCTGGTCTTTGGTTTTTGCGGACTGGACTTTTAATCTCCTATAGAACAATGAGGTAGTTGAAATGGTCAAAATGCCATATGCAAACAGCCACCTTCTTTGTTTGCCTGGTCTATATTGTCAGGATCTTATTTCATGACTCAATATTTCTAGTGACTTTGCATGGATCTCCTACCCTCTGGAATAATCTTCCTCATTTATAGGAGTTAAAATGAGATCATAGTTCCCAAATCAGGAAGTATTTTTAAAAGACAGATTCCTGGACCCCACTCTGGGAAATTCAAAGCTCCCTAGGTCCAGGGTGGAAGCCAAGAACCTGTATTTATTTTAATTTGTTTTAAAACTTGGCTTCATACAGAGCCAAATTTGATCATCCTGGAACTAAACGGTCACTATGGTTTCTTTTAAATCTAAGGTTCTTTGTGATTTGTATCTAAATTTCATAAAACCTCCTCTCCACCCTTCCAAGTCCCAGTCTACATATTCCTGTGGTTACAGCATATCTGGGGAAAGCCACCAGGAGAGTCCGGACGCAAGGCTGTGCGAGCTCTATAGCTGGGTTCTCATTGCTGTCGCTACTTTCAGAGCTGGGTGAAGCAGCTATTGTATTATAAACCAGGAGCTGCTCGTGAGGATGAGGAACCAGGTGGATTTTCCTCAGCAAGAGAATAATTTCTCAGACTGAAACTGATAGCAGAAGGCTGACTGCATCCTAGGGAATGGTGTTGCTGCTGGAGGCTTTCAGTCTTAAACAAACCAGCTTTTCATGAGGCATAAGAAACAGGAGACTAAATAGAAGGTCCGCCGTTCTCCCTGGCTAGGACACTGGCTTCTACGTAAGCCACATGAACTTTACCTTTTGATTGTTTGGGGGAAGGAATTTCAGGAAAAGCACTGAAGACCTAGATGTGGTTCTCCAGGCAGGGTTTGGAAAGAGCTGTGTTTTCCCAGGAGCTGTGTCCACCCTCCAATCCCACACTGAGTTAGGAACATGGTCTTCTTTCTTCATTCACGTGGTGACACATTGTGCTTCTGGGAAACGGATGGGGGACTCAGAAAGCTACTGACTCTTTTTTTAAATGACACATGGGTTCCCTGCCCACTCCCAGGCCCTGTGAGGAAACACAAATGCCCATCTGTGTGTCACCCATAGTCACTAAAGCCACATACTCCCTGGAGGATATGAGGCACATCAAACACCTCCCTTCTGGAAAGCCCTCCTGCGCATGTCCACACGAAACAGGACTCTCACTTTGCAGAGCGCCAGGGGCTGCAAGTCTAGAAGCTGGGGAGGAGGCCATGCTCATGGCTGACGGGCTGCCAGGCCCTGGCGTGGGGACCTGCTCGTTCTGCTGCCGATCCCGTAGGGGAAGTCCCTGGGGAGAGCATCCCTATGGGACCCCCACAATGGCCCCGCTGGAGACGCCAGCACCAGCCCTTTGGGTGAGTGTCCTGGGTCCAAGGGTGGGAGTGCTGGGCAGGCCTGTGTAGTAGGCCTGTGTACCCTGAGCCCCAGCCCCTGAGGCAGGAGGAGGAACAGGAACAAGTTAGGCTAGAACCCAGCCCACTGTTCTGCACCTGGGGCCCTTTTCACCCAAGCTCCTCGTTTCCCTTCACCTAAGTTTAGCAGCTGCTGCCTCTGCCTTGGGAACCTGTCATGGGATTGAGGCCAGGCCTGGTGCCCTTTGATCATTGCAAAGGCTCCCAGTGCCTGTTGGTGCCAGAGCCACGGAAAGCCAGAAAACAAAGAATGAGGATGTCAGGTGGGAGGAAGGCCCGGGTGCCCTGTGGCCCTTCAGCCTCCCAGGGTGCTCTTAAAAGAAATATTTAATGCATCTGAAATAAACTTTACCTGGAAAACATTTACTGCTAGTTTTAGAATGAAAAATGTATTTTTAGGTCAAAACTGTTATTCGATATGTTTGCAGTCACAGCCCTTAGCTAAATCACAAACCACGGATTCTTTTATAAATCTTTCCACCATTTCTGGAAAGAAGTACTCCTTGGCTTTGTTATTCTCTCCTCCCTTATTAATTAAAGGTTTAACTTTGAATTTAGGCTTAACTTCTCTGTGCTTCCTGTATTGCTTTTGAGGCTTATTGACCAGAACGTGTGACTTGCACAGGAGCCAGAATCATCCCAAAGGTTAGTAGAGGTTGGAGAAATATGAGGACCAGATATTTATACCAGTTTAGTTGCAAAGAGACCCTGCCTTATTCACCTTGCATTCCCATTTCCATTTGTCTTAAGATATTTTTTAATTTCCTTTTGATTTCTTCTCTGACCCATTGGTTGTTCGGGAACATGTTGTTAAATGTCTGCATATTTGTAGATTTCCTGAAATTACTCTTGTGATTAATTTCTAGTTTCATACCCTCATGGTGGGGATCTTCTCTTTGCCTCGTTTGTGGAGTCTTCAGACCATTTGCTCACTTGTAATAGTTCAGCTGGCTTTACCACAAAGTAAAACTACCTTTTCTATCTTCCCTTGCTACCTCTTGTGCTAAGCTGCTGCCATACTGTTGTCCTAATGACCACACCCTCCAGGATGCAGAGGTGGTTTTATCTTTTAGGAGCCATCAGGGCCGTGGATGTGGCATGCCATCCACCTCTGTGAGTAAGTGCACCACACCTGTCAGCATGCACAGTGGGTCCGTATAGAGGCGCGAGTCCTCTTCACCCTCCAGCTGAGAGGATTCTGTATCTAGTTTACTCCGTGCAGCATCCTGATGATGACAAGAGGAGCTGGAAGTGTTTCTGAGACACAATTCATAAGTTTCTGACAGCAGGGCCTGGTTAAACGAACCATGGAGCTGTCTTGCTGAGAACAGCACTGCCCACGGGAAAGTGGACAGGTCTGTGCGCTTGTGAAGGGAACAGGTCACGTACACTAAAGGGGAGCGCGGGCTCCAGGGAGGATTCCTGAGTATTCCCATTCATGTATTCTCTCTGAATTGAGTACCCATACACAGGGTGTCTGCAAAGTTGGAAACCAGGACACACCTACTTTTAAACTGTTAGTTACATTTTCAAATGCTATATTCAACGTGTTTTCAGGCGAATACCTAGGTAATGAGTATAATTATTAAATTGAAAAAAGGTACTAAAGACAGAGTGTCCAAAAATCTAGAAACACTGGAAAAAATAGTCCATTTATAGCACGTTTTCATATGAGCAATTGGACGTTTGCTTTAAATTTAGGTATCTGGAGACTGACCAAAAAAAAAAACATTAAGTTAATTATTTGAAAAGTTTCACCACTTTGGCCAGGCTGGTCTCAAACTCCTGACCTCAGGAGATCCATCCGCCTTAGCCTTCCAAAGTGCTGGAATTACAGGCATGAGCCACTGCGCCCGGCTGAGAATTTTTAAAAAGGGAGAAGAAACTGTAGGCTATTTGAGTGTTAACTGCTAAGAAGAATAAATTAAAACAGGGAGTGGGGCTAGGTGGTATTGGGGTGAGCTGGAGTGTTGAGATGAGACGGGGCAGTCAAGGAGGAAGGTCTGAAGGAGGGGAGCCAGCCTGCAGGGTTGGTGTGAGCACTCCCAGGAGAGCTCTGTGTTTTCACCTACTGGGGACGGAGGACTGTGGTCACCAAAAAAACCCAGACCACGTCCAGCTCGGCCCTGGCAGCTTGCTCTGATGTCGCAGCACTTCTGTGTGCCCAGTTTTCTCCAGCAGGCCCTTCCAGCACCAGTGCTGTTCACCCTGGTCATGATAGCTTTTATCTTTAATTAATTCGTTGACAGCATGTGTTGATATACGTATACGTTGTGGAATGGCTGAATCAAGCCACTTAACATGCATCACCTCACATATTTAGCATTTTTATGCGATGAAAACACTTAAAATCTACTCTCATGGTGATTTTCGTGTATACAATACAGTAGTTCCCCCCACTTATCTGTGGTTTTGCTTTCTCTGATTTCACTTACCCTTGGCCATTCACAGTCCAAATATACTAAATGGAAAACTCCAGAAAAAAGCAATTTATATGTTTTAAATTGTGTGTCATTTTGATTAGTGTGATGTAATCTCACACCTTCTCGCCTTGTCCTGCCTCATCCCACGGGGGACGTGAATCCTCCCTTTGTCCAGCATCTCTGTGCTGCACGCACTCCCTGCCTATTAGTCACTTAGGAGCCAGCCTGGTCATCAGATTGACTGTCACAGTATCTGTGTTCAAGTCACCTTTATTTTACTGAATAATGGCTCCACAGAGCAAGAGTAGAGGTGCTGGCAACTTGGATACGCCAAAGAGAAGCCGGAAAGTGTTTTCTTTCTTTTTCCTTTTTTTTTTTTTTGAGATGAAGTCATGCTCTGTCATCCAAACTGGAATGCAGTCACACCATCTTGGCTCACTGCAATCTCCGCCTCCTGGGTTCAAGCGATTCTCCTGCCTCAGCCTCCCAAGTAGCTGGGATTACAGGTGCTCACCACCTCACCTGGCTAATTTTTGTATTTTTAGCAGAGACGGTGTTTTGCCATGTTGGCCAGGCTGGTCTCGAACTCCTGACCTCAGGTGATCCGCCCACCTCAGCCTCCCAAACTGCTGGGATTACAGGCATGAGCCACCATGCCCAGCTAGAAAGTGCTTTCTTTAAGTGAAAAGGTGAAAGCTCTTGATTTCATAAGGAAAGAAAAAAATCATTTGCTGAATTTGCTAAGAACTCCAGTAAATACAGTAAGATATTTTGAGAGAGACCACATTCACATAACTTTATTAGAGTTAGTTGTTGTTAATTTCTTACTCCAACTAATTTATAAATTAAACTATATTGTTAATTGTTGTTAATCTCTTACTCTGCCTAATTTGTAAACTAACCTTTATCATAGTTATGTCTGTATAGGAAAAAAAAAAAAAAAAACATAATACAGGTACAGCATCCCAAATCTGAAAACACACAATCTGAAATGCTTCAAAATCCAAAACTTTTTGAGCAGCGACATGACACTCCAAGGAAATATTCATCAGAGCGTTTTGGATTTTGGATTTTCAGGTTGGGGGATGTTCAACTGGTAAGTATAATGCAAACATTCCAAGATCCAACAAAAATTTGTAACACTGCTGGTCCCAAGCATTTTGGATAAGGTATACCCAACTGGTATATATAGGGTTCTGTACTATTTGTGGCTTCATGCATCCACTCGGCATCTTGGAATGTACCCCTTGTGAATAACAGGAGGACCACTGTATATTGTTATTAACTGTAGTCACCATGATGTGCAATGGATCTCTTGAACTTATTCCTCCTGTGTAGCTGAAACTTTGTACATTTTGACCAACATCTTCCCAAACCCCTGAACCTCTGGCCACTGGTAAGTACCATTCTCCTCTCACCATCCTGCTCTTTGCTTCTATGAGTTCAACTTGTTTACATTCCACATGTGGGTGAGAACACGTGGTAGTTGTCTTTCTGTGGGTGCGTTATTTCTGTTAGCATACTGTCCTCCATGTTCATCTACGTTGTCACAAATGACAAGATTTCCTTCTCTTTTAGGCTGAATAGTATTCTATTGTGCACTCTGTTATACCACATTTTCCTTATTCATTCATTCATCGATGGGCACATAGATTGATTCTGTATTTGGCTATTGTGAATAATGCTGCAGTGAACCTGGGAGTGCAGATCTCTCTTTGACATACTGATTTCATATCCTTTGGATATATGCTCAGATGTGAGATTGCTTTATCATATATTCTACTTTCAATTATTTGAGGAATCTCCATACTGTTTTTCCATAATGGTTATACTAACCTACATTCCACCAATAGCATATAGGGTTTTCTTTGCTCCACATCTTCACCAACACTCATTATCTTTCCTGTTATTAGTAATAGCCATTCTAACAGGTGTGAGCTGATATCTCCTCATGCGTTTGCATTGCCCTGATTATTAGTAATATTGAACATGTTTTCATATACGTTTTAGTTATTTGTATGTCTTCTTTGGAAAAATCTTTATTCAAGTTCTTTATCCATTTTTCAATCATGTTTTTTATTTGTTTTCTTGTTATTGGTTCTTTGGGTTCCTTGTATGTTTTGGATATTAATCACTTATCAGATTTACACTTTGCAAATATTTTCTCCCATTTTGTAGGTTGTCTCTTCACTCCGCTGATTGTTTCCTCTGCTGTGCAGAAGCTTTTTGGCTTGATGTAATTCCCTTTGCCTGTTTTTGCTTGTGTTGCCTGTGCTTTTAGGGCATATTCCCCAAATCATTGCCCAAACCAACATCATGGAGCTTTTCCCTTATATTTTATCTAGTAATTTCATGGTTTCAGGTTTTATGGTTAAGTCATTAATTTATTTTGAGTTGACTTTTTATGTGGTGTGAGATGAGGATCTAATTTCATTCTTCTGCATATGGATATCCAGTTTTCCCAATACCATTTATTGAAGAGACTGTCCTTTCTCCATCAACTTGAGTTGATGTTATGAAGTTAACTGTGAGCTTTTCATATGTGGTCTTTATTGTGTTAAGGAACATTCCTTTATCATGAAAGGATTTCAATTTTGTCAAATTCTTTTCTTGCTTCTGTTTTCTGTCTAAACCATATGACATTATCATACAGTTTTTGTCCTTCATTCTGTTGATGTGGTAATCACATTATTGATTTGTGTATGTTGAATCATACTTGCATCTGTCCTTGCAAGGACAGATCCCACTTGGTCATGGCAATTTCGTTTGGATATTTGGCCCTGCCCAAATCTCATTTGGAATTGTAATTCCCAGTGCTGGAGGTGGAGCCTGGAGGGAGGTATTTGGATGATGAGGGTGCATGCCTCATGGCTTGGTGCTGCCTTCACGATAGTGAGTTCTTGTGAGATCTGGTCATTTAAAAGTGTGTGGCATCTCCCCCTGCCGCTCTATCTCACTTGCTCCTGTTTTCACCATGTGACATGCCTGCTCCCCTTCACCTTCCACCATGATTGTGATTGTAAGCTTCCTGAGGCCTCCCTAGAAGTTAAGCAGATGCCAGTACCAAGCTTTCTTTAAAGCCTGCAGGACCATGAGCCAATTAAACCTCTTTATAAATTACTCAATCTTAGATATTTCTTTATAGCAATGCAAGAATGGACTAATACACATGGTGAATGATTTTTTTAATAGCTTGTTGAATTCAGTTTGCTAGTATTAATATTTTGTTGAGGAATTTGGCATCTACGTTCATCCGGGATATTGACCTACACTTTTATTTTCTTGTAGTGCCCTTGTCTGGCTTTGGTATCAGGGTAATGCTGGCCTCATAAAGTGAGTTTGGAAGCATTCCCTCCTCTTCAATTTTTTGGAAGAGTTTGAAATTGATTGGTATTAGTTCTTTAATTGGTTGGTAAAATTCAGCCATGAAGCCATCTGGTCCTGGGATTTTTTTTGATGAGAGACTTTTTATTACTGACTTCGTCTCCTCACATTTATTGGTCTGTTCCTTTTTTCGGTGTATAATTGTCCACAATAGTCTCTTACGATACTTCAGTGTGTCTGTGGTATCAGCGGTGATATCTGCTCTTTCATTACTGATTTTATTTGAGTCTTCTCTTTCTTTTTTTCTCAGTCTAGCTAAGAGTTTGTCAATTTTATCTCTTTTCAAAAAACCAAGTCTGTTTTTTTGGCCTTTTCTATTGTTTTTCTAGTCTCCATTTCATATACTTCTATTATGATTGTTGTCATTTTTTTCATTCTGCTAACTTTGGGCTTAGTTTGTTCTTCATTTTCTATTTTCTTGATGTATAATCTTAGGTTGTTTATGTGAGACCTTTTTTTAATGTACGCATTTATTACCATAAACTCCTCTGTTAGAACTGTTTTGCTGTATGTCGTAAGTTTTGATATGTTGTGTTTCTGGTTTTTTTTTTTTTGTCTCAAGATAGTTTTTAATCTCCCTTTTAATTTCTTCTTTGATCCATTAGCCGTTCAGAAGCCAGTGTTGTTTGATTTCTACATATTTTTGAATTTTCTGAAATTACTTTTTGATATGGCTTGAATCTGTGTCCTCACCAAATCTCATGTTGAATTGTAATCCTCAATGCTGGAGATGGGGCCTGGTGAAATGTGATTGGATCATGGGAGTGGATTTCTTATGAATGGTTTAGCACCATCTTCTTGGTGCTTTTCTCATGATAATGAGTGAGTTCTCATGAGATCTTGTTGTTCAAAAATGTGTGGTACCTCCCTCTTCTCTCTCTTGTTTCTGCTCTGGCCATGTGATATGCCTGCTACCCCTTTGGCTTCTGCCATGATTGTAAGTTTCCTGGGGCCTCCCCAGAAGCTGAGAAGATGCCAGCATTATACTTCTTGTACAGCCTGTGGAATCGTGAGACAATTAAAACCCTTTTCTTTCTAAATTACCCAGTCTCAGATATTTCTTTCTGGCAGTGCAAGAATGGACTAATACAGAACATTGGTACATAGGAGTGGAGCATTGCTATAAAGATATATGAAAATAAGGAAGCAGCTTTGGAACTGGGTAACAGGCAGAGGTTGGAGAGTTTGGAGGCTCAGAAGACAAGAAGATGAGGGAAAGTTTGGAACTTCCTAGAGACTAGTTGAATGTTTGTGACCAAAATGCTGATAATGAGATGGATGGTGAAGGCCAGGTTGATGAAGTCTCAGATGGAAATGAGGAACTTATTGGGAAATGGAGCAAAGGTCACTTTTATTATACCTTAGCAAAGAGCTTGGCTGCATTGTGCCCCTGACCTAGGGATCTGTGGAACTCTGACCTTGACAGTGATCATTTAGGGTATCTGATGGAATAAATTTCTAAGCAGCAAAGCATTTAAGATATGGCCTGGCTGCTTCTAATAACCTGCGCTTATAAGTGTGAGCAAAGAAATGACCTAAAGTTGGAAATTATATTTAAAGGGGAAGCAGAGCATAAAAGTTTGGAAAATGTGCAGCCTGGCCATGTGGTAGAAAAGAAAAGCCTGTTTTCACAGGAGGAATTCAAGCAGGCTGCAGAAATTTGCATAAGTAAAAAGAAGCCAAGTGCTATTAGCCAAGACAATGGGAAAAAGTCTCCAAAGGCATTTCAAAGACCTTTGCAGCTGCCCCTCTTGTCACACAGGCCCAGAGGGTTAAGAATACAGAATGGTTTCATGGGTCAGCCCCAGGGCCCCACTAACCTGTTCAGCTTCTAGACACTGTTCCCTGCATCTCAGCAGCTCTAGTTTCAGCCATGGCTCAAAGGGGCCCAGGTATAGCTCAAGCTGCTGCTTCAGAGGGTGCAGGCCATAAGCCTGGGGGGTATTCACATGATATTAAGCCTGCAGGTGCACAGAATGCAAGAGTTAATGCTTGGGAGGCTCCACCTAGATTTCAGAGACTATATGGGAAATCCTGAGTGCTCAAGCAGAAGCTGCTGCTGGGGCAGAACCTCTACTAGAACAGTGCAAAGGGGAAATGTGGGGTTTGAGCCTTCACACTAGTCCCCACTGGAGCACTGCCTAGTGGAGCTGTGGGAAGAGGGCCACCATCCTCCAGACCCCAGAGGGGCAGATCCTGGCAGCTTGCACCCTCAGCATGGAAAAGCCACAGAAACTTAATGCCAGTTTGTGAGAACAGCCTCAGGGACTGAGCCTTGCAAAGCCACTGGGGTGGAACCAGCTGCCCAAGGCCTTGAGAGTCCACCCCTCACACCAGTGTATGCTGGATGTGAGACATGGAGTCAAAGGAGATTGTTTTGGAGCTTTTAAGATTTGATAACTGCCCTGCTGGGTTTTGGACTCGTGTGGGGCCTGTAGCCTCTTTCTTTTGGCTGATTTTTTGCCTTTTAAAGTGGAAATATTTTACCCACTGCTTGTACCTCCATTGTGTCTTGGAAGTAAATAACTTCTTTTTGATTTTACAGGCTTGTAGGTGGAAGAGATTTGCCTTGTCCCAGATGAGACTTGGGACTTTGGACTTTTGAGTTAATGCTGGAGTGATTTTGGACTTTGGGGGACTATTGGGAAAGCATCATTGTATTTTGCAATGTGAGAAGGACAAGATATTTGGGGGACCAGGGGCAAAATGATGTGATTTGCATTTGTGTCCCCAGCAAAATCTCATGTCAAATTTTGCTCCCTGTTGTTGGAGGTGGGGCATGGTGGGAGGTGTTTGGATCACGGGAGTGGATTCCTCACGAGTGGTTTAGCACCATCCCCCTGAGGCAGTGCTCATAACAGTGAATTTTCATGAGACGTGGTTGTTTAAAAGTGTGTGGCGCCTCCTTCCCACCCTCACTCTCTATTGCTCCTGCTCTGGCCATGCTCCCGCTTTGCCTTCCACCATGATTGTAAGTTTCCTGAGGCCTCCCCAGAAGCTCAGCAGATGCTAGCACCATGCTTCCTTTACAGCCTGCAGAACCATGAGCCAATTAAATCTCTTTTCTTTATAAATGACCCAGTCTCAGGTATTTCTTTATAGCAATGGGATAGCGGCCTAATATACTTCTATTATTGATTTCTAGTTTCATACCATGGTAGTAGGAAAAGATACTTGATGCAATTTCAGTCTTCTTACATTTATTAAGTTTTGTTTTGTGACCTAACACATGGTCTGTCCTGGAAGACATTCCATGTGTGCTTGAGAAGAATGGATATTTTGTTGCTGCTGGATGGAATGCTCTGTATGTCTATTAGATGCTTTTGGTGTAAAGAGCAATTCAAGTCTCCTCTACCCAGTGTTGATGTCCCACCAGTATTTATATGTTGAAACCTCATTACTCATCTGTCAGTATTAAGAGGTAGGGCCTTTTGGAAAGTAAGACATGAAGACTTATGAATGGGATTAGAGCCTCTACGAATGGTATTAGCACCCGTATAAAAGAGATTGAAGGAGGCATGTTTGCCCGTTTCCACCATGTCAGGACACAGCAACAAGGTGCAATCTATGAGAAATGGGCCCTCATCAGACACTGTATCTGCTAGCACCCTGACCTTGGATTTCCCAGCCTCTAGAAGTTTAAGAAATAGGCCAGGCATGGGGGCTCACATCTGTAATCCCAGCACTTTGGGAGGCCGAGGTGGGTGGATCACCTGAGGTCAAGAGTTCAAGACCAGCTTGGCCCACATGGCAAAACCCCATCTCTACTAAAAATACAAAAATTAGCCAGATGTGGTGGTGCATGCCTATAGTCCCAGCTACTTGGGAGGGTGAGGCAGGAGAATCGCTTGAACCTGAGAGGCGGAGGTTGCAGTGAGCTGAGATCACACCACTACACTCCAGCCTGGGTGACAGAGTGAGACTCCATCTGAAAAGAAACAAGAAGTTTAAGAAATAAATTTGTGTTATTTACAAATTGCCTAGCCTAAGGTATTTTTTTAAAACAGCCTGAACAGACTAAGACAAAATTTAATTTTTAAAAAATTTTCTGCCTCGCTTACCTGTCTATTGTTGAAAGTGGGGTATTGACATTCACTACTATTATTGTATTACAGTTTATCTCTGCCTTCAGATCTCTTAATTTTTGCATTTAGGTGCTCTGATGTTTGGTGCATACATACACACACACAATTGTTATGTCTTCTTGATGAATTCACTCCTTTATTATCATATAATTACCATCTTTGTCTTTTTTAAAAGTTTGACTTGAAGTCTATTTAAACTGATGTAAATATAGCTATCCCTGCTCTCTTTTGGTTTCCATTTGCATGGAGTGTTTTTTCCATCCTTTCGCTTTCAACCTATACATTTTTTAAATCTGTCGAGCTCATCTGTGTCTTTTGATTACAGAATTTAATTCATTTACATTTGTGGTAATTATTGATAGATAAGGCTTTACTACTTCCATTTTGTTCATTGTTTCCTGGTTGTTTTGTAGGTCCTTCTTTCCTTTGATTCTTTACTTGTGATATTTTATGTATAATCTACCATTTTGCTGACTATACTTCTTAGTTTAAGGTGCTAAGAGTACAGTAATTCATAAAATAGAGCCAAGTCTCTACTCAAACTTAAGGTGAGAGAGTGAGAGAGTGCTTTCTGAATTCCTTTCTGCAGACTTAGGATTTAAATCTGAAGTGAGCACAGCACTGTGGGTTCTATGGGTGATGATAGACAACTACTCGGGGATCTGAGTGGGATCAGTAGTGATGCAGTGAAAGATGTGTGGGGGCTGTGGGGGCATGGGAGCCTCAGGGGTGTTCAGGGCCAGGTGGGCTCCTCGCATTCCAGCCTCAGGTCCCTCAATCCTCCCAAATTGCTGACCCCTGTGAAATAAGGATGCTGATGCTAGGAGAGATATCTCCAGGATCTGACATCATAGCGTCCTGGGCAAAAAGCTCAGTTCCTCACACTCAAGTGAAAGGAGAGTGGGTCAGCTGTGGTGGTCAGGTGTATGTGGTATAGAGTGTATGTGTGACTGTGTGTGATATGGTATGTGTTGGGGGAGGGGATGTGTGTGGGAGTGGTGTGGTGCGTGTGTGTACATGTATGGTGTGTGTGTCTATATGGTATGGTGTGCATGCGTGTGTGGTGAGTACATGGTGTGTGTGTGAGATGTGCAGTATGTTGTATGTTGTGTGTGAATGTGTGCTGTATATGGTGTGTGTGTGTGTGATACATCATGTGGTGTGTGTGCATGAATGTGTGGTGTGGGTGTCAGTGTGTTGAGCATGTGGTGTGTTGTATGATATGTATGGTGTGTATGTTTATAGTGTATGTGGCATGTTGTGTGATGTGTGTGTGTTTAGGGTGTCTAAGGCTGTGTAGATGCAGAAGCTTTATAGATGCTCCACAGATGGCTGTCTTTGCTCACCAGCTCTCTTAGACCCCTGTAATCTTTCTTTTATTGTATTGCAAATTACATTGCCCACCAAGAATGTCACAATGGGCAGCCATGGGCAGTGATTCCCAGCCCTTATGAAATTGTTACGCCTACTCAGTACCCCTCTCCTTCTTTGCTTATTTGTCACTTTAAAATGAAATCAGATTCAGTGAGCTTTGTGTCTTTAGGGGAATTCTCAGTGAAGTCTGGAAACCCTTCCCCCTCAGGTTTTCCGACCGCTGCTTGGAGTTTCTGGTATGAAGTGCTGGTGTTCTCCGCCAAGCAGCAGGTGCATCTGTAAATTACTGTGGGATGTTAATGGCTATATACTTTCTTATTCATTACAGCTCCAGTCCCCAAAAGGCAAAAATGTGACCACTGGACTCCCTGCCCATCTGACACCTATGCCTACAGGTTACTCAGCGGAGGTGGCAGAAGCAAGTACGCCAAAATCTGCTTTGAGGATAACCTGTAAGTACCAGCGTTTAGAAGGAAAATAAAGCGATCCTACTGATTCTTGCCCCTTCCCTGAGGCTGACCAAGCAGCAGTTCTGCCCACAGGAGAGAACCATATGTCGTTGGTCTCAGGCAAAAGGCTGAGAGCATCCAAGTGGAAATGAGAAAGCTCCGCTGTATTCACCAGGGAAGGAGCTGATTGTCTCTAATGGCTGTATGTGTCTTGTGTTTAATGGTTTTACGGTTTCGTTTGACTGCAGTTGTACTTAGGATTTAAATCTGAAGTGAGCACAGCCCTGTGGGTTCTACGGGTGATGATAGACAAGTACTCTGGGATCTGAGTAGGGATCAGTATTGATGCAGTGAAAGGTGTGTGGGGCACGTGGGGGCATGAGAGCCTCAGGGGTGTTCGGGGCCAGATGGGCTCTGAACAAAGTTAGACTACTTTAAAAAGCGAAGTTAGACTACTTTACTTTGAATATGTGGCAAAGTCCTTCAAAGTCATGGGAACATGAAAACTCAGCCGATAGTTTCTTCGTTTTATTTTATGATCCTCACCTTCCTGGATTAAAGCAGGTGTTGTTTCTGTTTGCAGTCCATACTTTACACTTCTTCAATATTTTGGGAAAATCCATATAAGATTGATATTATTTCTTCTTTAAATATTTGGTGTGATTTCCCAACAAAGTCGTCCTGGCCTGGAGGGTTTTGTTTTGAGGTTTTTAACTGCAAATTTAATTGATGTAATAAGTACAGCACTACTTAAGTTATCTGTTTCTTCTTGAGTGGGCCCCATTTTTATTTTTTTATTATTTATTTATTTTGTTTTAGTGCTTCCTTGATTTACAGCATAGCTAAACTCAGCCGAGTCTTTCTTTGTTCAGACTGAAATCAGCCATTTCTCTAAAGAGAGAGTTCCTTAATGGGATGTGGTATTTAGAAACCAAGATCTAGACACTCATGGGCCCTTGATAGGGTTCCTCCTAAGCACTTTTAGTGGACAGAACCAAGCAATGCATTTGTTTCTAAATCATGAATTTACGTTAGCATTTACAATTCAAATTCAACAGTGCAGGAGTCTTACCCCCTTAAGTTCTTCGATTTTACATTTTAACTCTTCCCTTACACTGAGAATCTTGGTTCCTAGTACTATTAACCTTCGCCTTCAAATTACAATACCAAGACTACTAACAATACAACTACTGAGTGAAGTTAAAAAATGTTGTTTGCAGTTCCTCATAGATTTAAAAATATTTTATTAAGGTTATAAAGAGTCAGATGTCTATATTAATCAAGGCTCTCCAGAGAGACAGAGCCAATGGCAGTGGGAGGTAAGAAGAGAAAGGAAAGAGTGGATTTATTTATTAGAGAAATTGGCTCATGCAATTATGGAGGCCAAGAGGTCCCACGACAGGCCATCTGCAAGCTGGAGACCTTGAGATGCTGGTAACATGGCTGAGCCCAAGTACTAAAGCCTCAGAACCAGAGAGGCAGATGGTGTAATTCTCAGTTTGAGAATCAATAGGAGATGGGAGGTCTGCTGGTATCAGTCTTGGAGTCTAAAGGCGGGGGAGCCTGAAGTTCTCATGTTCAAGGTAGGAGAAGTAGAAGGGTGTCCCAGTTCCAGCAGAAAGAGAGAGAGAGGCAAAAGGGGACTGAAGTTGTCTTTTTTTTTTTTTTTTTTTTGAGACAGAGTCTCACTCTGTCACCAGGCTGGAGTGCAGTGGCGCCATCTCGGCTCACTGCAACCTCCGCCTTCCAGGTTCAAGCGCTTCTCCTGCCTCAGCCTCCTGAGTAGCTGAGGCTACAGGCGCACACCACCATGCCCAGCTAATTTTTGTATTTTTAGTAGAGACAGGGTTTCACCATGTTGGCCAGGATGGTCTCGATCTCTTGACCTCATGATCTGCCTGCCTCAGGCTCCCAAAGTGCTGGGATTACAGGCATGAGCCACCACACCCAGCCAAAGTTGTCCTTTTATAAGGAACCCATTCACTCCTGTGATAACAGCATTAATCCATTCAGGAGGGCAGAGTCCTCATGGCCTAATCACCTCCTAAATGTCCCACCTCTTAATGCTATTTCCACATGAGTTTGAGAGGTAACAAACATTCAACTCATAGCAATGACCAAAGTCATATGAAATAATTACTTTCCCTGTAGTTATTTTACATTGAATTAATTTCCATTTGCTTTCAATGCTAGGTTTGTTTTTCTTTGGGTTTCATTTAATTTTTGAATATATATTTATTTGGTTCAGAAATCAACATTATGTTTGAATATTACATGTCCCAAAAAAGGAGGCTCAGAGAAATCTTCCCTGTATTCTCCACCTTTTCTCCCCACCTCTTGTTCCCATCTCCATTAATTTTTTAATTAGTTTTTGATTTATTCTTCCAGTATTTCTTAATGGCAAAAAATAAGCTATATATATATATAAAATTAATACATACCTATGTATATTTTTATATACAGGTATATATATGCATGTATACATGTGAATATATGTATATGTGTGTATGAATATGTGTGCATATGTGTATATACACATTATACACGTATACACTCATATGTACACACACATTTATATCCTTTCTTACATAAAAGGTGGTAAACTCTATACACAGTTATGACCTTGGCTTTCTTCACTTAACAGTTAATAGAGATTACTCCATATCAGTACATCAGGCTTTTCCTCATTTCTTTTATTGATATGTGGTATTCCATAGCACGGATGTGTCATAGTTTATTCAACTAGTTCTGCACTGATAGGCATTTCTGATGTTTGATATCTTTTGGTATTACCAGTAATGCTGCAATAAATAACCTTATGAATATATCATTTTGTAATAAATTATGATAAGGCGAGCAGTTGTGTAACCACCATCCTGGCTAAGAAATAGACTATCACTAGCACCCCATAAGCCCTCTGTGTACCCCTTCTGAAATGCAGCTTCCTCTTTCCTTCCTGCCCAATGGTAACCTGGATTTTTTTTGGTGGTGATTTATTTCCTCACTTTTCTTGGTAGTTTTACTGCCTAAGCATGCATTGCAAAATACTGTTATTTAATTCAACACTTGTTTAATGTTGTCTGTTTTGGACTTTGTATAAGTGGAATCATAAACCAAATACTCTTTTGTGTCTGAGATTTATCCTTCACGTTGGATGTAGCTGTTGTTCTTAGATGTTCATTGCTGTATGATACTGCATTGCATGAATATGTTACAGTTATCCATTCTATTGTTGAATGACATTTGAGTCATTCCCAGTTTGGGGTTATTATGAACAGTGCTGTTTATGTCTCTTGGTGCACATGCACATACATTTTTGTTGAGTGTTTTTTTGAAGAAGGATTCTCACAACTAGCCTCAAATTCAGTGATACTCTAGAAAAATTCCTAAGACCCAATAACAGGTTACACTTATAGGTAAGTTTTCTTACAGCAAAAGACACAGAGCAAACCCTCCTGCATGTTCTGCTGATGGTGAATTCTTCCAGTTTATGTTTCTCTGAAATATCTTTACTTCACCTTCATACCTGAAAAATAGTGTGGTCTGCTGATAGTGAATCTTTCCAGTTTACGTTTCTCTGAAATATCTTTATTTCATCTTTGTTCCTGAAAAATACTTTTGTAGGCTGTGTTAGCCATTACTTTCTTTCAGCACATTCAAGGTACTATTCCACTGTCTTCTAGGTTCTATATTTTCCTTTTGAGAAGTCAGCTGACAGTCTTATTGTCGCTGCTGTGAAAGTAACTGCCCATTGCCCTCGTCCCCGTCACCTTAGAGATTCCTTGTCTGGTTTTCAACATTTGTACTCCAATGTGTCTTTTGTTGTTTTATCTTCTTTGGAGTTTTTTTGAGTTTCTTAAATTGGTAGGTATTGAAGTCTTTCATCAAATTTAACAAATTCTCTGCTCTTGTATCTTCTGCCCATTCACTTTCTCCTCTTCTTCTGAGATTCTTAATGAAACATATATTAGACCTTATCACTACTATAGTCTCTAGAGCCTATAGTCTATTTTGTATTTTCCATTTGTTTACCTCTCTGCTCTTTATCATGGACAGAGTTGTTTTCCATTCACTAATTCTCTCACCCACTGTACCTAATCTGCTGTCAAACCCATTCAATCACTACTGATTTTAGGTTACTATATTATCTTAGTTTTAGAAATTCATTCTGGTTCTTTTTAAAATCAGCATGTCAGTTTTGGTACTTTTCAGTTCTGAAATTTTTAATTTTATCAACCATGTTTTTGAATACATTATAGTTAAAGTCTGAGTTGGATAACTCTAGCATTTAGAGTGCCTGTGAGTCTGTCACTATTATCTACTGTTTTCTGCTGGTTCCATTGTCTCTTGTGTGCGTTGGCCTTTTTCCTCACGTGTCAGGTTTCATTTGATCCTGCACCTGTTTTTTAAAAAAATTGAGGCATGGGATGATATCTTCTTCTGAGGAATTATCTTTGCTTCTCCCAGGGACCTGGAACCTTTAGCAGAACAGGATGACCTGAATAAGTGTTAAAGATTTTCTGGGCCACCTAGTTGACTAAAAACTAGGCTGAAGTTTATACAAGCTCTGATTTTTTTCTGGTTTGCTCTCACTTTCAGGATTCAACCCTTTGTGACCCCAGGCCAAATAAGATGTGGGAGATTTAACATGGCCCTGACCCTGGCTTCCAACTTCTGTTCCCTTGGCTCACATGGTTGTCAGAAGGGCTGTTCACTTCCTTACACACCTTTTCTGGAATCAGCAAATTCTCCTTGGTTAAAAGTAGCTTTTAAACGCTGGACTTACCAACCTGAAATTTAGTCTTCTCCCAGATCTTGGCCTGGGAAATTCTTAACTACCTTATTTGGTCTCTAACGTATACAACCAGATCTTTAACAACAACAGCAACAACAAAACTTGCCTCATGTTTTCTGCTTTTCTCCATGAGAAAGTCGGTTTAGATTAGCCGATTTTCTATTATCAGAAATCTCTTTCTGCTTCAAGTTATTATGGAATAGTCTCTAAACCTGTCAAAAAGCACTAAGCCTAGAAAACTCATAGGGGAGTTTAGGTAAAGGTGTCAAAACAAAATATTAAAGTTCCGTGTTCGCTATTCCAAAGCATGGAAAAAGGAGGAAGCCTTCCAAATTATTTTCATAAAGCTAACATGTCATTGATTCTGACACTTGACAATGGGAACATGCACATATACAACATGCACACACACAATTTCTGTGATCTTCAGCAATAATTACCATCTCCAGGTAAGTCATTTAGTTTTCCTGATTTTAGGGCACAATCCTCTTGAATTTGGCATTTCATATTCTACAATTTAAAGGTTAAAAATTAAGTGACATACTCAGGCATGGTGGCTCATGTCTATAATCCCAGCACTTTGGGAGGCTGAGGCGGGCAGATCACTGGAGCCCAAGAGTTCAAGACCGCCCTGAGCAGTATGGCAAAACTCCGTCTCTACAAAAAAATTTTTAAAATTAGCCTGTTGTAGTGGTGCACGCTTGTACTTCCAGCTACTTGGGAGGCTGAGATGGAAGGATTGCTTGAGCCCGAGAGGCAGAGGTTGCAGTGAGCCACGATTGCACAACTGCACTCCAGCCTGGGTGACAGAGTGAGACCCTGTCTCAATAAATAAATAGATAATAAATTAACAATAAAGTGCATCTGTGAAGAGCCTGAGCTAAATAAATGTTAGTTTTTCTTCCCCCTAGCCATTTGTCTAAATTATAAGATTGAATGCAGTGTCCAGGTCCCCTGAGAGTCCAGGTCCCCTGAGGGACTGAGTCTGTAGACACTGAGAATAGATGTGTGTGGATGAACATGGGGGTGGCGGTCTCGGGAGCTGCACCAAGGCGAATGCAGACTTTCAAGGAAAAGGTGGGGGACAGCAGATGAGACTGACATTTGGTCAGGCGAAGACTTCGCGGAGCGGGGAGAGTCGCACGCCTCTTGGTACTTGACTAATGCTTAGCTCCATTTCAGACTTATGGGAGAACAGCTGGGAAATGTTGCCAGAGGAATAAACATTGCCATTGTCAACTGTAAGTTACTAAACATTTTCTTTAAACTTCTCTAAAAGCTCTCTGGTCAGATTTTCAAAGGTACCTTGGGTTTTCGAGACTTTTGCGCGTGATTTAGTCTAGGTTTGTATTTTAATGCATTTTAAGATTATATACTCAATTATTTTTACAAGTCTCACTTCACAGATTATTTGTGGTTCTAACAACAAATAAACAACTGAAAACCAAATATAGACTTTATTTTAAAAAAAGAAAAAAACAGAGGGATAGGCCAAAGTTAGGGTTAACACCAGAAGGGCCGCCAAGGGGGTGCAGCCTGTGGTCCTGGACTGAGCCTCTCATTTGCTCCCAGAGTCCCAGTGTCTGCTCAGGGGCTGACACCATAGACCATCTCATCCTTCTGTGTGATAAAAGCCACTGCAACCTCGTGGGAAACAAAACTTGGCCTTTCTCTTAGGTCTGGAATAAAGCTCTCTCACAGTTGCCTTTGAGGGGCCCAGAGGAGAAGGAAAGGGTTTCCCACAACGTCCCTGTGAGTGAGTGGGCCGCATAGCCCCGAGACGTGAGGGCTGTGGAAGTGAAGATAAAATGCTCCCAATCTGACAGCCCTGAAGGAGGCTGTAAAGTAGGAAGTGGGCAGGCTGAGGGGGCTCTGGTGTTTCTGTGGGATGAGGCGGGTGGGCCTGGCTGAGGGGGCTCTGGTGTTTCTGTGGGAAGAGGCGGGTGGGCCTGGCTGAGGGGGCTCTGGTGTTTCTGTGGGATGAGGCGGGTGGGCCTGGCTGAGGGGGCTCTGGTGTTTCTGTGGGATGAGGCGGGTGGGCCTGGCTGAGGGGGCTCTGGTGTTTCTGTGGGATGAGGCGGGTGGGCCTGAGTGAGGGGTCTCTGGTGTTTCTGTGAGATGAGTTGGGTGGGGGAGGTATTAGTGTTCCATCAGGTGTAACCCAAAGCAAACTGGAAGAAAGTTCTAGCACAGCTTCCAGCACTTTCCTTTGACCTGGTTTTGGGGACTCTCCTCAAGGGGCCCGCCCTGTCTCTGCAGGCTGGGTCATTACATCAGTGGTGTTTGCTGGAGATAGACAGGGAAGAAATATTTCCTTCCCCAGGCCCTGGTGCCACAAGTGCGCCCTAGTTCTGTGAACTTTCTTTTAAAATACCATTTCTTTTATTTTCAGATGTAACTGGGAATGTGACAGCAACACGATGTTTTGATATGTATGAAGGTGGTAAGAAAATTTTTTCTGTTAAAATTCAAATGAATTTTAAACAGAAAATTAAGATTAAAAAGCACAAAGAAAAATGTCAACCATTTTTATTTTGTCTACTAGAAAAACGCCAGCAGCTCTCCTGAGTAATCTAGAGTGGTCTTATGTAGATCCTCTTAAACTCTAATTGAATTCATAGAACATTTGAAGGCATCATCTAGAAATGTCTTTTCTTCTGTTAGTTTTCCTCAGTCTTTCTCTTTTTAGCTCTCATGATATAATAAGAAAGAGAAAAAGCCTTTTTTTTAAAAAAAAAAAAAAGCCAAATACATTATATGTAAAATAAAGCCACCAGCATCCAGCCCTAAATATCATCATCCTTTGAAAGCTGTCACGATTACTCCTGGTGACTCACAGTGCTCTGCTGGGCTCAGGGCAAGCATTCCCGGAACCCACGGGTGCCCAGTCTTTCTCGATGGTCTCTCCTTTCTAGGCACTGACTCTTGACTGCAGTTGTTGGCCAGGATATACTATCCCCTCTTATTTTTATATATCAATGAGACTTTCAAAAACAAGTTTTTATAAAGATAGTGAAGACGAAGAATAGAAAACGCCTGCACCCACCCAATAAGAAGGACACAGTTGTACTCTGCAGTTAACCTAAGCAGAACAGTAAATAATGAGCCGCAGCGGTGAGTAACAGGGTTTGAGGTTTACCTTTATTTTATAAGGCATAGATAAGTCTCTTGGCACAGACTTGCCCACGGTCCACATGTCTCGTATTTGAGTTCTGTGGGAGTCTCTCTCCTGCACACGTCGGTGTGTTTGCAAGGCCACTCTGCTCAGTGGTCGTGGTGTGGGTGTGGGTGTGGCCCTTTATCAGTGACTACAGAGAACACTCCACCTGTGCCACACAGGCTGCTGCTTGTTAAGAGTTTGGTGATCTCATTTCTAAGGAGGGTTTTTTTTTTCTACCAGGGGCTCCACTTCTCTTGTTTGTTGGTCAAAAAAGCTCCTTATCTTGACCCCCTTTCACTACTGCCCTGAACACCTATTGCAAGTGTTAGGTTCTTTTCCTTCTACGCTGTGCCACTCACCTCAGATAGTCCCTATGGTACCCCAGTGAATGTTCACACGTCCAGAGCTAGCACACCATCTGCAGGGTTGAGCAGCGAGCGCTGGGACCCCCAAGGATTCAGAATGGACACAGAATGCAGGTGCAGGAGGAAGCCCAGCACCCAAGGCAGAGCCTCAGTGAACAGCAAAGACCCTAAAACTGACTTGCATCCCCCAATAGATAACTCTGGACCGATGACAAAGTTTATTCAGAGTGCTGCTCCAAAATCCCTGCTCTTCATGGTGACCTATGACGACGGAAGCACAAGGTGAGTGGGTGTAGGTCTGTCACAGCGGTGGGCAAGAGAAGCCAGCTGGGGCAGAGGCTGCCAGGGTCTCTCAGTGACATCCTCTGGGGACAAGCAGAAAGTCCAGGAGCAAAGTACTTCTCTAAGGAAAAAGAATGAAAGATCATGACAAAATAGATGGCATTTCTTTAAAAAAAAATTAAATCACTAACCACAGAAGTACTAGAACCTAAATCAAAGGAGTATTTCAAGGAATCAAGACAAAGCCACTGTTGACCATAATTAGGACAGACAAACTAACCTCCGGACAGAAAGCCTAAACCCAGGGTGGCATTAATAGTTACAGCAATGTGAAAGGAAATTGAGATAATTTCCCTATAGAAAGAGGAAAAGAGGCTGGGCGCAGTGGCTCACACCTGTAATCCTAGCACTTGGGAGACCGAGGCAGGCGGATCACGAGGTCAAGGGTTCGAGACCATCCTGGCCAACATGGTGAAACCTTGTCTCTACTAAAAATTAAAAAATTAGCCAGGCATGGTGGCATGCACCTGTAGTCCCAGCTACTCAGGAGGCTGAGGCAGGAGAATCGCTTGAACCCAGGAGGCGGAAGTTGCAGTGAGCCAAGATTGCACCACTGCACTCCAGCCCGGTGACAGAGCGAGACTGTCTCAAAAAAAAAAAAAAAAAAAAGAGGAAAAGAATAAAGAAATACACACATACACATTCAATACTGTACTAGAAGTGGATGTAGCTCAGTGCCTCTCAGAGTGTGTCCTACTAAGTAAACCAAACCTGTGTCTTTGCTGCAGAATGTCTAAGAACCTTCAAAGTGCTTATTTGTGTGGTGAATTTCCCAGACAGGGCTACTGACCACAGCATTTCCCAAATTTATCAGATTCCTTTTTTCATGGAGCATCTTACCAAACTGAAGTTCCTTGGCACATACTTTGAAAAATTCTGACTTAACTCACTTAGAACAATCTAAACTTAACTGTTTACTTTCCTGTCTACCCTCCTGTCACTTCCTCTAAATCTTAATGTTTGCAGTGGCAGTATTGTTTTACATTTCTTTTTCCTTTTTGATGTGGACTTTTCTGATTATGAAAAGGGGGCAGTTTTGGCATTTGCTTTCATCTTTCAGCAACTTCTCTCCACCTTATTTTGTGGTCACTAAACAAGGGGCAGAGCAATAGCCGAAAATTGTATTGGCTGAGTGTGAGCCTGAGATTGAACCCCAAAGCACAAGGGCTTTCCAGAATTGAGAAGTAGAATTCTGTGCCCCAAACTGGGGCCTAAAATGGCTCTGGATGTCCAATGGTTAACTAGAAATGTGACATTCTCAAGAAGCATGTGTGCCTCTTAGCTGCCACTGTGTGTCATGCACTGCAGCAGGAGATGAATGTGTTTAGAAACCTCCATCCAAGGATGCACAGCGTAACACATCCAGAGCAGAGTTCCTCTCCTCTCCACGTCTCCCTGAGATGCTCACATGCTTTTCCCTTTGTCCTGCAGACTGAATAACGATGCCAAGAATGCCATAGAAGCACTTGGAAGTAAAGAAATCAGGAACATGAAATTCAGGTCTAGCTGGGTATTTATTGCAGCAAAAGGCTTGGAACTCCCTTCCGAAATTCAGAGAGAAAAGGTGAGTGGTTTTAAAATGTCCCTTCCCACCAATGGTGAGTATAGTAAATGCTGTGCCTTGAAAACGTTCCTGGTGGGTTATAACTCCGTCTCCAAACATAAGAGTTGTGTCAGCTGTTTCCATGAGATCAGCATTAGATCCGGACAGAAGTTTCAAACTTCTCCAATCTCTTTCAAAGTAGAAAATTCTGAATGGGCTGTTGGTATTGGTTTTTCACCATGCTGCAGCCAACATGGTCTGTCCTGGGCCTCTCCTTCCTTGGGCAGGAGGTTTACCTCCCCAAGCTCCTGCTATGGGGAAAGTAAGAGAGCTCACCTCTTAGGATGGCTGAGAGCATGAACAGACATGGTGAATGCAAAACACTCAAAACAGGCTGGACACCAAATCAACACTGCACAAATCTGGCTTCCATTGCTGCTGCTGCTGCTGTACTAACTGGGCACGTGATTGATTCTAAGTCCCTCCCTTTATGGCCTTTATTTATCAAAGAGAAGTAAAGAGCAAAAGAATGGCGTTCTCACTTATTAACCACTAAGTCTCCTGTGAAAATTCCAACTGAGGGTTTGCAAAATGTGTGGGAGTAACAAGCTGAGCATCCGATGACAATCACAACATCCTGGAGAATTTCAGAGGGTTCTGCTCTCCAGGAAAAGATGCTGCAGTAACCGGTGCTGCAGTAACCGGTGCAGAAGAGGAGGAAATTGTGCTGCATGACCAAGGCGCGAGACTTCCCCACTATACCTTCTGAGGATAAGGGCCTCCTTTCCACTTAGCCAGAAATTCCCAGAAAGCAGAGATTTCTACATCTCCAGGGTGTGCAATAGGCCGCTTCTGATTTCAGGCTCTGACATTTGGTCCCAGTCTGCCTCCTTGTGCTGTGGATACGGGTCTGGGAAGAAAGACAAGCAACAGAAGCAGCTCGGCATCTTCTTGTTGCCATGACCACCTGAGGTAGAGGAGAAGGGGGCTGGATAAGGTGCGACTTCAGCGCAGGCCACACAACCAGACAACTTGGAACTGGTTCCCAGGAAACCCTAGACCTTCTGTGACCCCCTCTAGTCTCATGTTCCGGAGGCCCGGAAACCATGGTTATTTTAGCATGCATCTACACAAGCATGCTTTCCCCTTGTGACTTCATGTTCCTCTAGAGCCAGGAAGCCAGCCCTGCAGAACGTGTAGGGAATGTTTCCCGGGGCCCTGGCCTCGACCCCTCCTTGCTTATGACTGTGCCTGGGCACTTGCATGCACAGTGAGCCCTCATGGGTCTGCCCTAACCGAGAGGCACTCCCTGAGCTCTGATTGGTGGGGCTCCTTGGGCCCCACCACTGCCTGGACCCACACTGAGGGCAAGCTGAACCAGCCACACAATAGTGAAGCCGGGGCTTACGGTCCTGTGTTAGTTTTGCGAGGGGACGTCGTGTGATCTTAAACAAGTCACGTCACCTCTCTGGGCTCCAGCTTTCCTGCCTCCTCCAGGGCCAGCAGCTGTGCTGCAGTGTGCACCCCATTCTCCCCGGGATTTCCTCAGGCTGACCCTGGGGAGCGAATACTGGGTCCCCATCTCTCCGATCCCTTGTGTGATCCATGCCACAGGCTGTCGTCTTGAGAATGTCCAGGCTTTATCCAGCTGGCTGTGTGGTCTTGGAAAGTTATCTAACCCTCTGTGCTCAGAATCATCACCTGTGAGAGGTGAATAAAGATAGTTCCTGCCACAGAAGGGCTCCTGAACATGAAAGAAGAGAAACACATGGATCTCAGAGTGGAGTCCTGTAACCCAGAACAGCTGGGCCTTCCTGGAGCTCCCCGGGTCCTGCCCCACCAGCCCACCCCAAACCCAGATCCCTCCGCACAGCTTCTGCAATCAATGTCTCTCCCAACTTGGGTCTCCCCAAAAACCAGTGATGTCCAGGCTGTGCGCAGGACAACTGAACCAGCTTCTCAGAGGGTGGGGCCTGGCCTGGAGATTCTGATGCACGGGGAAGGGAGCCTCCTTGCGTGGATCTCCAGGAGAAAATGGAGGCCCTGGTTTCACATACACACCCACACTTCCCCTTAACAGCGTCCTCCGACTTCTCTGCTCCTTCCCCGGCTCTTACCCTGTTTTCCTCCTCCTCTTTCCTTCCTTCCCAGTTCCACAGTCTCTTCAGCATCTCCAGGGGCCTTGTCCCACCTTATCTAACCACCCCAGCTTATTTAACTAGCAAGGGCGGCGGTGAGCAGGTACTCCTGGCAGCCCGGGCGTTGTGCCACACAGGGACCCCCCCATGCACACGAGCGTCTGTGGTTATTATTACTACCAATGGTGCGGTTCTCCAGCTGATTTATGAGAGTGTCCAGACTGTACCAGAAAGGCTGGCATGTGAGGCTGAAATCCTTTTTAACTCAAATGTTAACATCTCATCAAACAGGTTCTTCATTAATGTTTAAGTCGTAGAAAACAAAAACCTCATTGGAATTGCACAGAGGAAGTTGTAGTCCTTCCTTATGATTTCCTTCATATGAAAGAGTTTCTGGAGCAGGAGAAATCAAGAAAAAGACTGGACGTCAAAGCCAGGGCTGAGTTTAGAGAATTGGAATGTGTTTGGAAATGGTGGCTCCAAGTGAATTTCAGGAAAATGCCTGTTTTGCCCACCTGTGTCAGCTAAAAGTTATCCAAGTTACTACAGGAGTATAAAGACGAGACCTAAACACAGCAAGCAGTCAGTGCTGGAGAGTTACTAGAGGTTCTGTGGTTTGGGGGCGCTAAAGGATGTTTGCTCAAATGTTGGTGAGGTCTGGACTGGTAGCCAGGGCTTCAAGACAGGTCTTACCGAGACCTTGAGAGAAGTGCCACTGGAGGAATCATTTGTGTCTGTGTTACTTTGGCTATTCAGACTTGCAGGTGGTGTATTTCCCTAAGGGTGGTGTACCCATGTTGGGAGGGCCTCCTGAGTCCTCAGGGGTCTCCCCAGCCCCATGTTCACTCCCACTCCACCTGCTATTCCAGGAGTCAGCTTTCTAGGCACAGCGCCTGGGCCACTCTCATGCAGAGCCTTTAATGACCCCACTACCTGCTGAATTGAATTTTAAAGTATAAGGAACTTCAAAGATTATTCCATCCAACCTCTTGGTTTTATAGGAGGAAGGAAACTGAGAAATAAATAAGGACAGGAGTCTTGGAAGTGAGGGTAACCTGGTTCAGATCTGGACTTGGCCACCCCGACTGCATGACCTGAGTTTGGCACTTCATAGGCCTGCGCCTCTTCTGCACCCTGAACTGTGGGTAGCGGAGCCTGCCTTGCTCCCTGTGTGTGTGACAAGCATGATGCAGCAGGAGGAGCCATCATTCTCATCGCCTCCAGCATGGTCTGAGTCTTGTCTCTGGTGATCCTAACTGGAGCACAGACCCTTGTCTTCAGCCCCACTCAGCCCCTCCCATGCTTTGTGTGCTCAACACTCCAGCAAAGCCTCATGAGTGGCTGCTCTTACCATACCCTGCAGCGCTTTGCCACTATGCTGGCTCTGTTCAGGTCTCGTCTTTATATTCCTGCTGTAACTTTCCACATGTGGACCTCTGCACATGCCTCCCTCCATGCAGGGGGTGCCTTCACAAAGCCTTAAAGATCCACCTCAAGGCTGTTTCTTCTGAGAAGCCTCTCTGGCCCTGCCACTGCTGCCCGTAATGCCCATGGCATTTTGTACCTTCCCTGAGAAAGAAAGGGAAGGGAATGGAAGGAAGGAAAAAGGGAAGGGAGGGGAGGGGAGGGAAGGGAAGGTGCATTATCACATTAGAAAGGAAGAAGTACTTAGGCCAGGCGCAGTGGCTCACCCCTGTAATTGCAGCACTTTGGGAGGTCAAGGCAGGCGGATCACGAGGTCAGAAGTTCAAGACCAGCCTGGCCAACATGGTGAAATCCCGTCTCTACTAAAAATACAACAAATTAGCCAGGCATGGTGGCGGGCGCCTGTAATCCCAGCTACTCAGGAGGCTGAGGCAGGAGAATCGCTTGAAACCAGAAGGCAGAGGTTGCAGTGAGCCAAGATAATGCCACTGCACTCCAGGCTGGGCAACATTAGCGAAACTCCATCTCAAAAATAAATAAATAAATAAATAAATAAATAAAGGAAGAAGTAAAACTATTTCTGTTTGCAGGTGACATGATTTTATGTATACTAGGCTGGTGCAAAAGTAATTGCACCAACTTAATGGAAATCCTAAGAGGTCCACTAAAAAACTATTTGAACTTATACCAAGTTTAGCGAAGTTGCAGGATACAAAAATCAATGGAAAAACTCAATTATACTTCTCTTTACTTGCAATGAACAACCTGAAGATGAAATTCAGAAAGCAATTGTATTTATAACAGTATCAAAAAGAATAAAATTCCTAGGAATAAAGTTAACGTAGGAGATGCAAGACTAATACACTGAAAACAATAAAACATGTTGAAAGAAATTGAGGACTTAAAAAAAGATATTCCATGTTCATGGGTCAGAAATTTTAATATTGTTAAGATGTCAATACTTTCTTAATTGATCTACAGATTTAACACAATTCCTACTAGAATCCAAGTTGATATATTTTGTAGAAATTGACAAGTTCATCCTAAAATTCATATGGAAATTCAAGAGACTCAAATAACAAAAACAGTCTTGAAAAAGAACAAAGTTGCAGGGCTCACATGTTCCAATTTCAAAACATAACACAAAGCTGCTGTGATTGAGATACTGTCACTCTGGCATAAAGATGGGCATACAGAGAAATGAAATAGAATTGAGACTCCAGCAGATGTGCATGTTCTCACATTTTTGATCAATTGACTTTAGGCAACAGTGCCAAGATTATTTAATGGGGAATGAATAGTCTCTTCAACAAATGGTATTGGGAAAGCTGGATATTCACATGGAAAAGAATAGACTTGGACCCTACCTCATACCATATACAAAAATTAAGTAACAATAAATCAAATACGTAAATGTAATGGCTAACACTATTAAACTCTTAGAGGAAAACAGAGGCATAAATTTTTGTGACTTTGGTTTAAGCAATGGTTTCTTAGATATGACACCACTAACAACAAAAGAAAAGTAAGTTGCCCTTCAGCAAATTAAAACTTTTGTCCTTCCAGCAAAAGAAACTATCGAGTAAACAGACAACCTTTAGAATGGGAGAAAATTTTTGCAAAGTACGCATCTAACAAAAGTCTAATATCCAGCATCTAAAGGAACTTAAACAAATTTACAAGAAAAAATATCCCATTAAAAAGACAAAGGACATGAACAGACATTTATCAAAAGAAGACATCCATGTGGCCAACAAGCATATGAAAAAAAGCTCAACATCACTGATCCTTAGAGAAATGCACATCAAAACCATGATGAGATGCCATCTCACACCAGTCAGAATGGCTATTATTAAAAAGTCAAAAAATAACAGATGCTGGCAAGGTTGCAGAGAAAAAGGAATGCTTTTACACTGCTGGTGGAAGTGTAAATTAGTTCAACCTTTGTTGAAGACATGTGGCAATTCCTCAGAGACCTAAAGACAGAAATACTATTTGACCAGCAATCCCATTACTGGGAATATTCCTAACAAATTATATTTGTTATAAGTAAAATTTAATATTCAAAAAGCAAAGGAATAGAAATTGTTATATTATAAAGACACGTACTCACATATGTTCATTACAAAACTGTTCACAATAGCAAAGACATGGAGTCAACCCAAATGCCCATCAATGATAGACTGAATAAAGAAAGTGTGACACATATTCATCATGAAATAATATGCAGCCATAAAAAAGAATGAGATAATGTTCTTTGCAGGGACATGTATGGAGCTGGAGGCCATTATCCTTAGCAAACTAATGCAGGAACAGAAAATCAAGTGTCACACATTCCTACTGATAAGTAGGAGCTAAATGATGAGAATACATGGTCACATAGAGGGGAACAACACACAATAGAGGGGCCTATTGGAGGCTGGAAGGTGGGAGGAGAAAGAGAATCAGGAAAAATAACTAATGGATACTAGGCTTAATACCTGGGTGATGAAATAATCTGTACAACAAACCCCTATGATGCATGTTTACCTATGGAACAAACCTGCACATCCTGCACGTGTACCCCGAACTTAAAAGTTAAAAAAAAACTTTTGTGCTTCAAATGATACCTTATAGAAAGTGAAAGATAAACCACAGAATGGGAGAAAATATTTGCAAATAAAGGACCTGAATCTAGAATACATAAAGAACTCTTACAACTCAATAATAAAAAGACAAATAACCCAATTTAAAAATGGACAAAGTTGTGAATAGATTTTGCTTCAAAGAAGATATACAAATGGTCAATAAGCACATGAAAAGAAGCTCAACATCATTCATTTTCAGAAAAATACAAATCAAAACCATAATGAGATATCCCCTAACACTTACTAGGTTGGCTATGATTTTTAAAAAGACATAAGAAGAAGTGCTGGTGAGAATATGGAGAAATTAGAACCCTCATGCACTAGTGGAGGAAATGTAAAATGGTACAGCTACTTTGGGAAACATTCTGGCAGTTCCTCAAAAAGTTAAACATACAGTGGCCCTATGACCCAACAGTTCCTCTTGTAGGTATATACCCAAGAGAATGAAAACATAGGTCCACACAAAAACTTGTGCACAAATGTGCATAGCAACATTATTTATAATAGCCAAAAAATGGAATCAACCCAAATGTTTGATTAATGGGTAAGAAATGTATATATAAAATATGGCTTAGCCATACAATGGAATATATTCAAATACGTAAAGAAATAAAATTCTGATACATGCTACAATATGGATGAACCTTGAAAACAGGCTAAGTGAAACAAACAAACAAACAAACAAACACAAAAGGTCACATATTATGTGATTCCATTTATATGAAATTTCCAGAATGAGAAAATCCACAGAGTCAGAAAGGAGATTCGTGTCTGCCTAGGGTTGGGGGAAAGGAGATTCGTGGCTGCTAATGGGCACATGGCTTCTTGTTTGGGTGATGAAAATGTTTTAAAATTGACCATGGTGATGGTTGCACAGGTCTGTGACCATGCTAAAACCATTGAATTGTACACTTTACATTGGTGGATTTTACTATGTGAATTATATCCCAGTAAAGCTGTTATATAAAAAGGGATATATTACTGGAATTCCAAGGTTATTAACAAAATGCACCTTACTTTAAGCATCAAGTTAAGGTGCTCTATTATCTGTGAAAGAGTTGAAGATATAGAGGACTAAACCCACTTCGGGATGAATACATATTTGCTGAGGAAGGAGCTATACAAGGACTCTGGGAAAAAAATACATACACACACACACACACACACACACACACACACACACACACACACATAGTTTTACTCCCAGAGTTGAAAACTAAACATTAGAGCTACACTGTCCAATATGGTAGCTACTAGCTAAATTTACATTTTATACTTAAATTTATTAAAATTAAATAGAATTCAAATTTTGGTTTATCGGTTGCCCTATTCATATTTCAAGTACAGATGCTCTTCAGCTTACATCCCAATAAAAGCATCGTATTTGAAAATATTGTAAATTGAAAATTTACATGTAGCATACCTAACCTACCAAAGATGATAGTTTAGCATAGCATACCTTAAACATGCTCAGAACACTTACAGTTGACTGCAGTTGGGCAAAATCACCTAACACAAAGCCTATTTTACAATAAAGTATGGAGTGTCTCATGGAATTTATTGAACACTGTACTGAAAGTGAAACAGAATGGTTGTGTGGGTCCTTGGAGTATAGTTTCTACTGAATGCATTACCTCCTTTGCACCATTGTAAAGTTAAACCACCATGAGTTGGGGACCATCTGTACTCCATAAGCAAGTGTGGCTAGGGGCTACTCCACTGGACAGGTAGATTATAGAACATGTCCATCATTGCATAAAGTTCTAGAGCTGTATTAACACCTGCTTCAAATATTATTAAGAAACACGGTATAAATATATGGGTAGAAGAAAGAAGACATAGTGTTCAATAGATCATTAGAGCAACTATAGTTAAAAATCATCTATTGTCCATTTCAAAATAAAGGAGAATAATTTGAATGTTCCTCTCACAAAGAAAAAGTAATTTAAGGTGATGGATATCCCAGTGACCCTGATTTGATCTTTACACATGATATGGACATATCACATTATCACATATACTCCAAAAATATGTACATCTATTATATATTAATTTAAAAATTATTATTAAGAAATGTATTGGAAATCAAACACCCAGCTTTGGTTGGAGCAAATCCAAATCTAGGAAGTGGTTGTGTCGGCTCACAACTGATACTGATTAAATACTTGTTTATTAGATTAATGAATAAATAAAACTCTTCTTTTCTCTACACAGATCAACCACTCTGATGCTAAGAACAACAGATATTCTGGCTGGCCTGCAGAGATCCAGATAGAAGGCTGCATACCCAAAGAACGAAGCTGACACTGCAGGGTCCTGAGTAAATGTGTTCTGTATAAACAAATGCAGCTGGAATCGCTCAAGAATCTTATTTTTCTAAATCCAACAGCCCATATTTGATGAGTATTTTGGGTTTGTTGTAAACCAATGAACATTTGCTAGTTGTATCAAATCTTGGTACGCAGTATTTTTATACCAGTATTTTATGTAGTGAAGATGTCAATTAGCAGGAAACTAAAATGAATGGAAATTCTTAAAGGGAATGATGTGATTCAAGCTGGAAAGAGGGTTGGGAGAAACAGCTTGTCCAGGTGGAGCTATGTTATGATCAGATCGAAGTGTGACCCCTGTGTGGTCCAGACAGCCCTGCAGAGAGAAAACCTTTATTCCATTATCACCAAGCACCTCCTAGTTTCCGACAGTCATCTCCTTCTGCTGGGAGAATTAGCAGCAGTTCAGGGGGCTTATGTTATGTCCTTGTTCAACTCAACTTGAGCTCTTGAACTCCTCCTGTGGGCCTGTGAATGTATTCATTCATTCCACAACTCTGGGTGCCTCCCACGTCTGGCACCGGGGGTACAGTACACATTCCCTGCCTTCATGCCAGGCTGCTGAGCGGGGTGGGGAGGGAGGCGCTGCTCTCAGGAGGGCAACTGAACACCTCACTCTCTAGAAGATGCAGCAGTAGATCCAAGAGTCCAGGATGTTCCACACGTGCTGGAACGGTGGGTCAGATGACACATGTGATTCGGGGCTAAGAAAATAAGAGTCACTGGGGCCAGCAGTCACTGCCAACTGTCCATTCTCACCTCTTTCCCGGGCCTGGCCCCAGAAGAGCTAGGAGACTTTGGTGCTGGGTTAATATTCCTTCTCTGAGCCTCTATATCTCATCTGTAAGATAAAAGAGTTGGGATAGATGAATGGTTGCCAAGCATTTTTGTTGGCAGGACTCCTTTTAAAACATGGTGCTACATGGCACCCCGAATTCCAGCATTCTCACAGTAACACACTGCCCCAATTCTCAGTGGCTTACGACAGCATTGATTTCTTGTTTGTGTTAATGTGGCCACAGGCCAGCCACGGCTGAGCCCTAGGTGTGAAAAGCCAGGCTGAAGGGGTGTCCCCTGTCAGGCATGAAAGCCAGAGAGGGAACAGAAATCCAGCCTCCAAGCCCCACCAAGCTCCTGGCCTGATGTGTCAGCCCCAGCTGCTCACATCCCATGGCTCCAAACATGGGAGGCACCAGGTCAGCGAGGCCAGAGTATGTCAACCCCTTCCTCAGGGGCCCCAGCAAACCATGGACTGCATGGCTGTGGGCTGCGTGACAGCCCTTGTCCAAAGAAGGGGGTGGCCACTGTGAGTGGAGATACAATGACCTGATGACTGCTGAGAGCCAAGCAGTGCTCTGGCCCAGGGAGGAGCATCACCCAGCCTGCAAGCCCTGCCCTGGGCAGAGGCCCCTCAGGGAGCCTGGTTGTCTGCAAGGAAGGCTGCAAACCACTGGATGGGGTCATGGCTCAGATCCCAGTAGGGGCTGAACTGTATCCCCCAAAATTCATCTGCTGAAGTCCTAACCCCCAGAATGCAACCTTATTTGAAAACAGGTTAACTGCAGATGCGGTCAGTAAGGATCAAGAGGTCCTAGAGTAGTGTGGGCCCCCACCCATCAGGACTGGTGTCCCTATAAAAAGGAGAAATTTGGAAACACCCACCCAGAGACTGGGATGATGCATCTGTGTGCCAAGCAACACCCCAAATCACCAGCAAACCACGGGAAGCTGGACAGAGGCCTGGAACAGGGTCTGCCCTAGAGACTTCCGAGGGAGCACAGCCCTCCTGACACCTCGATGTGGTACTTCTGGCCTCCAGAGCTGTGAGACCAGAGACCTCTGCTGTTTAAGCTACTCAGGTGTGGTTCTTTGTGATGGCAACCCCACAAAACTAATATAGGCCCTTGTAAGTGCTAAGTTCTTAGGTAGGCATAGACGTTTCTGTGTATCAAAAAAGGAGGGCAGTACATTTTTATTCTGGCTGAAATTGCTATGTTTTTGTAGCTTCGTTGATCTTAGTTCACTGTCATGGAATAGGCCGCAGGGGAGCTTCTGGCCAGGCATCGCCCGGGGATCCGGCTTTGGGCTGTGAAGTTCTTGTGATGACGGCCCCTCCTACCCAGTGATGGCCCCTTGGCCCTCTGCTGCCCCTGCAGCTCACTGCTGCGTCCGCACCCGGGGCACAGGACTGTGAATTGCCATTCATTTCCACTTCCTGTTGATGTTTCCCTACAATGTGGTCTTTAGTGTGGAGATTGTCATTCCATCTCTGAAGGCACTGGGCACTGCCAGCCCCCAGCCCAGTCCCCCACCGGTGGGCACCACGCAAGGGGGCTTGCCACATCAGAGTCACATTTCCTACGCATTGTGGACCCTGCTGGTTACCCCTCACACCCGCCCCGTGACAGGGTCATGATGATTTAACCTAGTGGGGCTGGTGAGGCACAGAGAGGCTAAGGACCAAACAGCCAGTCTGGGTGCAGTGGCTCACAACCAAATTCCCAGCACTTTGGGAAGCCAAGGTGGGCAGATCACTTGAGGTCAGGAGTTCATGACCATCCTGGCCAACATGGTAAAACCCCATCCCTACTAAAAATACAAAACAAATTAGCTGGGCATGGTGGCACATGCCTATAATCCCAGCTACTTGGGAGGCTAAGGTGGGAGGATTGCTTGAACCTGGGAGGCCGAGGTTGCAGTAAGCAGAAATCTCACCACTGTACTCCAGCCTGGGCAACAGAGCGAGACTCCATCTCAAGCAAACAAAAAAGAAACAAAGAGCCAGGTCACACGGACAATGACAGGGTGGAGTTCCACTCCAAGGTGCACCCGCTGCTCCTGTGCTCTGCTGGGAGGGACACACCCCAGGTAAGAACCCTGCTTGTCTACAGCACTTCACCATTGCCTTTGTCCTGTTAATTCAGGAAAGCATTTGCTTGATCTTTCCTTCTGTGATTGGAGAGGCCATGGGAGAGTGGATGCATGCTGGCTCTGGATGGCTCCAGGTGCTGCAGGTGCTTCCAGGTGGCCAGGAACTTCATCAGCACACAGAGGCGCTGGCGCTTTCCATAGAGTCAGCGTGCCAGGGCAGGAGGCGGGCACTGGGGCTTCTGGACTTCGCCTCTTTACCAAGCTGCACACTGTAACGCTCCCTGATGTGGAGCTGAGGGAAGAGCTCCGCCCAGCGGCTGTGACCGAGGCCTGAGCAGCAGCATCTTTTCTGGCCCCGGCCCCTGTGCTTGGATGCTGCGTGGGACATTCATTCACCCTCAGGGCTTTAGTGCTCAGAACGCAAGAACCCTGTCCTTGAAGTTTGCATGCGCAGGCACCTCTGGTCCTTCCCAGGGCTGCTGGTGAGGGGCGTGCAGGAGGGGGATGCTGCCTTGACAGAGGGTGGAGGGTCCCCTGAGCTGGCCCGAGCTGCTCGTGTCCCTCTGTCCGGCTTCTCTGAGGCCTTTCTTTGTGCCTTCCTTGAAGCAGTAGGCCGGCCCAGGCCCTGTTGTGAAAGACATTCCTAGTGAAACCGAATGTCACATCACGCTGCCAAGTCTGAGATTCACATTCCTCCCCTCACTCCTCAGCCTCTGTCCGCCCGGGCTCTTGGGAAGAGAAGTGGTTCAGGGATAGGTGATCCTGACGATGATCTCCTGGTGTTAATATTTCTAATGCCAAGGTTTTGAAAAACATGTTAAGTTTCTAAATATCTTCCGTAAAGTTAAGCCTGCACTCAAGGGAAGTCACTACAATGACTTAGCCAAGAGGAGCTCAGGAGTTTTTTTAAACGTATAGTGTTGATGTCTGGGAGAGGATCACGGGTGGATAGGAGAGCTGAGAGCCTGCTTCCTCCCTCCCAGCCATCACTGCCAGTCCTTGAGAGGCTTGGTCCCCTCCCCGGTGTCTGGAGGGCTCCTCCTGGAGGTTCCCAGACCTCTTGGCTCTGGTGATGGGAATGCCTGGCCCTCCTTGACTTTGGTCACAGAGCAGGAAGCCTTAGGGAGCATGCGGTTGTGCACCTTCACTTTTGCAGGTGAAAAGTAACTGAGGACCAGAAAGATGACATGCAGCTGGCTCAGGGCTGAGTTCCGGAGCCTGGGGTTTGTCCTGGGGCCTCCTTATCTCCAATGGGAAGAAAACCGTCTTGGTTTTGCGGCGGGGACCTCAGGCACGGGTGCTTGGAGAAAGCTGTTGACCCTCCTTCTTTGGGTTTTCCGCACCTAATGAGGGGAGAGGTGACATTTGTCAGGTGCGGCTCAGGCATGAAGCTAAGCAGGACAGCTCAGAGCGTCCAGATCATGTACCTGAGAGCATGTCCTCGGCTGTAACAGGAGTGCATCTGTGAGGCCCGATACACGAACCACACGTGGCTATTCATTCAAATTACATGGAGTTCGAAGTCCAGTTCCTTGGTCGCAGTAGTCACATTTCAGAGCCACACAGGTGGTACTGGATGGCACTGTCAGGGCAGAACCTTCCAGTGACTGAGCCACTCTGAGCTGCCCCCATGCCAGCCTCCCCTGGAATCTGTTAGCAATGCTGATTCTCAGGCCCAGCCCAGACCTGACAGATCAGACTCTCTGGCGGGGGTGGGGGGACAGCCGCCCCGTCTCCACAGCTCTCCCAGGATTCGGATGCAGCTGGAGTTTGGGGACCACTCTGTGAGTCATCTGGAGAGCACGCTGATAACTCAGTTTCATTTCTGTGGCCAGATCAAGTAGTTTCATTTCTCTCCCTGTTTGTTGATGACGGAGCAGGGGAGGGAGTGGTTCATATGCCACATAAAAGTGAAGTGGAGGAAAGGGAAGAGATGATTTCTCCATCCTGAACGTGCAGCGGTAAGAGCGGGGCCGGTGCAGGGAGGGCTGCTTTGTGTCTGATGCACAGCAGATGCGTGTTTAAAAAATATTTCCTGAGTAACGTGACATCTGCTTGGTGAATGTGGCTTGTGCTGGGAGGCAGGAGCCACAAAGATAAGATTCTGGTGTGAGGAGCAGAAAGGGCCCATGTTGCCACCAGCCCACAGTAGCCTTGTGCACAGACAAAGAGGCTCTGGAGGGGAAGTGGCTGGCCCTGGGGACAGGGTGGCCTCCATCCTGATCTGGCCAAAAGTCGGGTGGACGCAAAGGGGTGGTTTTTAGGACAGCTTTGCTCAGCGTCCTACAAAGTCTGGGGGTTGAGTAAGGAGCTTTGTGCCCGAAAAGTCGTCTCGGAGGGTTTCAAGTGTTCCTTCTTTTGTGGTATTTGTGATGCTCTGACGTAACCTTAGTGACGGTGATATGCTGGGAAATTGGCTCTCATGGGGCGGGGCAGGGCAGAGGGTGGTGCCTGATTTCTAGCCTTTGCCGATTCTCTTCCGTTCTCATGGTGTGAATGCTCCCACCGTGGCCAGTTCCCAGCCAGTAGGGGCCAACTCCAGCACTCTGGACCACTGCACCCTGGATCGCCTGCACTCTGGGGGCTGAAGTCCATTTTATAATTGATATAGAGCGGAAAGGAGACATGGTGGTATTGATGACGCAGTTTTTTTTTCTTTTTTTTTTTTTTTTTTTTTTTTTTGAGAGAAGTTCTCGTTCTGTTCCCCAGGCTGGAGTGCAGTGGCGTGATCATGGCTCACTGCAGTCTCAAGCTCCCGGGCTCAAGGGATCCTCCCACCTCAGCCTCCCAAGTAGCTGGGACTACAGGTGTGCACCACCACACCTGGTTAATTTTATTTCTTTTTGTAGAGACAGGGGCTCTCTATGTTGCCCAGGCTGGTCTCAAACTCACTGGCTCAAGAAGTCCTTACGCCTCAACCTCCCAAAGCACTGGGATTACAGGCGTAAGCCACCCCATTCGGCTTTGATGACACCTTTTGAACACTGTTCTTTCTCATTTTGTGTTTAGAATGTTGTCTCTAGCTGTTTAAAAAGATCAGGATTCCAAGCTATCTTTCCTCGCACCCTCTCCTCCGTTTACTCTGCTCTACTTCCCAGCCCCGCGCCAACCCCTGAAGCACTTTTGACTCCCTTCGGATGTACAATTTTTTTTTCTTTTTCTTTTTTGAGACAGGGTCTTCCTGCTCTGTTTCCCAGGCTGGAGTGCAATGGTACCATCATAGCTCACTGCAGCCTTAAACTTCCGGGCTCAAGTGATCCTCCTGCCTCGGCCTCCCAATGCATTGGGATTACAGGTGTGAGTCCCTGCGTCTGGCCAGGATGTATGTGAGCTTTATTTAGGTTTAGCCCCTGCCCTAGAATGCAAGCTCCCCCAGAGATCTTTGTCTGCCTGACTCGATATGTATCTCAAGGACTTAGTGCTCAATATATATCTTTGAGTGGGTGAAAAACAAGCGGTCTTAAAAAGAAAGGAGGTGAGCCCGGGGAGATAAGGTCGCATTCAGTGCCAGTGCTTGGTCAGCCATGACCCTGCACCATGCGAGTGACATTGGGACTGGAGCAAAGGGACACAGCAGAGTGGCCCCTGGTGCCCAGGACCCGGCAGAGCTCTCGGACTGGTTGCAAGCCAGCAATAGTGGCTATGCCCGTGTGGGAGACGCAGCTTGCCTTAGACTTCAGCGGGAACCACCATGTCCGGCACAGCCATTTCCATCCTTCCCAGGGGTGCTTACGTGATCCTGGCAGTCTCAGTCAAACTTCCAAACTCAGCAGGGAATGTGTGTGCTTGTCCTCCAATCTCAACACCCTGGGATGCAGTGTCAGGTGCAGGTCAGAGACAGCAGTGGAGACCCGATTCCCAGCCCTGGGCTGGGGCCCCCACAAGGCCTCCAGCATCTCCCCATGGCCCAGTTTCCTCATCTGCAGGACAGGCTCTCTTGAGAATTTGGGGGGATGATAGACCCAAAAGCATTCTGGAGCCAGAGGCTTCTGCCTTCGTCGGGGGCATCAGGGAGTGTCAGTCATGAATTCACCATGACTTCTGACCACCTCTGCCTGGACTCCCTCACCTCAGTGCTGCCTAAGCTGGGTAACCACCAGCTTCCTGGGCCTTCACCCCGCAGGGCCTTCCTCTCCAGTGATGCGCCTGGAAAGAGGGATTTCTCTTTGCAAAGGTCTCTGGAATTGCCAAGTTATGGCTTTAAGCATATGTAGGGAAACTCCCTCCCCTTTGCACTTTTGGAGTTTTTTTCCAGCCCTCAATAGAAATCAATACAGTGACCAGGCTGCCCTTTTCACCACACTCTCAGGCTCCTGAGGACCCTGGTGGAAGATGGACTAAGCACATCCTGGGCATCGGGGACAGGCACCGGCTCCTCAAGCGTGGACAGGGACAGGGATGGGGCGGGGCAGCGCTGCAGGAGGTGGGGCCTGGGCTGATTTTCTTGCTGTACTACTTTCAGTCACTACGTACCTGTTATGGGTTGAACTAGGCTCCCTGTATTAGTCAGAGTTCTCTAGAGGGACAGAACTAATGGAATATAAAAAAATAAATATATACATATATATGGAAGTTTACTAAGTATGAATTTACAGGATCACAAGGTCCACAATAAGCAATCTGCAGCCTGAGGAGCAAGGGGAGCCAGTGTGAGTCCCAAAACCTGAAGAACTTGGAGTCCAATGTTCGAGGGCAGGAAGCATCCAGCACAGGAGAAAGCTGTAGGCTGGGAGGCTAAACCAGTCTCTCTTTTCACATTTTTCAGCCTGCTTTATATTCTAGCTTTGCTGACAGCTGATTAGATGGTGCCCACCTAGACTGAAGGTGGATCTGCCTTTCCAAGCCACTGACTCAAATGTTAATCTCCTTTGGCAACACCTCACAGACACACCCAGGATCAGTACTTTGCATCCTTCAACCCAATCAAGTTGACACTCAGTATTAACCATCACACCCCTCAAATGTATATGTTCAAATCCTAACCTCAGAACCTCTGAATGTGACCTTAGTTGGAAATAGGGTCTTTGCAGATGTAATTAAAGACGAGGTTGTTTTCCAGTAGGGTGGGCCCTAATCCAATATGACTGGTATCCTTATAAAACAGGAAAATTTGTTTGTTTGTTTGTTTGTTTGTTTGTTTAACTTCTATTTTAGGTTCAGGGGTCCATGTGCAGGTTTGTTACATGGGTAGATTGTGTCATGGGAGTTTAGTGCACACATTATTTCATCACTCGGGTAATAAGCGTAGTAGCCAATGGATAGCTTTTTGCTCCTCTCCTTCCTCCCACCCTCTACCCTTGAGTAGGCTCAGGTGTCTCTTGTTCTCTTCTTTGTGGCCATGTGTGTTTAATGTTTAGCTCCCACTAATAATTGAGAACATGTGGTATTTGGTTTTCTGTTACTAGATTAGTTTGCTTAGGATTATGGCCTCCAGTTCCATCCATGTTCCTGCAAAGGACATGATCTCATTCTTTTTGATGGTTGCATAGTATTCCATAGTGTATATGTACCACGCTTTTTTATCCAGTCTACCATTGATGGCCATTTAGGTTGATTCTATGTCTTTGCTATTGTAACGGTGCTGCCATGAACATTCGTCTGCATGTGTCTTTGCGGTAGAATGATTTCTATTCCTTTGGGTACATACGCTGTAATGGGATTGCTGGGTCGAATGGTAATCCTGTTTAAGTTCTTTGAGGAGTCACCAGACTGCTTTCCACATGGCTGAACTAATTCGCACTCCCACCAGCAGTGCAGAAGTGTTCCCCAAAAGGGGACATTTGGACACAGACACGCAGAAGCCCACTCCTGCCTCCTCACTCAGCCTGGATTTGTCTCAGTCGCCCTCGCTTGCCTCTCACACGTGTGCACCCTCACACTGCTTCAGCATCTGCCGGTCCTCCGGCCTTTGCTCTTAGAGCAGAGATTCTCAACCTTTCTCCATTTGGGCTTCCCTGAGTGGTTCCGTAGTTCATTTATGGTGCCCGCCACCCAAAATAAATTCCTGGCAGTTCTATTTACTAATTAGGTAGGTCCAAACAACTCAGTAATAGTAGGCTGGGTGGTGTCCAACAGCTGCCTTCGTGTATCACTGGGAAATCTTAAAGATCCCACAGTGGCCTGTGAGTTTGCTGAAATACCCCAGGTGCACAGTTTGGGGAACATAGTCTTATAGATTTGATGAATTCCCTTTTTGCACCTGTATATCACTCACGGGGCTGATCTATGACTGGTGTGCTAGTCCATTTGTGTCACGATAGAGGTAAACCTGAGACTGAGTAACTTACAAAGAAAAGAGGTTTAGCCGGGCACAGTGGCTCACGCCTGTAATCCCAACACTTTGGGAGGCCAAGTCGGGTGGATCACCTGAGGTCAGGAGTTGGAGACCAGCCTGACCAACATGGAGAAACCTCATCTCTACTAAAAATACAAGATTAGCTGGGCGTGGTGGTGCATGCTTGTAATCCCAGCTACTAGGGCAGGCAGAGGTCCTTCTCAGATGCTTTGGGTCCTGCCATTGAAAGGGAAGAAGAGAAGTCCCTTCCCTGGGAGAGCCTCAGTGATCCCTGCACAAGACCAGCCGTCTTCCTCCGCCCCATATTGTTCAGCCCTGGCACCCTGTGTTGTGCGTGGAGTCCCTTGTTTTCCTCTATCTTATCAGGAACCAGTTCTAGGTTCCTAACCTGGTCTGACCCCGGCACCCTGTCCTGTTACACAAGAAACCCGGATGCTGATATATATATGTCCCAACATTGCCCTTCCAGAGCCTCTCCAGCTGTGACTCACTGTTGACATGGCAACCCCCACCCCCTGGACTCCTCGCTCAACCCACAAAGACTATCTCTTGCGTACTCTGCTCTGAGGTGTTTTAAAAAGCGCCACCATAAACCTGTAACACAAGAATGAAACCCAGCAAGAATCAGGGGACAGGAACCAAGGAACATGACATCACGTGAGAACTAAGGGCCGCTCTGATTGACCATAGCATTTGGCTCTCAGCCTCCCACGGCCAAGGCTAAGGGAGGATAGGACAATTGTCTCTCTCACTCTTGAACAAGAGGGAGCTCCTGGATTCACCGGGAGAGTAAATTTGACTAGCTTGGACTTCTGCAAGGTAATTTGTTGTGACTGCATATTAAGGAGACTAATCTTAACATAATCTTAACATAATTTCTTTATATTAAGGAGATTAAATAAATCCATGGATATGTTCTTGAGTGAAATTTTTTTTTTTTTAAAGCAGAGACCTTTTCCACGGGATCACATTTTCTTTTGACACTCCTGGGAGGCAGGCAGGACCATGTTAAGTGGCTGTTTTTCAGTGAATGATTCTACGGGGAAACCTGAATAAGATGGTAATGTTATAGGAAAGTGTCTGATGCAGAACCCGGCAATGGCTAAAACTGGAAGATGCAAAGCAGCCTGCTAGTGTGGGAGCTGCAATAAACCAAATCCCTTTTTTTTCTCAGTCAGAAGGAGGGACTTTCCAAGCTTGATCCTCTAAGAAAAAAGGATCCCCTCCTATTTTCTTACCGATTTTCAATTCATCCAGAATGCATGCTTCTTAGTCTTCAGACTCCTGGCCTGGTCACCGCTTGAAAATATTTGGCAGCCCCCTGGTTTAACAGCAGCCTCGAAGTTGACAGCAACTCCAAATCCTGCGGCTCAGCAGTACAGAGCCAGCTGGCCTCACCTCTCCTCTGGGTCCACTGCATCTTATCAAGGCCTTGCTGTCCTTCCTTGGATCCGTCACCCCCGACCTGGCCCTCAGTAGCTCCCTCCTGGATTCTGACCTCACCCTGTTCCTCATCTTTGTCTTAACTCTTAACTTGGCTGTCTGCTGCACCCTGACAGCCACCTTGTCTTCTCTTTTCTCCTCTTCTCTCACCAGCTGTCTTCTTGGTTTTTCAGTTCCCCTCTCTCAAGACCTGCACTTTCTCTTCAAGTCAAGGTCCACAGCTCCCATGCTCTGCATTTATACTGGGCTGCGGAAGCTCCCACGTGGGGACCAAGCCCTGGAGAGGAACCCACAGTGCAGCGGCTCCTGAAAGCAGAGGCCTGCACCCCTAAGCCTCTTAAGCCCCCCACTTTCATTCCCTCCTGCCTCTGTGCATAGCCCAAGTCCCACCTGTCCATGTGTCACCCGGCTCTTCCGTGTCGTCTCCGTGAGCCTGCAGGGGCACCCAGCCAGCCGACAGGCTCCCGAGACAGTCCACTCACACAGACACACTGTAGCCATTTCTGAAGATTGTGCAGGGGAGACAGATGGTTCACCAGGCACACACCAGACAACCCGAAACCTACATTCCTTACTCAACAGGCCCGTGTCAGAAAATCCTCCCTAAACTGCAATGGGGAGGGGGACTGAGGGAATTCTCATCCCCTACATGTCACCCCACGGCTCACTCCTGCCTCCGACCTTCACACATGTTCACCCCTGCAACTTTTCACCCCTTTATTTTGCAGAGCAATCTGTGCCCAGCTCCTGTCCTCTCAAACTTAATCAGCTCATGATACGCTTAGCAAGACCTGCCCTTCATGAAAATGAGGGTGAGGGTGAGGGTGGCGACAGTTTTAAATATGTTTTAAAAGGAACATGAAATGAAGAATATTGGGCTTCACAAAAGGAACCCTCCTTTCCCTTGTTCTTTCTTCCCATGGAGAGGAAGAAGTTGAGGCTGAGTTATCACCTCCCATCAGCACTCGGTTTTGTTCCTGGACCCCTGACTTCGTCACCAAGGGCAGCTGGCTCCAGCTCTCAGCCTTTGAAGGATATTGTGGCTAGGGGTTCAGAGTCCCAGGCTCCCTCCCAGACAGATGGGTGGAGTGAGGCCACCTGAGATCTCACTTGCTAGGGTGGGTGCCACCAGGCCCACCGAGCTGCTGGGTCCTGGCCAAGCCCTCCTGTACCCCCTGAGAAAGTCTCCGTAGGGCTAGGAGCTGTTTGTGCCAACTTTAGATGGACTCATCTCTCAGTGATCCCATAAAATTGCTGCCTAGCCCTTCTGGTTTCAAGGATTTCACATCAGAAAACGTTTTACGAACCCAGGGCTAGTTCTGAAAACAGGAAGTGCTTTCAGCCCCCATGGGAGGAGGGGGGTGCAGGAGGCCTGTGGACCTGGACCTCTGGGAGCCAGGCTGGAGAACAGGAGCTGAAGGCTGAGCGGCGGCGGGGCCATTCACACAACCATGGTCTTTCCTCCCAGTGAGGAGGGACCCCAGGTGGGGCTGCTGAGCTCAGGAGCCGCTGGCTCTGCTGGAAGATCCGCCCCTCTGAGGCTGCGCGGGGAGGATGCAAGACTGGGCAAGAGCTCATTAGGAAACGCTGAGACAGAGGGTCCTAGTGAAGATTCCACTGCAGAGAGGGCAGTCCAGGTCATCACAGGGTGACATCTGGGGATGAGGCTGGCCGGGGCACGGGGCAGGTTTTTGAGCCCGGCAGTGTAAGCAGTCTCTGTCCCAAGGGAGGAAAGCCGCTGAGAGCTGCTGGGCCAGCAGGTGGGAGTGCTGGGCTGGCCTCAGGGTTTCTGGAAGGGGTATTCCCGAGAAGTGAGGTGCTGCTCTGGGACTCTGGTGCCCCTGGGGCCTTCCTGCAGGGCGCTCTCAGCAGCCACCTTCGGTAGAAGCCAGGGCCACCCTGCATGGGGGATGATGCCGCATCCAGCACAGAGCCTTGCGATCAGTCACTCTCCTCCCTCCACAATAGCGGGGACCTCCCTGCCCGCCGCACCCCTGCCCCCCGCCCCCGCCCCCGCTCCCGCCCCGCCGTGGCTGTGCAGCAAGCAGGGGACAGTCCCATCAGCAAAGTCGGGGAACTTCCAGGAAGCCCGCGTCCCCCTCAGCCTGCCTTTAGCCAGAAAAGATTCCAAGCTCTGCTCTCTACTTTGGAAAGCCAGTGTTTGCATGTGGAGATTGTTTTGCTAGACTCGACGAGGGTAGCAAAGCAACAGGAAGTGTTCCCCAGAGCTCCGCCCACGACTTGCGTGGCCCAAAGCTGGATGGTCGTCCGTCCCACCATGGCGGGTGGGTAAAGGTTCTTTTCCTGGGCTGTGTCATTCCACCCAGAGCAAGGGATAAGCCTGTGATAGCCGTAAATCCGGAACCACTACCAAGGTGAAAGACCTTCAAGTTAATTGTTGGAACCTGCGGCTCTAACACTTCCAGCAAAGCTACTTCTGTGAAAGCTGTGACGAGCAGAGGAAATGGGACAGGAGAGGAGCTGAATCCTGAGATTGTATCGCTAGGAGCCCCCAAAGTACGATGACGGTCCTCGGGCCAGCATGGGGGTGCATTGGCACCATGTAAGGAAAGGGGCCCTCCCGTGGCACCGTTGGAGTGGGGCGGTGTGGGGTTGTTCGGAGAGAAAAGTTTCCCATGAGCTCTGTTTCAGCAAACGGCGATGACCACTTCCGTGGCAACTAAACAGTCTTGCCTTCCTGCACGTGGACATTTTTCTTCATGCATATTTCTCTTGCAAATGGTTCTATTGTTTGTATAACAGTATTTCATGAGCGGAGAAGAGTTGGAAGCAAAAATCTGTTCATGAGAAATGTAAGTATGTGGTAACATTGCCTTCAGTGAAATTGAGAGCAGATCTAAAGGGATGTGAAAAGCATCAGGGTGCTCATATAGGAGGCAGGATCATTTCCCCCAGACCGCGGCCATGCGGGTTGTGTTTTATGGTAGGAGTGATTATGGCAGCCTATGTGTGTCTGGGCATAAGAATACTTATTCTATGGATCTTAAGGTAATTATGTGTTGGAATTATGTGTTGGAAAATGTATGGCGTGGAATTCAGTAGGGGAATGCTCACGATTTGTGTGGTTCCTGGAGTTGGAAATGGGTGGCAGATCCAGCAAGAGGCAAGATTTCCAAATGGACTGCTGAGTCATTCTTAGGGTGGGCTAGGAGAAAATGTGTTTTGGTCTGAAGGAGGGAGGAAGAAGACAAAAACAAGTAAATTAGAAAACGTGGTTGCAGGATTGAAATCTGATCCTGAAAAAGAGAGAATAGCCATGAGTATAATGTTTAAAAATACACACAAAGAAATCCACTGTGGTGGGAGTCACAAGAAGTTCAATCATTATCTGGTCTCGTCATCTCGAGTGAAGCTGTCCACTCCCAAAGCCGACTGCTTGGTCCATAGCTCTTAGTTTTTGCATCTGGAGGCTTTTGTGGTTAGTGTTGGTTTGAGGTCATTTGAGCTGATCCATTGGTCTGGGTTTGTTGCCTGTTTCTACTGACTCTTGAGTACTTGGGTCAACACCTTGGATCTTGACTGCCCTGGCATTTGCTAGGAGGACCTGAAATGGCTCCTTCCAAAGAGGTCTGAAAAGTTTTTGCCTTGAGGTCTCTTCCAGCGGACCCACACCAGGCTGGAGGTCAGAAAAGTCTGGCCGGCATTTCCTCTGGCTGGCATTTCCTTTGGGCACGAGACTTGGTGTGTGAGGCTAATCCTTGACAATGCTTAACTGCGTACATGAAATGGAGCAGAGCCAGGCCTTGCTGGAGTTACTCCTGGTCATGTACAGCATCTGGTTATGATCTCATGGGGTGCTGGACTAAGTGAGCACTCAGAGACGGTCACGCCAATAGCCTATTATATCCTCGACCTAGGAGTTAAGGAGTAATCTTCTGCTTACTCCTTAAGCAGCTCCTTAAGGAGCTGAGGCAGATAAATTGGGTGTGGCAAGCGGGGTGTCTGCCAGGCCCAGGAGCCCCGGCTGTCACCAGTGCATGATGTGACTTTGGGTGAGCCACATCTTCTGCTTACAGATAGAGGCCAAGACCGCACGGCCAATAAAGCTGGTGGCAAAACTCAAAGCCCAGAGAGATGGAGGGTTTTTTATAGTTAGGGAATTTCAGCTTCAGTGTGTGATTGATTTTGTATTTTGCGAACACCGAGGGTGATTCAGACAGTGAAGTGTCTGTGTTAGAAGAAGGACCCTCCAGGACAGTAAGTCTATAATCTTTTGATAGGAAGATAGGTATTGTCCATGCTGAGAATAGAAAGTCTAGCAAGAGGTAGACTTGCTATCATGAACCCATGGCTCTGAATCCTGTCTCACCTTTACAGTCTTGCCTGGGTTATATTGGTTGCAGATGAGATAGGACTCTACCACTTCCTGGGCCAATTCCAGAAAATTTCCTGACCAATATGCATTGCATGTAAAACTTAATTTACCTTTTCCATGATGCAAACAATTATGGAGTAATTTAGCTAGGAAGGCTCATGGCACTCAAGGACAGGTGTTCTGAGATGACCAGATTCCATCTTTATTAAGAAACTATTTTTGAGATTGCCAATATTACTTGTCAGAAGTTTGCATCGATTATTATGAGTCAATTATAAATGGATCCAATTTTCTTTCTGAAAGTTTGGTGGATAGATGTCAGTTACTATTTTAGAACTCTTAATATAGTATTTAAAGCTATTTTTTTTTAACATGAAGTCAGTAAGGACATCGCCCTTGACTTCTGGCATGGCTTCTCAACTAAAAGCTTCTACTTTAGTATCTCATACCTCCTTTGGATATTGGGTAGCTTCTAATAAGTTACTGATCCCTTACTCATTTTTGATGTGAACAATCACAGATATCATAAATCCTCTGTGCTTCCGTAGCATCCCCAAATCATAAGCAGCTCCAAATGCCCATCTTATCTATTCTTGGTATAAATGCTTACTGTTTTATCTCTTAAAATAATGTGACTTGAAGTCAGGACTACAGCTTAGCCACTGGGAAATAGCTCACATGAAGAGATAGAACATTTTGATGGGTGCATGGCAGTTTCCTACGCAGGAAATGCTTTCGCCATTTTTATTGTTTTTTCCTCCACAGCCTTTATTAAGCTCCTACTGTATGCCAGGTACTTTGGGCTGCAGGTACAGCTGTGAAAAAAAACAGGTAAAAATCCCTGCCCCCCTGGGGCCTTATTGCAGCTGGGGAGACAGGAAACAGGCAGAATCCATCAGGAAAGATATCGTGCAGATGGTGGGAATGCAGCTTTTGACTGTTGCCTCCCCCATCAGATCCTTAGCACCAAAAAAGGTGGCAGTGTCTCCCGGCTGGGTGTCCAGAGCCTGGCACACAGCAGGCACTCAATGAATGTTTACAGAGTGGATGAAGACTCACATTGACTCAGGAACTGCAGCTCAGAGAGAGCAAGGAACCCAACCAGGGGAGCCATGGAGCTGAGGCAGATAAATTGGGTGTGGCAAGGGGGGTGTCTGCCAGGCCCAGGAGCCCCGGCTGTCACCAATGCATGATGTGACTTTGGGTGAGCCACACCCTCTCTGTGCCTTGTTGGGAGTAGGCACTGGAGAGCAGGGGTGGGAGCGGTCATTAGGATGAGGTGTCCTGGAAGCCCACCCCTGCCAGGGCCCTCCAGGCTGCAGGCAGTCTCCAGCCCGAGGCCCTTTGGAGTTGTGTGGCTCCCCCTCCAGCTGCTCTGTCCACAGATCTTCCTGCTCTCCCCAACTCCCCTCTGCCCTTCAGCCCCACAGCCAGCCATTAGCTGACTTGTTGACCATGACTTCAAAGCATCCAGAATCCAGTCGGCTCTCACCACCCTCTTTGCCATTGTTTCCAAAAGGGTGTTGCCCCTGGGTTTGTCTTTTGGAGCCCCCCAGGAGAAGGGAGGACTTCAAAGACAGAAAGAGAGCTAGGCACCAAACCTCAAGCAGGCCTTGCTTTCCCAGACTCTCAAACTTAAAAAAAAAAAAAAAAAAAAAGCCAGACAGAGACAGGCAGGTGTCCTCCCAGCCGGGCCTCGATGGCTGTACTGCACCCCCCTCCTAAACAGCAGGCGGGAACCAGCCCTGGGACAGGCTCCACACACTCACTGAGCACCGCCTCCTGCACAGCGCAGTCCCTGCTCTCAGCCTGAGCAGGCGCAGCAGCCCTGCCCTCCCAAGAAAGGGGATGGTGAGAAGCCTAGTGTCCCCTCCACAGAGACCAGCGCCACACATGACAGCCACACATGACAGTGTTGGTACCAGCACTCAGTCTTTGAGCCACAAGTGCTTATAAGATGTAAGTAATAGTACGGAACCCTCCCACATCCTCAGGAGGAACGGTCAGCCCCATTTTCTAGATGTGAAAACTGACACCCAGAGAGATTTCAGCACATGCTCTGGGTCCCCGGGTCCCATGCACAGCCCTTGTGCTGGACGGCCCCAACCCTACTTTCTAATTCTTTATCCTAAACCCGGACTGTGGGCCTCATCTTAGGGAGATGGTGCTGCCACCTGCCTCTGGAGGACACTCTGCCTTGGCCTAGTCCTGCCCTGCCCCTCGCCGAGTGGAGCCTCCACAGAGGCTTGTGCATGGCTTTGGGATCCCGGGCGGCAGGAGTAGGGTCTGGGCTGGTGAGCAGGGACGGGGAAGGCCCCGACAGCAGACCCCATGAGGATGACTGGGCTCCATCCTACGTGGACCTTCTAACGAGCCACATGGAAGCATGTCCATCTGAGAGGTGGGAGAAGGAGGAAGTTGTCCCCAGTTGTCCCACCTCAGGATGGGAGGTTGCCCCAGGGGCTAGCTTCCCACTTCTCCAGGCTGCCATGCTGAAAGCCGGCAGGTGTCGCAGGTAGCAGATGTGGCAGGTTGCTCGAGGGAGAAACTCTGGACGCATGAGATTCAGTTGTACAGAGCCTGAGTCCTGTGGCCTGGCCCAACTGTCCCAAAGCCCCAGCACTCTGGCTGTGTGTAAACCTTACCTCTTCTTCATGCCCTTCCTGGTCCATGGCTGTGTCCTTTATTGTACCTGGTCTCCTTATCTTCAAGGGTGCCCATCACACCACTCTCCAGCTCAGAACCCTCCAAAGGCCTCCCTCACACCCACACACAATGCAAGACCTCTGCCCACATCTTGCAAGCCTTTTTCCTCCCTCTTTTTCACCAGTCACACTGACCATCTTCCTATTCCCTGAGCTCATTCCGACCTCAGGACCTTTGCACATGCATTTCCTCTGCGGGAGAGGCTGGTCCCCACTTCCTCCAAGCCTTGCTCCTCTGCCCATTCCCAGGCACACCCTCCAGTGGGCACCCAAGTTACCCTCACCCCAGAATCTCAAGCCCACCACCTGTCTTTCTCCAGACACTCCCTTGTCACCTGGAGCCTGGTTGGTTGGTATATTTGTTTTGGCATTTCCCTGCTAGGATGGTGTGCCAGGAGTGAGGGCTTGGTCTGACTTGATCACCACAATAACCACGTGGTGGAAAGTGCCTGGCACATTCAGAGTCGTACCCTTGTATGAGTCTGCTCAGGCTGCCATGGCAAAAGACCACAGACTGGGTGGCTTAGACAACACACATTGGTTCTCTCACAGCCCTGGAGGCTGGAAGTCCCAGATCAAGGTGTCGGCAGAGCTGGTTCCTTCTGGAGGCCCCAGGGGGAATCTGTGCTCTCCTCCCAGCTCCTGGTGGCTGTGGCAGAGGCCTTGGCATTCCCTGGCCTGGGCTGCAGCACTGCAGTCTCTGCCTCTGTCTTCACAGGCCCTTCTCCCTGTGTGTCTCCAGGTCCCAAATCTCCCTCTGCCTGTCTCTGATAAGGACACCTGTGATGAGATTTAGGGCCCATTCTAAATCCAGGATGATCTCATCTCAAAATCTTCACCTTAATTATATCTGCAAAGAGTCTTTTTCCAAAAAAAAAGTCATGTTCCCAGGTTCCAGGTGAACATAAATTTTGGGGGGACTGTGGGGACACCATTCAGCCTCCTAGATCCACATTACTACTAGAGGAAAGGGGGATACAGTGTGATCCAGAGTGTGGGGGGCTCCTGCCCGGAGCACAGGCCCAGCTCTGAGTCCTGGCTTAGGCGTCATTGGCCCTCCCGGATGTCAGTTTCTTGACCCTGAAAATCCAGATAAGGGCCAAATGCATAGGCTTGTTGTGAAGCTTAAATGTATGTCTCAGCATGGTGCTGCCCTCATCTGAGTGCAGGCCACAGCCTGAGAACTGGGGCCCAACACCTGCTTCTCCCACACTCCCCTGGTGCCTGGCCAAGCCCGGGTGTGAGGCCAGGTCTGGCTTCCAGCAGGCCCAGGAGGTGCTGCCTGTCATCTCTGCACACCTAATGGTTCTCCTGCCTGGTGCTGAGCCACAGAGACCTGATGCCATAGATGACACAGACCATCAGAAGTGACAAAGGAGACTGGGTGTGGTGGCTCACGACTGTATTCCCAGCACTTTGGGATGCTGAGGCGGACGGATTGCTTGAGCTCAGGAGTTTGAGACCAGCCTGAGCAACATGGCAAAAAACCCATCTCTATAAAAAATACACACACACAAAAAAAACTAGCTGGGCATGGTGGTGCATGCCTCTAGTCCCAACTACTCGGTAAGCTGAGGCAGGGGGACTGCTTGAGTCCAGGGAGGTTGAGGCTGCAGTGAGTCCTGATTGCACCACTACACTCCCCCACTGGGTGACAGAGTGAGACCCTGTCTCAACAACAACAACAACAACTACAAGTAGCAAAGGAACATTGAGACTCTACTGGGAATGTGGAGTCCACTGCCCCCCGTTCCCCAAGCCCGGGCCGGTAGAAATCCACTTGTGCTCTGTGGCTGCCAAGAGCCCCTCCTGCAGACAGGGGCCCTGCACTGGACCCCTGGTCTCTGCATCTGTGTGTAGGGGGTAGGTTGTAGGGTGGGGTGAGGAGGGGTTGGCAAAAGTGCCAACTCAGGGAGGACTTCTGGTGACCTGTGGGCCGCTCTCCCTCTTGTGTCTTTGCAGAGCTTGTCAGGAAGATCGGAGGTGCCAAGTAGCAGAGAAAGCATCCCCCAGCTCTGACAGGGAGACAGCACATGTCTAAGGCCCACAAGCCTTGGCCCTACCGGAGGAGAAGTCAATTTTCTTCTCGAAAATACCTGAAAAAAGAAATGAATTCCTTCCAGCAACAGCCACCGCCATTCGGCACAGTGCCACCACAAATGATGTTTCCTCCAAACTGGCAGGGGGCAGAGAAGGACGCTGCTTTCCTCGCCAAGGACTTCAACTTTCTCACTTTGAACAATCAGCCACCACCAGGAAACAGGAGCCAACCAAGGGCAATGGTAAGCCCGGTGGAGGGACGTTCAGAAAGGGTGCATTCTGGCTGCCGGTGCAGAGGGCTGTCATGTAAGCCCACCACAATAATAGAACCAGCCAGTCTGCTCCTCCAGCACAGCTGATGTCTCCAGCTCTCCTGGTCATGCCCAACAAGTACCAGGAACATACATAGACTCTCCTGCAGCAACGGGCTGCTGCGACGTGGGTCTGGGGCTTCTGTGTGCGGGGGTCCCCTTCCTGGAGCTTTTCTTTCAGCCTCCCCTGCAGCCATCACATTGCCAGCCCACCCACTTGCCACCCTCCCCAGCTCTGCAGCTCCCCAACCCAGAACCTCTCCTCCCTCTGGCTGGAGTCTCTGCCTCTTGGAACTTCTTCCTGGCTCAGTGCTCCCAGCCCCTCCCCAGGAGGCACACCCTGCACACCTGCAGCCAAATCCTCCCAGCATCTGCCCCTGTGAGGCCTCAATAGGAACAGAACAGAAGGGCCCCTGAAAGCAGCAGCACCCCTCCATCCACCTTCTCACCTCCTGTCTGCAACCCAACCTAACATCATAGCCGCACAAACTCTGCCACACATCTCCATGACACCAGGGACCCTATCAGGGGTCAAGGCAGTGGCATCTGTTCTGCCTTCTCCAGGGGCCCGAGAACAACCTGTACAGCCAGTACGAGCAGAAGGTGCGCCCCTGCATTGACCTCATCGACTCCCTGCGGGCTCTGGGTGTGGAGCAGGACCTGGCCCTGCCAGCCATCGCCGTCATCGGGGACCAGAGCTCGGGCAAGAGCTCTGTGCTGGAGGCACTGTCAGGAGTCGCGCTTCCCAGAGGCAGCGGTAAGTTCAACGGACCACCTTCCCTCCGCAGCAAGCAGCGCCACCTGTAAGCCACAAAGCTTCCCCAGGCACCAAGAGGTTTTAGAGACAGGCTGCTGGGTGAGAGAGCTGGGAAAGACAGGACGCTGGGAGAGAGGCCGCTGAGAGAGACAGGCCACTGGGAGAGACAGGCCGCTGGGAGACAGGCCTCTGGGAGACAGGCTGCTGGGAGAGACACGTTGCTGGGAGAGACAGGTCACTGGGAGAGACAGACCATTGGGAGAGACAGGCTGCTGGGAGGGACAGGCCATTGGGAGACAGGCTGCTGGGAGAGACAGATCACTGGGAGAGACAGGCCGCTGGGAGAGACAGGCCACTGGGAGGGCCCTAGGAGGGCAGCTTCTCAGGCCTGGTGGCAGGGGGCTGGATTCCCCATACATGTTTAAATAGCTTTCACTGCCCGTGTGTCAGTCAGGTGCAGGGACCTTGCCACCTCTTCCTAGTGGTCTTTGTAAGAATGTAGAAGCATTTCTTTGATAAGTTGATAAGTTTTAGGTGACAGGCGAAGCCTTCTTAAAGAATTGTCTCAATGTTTTGAAAACCTCTTATTTAGGATCATGATATGAGACACCTTTTCCTTGAACAAAAACTTTTAAAAGTCTGTTTAGAGTGAAGAAGCTGTTGTACATTCATAATTTAATAAAATAATTATAAAGGAAAATGATAAAGGCGGTACCCTCAGAGTGGGTACTGGAGAGTGTTTAGAAAGGAGTTTTTAGGTAAGCAGGGCATAGGGAAGCCAGCAAGAAGGGGGTGGGACAGGAAGGGGAGCAGCTTCCAGAACCCAAGAAGGAGCAGCATGCAGGGGCCCTGGCAGGTGCAGCGGCAGCAGAGAGCGCCCAGCTCCTTCTCCTCCCTGGCTCCCCTCTCCTGCCACTGCTGCTTACTTCTCAACCCAACCAGAATGCTGGGGTGGCCGGGAGGCATCTGATGGTTTCTCCAAGGTTGCCCAGAGCAAGGTGGGGCTGCTGGAGGGCTGCCCGGACCCTGCACAGCCCCCTGCAACAACCGCAAAGCCACAGTGAGCCTGGGAGAGTGCCCCTCCCCTGGCCTCCCTGCTGCCACCTGCAGCCTGGTCCTTTACCCAGCGTGTCCCGTAAGATGGCCATCAGCCTGGGCACAAGGCAGGAGAGAGTAAGGGTGTGGGATGGCCAGTCCTTCTCCGTGCTCTGGGTTCAGCATTTGGGGCAGTGAGACTACGGGGTGGAGAGTCTGAATGCCAGAGGGCAGGCACGGGACCCTGGGCGAGTCCCATAGTTGGAAGACGGGACAATACCTCCCTATAGGGCACGGGACAAAGGTCGCGGGTTCTCAGGGCTTCACGGCAGGAGCGTGAGGGCCCCCACCCCAAGGAACTCAGCACCGCTCCCACCTTTCCTGGGTTCAGTAGCATCGGAGGATCCTGCCTCAAAGGGCACTATCAGGATTCCCCTTGCTCCTCCTTCGGGATGTCCGGCTTCTCCTCCAGGCTTTCACCACCTTCTTCCCACTCCTTGAGAGGGGTTCCATGGCCCCTGGATGGGTCTCACTGCTCCACATTCCCGCCATCCCCCACCCCCCACACTAACCAGGGCTGCCCACCGGGACAATTACAGGGCCTGGGGCAGACACCTGACATGCTGACTCCAGCTGCAGAAAGACGGGGAGCCTGGACATGTACCGGAGCCCCAGCATCTGCCTCCATCACTTCCAGGGCAGTGTGGTGGGGGCTATGGCTGTGGTGAGGACTGTGGCTATAGCCACTTGCTCATGTCCATCGGAGCTCAGGGTGCTTACTCCGGCAGCGAACACTTCCCAAGGATAGCAGCACCTCCCAGGGCCCTGTGCCCCTTTGCATCTGCTCAGTCCAGACCCCCTCACCTACTACCAGGCCCCAGGGAGAGCCAGAAAGTGCAGACGAGGCCTTTGGGGACAGCAGGGCAGGTTCTGGGAGCGAAGGGCCCAGTGCCACTTCTTTAAAAGGAAACTGAGGATATTTGGGGAACCTCTCGCTCAGGAATCGTAACCAGGTGTCCGCTGGTGCTGAAACTGAAAAAGCAGCCCTGTGAGGCATGGGCCGGAAGGATCAGCTACCGGAACACCGAGCTAGAGCTTCAGGACCCTGGCCAGGTGGAGAAAGAGATACACAAAGGTGGGCCCACGTCATTCTGAGGTTCGGATCTGGCAGCCGCTCCTCTCACTTCCTCGGTTCCTTCTCCTCTTCCTCAAGTCACCCCCACAGTGACCACTCAGCTCCTAGCCCCATGTGCTCCCACATGGGGCTGAACCCATTGCTGTCACCTCCACCATCCCTCCAGGTCCTTGTCCAGGTCCCCTCTCATCGAGTCATCCCATGCCGAGGACCCTCTGGTGGCTTCCCTTAGCAGCCTGCAGCCCACGTGGCTGGCCTTACCTGTCCTCTCCCGCTCCCCGCCAGCCCAGGCTTTCTCTACTCCACAGGGTACTCGCCCTCTCTTCCTTCCAGGTTTCTCCCCTTCACCTGCCCAATCCCTACTCGATCTTTGGATCTCAGGTCACCTGCGCCCCCTTTGGAAATGCTGCTGCAGGACCCCTGGTCCCACCCCAGGTGTCACAACCATGGCTTGTCTTCCTGAAGTTCAGCTCTAACCCTGGCCAGCCACCTTGTGGCCACCTTTCCTCCCAGCACCCCCTCCAAATGCAGACCCCTCTCACCCAGCTGTGGAACAAGTTTCCCAATGCTTGTTCTTGGCCATGGCTGATCAGAAAAGGCTCAGTTGCTCCTGGAGTCCACACCCTTCTCCCCCGAGGGGCCCTAGTGGTTACGTCCCTTGGAGTGCACAGCCCTGCCTGCCCCAGGCACTGGAGCCTCTCAACCTCCCTAAAGGCTTCTCCCCTATCCTGCCTGCACAGCCTGTCCTGGACTCAGCCAGGATAGATGGAAAAACAATCCTGAATGTACTAAGACTCCCTGCAGGGAGGAACTAAGTCCAAGGAAGGCCTTTTGCATTACTGGATAGCAAACTCAGTGTCTGAGCGGGGGCCCTTTAGACGACCCTGTGGGCTCAGCCCTTTCCCACAGAACCCCTGTCTGCCTGGATCAAATGGCTTTCTGGAGGAATCCCTTCCCAAATAGAGAGGTCTTCACTCCAATTTCCGTGTTCACCCCTCTAAAACAGAAGCTGCTGGATACCCTCAATTAGCAAGTTTCCTAACTTCAAATTGCAAAAGGTCTGCACCCCAGCTGTGCCCACCACAGCTACTGTGGTGCTCCCAGGACATCTTGCAATGTTCGTTGACATCTGTCTGGAGTCTCACCAGCTGTGAGCTCTGTGGGGCAGGGCCAGGAGAGCTGTCTCTAGCAGACCAACAGCACACCATATGTGCAGGCTTGGTCAAAGTTTTGGGTAAGAATGAATAGTGAGGGCCAGGCGCGGTGGCTCAAGCCTGTAATCCCAGCACTTTGGGAGGCCGAGGCAGGCGGATCACGAGGTTAGGAGATCAAGACCATCCTGGCTAACATGGTGAAACCCCGTCTCTTCTAAAAATACAAAAAATTAGCCGGGCGCAGTGGCAGGCACCTGTAGTCCCAGCTACTTAGGAGGCTGAGGCAGGAGAATGGCATGAACCCGAAAGGCAGAGCTTTCAGTGAGCCGAGATCGTGCCACTGCACTCCAGCCTGGGCGACAGAGCGAGACTCTGTCTCAAAAAAAAAAAAAAAAAAAAAAAGAATGAATAGCGAGCAAACCCAAGACAAGACATCTTTAGAATAGCATCTTGGAACCCCCTCCACTGCTGGTGGGAATGTAAGTTGGTGCAACCACTTTGGAAAACCATCTGGCAATCTTCACTAAAGCAGTTGGCAGGAGGCCATACTTCCTTACCTTGTGGACTTCTCCATAGCTACTTAGTGTCCCTGTGACATGGCAGCCAGCTTCCCCTAGGGCTAGTCATCCAAAAGGAATCAAGGAGGAAGCCATGATGCATTTAGGAACTAGTCACACACCATCACCTCCACTGCATGTATTCATTAGAAACAAGCCCCTATGTCCAGCCAATAGACTGGGTGCTTTTGGAGGGAGGAATGTTGAAGGATTTGTGGACATATTTTAAAACCACCACAGCACTCACTGGAAAATGCTAAAAAGCAGGAAGAAAGAGAACAGAACCCATCCGCAGTCCCATAGCTAACATACCAGAATCTTTTCTTCTCGTCTTTTGGAAAGTGTAGGTCTGTGCACCTACATATTAAACAGCCATCTTGGTGGCTTCTGAGATCCCTCTGCAGGCTTCTCTGAAATGTTTTCTAAACACCAGGGACCTACTGAAGCTCTCATACCCTGGAAAGGAGCAGTCATTACCTTCAGGAACTGCTTCCTCACAGGGATCATTAATGAGGGCTCTGGGTTTCTCCCCTCCTGGCCTCCATAGCCCAGAACGTCATGGCCGGGAATGGCCGGGGCATCAGCCATGAGCTCATCAGCCTGGAGATCACCTCCCCTGAGGTTCCAGACCTGACCATCATTGACCTTCCCGGCATCACCAGGGTGGCTGTGGACAACCAGCCCCGAGACATCGGACTGCAGGTGAGCCCTTCTGGAATTTGGGATTGGGCTCTGCTGAAGTGGGGGAAGGGTCAGAGGTCCCCAGGGTCCTGGTGTACCTCCTGGAGCCTTTACACTGAGGGATGAGGATGGAGTCTCAGGTAAGACCTGCCCAGGTGGGGGCCTCATGCCCAGGTTCTGACTTGGGCTTGACAAGTCACAGAAAAAAGAGAGTTGGACTCCAGGGGACTGGCAGGCATTTGGGATAGTGTACGCCCTGCCCAGTCATTCAGGACTGTGAACCCGGTGTGATCAGTTGTGATCAGTTGTGCTGATAGTCAAAAGCGGGCAGAAATTTGGATTTTTACATGAAATCTGTCCATTTTGGCAATATTTTAAAAAATGAATGTTACATAAGTCATAACATGGACTGTGGTCCTGGTCTGGGCAGGAGAGGCACAGGGGTGAGGGAGGGCGACCGGGCAATAAGGACACACATCAGCCAACAGCAGGGCTGTGGCTTCTCTGCCAACAACCTACCCATCTAAACATGAGGCCAGGCACGGTGGCGCATGCCTGTAATCCCAACACTTTGGGAGGCCAAGGCAGGAGGATCACTTGAGGCCAGAAGTTCTAGACCAGCACGGGCAACATAGTGAGACCCTGTCTCTGCAAAATATAAACAAAATTAGCCGGGTGCAGTGGTACATGCCTGGGGTTCCAGCTACTTGGGAGGCTGAGGTGCTAGGACCACCCAAGCCCAGGAGGTCAAGGCTGCAGTGAGCCATGGTTGTGCCACTGCACTCCAGCCTGAGTGACAGAGAGAGACTCTGTCTCAAAAATAAATAAATAAATAAACCTGAGGTTGCCTGAAAACATAGTCCTCGCTCAGGTGCCTGAATCAAATGTGGTCCAGGAAAACTTGTGCATACCCTGTTTGGGTTAGGCCAGTCCCCGGACCAGCCCTGTCATGCTTTGGCAAGCCAGCTCATGTGGAAATGAAGGAGACAGAGTCGATGCCAGGGCAGGGGAAGGCTGGGGAGATGAGGCCCTCCTTTGCTAGAACTGAGGCCACTTTCCTGGCTTCTTCCATTTTGTGGGAGACAGTGGCAGTGTTGACAACCCAACCACAACCAAATTAAGGGGTGGCAGCCCTAAGAGCCTCCTGGGTGGGGTCTTCACTAGCTCTGCTGTTTGGGGCAAAATCTTGGTTAGTGATCTTCCTCAACATCCAAATCGCCATTCTCTGTCTCTCTAAGAGCAGGGAAATTAGCTCGTATCACTTGCTGAGTTAAGTGATGAATTCCATATTTCTTAGCCCTCCTAGGAGGGTGGCTGATTCATCCATCAAGTTATGGGATTTCCTAGAGACTGCAAAAGATCCTTGGGTGGTGATATGGTTTGGTTCTGTGTCCCCACCCAAATCTCATCTCAAATTGTAATCCCCACGTGTCAAGGGAGGGACCAGGTGGGAGGTGATAGGATCATGGGGGTGTTTTCTCCCATGCCGTTCTCGTGATTGAGGGAGTTCTCATGAGAGCTGGTGGCTTTAAAGTGTGGCACTTTCTTGTTCTCGCACACATTCCCTCCTGCCGCCTTGTGAAGAAGGTGCCTGCACCCCCTTGGCCCTCCCCCATGATTGTAAGTTTCCTGAGGTCTCCTAGCCATGCTTCCTGTTAAGCCCGTGGAACTGCGAGTCAGTTAAACCTCTTTCCTTTATAATTACCCAGTCTCAGGTAGTGTTCTTTATAGCTGTGTGAGAACGGACTAATACAGGTGGGATCAGAACATGCAGCTTCCTCCTGCCACTTCATCCTCTCCTCTATGGAGGATACACATGATTTGGTCTGAGACAGTTTGATCTCAAACAGTTTCATCAAAAGCAAGTTGGTTGAGACGGCAAAATTTTTCCGTTGTTGTAAATATTGGGGGAAATAAGTGTGCGGTCTCTCTAAGCTTTTCATTTATGTTTCAGATTTCTAAAGGGCTTTGTTTCTCTACATTCTTTTACTTCTAATTATCAGCTCATAATTACAGCCACGTGCCCTATGGGACTGGTTAATCCCTAACAGTGAGTTATGATGCACGTTGTACAGTGTGCTCAGTTACCAAGCCTTGACCTGGTGACCAAAAAGAATTCTATCTGAAAGGGTGGCAGTATACGAAAACACTGCCAAGTGAACAAGTGTTTTATAAAAATTAATTAGGTTCCAGCTACTTGGGAGGCTGAGGCTTGAACCTGGGAGGCAGAGGTTGCAGTGAGCCAAGATCGTGCCACTGGACTCCAGCCTGGGCCACAGAGTGAGATTCTGTCTCAAAAAAAAAAAAAAAGAATTAAAAAACTAATTAGGAATAAAATGCCCTACCTTAAGTTTCTTTTGTTTCTTTAATTCTTGCTTAAATCATTACAAAGGGATTTTGTTATTGAAATTGTCAAGATAGAACAGGAAGAATAAATGTTATTTTATGCCCCATCCCTGTTAACATGGAGTATATAAACCTGCAAGTGGCCTTCTGTGAGTGTGAGTGTGAGTGTGTGTCTCCTTACCTGTCTCACTGTCTTATCATCCATGTGTTTACTGGAGTAGCACTTCTAATTTCTTTCAAGAATTTTTCCTTTGTATTCAACACTTAGCTAACGGGTTGGCACAAGCAGCTTAGCTTTTGGCCTTTACATGCCTTTCTCACTAAACTCAATCATTTCTAGCTTTTAATTTAAAGTAAGAAACATGCAACTTTTCCTTTTAGTTGAAGGAAGGCCACTGATGGTTTGGCTGTGTCCCCACCCAAATCTCATCTTGAATTGTAGCTCCCATAATCCCCACGTGTCGTGGGAGGGACCTGGTGGGAGGTAATTGAATCATGTGGGCAGGTCTTTCCCGTGCTGTTCTCTTACTAGTGAATATGTCTCATGAGATCTAATGGTTTTATGAAGGGCAGTTCCCCTGCACACGCTCTCTTGACTGCTGCTATGTAAGATGTGCCTTTGCTCCTCCCTTCCATCATGCTTCTGAGGCCTCCCCAGCCATGTGGAACTGTGAGTCCATTAGACCTCTTTTTCTGTACAAATTTCGCTGTCTCTGGTATGTCTTTATGAGCAGTGTGAGAACAGACTAATGCAGCCACTCTATTTAGAGGCCACTATAGAGCTATTAATTGGCCTAATTTTAATATTGTGGTGCCTCAGGGAATAGAGAGAGGGAGAGAGGCTGGGGAGCCGTCATAACACAGGCAACATTTATTAAGTTATCTATCTTATATGGGCCTGCTCCATAGCACCCCAAAACAATTATAATAAAAACATCCAAAATTGATAATCACACATCACCATAACAGATAGAATAATAATGAAAAAGTTGGAAATAGCACAAAAATTACCAGACACAGAGGCAGAAAGTGAATATATGCTGTTGCGAAAAGTGGCACCAATAGGCTTGGTCAACTCAGAGCTGCCACAAACCTTTGATTTGTTAAAAAAAATACAAATAAAGATAAGGGCTGGGCACAGTGGCTCACACCTGTAATCCCAGCACTTTGAGAGGCCGAGGCGGGTAGATCACCTGAGGTCAGGAGTTTGTGCCTGTAATCCCAGGAGGCTGAGGCAGGAGAATCACTCGAACCCGGGAGGCGGAGCTTGCAGTGAGCTGAGATCACGCCACTGCACTACAGCCTGGGCAACAGAGTAATACTCCATCTCAAAAAAAAAAAAAAAAAAAAAAAAAAAAAACAAATCTGCAAAGCACAATAAAGCGAAGCACAATAAAAGGAGGTTTGCCCGTGCACACTCTCTCCACATCTGAGCCTTCTCAGGTATAAGTGCTGCCTTCAAGAGAGAAAAAAATTTATGTTTTCTTAGAGCAAACTGCATGAGAGAACAGGGTCACAGGAGTTTAGAGGAGCAATGAAAACTGTCATTGTGGCTGTGAGAGGCTGGGAGTGTGAAAGAGTAGGGAGTAAGAACTGTTATGGCAGAGGGAAAATTCGGATCAAGACCAGTCTGGGAATCCATCCCGAAACATCTCCTTCTCCATCACCTTCCCACCCTCCTTGGCCCCCTGTAGTCTGTCCTAGACCTCTCTCCTGCAGATCGGGGCCTCCAGGTCCCACAGGCTCCCTGGAGCCCCAGGGTCCTGCCCTACCCAACCTGGCTGAGGCCTCCAGGTGGCCTGTCTGAGCACCAGGAAGCCATTGCTGGGAATTCCTCGATTCTTTGACATTGTCCTCCACGTTCCTGGGCTTGTGAAGGAACATCCTCCTCCATGTTCCTGGAACTTCAGCCTTTGCTTGGCTCAGGAGCCTGAACTCCCCAGGATGTCCAGGAGTGTCCGAAGGAGAGAATACAGTCACAGGTTCTTAGTTTCTGTTTCTGGTTGGGCCAGTAAAGCCCCTTCCTCATCCCACTTTTCCACTTACTACTAAAGACAGAAACCAAAAACCATGGCTTCAGGCTGCTAAAAACCTAAAACAAAACAGAACAACAACAACAACAAAATAAGGCAGGTTGGACAAGCTTAGTCATAGAGTCAAAGCTTCCTGCACGCAATCGTGTGCCTTTCTGGAGTCCCACCACGCTTTCCCTTCGTATTTTTGTGTCTCTTCTCAGATTCTTCATTGTCTTTGATTTCCAAAGGCACTGCCAAGGTCAGACTGCTGGTCATGTGCACCCTGTGTTCCTCCCCTCCCGGTCTTCCTGAGAAGTCATGGAAATCTTAGCTCCTCCAGCAAGAACACATGTGTCTTTCATTTGAAAGATTCATGCCTCTCCTCCATGTGAAAGCCGATTAATGCTCATAAGGAAGGGGGTGGGCTCTATTCTTGGCCGATTTGTCTCCCCAGACTGTCCCTGTGAAAGGTCTTTCTGTATTCACGGCCTCATTGTACGACTCCACTTTCCCGGCAACAAGTGCTTGGCAGTGTTCACCCACCAAATGTGTTAGTTTTCAACTGCAATTGATCACTTTCTCCTTCTTGAAAGTCTTCTTCGCTGGCATCTGGGCACATTGACCCTGGTTCTTTCTCTCCCTCCTGTTGGTCTCTCCTTAAGTGAATTGTTCCTCACTTCCCTGACCTCCAAATGTTGCAATGCCCTAGAGATCCATTCTTCCCATTGAAAACTCTCCCTGCTATGTCCCTGAACTACAGCCCAGTCTCATGACTGTAAATACCACTTCAGCGATTCCTAAATCATTATTTCAAGCCCAGCTCTCTCCCCTGAAATCCAGGCTCCTATCTCCAGCTGCCGATTCACCAGTGCCCTTTGAGCATCTAATCGGTACACAAACTCAGTGGGTCCAAGCAACACCCGATCTTCCCCCCAGTATCTGCTGGCCCCATAGACATCCCCGTCTCAGACAGTGGCACCTCCACCCTCCCAGTGGCTCAGGCCATGACCACTGGGGTCAGCCCTCCCTTTTCTCCTCCTCTCACACGACACGTCCAGTCCACCTACAAAGCCTGCTGGCTCTGCTTCAAATAACACACCCAGGCCCACGTCTCCTCCCACTTCCACCAGCACCCTCACCTAAGCTGCTGCTATCCTGAACCTGGGTTACCGCCTCTGCTGGCCTCCTGCTGGGTTTCTCTGCCTCTGCCCTTCCCGGCAGCACCCATCCCAAGAATGTTTCCCACACAGCTCTTGTGTTTTAAGGCACAAGTCAGATGCTATCATCCTTAAAGTTCCCCAGCGGCTCCCATGTCAATCAGTGTAAAATTCCAAGGTCCCATGTGATCCAATCCCCCTACTTCATGGACCACATTTCCTGTCACTGCGCCTTGGCCCCTCGCTCCACCCTACCACATCCGGGTTCTGCGGCCCTTGGTCCCTCTGGCTCACTTTTGCCTGGACTCTTGCGTGTGCATGCACGCTTCCCACTGCCCGGTGCTCTGCCCGCATGGCTCTCCGCAGAGGGCATCCTTCATTCCTCGCGGGTTTCTGCTGCAAGGCTGCCCTACCTGGGCTGCCTTGCCTGACATACTGTTCCCCGTGCCTGGCTCTTTCAATTCCACTTGCCCTCCCTGATATGTCTCCATTGTGTTTATTGCCTGTCTCCCCTCCTGGGCTGTAAGGCTCTGGGGGCGTATGCTCAATGCCGAGTCTCTGAACCCCAGGATGGGCCCCACACCTGGTGGGCACTGCTAATGTTTGCTGCATGCACATAACGTGCTCTTTATGGTCACCCCCTCTCCAGGCAAACTGTTCCGGGGAGCATTTTCACTCTCTGATATCCTACATGAATGCACATGAGTGAGTGTGCATTAAATACGGTGATTCCCAGCCCAGAGCTTTTGTACCCCCAGGGGACACTGGCAATGTCAGGACATCTTTTTGCTTGTCATAACTCAGGTAAGGGGTAGGGTTTGCTAGTGGTTTGGATGCTACCGGTATCCAGTGGGTAAAGGCCACAGAGTCTGCTGGACAGCTTACAATGCCTAGGATGGCCACCATGGCAGAGTCATCCTTCTGAATTGTCAACAGTGCTGGAAGGAGAGCTGGAGAACCCTGGGCTGTGTGGTCTGTTTGCCTGCAGACATCAGCAGGACAGCCCCATGGGTGTAGCAAAGGGAATAAGCACACAAGCAAGAAGAGAGTTTTCAACTAAAGGACGATCAACGTTAAAACTTGTTCAGAAGTATAGCATCTATTATTCAATGATTAGTAAAGCAGAAAATAAAGTCAAAAAAAAAAAAACTTGTTCAGAAAGGTTGCTTAAGGCCAGGTGCTGTGGCTCATGCCTGTAATCCCAGCACTTTGGGAGGCCGAGGTGAGCAGATTACTTGCGGCCAGGAGTTCAAGACCAACCTGGGCAAGGTAGCAAGACCCTGTCTCTACAAAAATAAAAAATTAAAAAATTAACCAGGCATGGTGGTGCATGCCTGTGGTCCCAGCTACTCGGGAGGCTGAAGTGGGAAAAACACTTGAGTCCAGGAGTTTAAGATTGGGGTGAGCCGTGATTGTACCACTGCACTCCAGCCTGGGCAGCAGAGCAAGACCATGTCTCAGTAAGTACATACATACATACATACATACGTACATACATACATACATACATAAAAATTAAGATTGCTTATAACTTTAGCCAGTTAAGTTTTCTCCTGGCCGAGGCTTCATTGGGCCTGTTTGTATTTGATGATTTTATTTGACTCCAGTGCTCAATTTCTTCTGTGTTGTCAGCTCGGGCTAATGGGACACAGAATGGCTCATTTTTGGCTGTGCAGTTTTCTGTCTTCTGTGCACAACTTAAAATAATTATATGGGGCACTGTCTGAGCACAACTATATGTAAATTGTGCCAAAATATAAGGAACTATGTCCCAAGGTGCCAGCTTTTTCCTTGTCTGTTTGTGTTGTTGTTGAGAAAAATAATATTAAAAGTTGGCATTTTAAGGCATATGTTGCCTACATCTCCATTTTGCCTACACAGTCTAATAAATTTTATTAGATTTCTCTTATTTGATTGAACTAGACCCCTTCCAAGAACAAATCGCAGGTAAAAAGTCACTAATATTAGAAAGAAACACGTGGAGATATTCTCCATGGGAAGCATCTGAGGTCCCTGCCTCTGGGGAACTGTGTGGGGAGCAGGCATTGCTCGCTGAGCACCTGCTGCCTGGGCTCCGTGCTGGACTCTGCATGGGGACACCAGGACAGAGAAGATGTCACCGCTGGCCGCAAAGGCATCTCTGGACTTCTGAGTCAGATACAACATACGCACAAGTCACTCTAATAGAAGGCAGGATCTCCAAGGCATCTCGGGTGAGATCTAGAGGGGAGGGAGGGGTTGTACTTGGTTGCAGGAATCAGGGGGTCTTCAGGAAAGAAGACATGCCAGCCGTGGGCTTTGAAGGACAAGTGGGAGGTCATCAGAGACCAGGGCAGGGCCGCCGGGGCAGGCATTCCCAGGACGGGGCTCGGCCTAGCAAAGCCCAGAGTCACACTGTGGGACAATGTTGCCTTTGCGCCATCATGCCTGCCTGCCTGGCCGTGCTGCTGAGTGACCAGAAGTGAGACGTGTGCTCTTTCTTTGTGCGATTCTTTGGCATCAGATCAAGGCTCTCATCAAGAAGTACATCCAGAGGCAGCAGACGATCAACTTGGTGGTGGTTCCCTGTAACGTGGACATTGCCACCACGGAGGCGCTGAGCATGGCCCATGAGGTGGACCCGGAAGGGGACAGGACCATCGGTAAGAGGAAAGAACCAAGTGGCCGGGTGCGGTGGCTCAAGCCTGTAATCCCAGCACTTTGGGAGGCCAAGACGGGCGGATCACGAGGTCAGGAGATTGAGAACATCCTGGCTAATCCGGTGAAACCTCGTCTCCACTAAAAATACAAAAAAATTAGTCGGGCATGGTGGCTGGTGCCTGTAGTCCCAGCTACTTGGGAGGCTGAGGCAGGAGAATGGCGTGAACCCGGGAGGCGGAGCTTGCAGTGAGCCGAGATCATGCCACTGCACTCCAGCTTGGGCGACAGAGCAAGACTCCATCTCAAAAAAAAAAAAAAGAACCAAGCTTCCAGGGCATCCAGGGCATGGGAAGGGAGGGAGGGATGCCGCACTTCTTTGGAAGATCCTGGAACGTATCATATGCCAGTGTGTCCTGCGCTGAATACAAGTGCTATTGTTCTTGTTCCTTAGGAATGGCTTATTGAGGACTGAAGTAGGTAATATCAACTGCCCAGTAGATGGACCTGAGCATGTCAACAAAGTTAACACTGAAGAAAAGAAAGGAAAGAAAAAAAGTTTTCTAAAAAAAAGGATCTATTTGAATATTAACATCTCCAAGGAAACTTAGTACTACTTTTTAATAGTCAGTTTTCTGGTCCTCTCATCGCCATAAACTCAGATAATCAACAGTTATCAATAAATATTAGCTTTTTTTTTTTTTTTGAGACAGAGTTTCACTCTATCCCCCAGACTGAAGTGCAGTGGCATGATCTAGGCTCACTGTAACCTCTGCCTCCTGGATTCAATTCTCCTGCCTCAGCCTCCCAAGTAGCTGAGACTACATGCACATGCCATCACGCCTGGCTAATTTTGTATTTTCAGTAGAGACGGGGTTTCACTGTGTTGGCCAGGCAGGTGTCAAACTCCCAATCTCAGGTGATCCACCCGCCTCAGCCTCCCAAAGTGCTGGGATTACAGGTGTGAACCACAGCTCCCAGCCAGCTATTATTATTATAAATTCAGTCAATCAATAGTCATGGGATATACATGTTCTGCTCTTAGTATAGCCCAAAACAATATTGTAAAATAAATGCACATTTTCTTTTTCTTTTTTTTTTTTTTAACTTGGGATATTTTATTTTATTGTTAACTTTTGTTTTAGGTTCAGGGGTACATGTGCAGGATGTGCAGGTTTGTTACATAGGTAAACTTGTATCATGGGGGTTTGTTGTACAGATGATTTCATCACCCAGGTATCAAGCCTAGTACCTATTATTTATTTTTTCTGATCCTCTCCCTCCTCCACCTTCTGACAGATCCTAGTGTCTGTTATTCCCCTCTACGTGTTCATGTGTTCTCATCCTTTAGCTCCCACTTATAAGTGAGAACATGTGGCATTTGGTTTTCTGTTCCTGGGTTAGTTTACTAAGGATAATGGCCTCCAGATCCATCCCACAGAAATGCAAATTTTCTATGCATTCTAGGTCAAGTATAGAAATAGAGAAAAGTGTGCTAGGCTTAAGAGAAACAGACCCATGTTCATAGCAGCATTATCCACAATAGCCCAAAGGTGGGAGCAGCCCAGGTGTTTACAGATGGTTGGATGGATAAATAAAACGTGGCATATACGTAAAACAATATTATTTAGCCTCAAAAAGGAGGGAAATTCTGAAGCACACAACAACATGAGTGAACTTCAACGACATTATGCTAAGTGAAATTCCAGTAAGAAAAGGACTAACACTGGGTGATTCTACCTTATTTGAGGTCCCTAGGGTAGTCGGACTCATACAGACAAAGTAGAATGGTGGTTGCCCAAGACTGGAGGGTGGGGAAGTGGGAAATTGTTGTTCAATGGGTGAAGAGCTTTAGTTTGGGAAGATGAAAAAGTTCTGGAGATGGACGGTGGTGATGGTTACACAACAATGTAAATGTACTTAATTACGCGAACTATAAACTGGCTAAAATAGGAAAATTCACTTTACGTACACTTTATTACCATTTTTGTAAAGAAATTTTTTTTAAAAAAACAAGGTAGCTAAAGACAGAGCAGGGGGGAGCATCCTATTTTTATGAGTTGAATTATTCCCTTGCAGACTTGAGTTACGTGTATTTTACAATTCTTTTAAAAAGGAAATTGAGGCCGGGCATGTTGACTCATGCCTGCAATCCCAGCACTTTGGGGGGCCAAGGCGGGCGGATCACCTGAGGTCAGGAGTTCGAGACCACCCTGGCCAACACGGTGAAACCCCATCTCTACTAAAAATACAAAAAATTAGCCGGGTGTGGTGGCACAGGCCTGTAATCCCAGCTACTTGGGAGGCTGAGGCACGAGAATCGCTTGAACCTGAGACGAAGTTTGCAGTGAGCCGAGATTGCACCACTGCACTCCAGCCTGGTGACAGAGTGAGATTCTGTCTCAAAAAAGCAAAAAAAAAAAAAAAAAAAAAGAAAGAAAGAAAAGAAAAAAAAAAGAAAATTGAATGACTACACAATACTTCCAAAGGATGAGAATAGAGCAAATTTGATTATAATATAACAGTGGCTTAGAGAATATCAAGTTTCAAAAAGAACAGTGGGTCGATATTTTCAGGCCCTCACTAAGCTGGTTCCCCACCTGTCCATTGCTATGGATGTTATCTACTCCCTTGGCTTCAGCCGAGCTCCTGTGCCCTCTTAAGACAGAGACTGCTCCTGTCGAGGTCACCCACACCCTCTGCACTGAGGAGCACATGGTCACGTCTCTGTCCTTGCCTCTCCTTTCTCAGCAGCAGTCACCCCAGTTGCCCACTCCCTCCTTCCTGAACCTCCCTCCTTCCTGAAACTCCCTCCTTCCTCCACCATTCTCTCTCTCTCGGGTCGCTTCCGTCACTGGCCAGCTGGAAGTCACATTCTTAGACTCCTTGTCTCCATGCCTCTTCAATTCTCAGGCCTCTAAGTATGGAAAACTTGGTTCTGGGCTCTCCTTCTATCAACGCATCATCACATTAAGTGATCTTATCCGGCTGTGGTTTGTAATCCCATCTACATGCCAGTGACTCCCAAATCTGTATCTCTAACCCTGACCTTGCTTAACTGGACAACTCCGTTTGGCTGTCTGGCCAATGTCTCCAGTTAAACGTGACCAGAACAGAACTCTTGGTTTCGTACTCCATCCTGATTCACCTCCTCTCCAAGGCTTCCCCACCTCATTCACAGAACCCATCCGCCCACCCAGTTCTAAAGCCAAATCAAAGAGTCCCACTTGAGTCCTCCCTCCCCTTGCCTCCAAGTCTAATGTATCTGAAGTCCTGGTGACTCTGCCTCCAAAACGGGTGCCAAATCCATCCACTGCTCTCCATCCCCACTGTCACTGCCTAGACCAAGCCACCATGGTCTCCTGCCTGGTCTGCTCAAACATTCTCCTGCTGTTCGAGCACTCACCTTGCCCATGGCAGTGCCCTCTCCACTGGCCTCCAGACATGTCAATCGGGTCATGCCCCTCTCTGTTTACATTCTCTCCTGCTGCCATCTCACATGCATATAAACCCCGGACTCCTTTATCTAGAAAGCAGAGCCCCAGGTGACCTGGCCCTGCCTGCCTCTCTGATCTCAGTTCCACCGCTCTCTGCCTTGCTCATGACCCTCCAATACGGCTCTGCCATCCCTGCTCCCTCTCAACCAGGGTCTGGAGTGCTCCTTCTCCCTCCCCACTAGGCTGACTCCTCCCTTCCTTCAGATGTCAGTCCAAATGTTGCCTTCTGAGAGCGGACCTCCCTGTCCACCCAACTTGAGACTACATCACGCACCGCTGCCCACGGTCATTTGCCAGCACGTCACTTTATGTTAATTCTCTGCATAGCCCTTATCAATATCCATTCTTCTTTATTTCTCGTATATTACTAGATTAATTTATCTGGAAAGAGAGGTTCAAGAATAGTAGACCAGATAGCCAGACTTACCCACAAATTAAAACGAAGGACAAAATAGCGGAAGATAAGGCCAGGCACGGTGGCTCATGCCTGTAATCCCAACACTTTGGGAGGCTGAGGTGGGTGGATCATGAGGTCGGGAGTTTGAGACCAGCCTGGCCAACATGGTGAAACCTCATCTCTACTAAAAATACAAAAATTAGCTGGGCGTGGTAGCACATGCCTGTAGTCCCCGCTACTCAGGAGGCTGAGGCAGGAGAATCGCTTGAACCGGGGAGGCGGAGGTTGAAGTGAGCCACTGCACTCCAGCCTGGGCAACAGAGCGAGACTCCATCTCAAAAAAGAAAGAGAGAGAGAGAGAGAGAGAAAGGAAGGAAGGAAGCAAGGAAAGAAGGAAGGAAGGAAGGAAGGAAAGAAGGAAGAAAGAAAAGTGCTTTTCAACATACACAAACAAGAAATGCAGTGGCAATTTGACACTCAAGCAACATAAACAAAAAAGAGCACTTGGAATTCAAAGTTTTCAATCCAGTGCAAGCAGGAAGGAGTGGGGACAGAGGAGGGGGAGAGGAAAGTGGGAAGGAGGAGATCAGAGGAGGTGCCCACAAGAGGGAGCGGAGTGAGTCTGTTCAGGAGACACTAGAGAGGGACTCCCCTCAGTAGGGAACAAGGCATTTCTTGGAAACATGGTGCATGGAGCCAGTCCATTCTAACCATGCATGCTGCCTTAGTGCTGGGCACCCAGTAGGCATCCACGAAATATTTGTTAAGTCAACTATCCAGGACACTGAATGAACTGAGTGAGAGGGTGAGATAGCGAGCCAATAGAAATGCAAAGAAGAGGGGCAATGAGGGAATGAGGATGGAATGAGGCACTGGAGGATCAAGACTGCAGAAGACCTTGTTGGCCAAAAAAGGAGCCCATAGTCCAGTAGGAGTCAAACCTGTTTGAGGGGATCACTGACCTTTCCATTTCCCTTCTTTAACCATCTCACAGGTATCCTGACCAAACCAGATCTAATGGACAGGGGCACTGAGAAAAGCGTCATGAATGTGGTGCGGAACCTCACGTACCCCCTCAAGAAGGGCTACATGATTGTGAAGTGCCGGGGCCAGCAGGAGATCACAAACAGGCTGAGCTTGGCAGAGGCAACCAAGAAAGAAATTACATTCTTTCAAACACATCCATATTTCAGGTGAGACTCTTCAGGAAAGCTCTGGAATTAGACTCCATGAAAGCCAGCCCATCTGCAAGAGTTGGCCCAGATCATGACCAAAGTGTATGCACAAATTACACAAGGTAGTATAACCTAGCCTCACCTGATTTTTGTGCTAGATTTCTTGGCTTATTTAGACAAATTATTGTTTCTTAGATTCCAATGATGGTGCTGATTAAAAACTGGAATGTGTCATGACATAAAGCGTAGAACTCTTTGGTTTCCCAAAATGTTTTCACTTCCTTTCTGATTTGAGTCCTTATATTAAGAGATACATAAGGCAGGTGAAGTTTCTCCCATTTCCATGGATAAGAATAATGAGGTCAAACAAATAGTGAATGGGAACAGGACTGAACACAGAGCACCTAACTTCCAGAAACCCGTGTGTACCACCGTAAACGGCACACAGGAAAACCTGCTCGATGGAACTCTCCGTGTTTTTAGAGCCTCCAGTGCCCACAGTCATTTGCCAGAATATCACTTGTTTTTATTAAATAGAAACTTAATAATAACTGGCTTTATTAAATAGAAATTATCCTATAGAGACTCTGTAGTTTGTAGGACGCTGGGATTGTTCCCATTGAATGGAGCACTTTTCCCCTTCATTCTGGAACTTGTTGTTCCTGAATGATCCAGGAGCACAGAGGTCACTCCTGCTTGAAGGAGAGCTAATGGGAAAACTGAATTTGGGCCGAGTAGGTCTACGGCTTGCTGACTATGTGATCTTACAATATGGGCCACCTTCTCGGAATTTTGCCTTTCCCATCTTCTCCAGGGGATCCTACTACTGCCTCACAAGATTGTGGTTAGGATTACGTAACACGACATACACAAAGGTCTTGAGCGCCAACAGCCAGCACTCAGTAAACACCACCCGGTTCCTTCTTTCTTCCTCTCTGCTCCTGCTCTGAGTGGATGAAACATACTGTTTCCAATAGCACTGGAGGACATGAGGAGAAGAAAACTCTCCTCCTTGAGCTGGGAGAAGATTTCAAAATAATCAGGCCCATGGTTCTCCATGCTGAGTGAGCAGCAGACTCTCTGGAGAGTTCCTTAAAATTGTGCTAGCTCTGTCCTGCTCTGCCCTGAGGCCGGGGGAGGTGCCCAAGACTTCCTGCTTCTAACAGGTTCCTCCTGGTTGAGGCTAATGTTGCCAGTCCAGGGACCTCCCTTTGCAAACCGCTTCTCAAGGTCTTTGGGAAATCTGAAATCCTTGCATGCCTGCTTGCTGGGAGCCGTCCCTTGCAGTAAGAGGCACTGGCAGTGCTGGGGAATAATCCTGTGTGCTTCATCCTAAATTCCTGCTATTGGCAAACATGCTGCAGCCACGCTGCCTGCTGTGTGGCTGCAGCAAGCAAATGCAGCAAGCTGCTTAACCTTTCTGTGTCTCAGCCTTTCTTGCTCTAAAGTGGGTTGTTAAATGACTAAATGTGTTAATATTTATAAAGCCCTTAGATTGGTGCCTGGCACTTAGTAAGCACCATATATACTTTTGTGATGAGAAATAAAATACTAATCTGGGCAACTCACTTAATCTCCATGAGGCTGGGTTTGTTTTCCTGTAGCTAAGATGACCTACCTCATGAGTTTGTGGGGATGATAGAAAGGGAGGAGGGAAGGAAGCTTCCTGGCCCACAGTTGCCTGGGTGCAGGCTGGTGGCAAGTGTCTTTCTTATGCACCACTTGGCTTTTCTGATGGCACGTGTTGCCCCGGGGAGCTGGGCTCACCTACCACGCACAAAGTCCGGTACTAGCAAGATGGTACACAAGTCCTTCCTGAATGCATGAATGTCTGTCTCATTTCAGAGTTCTCCTGGAGGAGGGGTCAGCCACGGTTCCCCGACTGGCAGAAAGACTTACCACTGAACTCATCATGCATATCCAAGTGAGCCACGTGGGTTGGGTGACAAGTCATCAATACAGCATGCCCAAGTCACTCTCTTGGTCTGGAGTTGGCTAAGATGCCCCACTGATCTGTCCAAACAAGCAAACAAGTACCCTCTGAACACTGTCTCACTCACTGTCACAGGCTCACTGGAAGAACTTCCAAATTGGGGAAGCAACAAGTACATAGTATTAAAACAAATGTTTGAATTGGTCAACAGGGGGGAAAAAGAAGAGAAGGAAACAGTTTAGCAATATAAAAAGGAGTGACCACTGAGAGAGCAAGTTTTCTTTTTTCAATATGTTGTTAATACTTCCTGGTATAAAAAATTTTTCTTGCCAGGCATGGTGGCTCATGCCTGTAATCCCAGCACTTTGGGAGGCTAAAGCCAGTGGATCACCTGAGGTCAAGAATTCGAGACCAGCCTGACCAACATGGAGAAATTCCATCTCTACTAAAAATACAAAATTAGCTGGGCATGGTGGCACATGCCTGTAATCCCAGCTACTGGGGAGGCTGAGGCAGGAGAATCGCTTGAACCCGGAAGGTGGAGGTTGTGGTGAGCCAAGATCGTGCCATTGCACTCCAGCCTGGGCAACAACAGCAAAATTCCATCTAAAAAAAAAAAATTTCTTCTAGCCTCAAACTTCTAAGAAATAATTGGTTTGTAAGAAATAAGTCCATTTTTATGGATTCTCAAAAGCAGACAACTACAGACAAGGGCCTCATGACATCATCGATTATAGAAAAACTTTGGTTTGGCGGTTATTGAGAAATCGAATATTTTTAGTGCTTGCCTAAACCTTCACAAATGAGGCCAAGCAACATGGGAAGATTTAAATGTACCCTTAGAGCAAAGATGATTCCAGATCCTAGGACTTGGCCCATGCTAAATTGTATATCAGACAAAAGCAATGACTTACTTGAGCCAGGAAGCACATACTCAAAGAAAATTTGGTTTGAAGGAGCCAGTGGTTCTCCAACTTTAAGGCACACAAGAATTACCTGGAAAGTTTGTTACAATTAGATTCCACCAGTCAAGGTGGCCTACACATGTAATCCCAGCACTTTGGGAGGCTGGGGCAGGTGGGTCAAAAATTCCAGATCTTCCTGGATGCTTTAAAGGGCTCCTACTCATATACCAAAGAAATCAGTTGGCCAATCTCTTAAGCCGCAGTTTGATTGTTTGCAATTGTTTTGTTTAGAAATCGCTCCCGTTGTTAGAAGGACAAATAAGGGAGAGCCACCAGAAGGCGACCGAGGAGCTGCGGCGTTGCGGGGCTGACATCCCCAGCCAGGAGGCCGACAAGATGTTCTTTCTAATTGAGGTGAGGATTTCCGCAGGACTCCACGTGACACTGCATCCTTCCCTGGTGGCCCTGCAGCTGCCCTTCCCCTTCTTCACCCATGAGATGAGGTGGGCGGGTGGACATCTCCTTGCAACGCCGGTCCCAGTTCTTTCATATGATTTCCGCAAAGACTATTGACTTTATATCATTTTCAGAAAATCAAGATGTTTAATCAGGACATCGAAAAGTTAGTAGAAGGAGAAGAAGTTGTAAGGGAGAATGAGACCCGTTTATACAACAAAATCAGAGAGGATTTTAAAAACTGGGTAGGCATACTTGCAACTAATACCCAAAAAGGTAAGTTCTGGGCAGGGCTCCCTGCAAAACAGGGTGGTATTTACCCAGACCAGAGGCTATGTCCAGCACATGATAAGTGTGCCAAGAGTGGAACACGTCCATCCAAGACCGTGGAACCCTTGGTAATCAGCAACTGTCTCTCAACGAACAAAACCCAGAAATATGGGGCATCGACCTCAGCAACTCAACACAGGGCAATTCCACTGCCTCTGATGTCCTCGTGTCTTGATTTTGTTTTGTTTTGTTGAGACAGGGTCTCCCTCTGTTGCCTAGGCTGGAGTGTAGTGGCGCAATCATGACTCACTGCAGCCTCAACCTCCCAGGCTCAAGTGATCCTCCCACCTCAGCCTCCTGAGTAGTTGGGACCACAGGCATGAACCACCATACCCAGATAATTTTTGTACTTTTTTGTAGAGATAGGTTTTCACCACCATTGCTCAGGCTGCTCTTGAACTCCTAGGCTAAAGCAATCCACCTGCCTCAGCCTCCCAAAGTGCTGGGATTATAGATGTGAGCCACTGTGCCTGGCCTTGCTTCTTGGTTTTGAGGCTAAATGGCATTCCATGCCCACCTGAGGAATTCGCAGAGCAGCCCAGGGTACCTCAGGGCTGCTATCCTGAGTGCCTGGAGGGAAGCCTGTGCCCAAAGCAGGGGTCCAGATGACTCTGGGGGCCAGCCCCACATGAAGGCTCTCCAGCCACTGTTGAATTGAGTGCACAGCTGCCAGCTGGCCATGGTGCCTGTTGTGGACACACCAGGCACGGAGCCTTCATTAGTAGCAGCTAAACATCAGCTTGGTAGAAAAAGTGACCTGGGATACTTATTTATTTTGGTGGCATTGAGACAGAGCTCAGCATGGGTGCCAGGGGACCAGGGGAGGGGGGAATCCACATGAAATCGTTTACCATCTCCCCCTCTGGAAGGTCTGGGGTGTGATGATCTGGTTTTAGCAATAAGTAAAGACTAGATGAAGTAGCAGTTTTTTAACTGCTAAAATGTGCCCAGATCACCCAAACAATTCCACTCATCCCAATCCCCCTTCTCTTTGCCCCTAATTCAAGATCAGAGAGATTCTTGGTTTGACAAGAGCCTGCTGGCTTCACCTGGCAAAGTTCTGATTCCCATGTGCTCCAGCCCAGGTTCCAGTAGGGCATGTGTGTGTGTATGTGTGTGTCCATTTTCACACAGCTATAAAAAACTACCTGAGACTGGGTAATTTATAAAGAAAGGAGGTTTAATGGACTCACAGTTCCACATGGCTAGGGAGACCTCAGAAAACTTAACAATCATAGCAGAAAGCAAAGGAGAAGCAAGCACCTTCTTTCCAAGGTGGCAGGAGAAAGAGCAAGGAAGAGCTGCCAAACACTTTATTTATTTATTTATTTTGAGACGGAGTTTCACTCTTGTTGCCCAGGCTGGAGAGCAGTGGTGTGATCTCGGCTCACTGCAACCTCAGCCTCCCAGGTTCAAGCAATTCTCCTGCCTCAGTCTTCCAAGTAGCTGGGATTACAGTTGTGTGCCACCACACCCAGCTGATTTTTGTACTTTTAGTAGAGATGGGGTTTTGCCACGTTGACCAGGCTGGTCTCGAACTCCTGACCTCAGGTGATCTGCCCTCCTCTGCCTCCCAAAATGCTGGGATTACAGGCATGAGCCACTGCTCCCAGCCCCTAAACACTTTTAAACTATCAGATCCTGTGAGAACTCACTTACCATCATGAGAGCAGCATGAGAAAAACCACCCCCATGACCTAATCACCTCCCACCAGGTTGCTCTCTTGACACATGGGGATTACAATTTGAGATGAGATTTGGATGGGGACACAGAGCCAAACACAATTTGAGATGAGATTTGGTTGGGGACACAGAGCCAAACACAATTTGAGATGAGATTTGGTTGGGGACACAGAGCCAAACCATCTCATTGTGTGTGTGCTGTTGTGTTTTTGTTCTGGCACTTGGAGAAAACAGCACTGTTTACCTCCGTGGAAAGATCCCTCCAACGGTAAACTGTGGCTGTATGCTTGGGAGGTAAGGGGTACAAGATTAAGTTTCCATATTCATTTAACTGATCAGATTTTTGTGTTTAGTTTTGTTTTTGTTTTTCAGAGACAGGCTCTTGCCGTCACCCAGGCTGGAGCACAGTGGTGTGATCATTCCCAGATAGCTGGGACTAAAGGCACATACCACCATGCCTGGCTCATCTTTTTTTTATTTTTGTAGAGACAGGATCTTGTTATGTTGCCCAGGCTGGTCTCGGACTCCTGGCCTCAAGTGATCCTCCCACCTTGACCTCCCAAAGTGATGATATTACAGGTGTGAGCCACCACACCTAGTTTCTAATCAGGTTTTTTTTTTTTTCCTACCAGTTAGAAACAATAGCTTCTCTCTTGGGGTGATGACTTTCAATTGAAACACATTTTCATAGAATAAGATTTTTTTCCCCCAAAAGTCAGTATTTCTTAAACTCCTGTTATTAGACCATGAATATTTTTCTCATTGTGAACAAAACTCCACTTTGCAACATTGCCTCTGCGTACAGTGGGGAGCAAGACTTTATAAAACTGTTGCTAGCTTTACGACGTCTGCAGAATTAGCAGAATTCACCATGGAGGTCTGTTTGATGTTGCAGTTAAAAATATTATCCACGAAGAAGTTGAAAAATATGAAAAGCAGTATCGAGGCAAGGAGCTTCTGGGATTTGTCAACTACAAGACATTTGAGATCATCGTGCATCAGTACATCCAGCAGCTGGTGGAGCCCGCCCTTAGCATGCTCCAGAAAGCCATGGGTGAGGACTTTCAAGCAGGACTCCCAAACCATCACTCTCATACCTTCCATAGACCCCAGTGCCTTGGAGGGAGAGATTGGAATGGAGTTACCAAACCAGCCTGCAGACACGCTCACTGGTGTGCTAGATTGCTACTCTGTGTGGTCTGTGAGCCAGCAGCACTGGCAAGGCCTGAGAGCTGGTCAGAGCTACCGATTCTGCCCTTCTGCCTGAGAACTCGTACTGAGGTTTCCAGGAGATGGGGAAGCACACTGAGTGCCATAGGCGTTCCATCGCTGTCCTTCAAACACGTGGAGGAGGCGGGGAAGATGGTTTCTCTTGTCTTTGGGGGGCAGGCAGAGGGTGCACATGCACTTCATCTGTATCACACGCAGCCACCAACACAGCCGCGTAAGGCAGCGGTCCCCAGTCTTTATGGCACCAGAGACTGCTTTCATGGAAGACAATTTTTCCACAGACCAGTGAGGGGTAAGAAGGATGGCTCCAGGATGAGTCAACTGCATTGCATTTATTGTGCCCTTTATTTCTATTATTATTACATTGTAATATATAATGAAATAATTACACAGCTCACCAAAATATAGAATCCTCATTATGGTGGGAGCCCTCAGCTTGTCTTCCTGCAACTAGACTGTCCCATCTAGCGGTGATGGGAGACAGTGACAGATCGTCAGGCATTAGATTCTCATAAGGAACACGCAACCTAGATCCCTCGCACGTGCAGCTCACAACAGGGTTTGTGCTCCTGTGAGAATCTAGTGCCACCGCAGATCTGAAAAGAGGTGGGGCTCAGGCAGCAGTGCTCACTAGCTCACTGCACACCTCCTGCCGGACACGGACTGGAACTGGTCCAGCCTGGGAGTTGGGGACCCCTGATGTAAGGAATAGTCAGAGGCTAACATGCACACAGGCACGGGAAATGGACAGGACCTGCCCAGGCTGCATGAGGGCTGGATTGTGTGGCCCTGGAATGATGTCCCACCCTCTCCTATCGCGGTTTGCAGGTCTAGGGAACTCAGTCTCCTGGAATGGGTCAGTGTATCATCAGTCATCCTCCCTGTGTCTTTAACCAGTTTTATTTCTGCTTGCATTTTACTGATGTTTTCTTCTTCTTCTCCTTTTTGCTTTTTTTGGTCAGAAATTATCCAGCAAGCTTTCATTAACGTGGCCAAAAAACATTTTGGCGAATTTTTCAACCTTAACCAAACTGTTCAGGTAAGCACCCAGAGTTCACTTGCTAGTCACCTGGACCACTGGCTGTTTAACCTTGAGAGAAGTTGGATATTCACTGTCATTTGGAACCATGAGGCCAGGGATGTAATGGCAGGCTGGCGAGGCTGGCAGGGCTGGCGGGGCTGGTGGAGCTGGTGACTCCAGGAGCACCTGCCTGCCTGGCTTCTGCTCAGGAGGCGGCTTCACTCCCCAGGAGAAATGAAATGCGGCCCGTGCCCTGCCATCTGTTCTGCACGACCTTACGCAGGATGTGGGGCTCCACCGAGGACTGGCTGGTAGGCTGAATCTTTTTCAAGCATAAAGCACAGCATTGTTTACTAGTCCTACTCCCAAATTTGTATGTTTGACTCAAAGATGTTGCCGTAGCTCTGTGGGTTTCTACTTAGCAACTCTTCCCCCGAGTTACCTTCAGCAAAGGCAAGAGAGGGCATGTGGCACTTGGGCTGTAGATAAAATTCCTCTTCTGCCCAGGCCTGGGCTGGTGGATTGAAATCTCATTCCATAGTGCAGGCAAGCAAGAAGGACAATTTTCGTCATTTTTCCGTCATATAAATTAATTTCTTCTTTCACCCTTTTTGCCTGTTAGTGAAAATTAAATCCCAGTTCTGACTCCCGCCCACTTTCTCAGGGGCTGTGTCTGAGTCCCGGGTGCCTGCTCATGGGGTGGGTGACCTGCCTGGTCCCCAGTCACCAAGATGTCCATTGTCCTTCCCGGGCCTTGGTCCCCTTGGTCCCTGAGCTCCTGCCCAGCCCCGCCGGGACACAGGAAGCACTCGGCTGCAGGCCCAACTGCTCTGGGCCATGGGAACTCTGGCATCCACCAAGGGCCTTCACCTCTTTTGTGCTGCCCTTGGATAGACACAGCCTTGCAGCAGCTCCCGGCTCCTCACCAGGGACTGCGGGGCTCTCCAAGGCCATGACCTGCACACTGCCCTCAGCCACAACAGAGCCTGGGGGGCTCGCTGCCTCCTGTGTCACAAATCTTGAGGAGTGCGGCACAGGCCACTTCTGCTCCCAGAGGGTCTACTGTCCTTTGTTGTGTAGACCGAAAGTGACTGAGGCAGATCTGCCTCGATCCGAGATTTATTTTGCCCAGGTCGAGGATGTACGTGGGAAAAAGAAATACAAGTTCCAGTGCTATCTGTGACCTGTGCTTTTCCTAAGAGGGTTTAGGGGAACTTCAGTATTTAAAAAGGAAAGAGCGAGCAGGTGGGGAAGAAAGAAGGAAGGAGGGTAGGCAATGAGGCAATGAGGCAGAGGTCACCCTCGTGTAAGGCTCTGACCAGCACTCAGTGAATCTATGTGTTAAATGTGAAAAGAAAGGCGTGGAGAGAAAGTCAATCATGCATTCATCTCGCGCTCAGTAAATCTACATTTTACATCGGATAAAGTGCACATGTGAAATCACAGCTTCTGTTTGGGAACAAAAGAAAGGCAGTTAACTTTCCCTTTAGTATAGTAAGTTTGGGGTCCCAAGAATCTATTTTTCTTTCACAGTTGTCACATATACTCAAAAAAAAAAAAAAAAAAGAAAAAGAAAAAAAAAAGAGAAAGAACAAACAAACCAGCACCTGTGAAACTTCACCTCTGAAACTCACTCTCTCACTCTCAAGCCACTGCTTCTGCCTTCAGTTTTAAAAAGTCTATTTGAAGCTCAAAAGCCTAGGCCAGGTGTGGTGGCTCACGCCTGTAATCCTAGCACTTTGGGAGGCCGAGGCGGGCAGATCCCTTAAGGTCAGGAGTTCGAGACCAGCCTGGCCAACCCGGTGAAACCCTTGTCTCTACTAAAAATACAAAAATTAGCCAGAAATCACTTGAACCTGGGAGGCGGAGGTTGCAGTCAGTCGAGATTGTGCCACTGCACTGCAGCCTGGGTAACAAAGAGAGACTCCATCTCAAAAAGAAAAAAAAAAAAGAAAAAGAAACTCAAAGCCAGGACATGACAGTCTTAGTTCAAGCTTCTATCACAAAGTCCCACAGACTGGATGTGTCTTATTAACAATAAAAATTTGTTTCTCATGGTTCTGGAGGCTGGGAGCCTGAGATCAGTGTGTCGGCATGGTCAGGTGGCAGTGAGGGCTCTCTTTCAGGTTGCGGATGGCCACCACCTTCTTGTGTATCCTCACACGGTGGAAAGAGCGCTCTCTGGGGTTGCTTTATAAGGGCCTCAGTCACATTCATGAGGCTCTACCCTCATGACTAATTGCCTCCCACTTCCCAATACCATTACCTTCCTACTTTGGTTTCAACATGTAAATTGGGGGGCAGGGGACACAAATGTTCAGTCCATGGCAGTGACCCTGTGACCCCCCTTCTCTGCTACATCACCTCTTTCTTTCCTTTTTTTTTTTTTTTTTTTTTGAGATGGAGTCTCACTCTGTCACCCAGGCTGAAGTGCAATGGCGCCATCTCGGCTCACTGCAACATCTGCCTCCTAGGTTCAAGTGATTCTCCTGCCTCAGCCTCCCAAGTAGCTGGGATTACAAGCACCTGCCACCACACCTGGCTAATTTGTGTATTTTTAGTGAGATGGGGGTTCGTCATGTTGGCCAAGCTGGTCTCAAACTCCTGACCTCAGGTGACCCACCTGCCTCAGCCTCCCAAAGTGCTGGGATTACAGGAATGAGCCATCGCACCCGGCCTTTTTGAGACGGAGTTTCGCTCTTGTCGTCCAGACTGGAGTGCAATGGCATGATAGCTCACTGCAACCTCTGCCTCCCAGGTTCAAGCCATTCTCCTGCCTCAGCCTCCCAAGTAGCTGGGATTGCAGGCGTGTGCCACCACGCCCAGCTAATTTTGTATTTTTAGTAGAGATGAGGTTTCACGATGTTGGCCAGGTTGGTCTCGAGCTCCTGACCTCAAGTGATCCACCCTCCTTGGCCTCCCAAAGTGCTGGGATTATAGGCATGAGCCACCATGCCCAGCCAACCTCTTTCTTCCTTGACTGCATGGGTGATGTAGGAGTCCTGGGATTCCTGGGAAACAGGTATATCACACTATTATCCCAGTGTTCGTCAGCACTGGAACCATTCTAGCAGAAGTAGCACCCCAGGAATGACTGACACCGTCCCAACAGCATGGACTAAGCCTGTTCCTGTTGAAGGAGCAGAAAGCTGGTGGTGTAGGAGGGACTGGGGATGGCCAGAGAGGAAGAAAGGGCAGGAGAGAAGGTATGTCGCAAGTGGGGAGTGAGGAAACCGGGTTCATAAGGACAGAAAGGGCGAAGTGGGACTTTCTAAAAATCATCATTTCAAGTCTCAGGACTTCTTTGACTATGGATTCGTTTTATTTCTGAGTTCAACATAATAGTACTTCCAAATTTGTTTAAGCCAACAGGAAAGAAGAAAAAGAAGTAATGTGTTTGTCTTTTTTATCTAACCAGAGCACGATTGAAGACATAAAAGTGAAACACACAGCAAAGGCAGAAAACATGATCCAACTTCAGTTCAGAATGGAGCAGATGGTTTTTTGTCAAGATCAGATTTACAGTGTTGTTCTGAAGAAAGTCCGAGAAGAGATTTTTAACCCTCTGGGGACGCCTTCACAGAATATGAAGTTGAACTCTCATTTTCCCAGTAATGAGTCTTCGGTTTCCTCCTTTACTGAAATAGGCATCCACCTGAATGCCTACTTCTTGGTGAGTTCCCGGCGGGGCAGGAGCCGTGCTCTCTGAAATTTGCAGAGCTGAGTAGGGGCTATGCTAACCTAGAGAGGCTTTGCTGAGGGAAGGAGGGAGGGACCACTACAATGTATTAAGCCCTTCTGTATTATGATAAACTACTTATATATTTTCTCATTTATAATTTTACATGAACCCTATGAAGGCACTTTTAATTAATTTGCCCACAATCAATTTTTAAAGTGGTAGAGCGTGTACTCAAAATTAATTCTGACCCCAAAATTCCTTATATTTCTTATGCGGTCCATGAATTACAAAATTACTATGATCAGAATACAGCAAAATACAACAAACGTCAACGATTGTGACTATAAACTAGCTTTCCTTGGTGTTCAGAAGGCACTAACATGCCACACTTGCCAGCCCCACAAGATAGGAATGAAATTTCCTTTCCCTAGATTTTGTGACCCAGTGAACTTTTTGGCCTCTGACTGTCTATCCAATATGCAAGTATCACTGTTCCCAGGAAGAAAAAATAGCTTTTAAACTGCAAAGACACCCACCTCCCGAAGCCCTTTCTCAATCAGAATAGAGTGGTTTCCCAGCCATGGGCACCTGGCTGCCAGGCATACTGGCTATGCCTATGAAGAAGGAATGAGGGGAGGATTCGAAACGGCCCTGGTGCATACCCAGAAGGGAGCCAGGGGAGTCCTGGGCTGGGGGAGTTTCTCCAGCAGGGAGGAGCTGTGGGGATGCCCAGAGGTGATATGGGCTTGCTAGCCTACCAGGGGGCTTCTTAGTGCTAGAGGGGATGCCTGGAAGTAAAGAGGGGTCAGCGCAAATAGAACCTTCACGGGGCTTGATGCTGACCACCGGAGTGGAGGTGGGCGAGACCACCAGGGCTTCGCCAGGCAACCATGTGCGCATCCAGGAACTCCATGCCTTCTCTCTGCAACCACAGGCCTTGGGCTGAGACCACTCCAGCAAACCCTTCTTTCTCCCTCTTCCAGGAAACCAGCAAACGTCTCGCCAACCAGATCCCATTTATAATTCAGTATTTTATGCTCCGAGAGAATGGTGACTCCTTGCAGAAAGCCATGATGCAGATACTACAGGAAAAAAATCGCTATTCCTGGCTGCTTCAAGAGCAGAGTGAGACCGCTACCAAGAGAAGAATCCTTAAGGAGAGAATTTACCGGCTCACTCAGGCGCGACACGCACTCTGTCAATTCTCCAGCAAAGAGATCCACTGAAGGGCGGCGATGCCTGTGGTTGTTTTCTTGTGCGTACTCATTCATTCTAAGGGGAGTCGGTGCAGGATGCCGCTTCTGCTTTGGGGCCAAACTCTTCTGTCACTATCAGTGTCCATCTCTACTGTACTCCCTCAGCATCAGAGCATGCATCAGGGGTCCACACAGGCTCAGCTCTCTCCACCACCCAGCTCTTCCCTGACCTTCACGAAGGGATGGCTCTCCAGTCCTTGGGTCCCGTAGCACACAGTTACAGTGTCCTAAGATACTGCTATCATTCTTCGCTAATTTGTATTTGTATTCCCTTCCCCCTACAAGATTATGAGACCCCAGAGGGGGAAGGTCTGGGTCAAATTCTTCTTTTGTATGTCCAGTCTCCTGCACAGCACCTGCAGCATTGTAACTGCTTAATAAATGACATCTCACTGAACGAATGAGTGCTGTGTAAGTGATGGAGATACCTGAGGCTATTGCTCAAGCCCAGGCCTTGGACATTTAGTGACTGTTAGCCGGTCCCTTTCAGATCCAGTGGCCATGCCCCCTGCTTCCCATGGTTCACTGTCATTGTGTTTCCCAGCCTCTCCACTCCCCCGCCAGAAAGGAGCCTGAGTGATTCTCTTTTCTTCTTGTTTCCCTGATTATGATGAGCTTCCATTGTTCTGTTAAGTCTTGAAGAGGAATTTAATAAAGCAAAGAAACTTTTTAAAAACGTAGCCAGGTTCAGTGACTCATACCTGTAATCCCAGTGACTCTGGAGACTGAAGCAGAAGGATCACTTGAGCCCAGGAGTTCAAGACCAGACTGGGCAACACAGGGAGACCCTGTCTCTAAAAAAATTTGTTTGTAAGTAGCCAGACATGGTGGTGCACACCTGTAGTCCCAGCCACTCAGGTGGCTGGAGCAGGAGGATCCCTTGAGCCCAGGATTTTGAGGCTGCAGTGAGCCATGACTGCACCATGTACTACAGCCTGGGTGACAGAGTGAGAGTGAGACTCTGTCTCTGAATACACACACACACACACACACACATACACAGAGAGAGAGAGAGAGAACTTCACACCAGTGATCATCATTATGGGTAATTTTCTTTTCTTCTTCATGTTTTCCTGTATGTTTCAAATGATGAACATATAGATTCCTTAATAAAAAGGCAATAGAATAAATATCATTGCTGATTTGTTTTAAAACCCAAGTTTGAGATGGAAAGAGTGCCTCAAAAACATTCAGCTTTGTTCAGGGGTACAGACGAGAAAGATTACGTGAATTTCTTTCTTCATTTGCTGTAAAAGATGTTGGAAAAGAAAGTTCAAGTCAAAAATCACAGCTTGACCAGCATCCCCAAGAGCTCTCTTGCAGAGGTCTCTTTGATTTGTGTTCAAATGCTAGTGTATTAGTCTGCTATAGCTGCCATAACAAATATCACATGCTGGGTGGCTTAAGCTACAGAAATTTATTTCCTCCCACCTCCAGAGGCTGGAAGTGTCTGAGATCAAAGTGTTGCTAGTTTGGTTTCTCCTGAGGTTTCTCTCCTTGGCTTGCAGACTGCCACCTTCTCACCAGGCCTATGCTTGGCCTCTCTCTTTTCTCTTACAAGGATCCCAGTCCTCTTGAATCAGGTCCCCACCCTTAGGGCTTCATTTAAGCTTGATCACCTCTTTAAAGACCCTACCTCCAAATGCAGTCACATTGGGAGTTAAGGCATCAGCATATGAATTTGAGGGTGGGGGCATAATTTGTTCCATTACAGCAAGTAAGAAAATAGACATGTGCATTCTGAACACAAAACTCGAGCAATGACCAAAAACTTGGAAAAAGGTATCTCTAATTCAAAAGGCAGCAGATCTGGCCTGAAGCAAACCAGATGATCATGGAAAGGCTGACATTGATCGATTGCTTGCAATCCTCCAAACGTGGAATTTGGGAATATGTTCCAGTTATCTATTGTTGTGTAACAATCACCCCAAAACTTAATGGCTTAAAACAGCAGATGTATTCTTTCTCTGGATTCTGTGGGAAGTCTGTGTTGTTCCTCTGTGTGTCTCACCTGGGCTCACCCATGCGTCACAGTCACACAGAAGCTAGACAAGGCTGGGAGGTCCAAGGGAGCCTCACTCTTCAAACTACATTTCCATAAGGAACACTTGGGTTTCATTAGCACTGATTTCCAAAAGTAAGAATGTCAACCTAAAAGGAAGAAGCTGGCTATTTTTTTTTTTTCAGAGGGAAAATGGTGGGTAAGAAGCAGGACTAATGTGCAGTTTCCACTTGGATGGATAGAACAGCATGTGGAGACTCACATTGTGAGCTTTTTCTCCAAGAACCACCACAGGAACATACCAGGAAAACCAAAAGAATTCACAGACCCTTTGAACAAAGTGGCTTGTCACTGCAAACACTGTGAGACAGCCAAAAAACTGTGAGCACCCGAAATGTAAGAGGGGAAAGCATCTCCAAACACACATCCTCACTGGGGAACCCAAAAATCCAGATCAGAGGGGAAGGATTTAACAGTATCTAGAGCTGAAATAAATTTAGAGAGCCGAGTGAAATATAAAAGTAGTAGAAGCAGTGGGAAGAGCCCTGCAGGCACTCCTGGTCCCCAGGGAAACCCAGGGAAGCCATTTCTGACTTTAATCTCACAGGGGTCCCTGGGGAGGGCAGCCAGTGGAAGTGGGGAAGGGCCACAGGGAGGAGACTTCCAGCTGAACTTTGTAATAATGCTGACTGATCGTGAGTTTTCCTGGACAGCATCCAGGGCAGGGAGAAGGGGAAATGGGAAGTGCAGGTAGGAGCACAGAAGCCATGACGGGGAGGGGAGGGGCATGGCCTGAAAGCCCTGCTTGCTTTCTCAATAGGGAGGCTTGTAACCTGCGGCAAGATCTCAGTCCTGTGCACTACAGGCATGGATATAAAATCGGCTCTGTTGGATGTTGGGGGAGCATGGTGGGAGTGAGACTGGCCTTCTTGGCTGCATGGAAGCTGGATGAGACCTGTCACTGCCAGCTTTCCCTCACCTTCCTGGTGTCCTGTATGACACAGCAGAAGCAGACATAATCCCCCTGGGAATGTATCTCCATAAGCCTGAGAAGCACACCCCATCACTCACAGCAGCCATAACAAGCTCTGCCCAAGGAGAATCTGAGCTCAGACATGCCTAACCCTGCCCCACCTGATGGTCTTTCTCTACCTGCCCTGGTATTCAAAGACAAAAGACATAATCTCGTGGGAGCTCTACGGCCCCACCCATCACTTAAGAAACAGAAATACTTACCCAGGCAACCTTAGGGCAAGCTTGTATCCTCCCTATACTGTGGCAGCTATTGCCCTCTTTGTAGCGCCACCTCTTGGCTGGAGGCCAACCCACTCAAGCCATTACAGCAACTCATAACAGAACAACCCTGCCCCTAGAGAAAAAGAAAACAACAGCTAATTCCACTGCCTGTAATATCCTGGCTAGCCAGAGGTCCTGAATCTGTCCACATGACAACTTCACTGCTAGCATAACCAGCATTTGAGAAAACCAGCACACTAAACAAAATTACAAGCAAGGACACTCACAGAGCCCACTTCACTCCCCTGCTACCTCCACCAGGGCAGGTGCTGGTATCTGTGGCTGAGAGACCTAAAGACGTATCACATCACAGGGCTTTTTTCACACTCTCAGTACCAGCTCAGAGCCTGGTAGCTCCACTAGGTGGCTAGACCTTGAAGAGCAGTAACAATCACTGCTGTCCAGCTCTCAGGAAGTCCCATTCCTAGGAGAAGGGGGAGAGCGCCACATCAAAGGATCACCCTGTGGGACAAAAGAATCTAAACAGCAGCCCTTGAGTCCCAGATCTTTCCTCTGACATAGTCTGCCCAAATGAGAAGGAACCAGAAAAACAATTCTGGTAATATGACAAAACAAGGTTCTTTAACACCCTCAAAAGATCACACCAGCTTACCAGCAATGGATCCAAACCAAGAATAAATCTCTGAATTCCTAGAAAAAGAATTTAGAAGGTTGATTATTAAGCTACTCAAGGAGGCACGAGAAAGGTAAATACTAACTAAAAGAAATTTACAAAATAATACAGAATATGAATGAAAAAATCTCCAGAGAACTAGATAACATAAATAAAAAACAATCACAACTTCTGAAAATTGAAGACACACTTAAAGAGAAATGGAAAACACACTGGAAAAAGTTTCAACAATTGATTGAAACAAGCAGAAGAAAGAACTTCAGAGCTCAGACACAAGGCTTTCAAATTAACCCAATCTGACAAAGACAAAGAAAAAAATAATTGTAATGAACAAAGCCTCAGAGAAGTTTGGGATTATGTTAAACAACCAAACTTAAGAATAATTGGTGTTCCTGAGTAAGAAGAAAAATATAAAAGTTTGAAAAACTTATTTGAGGAAATAATTGAGAAACAATTACCTGATGTTGCTAAAGATCTAGACATCCAACTACAAGAAGCTCTAAGAACACCTGGGAAATTCACTGCAAATAGATCATCACCTGGGCACATAGTCGCCAGGTTATCTAAAGTTAAGACAATGGAAAGAATCTTAAGAGGCATAAGGCAAAAGCATTAGGGTGAAAGAAAAACCTATCACATTAACAGCAGATTTCTCAGCAGAAACACTACAAGCTAGAAAGGAATGGGGTCCTATCTTTAGCCTCCTTAAACAAAATAATTATCAGCCAAGAATTTTGTATCCAGCAAAACTAAGCTTCATAAATGAAGGAGAAATAGTCTTTTTCAGACAGACAAATGCTGAGAGAATTCACCATTACCAAGCCGGCACTACAAGAACTACTAAAAGGAATTCTAAATCTCGAAACAAAACATGGAAATACACCAAAATAGAACCTCCTTAAATTATAAATCTCACATGGTCTATAAAACAGCAACACAATGGAAAAAAAAAACAACGTATTCAGACAACTAGCATAATAAATAGAATAGTACCTCACATCTCAACACTAACGTTGAATGTAAACGGCCTAAATGCTTCATTTAAAAGATACAGAATTGCAGAATGGATAAGAATTCACCAACCAAGTATCTACTGTCTTCAAGAGAAACATCAAATGCATAAAAACGCACAAAACTTAAGGTAAAGGGGTGGAAAAAGATATTCCATGCAAATAGACACCAAAAGCAAGCAGGAGTAGCTATTCTTATATCAGACAAAACAGATTTTAAAGCAACAACAGTTTAAAAAAAAAAGACAAAAGAGGGACATTATATAATGATAAAAGGACTAGTCCAACAGGAAAATATCACAATCCTAAATACATATGCACCTAACACTGGAGCTCCCAAATTTATAAAACAATTACGACTAGACCTAAGAAACAAGATAGACAGCAACACAATAATAGTGGGGGATTTCAATACTCCACTGACAGCACTAGACAGGTCATCAAGACAGAAAGTCAACAAAGAAACAATGGACTTAAACTATACCCTAGAACAAATGGACTTAACAAATATGTACAGAATATTCTAACCAACAATATACATTATATTCATCAGCACATGCAACATTCTCCAAGGTAGACCGTATGATAGTCACAAAACAAGTCTCAATAAATTTAAGAAAATTGGAATTATATCATGCGCTCTCTCGGACCACAGTGGAATAAAATTGGAAATCAACTCCAAAAGGAACTCTCAAAACCACGCAAACACATGGAAATTAAATAATCTGCTCCTGAATGATTGTTGGATCAAGCATGAAATCAAGATGGTAATTAAAAAATTCTTTGAACTGAATGATAATAATAGTGACACAACCTGTCAAAACCTCTGGGATACAGCAAAACTGGTGCTAAGATGAAAGACCATAGCATTAAATACCTACATCAAAAATAGACAAGCACAAATGGACAATCTTAAGTCACACCTTAAGGAACTAGAGAAACAAGAACAAAACAAACCCAAACCCAGAAGAAGAAAAGAAATAAAGATCAGAGCAGAACTAAATGAAATTGAAACAAAAAAATACAAAAGATAAATGAAACAAAAAGCTTGTTCTTTGAAAAGATAAATGTTGATAGACCATTAGCAAGATTAACCAAGAAAAGAAGAGAGAGTATCCAAATAAGCTCAATCAGAAATGAAATAGGAGATAATACAACCAATAGCACAGAAATACAAAAGATCATTCAAGGATACTACGAACACTTTTATCCACACAAACGAGAAAATTTAGAGGAGATGGATAAATTACTGGAAATATACAACCCTCCTAGATTAAACCAGGAAGAAATAGAAACTCTGAACAGACTAATAACAAGGAGCAAGATTGAAATCTTGGCAATTTAAAAACTTGAAACTATTCTAAAAGATAGAGAAAGAGGGAATCCTCCCTAAATCATTCTATGAAGCCAGTATCACCCTAATACCAAAACCAGGAAAGGACATAACAAAAAAAGAAAACTATAGACCAATATCTCTGATGAAATACGTAAAAATCCTCAACAAAATACTAGGTAACCAAATCCAACAGCATATCGAAAAGAATCCACCATGGTCAAGTGGGTTTTATACCATGGATCCAGGGATGTTTTAACATATGCAAGTCAATAAATGTGATACACCACATAAACAGAATTAAAAACAAAAATCACATAAGCATCTCAATAGATGCAGAAAAAACATTTGACAAAATCCAGCATCCCTTTATGATTAAAACCCTCAGCAAAATCAGCATAGAAAGGACATACCTTAAGGTAATAAAAGCTATCCATGACAAACCCACAGCCAACATTATACTGAACGTGGAAAAGTTGAAAGCATTCCCCCTGAGAACTGGAGCAAGATAAGGATGCCCACTTTCACCACTTGTATCTATTCAACATCGTACTGGGAGTCCTAGCCAGAGCAATCAGACAAGAGAAAGAAATAAAAGGCATCCACATCAGTAAAGAGTAAGTCAAATTATCACTGTTCACCAATGATATGATTATATACCTAGAAAACCTTAAAATACTTGTCCAAAAAGCTCTTAGATCTGATAAATGAATTCAGTAAAGTTTCAGGATACAAAATCAATGTACACAAATCAATAGCACTTCTATACACCAACAGTGACCAAGCTGAGAGCTGAGAGTGAAATCAAGAACTCAACCCCTTTCACAATAGCTGCAAAAAAAAATGAACAAACAAACTTAGGAATATACTTAACCAAGGAAGTGAAAGACCTCTATAAGGAAAACTACAAAATCCTGCTGAAAGAAATCATAGATGTCACAAACAAATGGAAACATATCCCATGCACATGGATGGATAGAATCAATATTGTGAATATGACCACAATGCCAAAAGCAATCTACAAATTCAGTGCAATTCCCATGAAAATACAACCATCATTCTTCACAGAACTAGAAAAAACATTCTTAACATTCATATGGAACCAAAAAAGGAGCCCGCATAGCCAAAGCAAAACTAAGCAAAAAGAATAAACCTGGAGGCATCATATTACCCAACTTCAAACTATACTACAAGGCTATAGTCCCCAAAACAGCATGATACTGATATAAAAATAGGCACATAGACCAATGGAACAGAATACATAACCCAGAAATAAAGCCAAATACTTATAGCTGACTGAACTTTGACAAAGCAAACAAAAGCATAAAGTGGGGAAAGGACACCCTATTCAACACATGGTGCTGGGATAATTGGCAAGCTACATGTAGAAGAATGAAACTGGATCCTCATATCTTGCCTTATACAAAAGTCAACTCAAGATGGATCAAAGACTTAAATCTAGGACCTAAAACCATAAAAATTCTAGAAGATAACATTGGAAAAACCCTTGTAGACATTGGCTTAGGCAAAGAGTTCATGACCAAGAACCCAAAAGCAAATGCAACAAAAATGAAGACAAATGGATCGGACTTAATTAAGCTGAAAAGCTTCTACACAGCAAAAGAAATAATTAGCAGAGTAAATAGACAACATACAGAGTGGGAGAAAATTTTGCAAACTATGCAGCCAACGAAGGGCTAATATCCAGAATCTACAAGGAACTCAAACAAATCAGCAAGAAGAAAACAAATACTCCCTCACAAAGTGGGCTAAGGATGTGAATAGACAATTCTCAAAAGAAGATATACAAATGGCCAACATATAAAAAAAAATCAACATCACTAATTATTAGGAAAATGCAAATCAAAACCACAATGGGATACCACCTTACTCCTGCAAGAAGGGCCACAATCAAGAAATCAAAAAATAATAGATGTTGGCATTAATGTGGTGAAAGGGATCACTTTTACACTGCTGGCAGGAATGTAAACTAGTACAACCAATGGAAAACAGTAGAGTTTCCTTAAATAACTGAAAGTAGATCTACCATTTGATCCAACAATCCCACTAGTGGGTATTTAGCCAGTGGAAAATAAGTCATTATATGAAAAAGACACTTGCACACACATGTTTATAGCAGCACAATTCCCCAAGTGCCCACCAATCAACAAGTGGACAAAATGTTATATATATATGTGTATATATATGTATATATATATAATGTGATATATATGTATATATATGTATATATATATAATGTGATATATATGTATATATATAATGTGATATATATGTATATATAATAATGTGATATATATGTGTATATATAATGTGATATATATGTATATATATATAATGTGATATATATGTATATATATATAATGTGATATATATGTGTGTGTGTATATATATAATGTGATATATATATGTGAATACTACTACTACTACTACTACTACTACTAATACTCAGCCATAAAAAGGAATGAAATAATGGCATTCACAGCAACCTGGATGGAGTTGGAGACCATTATTCTAAGTGAAGTAACTCGGGAATAAAAACCAAACATTGTATATTCTCACTCATAAGTGAGATTATACAAGCTATGAGGATGCAAAGTCATAAGAATGATACAATAAACATTGGGAACTCAGGGGGAAGGGTGAGGGTGGGGTGAGGGATAAAAGACTAGACATCGGGTACAGTATACACTGCTTGGGTGATGGGTGCACCAAAATCCCAGAAATCACGATTAAAGAACTTGTCAATGTAACCAAACACCACCTGTTCCTCAAAAACTATTGAAATAAAAAATAAATACATAAAAGAAGTTGAGGTTAAATTAATCTAAGTAGGGAGTGCATTTGGGCCAAGCTTGAGGATTGCAACGTTGGAGCACAGATTTAAGTTGCCCTGAATCTACACTCTGATAAGTGGCATTTATAAGTGGATTTTTAAAGGCAAAAGGGGGAGACAGGGAGAGGGCTGATACAAAGCTGTTTGTCAGGAATTCTTATTGGTTTACAGAAATAACATTGATAAGTGCTTATTAGTCCATTTTCATGCTGCTGATAAAGACATACCTCAGACTGGGCAATTTACAAAAGAAAGAGGTTTATTGGACCTATAGTTCCACATGGCTGAGGAGGCCTCACAATCATGGTGGAAGGCAAGGAGGAGCAAGTCACATCTTACATGGATGACAGCAGGAAAAAAGAGAGAGCTTGTGCAGAGAAACTCCCTTTTTTAAAACCATCAGATCTTGTGAGACCCGTTCAGGATCATGAGAACAGCACAGGAAAGACCCACCCCCAAGATTCAATCATCTCCCACCGGGTCTCTCCCACAACATGAGTGAATTATGGGAGCTACAGGATGAGATTTGGGTGAGGACACAGAGCCAAACCATATCAGAGTGATTGACTATACATTGTTAAGCTACAGGGTGTGGATTACAGCGTCCAGTGTGGCATTATTAGGTTAATCCATAGCTATTAATACCTGTGGCAATAGTAAGAGGTTTCAAGAGATGAACACACAGCTGAAAGTGGGGAGTAGGGAGTGGTTGCTGTCTTATTTTAATGTCTCTCTGGGCCTGATAATTTTAAAAGCCTTGCATTCTTCGGATACAAGTTCCTTTCTTTTTTTCAAGAACAACAGAGAAAGGCTGCCTGGCTACCTTTACCTGCAGCACCTCTGATAGTGGCTGCTTGGCAGCTGGTTAGGTAAACCCAATTTCTACTGGATAAACTTCATGGACATTCACCCATGTTAGTACTGGGGAATGCTCTGAAATAGCAAACTTGTCCATACAGCTCCCTTGCTGCTCAGAGGGTCTGGAGAGGAACAGCAGAGGCCCAGCCCCAAATACTTCTTGTACCGGCTTCTATTATGAGAGGTGATGGCACCTTTAGGCACTTATATTTCAGGTAGAAGGAGCAGGAATAAAGAAGAGAGGGCCACAATCTGAAATATCAGTTCTGGATCTCCCTGGGGGCAAGACACTGGCCCTTAGCTGAGCTATTCTGTCATCACTGTGAGCCCTCATGCTCGACCTCACCGGAGCACCCCTCGATCATGTGCTGAATGCCTAGCACGCGCCTGGCACTGTGGGGTACAGAAATCTAGAGCACAGAGCTGAGTTTTCAGGGCTTAGCTGTCCTCACATCTGTGACACAAACAAGGATCAAGGAAAGTTTTGTTTTTGTTATTTTTATTTTTTTTTAAGTTGGGGCCTTACTCTGTAGCCCAAGCTAGAGTGCAGTGGTGCAAACATAGCTCATTGCACCCTCGAACTCCTGGGCTCAAGTCATCCTCCCACCTTGGCCTCCAGAGTAGCTGGAAGCCCAGCTCAAGGAAAGCATTAACATGTTCTACTTTTCACCATAACTCCTGTGTATTGGGAAATGGAAAATGAGCTTTTGAAGTGGCCTATTCGCTTCCTCCATGAGTACTTCCTGAACACTTTCCTCTTGGCCACTGCTCCCAAGACCCCCTCAAAGTCTCTCTCCTGGACTTCCAGCTTCTGGAATGAGCCCCAAGAGTGGCACTTAGCTCCAGCTCCTAGTAGCTCACTCCTTCCTTGCTCACCTGTGCCCCCCACCTGTCTCCTTAGGGGCAGTGGCTTTGTCTTACTCATTTGCATATCACAAATGTCCAGCATAGAAGCCAGCATGGGGCCCAGTAAGTGTTTGTGGAGAAAGAAAGGGAAGAGGTGAAGAAGGGAGGAGACGGAGGGAGAAAAGGAGGGCAAGAGAGGGGATGTCATGTCATGTCATGTCATGTCATGTCAGTTCTCCCTTCCTAGATCTGGACAAGGGAAAGAAAAGCAAGCAAGCCTGACCGCCTCAGTGCAGACCCTCTAAGATGCAAGCCTTCCCCAGGTAAGACAGTTCCGCAGGGTGCTTCTGTGGGCTGGCTTTCTGAGCAGCCATCTCAAAGTATGCGAAAGAAATAGATTTTGGGCCGGGCACGGTGGCTCATGCCTGTAATCCCAGCACTTTAGGAGGCCGAGGCGTGTGGATCACCTGAAGTCAGGAGTTCAAGACCAGCCTGGCCAACATGGTGAGACCTTGTATCTACTAAAAATACAAAAACTAGCCGGGCTTGGTGGCGCATGCCTGTAGTCCCAGCTACTCAGGAGGCTGAGGCAGGAGAATCGCTTGAACCCAGGAGGTAAATGTTGCAGTAAGCCGAGATTGCCCCACTGCACTCCAGCCTGGATGACAAGAGTGAGACTCCATCTCAAAAAAAAAAAAAAAAAAAGATTTTAGGGGTAAAATATTTTGCTTTCCTTCAGTGGCTGGGCCACCTGTACACAATGCCTGAACCCAGGTCCTGCAGCCCCCAGCTTGGCTCTCCAAAGCTCACCAGTATCAAAGGATTTCAGCTTCTGCTCCTCTCCGCAGGGCTCTCTGGTGGGCCCCAGACAGAGATGAAGGAAAAGTCTGGCCTTGACCTTGAGGACCAAAAGCGACCACGTCAGACGCCAGCAGTCTCGTGCCCAGTTGCCAAGGGATCACCTGAGGAAGGCCCTTAAAATACAGGTGGTAATGCAGGGGTCTTGGGATGGCCCCGGACCGTTCATTTCTAATAATTTCCCAGGTGAAGCCAATGCTGCTGTTCCAGGAACCACCCTTTGAGAAGCACGGGTCTATACCACACGCACAGAAGAGGAAACGAAACGAGGCAAAGGAAACCAGTCCCTTTACTCGCGCCCAGGCAGGACAAAGCGGGCAAGGGTGGGGGCGGGGGCGCGGGCGCGGGCGCGGGCAGGCGGACGGACTTGCAGGAAATGCAGCCGGGAGGATGGGCAGGTTGTGGGATGCTCCGCCGTTCCGCGACCACCCGCCTCCCCGGCCCAGCAGAACCGGGTCCAGGCTGGGGGAGGTGCTAGCGGTGTATGTGAGTAACACTGCCCCCTCGTCGTGGCACCGCCCCCTTCTTCCCTGCCCCCTTCCCCGCCCCCTGGATTCTGAAGTCTGAAGTCATGCAATTTGACTTTTCCTTTCTGGAAACCAGCGAGCAGAAATGAAACCGAAACTGAATTGTCCGGGAAATTCGCGGTGGGGGCGGAGAGCGCAGGGAGAAGTAAGCCCAGTGCAGGATCCTGAGGCCCGTGTTTGCAGGACCAGGGCCGGCCTTCCGATTCCCCATTCATTCCAGAAGCACCGAACCACGCTGTGCCCGGATCCCAAGTGCAGCGGCACCCAGCGTGGGCCTGGGGTTGCCGGTTGACCCGGTCCTCAGCCTGGTAGCAGAGGCCAGGCCAGTGCCACAAGGTCAGGCTCCACTGGGCCCTGCCCGCCCAGGAGCCTGTGGTGTCAGGCACCTGAAGGGGTGGGTTGCCCCTCCACACCTGTGGGTGTTTCTCGTTAGGTGGAAGGAGAGACTTGGAAAAGAAAAAGACACAGAGACAAAGTATAGAGAAAGAAATAAGGGGACCCAGGGAACCAGCGTTCAGCATATGGAGGATCCCGCCAGCCTCTGAGTTCCCTTAGTATTTATTGATCATTTGTGGGTGTTTCTCCGAGAGGGGGATGTGTCAGGGTCACAAGACAATAGTGGGGAGAGAGTCAGCAGACAAACACGTGAACAAAGGTCTTTGCATCATAGACAGGGTAAAGAATCAAGTGCTGTGCTTTTAGATATGCATACACATAAACGTCTCAATGCTTTACAAAGCAGTATTGCTGCCTGCATGTCCCACCTCCAGCCTTAAAGTGGTTTTTCCCTATCTCAGTAGATGGAACGTACAATCGGGTTTTATACCGAGACATTCCATTGCCCAGGGACGGGCAGGAGACAGATGCCTTCCTCTTGTCTCAACTGCAAGAGGCATGCCTTCCTCTTATATTAATCCTCCTCAGCACAGACCCTTTATGGGTGTCGGACTGGGGGACGGTCAGGTCTTTCCCTTCCCACGAGGCCGTATTTCAGACTATCACATGGGGAGAAACCTTGGACAATACCTGGCTTTCCTAGGCAGAGGTCCCTGCGGCCTTCCGCAGTGTTTGTGTCCCTGGGTACTTGAGATTAGGGCGTGGTGATGACTCTTAAGGAGCATGCTGCCTTCAAGCATCTGTTTAACAAAGCACATCTTGCACCGCCCTTAATCCATTTAACCCTGAGTGGACACAGCACATGTTTCAGAGAGCATGGGGTTGGGGGTAAGGTTATAGATTAACAGCATCCCAAGGCAGAAGAATTTTTCTTAGTACAGAACAAAATGGAGTCTCCTATGTCTACTTCTTTCTACACAGACACAGTAACAATCTGATCTCTCTTGCTTTTCCCCACAGGCACCTAAGTCCACCTGGGCCTGGAGCAGGACAGGTTGCAAAAGAAAATATCTCGGGACCCCCAAACTCCTTATGCTAAGGGAAACATCGAGCCTGGGAACTGAGCCATCAACGCTGCCATTCTTTTTCCCAAACAGAACCCTGTTGTCAGAGGTACACCCAGAGCAACTCCACACCGGGTGCATGCCACAGCAACTCCATCTTAAATAGGAGCTGGTAAAACGAGGCTGATACCTACTGGGCTGCATTCCCAGACGGGTAAGGCATTCTAAGTCACAGGGTGAGATAGGAGGTCAGCACAAGGTCATAAAGGTCATAAAGACCTTGCTCATAAAACAGGTTGCAATAAAGAAGCTGGTTAAAACTCACCACAACCAAGATGGCCACGAGAGTGACCTGTGGTTGTCCTCATTTTTACACTCCCACCAGCGCATGACAGTTTACAAATGCCATGGCAATGTCAGGAAGTTACCCTACATGTATGTCTAAAACGGGGAGGCATGAATAATCCACCCCGTGTTTAGCATATCATCAAGAATAACCACAAAAATGGGCAACCAGCAGCCCTCAGGGTTGCTCTGTGGAGTAGCCATTCTCTTACTCCTTCACTTCAGGCAGGGGAGATGAATTTCCCTTTGAGCCTGTGGACAGAGGGCAGCCTGGCAGAGGGACAGGCATCAACAAAGCCTCTGAGTGTGACCTGGGTCCTGAGTTCAGGGATGGCAATGGGGTAACTGAGACTGGATCAGAAGTTGCCTGGAAGAAGAGAGGGCCATTATCAGAGTATAAGAGTGTGAAACTTATCTGGTAGGAAAAAAAAAAGAGTAACTGCTGTTCGTTTAATAGAGCACACATCCTCTGCAATTCAGGTGGGAGGTTGTGAGCTTCTTAAGTACAGAAGCTGCCTCTTGATTTCAGCATAGCGAGGAGGTGCTGAAGAGCGCAGGTTTGGAGAATGATCACCTGGATTGGAACCATAGCTCTACCAATATGGAACCCAGCTCCTTAGGCCTCGGTCTTCTCATGGAGAACATGGTGTGATAATCCTACTCCTCTGGGAGGGTGGCTGTTAAGGTGAGTGATTGCACACGAGTCCCTCTAGCTGATGTTACCGAGCGGTCCTTGTTTTTAGAGCTCCCAAGAGGGTGGCGGGCCACTTCCAAGATGGCGGCAAGCCTCTTGTTCTCTGACCTGGGGTTCTTGGCCTCACAGATTCCAAGGAATGGAATCTTGGGGCATGTGGTGAGTGTTCTCATTAGGACGAACCCAGGCACTTAGACATGCGGGAACAATGGCGAGCCTTTAGCCCGAATGGGAGCGGCAATGGGTGCCTCGCTGGATCAGGAGCACAGCGGACACACTGCCGGATCCAGAGGGGTGGACATCAGTGGTGGGTCTGTGATGGCGGCAAACAACAGCAGACAGCAAATGGCAGTGGTGGATGGCAAGCGAAAGCTCAGCTCCAGCCATAACAAACACGGACCAGAAGAGTGTGCAGTTGCAAGATTTAACAGAGTGAAAACAGACGTCCCATACAAAGGGAGGGAACCCAAAGGGGGTTGCCATTGCTGGGTCGAATGCCTGGGTTTCTGTCTCAATCACTGTCCCTCCCCCTGTGCTCTCAGGCAATAGATGATTGGCTATTTCTTTACTTCCTGTTTTTGCCTAATTAGTATTTTAGTGAGCTCTCTTTACTACCTGATTGGTCGGGTGTGAGCTAAGTTGCAAGCCCTGTGTTTAAAGGTGGATGTGGTCACCTTCCCAGCTAGGCTTAGGGATTCTTAGTCGGCCTGGGACATCCAGCTCGTCCCGTCTCTCACTGACACCTAACACATCCTACATGCTCAGTAGACAGGAGCTATTATTGTATGACTGACTGCTGAATTACACCCCAAAACAACCACCTATACTCCCCAAGGCCCTGCCATATCATATGCATATTAGAGGCAATGAAGCACCAAAATCTAAGGCCAGGGAAGGACTGCGGTGGACAAGGGAAGTGCCTAGGGCGTTAAAACTTAAGGAGGCATTGCACCAACTGGGAGTGAGCTGTGTGTGCTGTGTTTCCTGGGCAGGGCGCCTCACTGCCCTTCCGAGTCCTGCCCTGGCTGAGGTTGTGCCTCTATCTGGTTATCAGTTGCCTGCAGCTCTTTCTGATTTTGTTCGTGAACAAGGGCCCTTAGGGAAGCCTCCCGCTGTTGGAAACAGCAGCAGCATCACCCAGAGTGAAGTCTCTGTTCACATGAGTGCCAGCTCTGCTCACACCTACCCTGCGTTCCCAAGGCACTGTTCCTGCTTCAGAAAGCATCAGCCCAGCCTGCTCACAGTCCCCCAGGATGTGCTGTTGCCTGGGTTCTTGACTAGGAAGTAAAAGGCCCAGAGGGGTTGAGTGTGTGTGTGTGTGTGTGTGTGTGTGTGTGTGTGTTAAAGTGAGGTCATTGCTAATTCCTGGGAGAACTTGTGTTCCCCTTGGATGAACCCCTTGGATGAAGAACCCCTTGGATGGGGTTGCCCAGCCCTAGGAGTGGATCCTGCAAAGCAAAATAGATTTCAGCACAGGGAGCTGGCTGGGGGGCTCCTCCCCCTCTTGTAGGTGCAGCAGTATTGAATTTGATTCCATCCAGGTTTCCCCTGACCCCAGGACCTAAAGCTGGGGCAGGTTCTGGGCCTTGAGGTTGGTTGGGGGTGACCCTTCCTAATCATGGAAGTCTTTAGCGGGGGCTTGTAAGGGACTGTGAGCTGAGCTAAGGAGAATGGAGGTGGGGTGCCAACCGCTCCCAAAGGGAAATGCCATCTCCCACTCACAGCCAGTTAGCCGAGAATGGGAGCTCCCAAAGGGAGGACCACCCATGGGTCTGCTTGACTCAGCCCTCCCCAACCCCTTTCACCTTTGCAGTAAAACTCTAGCCAAGGAAGACAAAGAGACCTTTGGAGACCAAAACAGAACTTTTAATTCGGGCCAACAGCAGGCTCATGCCCAAAATGGCTGCCAACCCCAACAAAGAAAGCAGCTAGCTTATATGTCGTTTGAGATGGGAAAAACAAGGTAGGATACAGGTTTCAGACAAAGACAGTAAATTACTTAACCCGTGACAATTCTGAGGAAACTGGCAATTCAGTTATATTGACTAGTCATCCTCCAAGCTGGACTAGGGTTGGAGGCTGGGGTCCCGAGGCAGGTGATAAGCTTTTGAGATAAGCTTGCATCTGCAACTTGTTACAATGCTGGGAGGGGCTGCTTAAAATTTTAGCCTATGTGTTACTTCTAAATAGCTTATACTAAATGTTAACTGTTTTCATGTGCGTCCATGTGAAGAGACCACCAAACAGGCTTTGTGTGAGCAACATGGCTGTGTATTTCACCTGGGTGCAGGCGGGCTGAGTCCGAAAAGAGAGTCAGCGAAGGGAGATAGGGGTGGGGCCGTTTTATAGGATTTGGGAAGGTAATGGAAAATTACAGTCAAAGGGGGTTGTTCTCTGGTGGGCAGGGGTGAATCTCACAAAGTACATTCTCAAGGGTGGGGAGAATTACAAATAACCTTCTTAAGGGTGGGGAAGATTACAAAGTACATTGATCAGTTAGGGTGGGGCAGGAACAAATCACAATGGTGGAATGTCATCAGTTAAGGCTGTTTTTACTTCTTTTGTGGATCTTCAGTTACTTTAGGCCATCTGGATGTATACCTGCAAGTCACAGGGGATGCGATGGCCTGGCCTGGGATGCGATGGCCTGGCCTGACAACTATTACCTATGTTATGTTTATTATTTTAAGCTTTATTATTACTATTTTATTTATTTTATTTTATTTTCCTTCCACACACCCGTTTCCACCCTGGAGAGGCCAGATGAGCCAGACTCCAGGGAGGCCTAGAAGTGGGCAAGGGGAAACGGGAAAGGAGGAAGATGGTATGGGTGTGCCTGGTTAGGGGTGGGAGTGCTGGACGGAGTTCGGGACAAGAGGGGCTCTGCAGCCATTGGCACACAATGCCTGGGAGTCCCTGCTGGTGCTGGGATCATCCCAGTGAGCCCTGGGAGGGAACTGAAGACCCCCAATTACCAATGCATCTGTTTTCAAAACCGACGGGGGGAAGGACATGCCTAGGTTCAAGGATACGTGCAGGCTTGGATGACTCCGGGCCATTAGGGAGCCTCCGGAGCACCTTGATCCTCAGACGGGCCTGATGAAACGAGCATCTGATTCAGCAGGCCTGGGTTCGGGCCCGAGAACCTGCGTCTCCCGCGAGTTCCCGCGAGGCAAGTGCTGCAGGTGCGGGGCCAGGAGCTAGGTTTCGTTTCTGCGCCCGGAGCCGCCCTCAGCACAGGGTCTGTGAGTTTCATTTCTTCGCGGCGCGGGGCGGGGCTGGGCGCGGGGTGAAAGAGGCGAAGCGAGAGCGGAGGCCGCACTCCAGCACTGCGCAGGGACCGGTGAGTGTCGCTTCTGGGGGCAGCGCCCAGTAACCGCGCTAGGAGCGCGGAGAAGGGCATTGGGAGAGCGGCGTTCGTGGCGGAGACTAGCGCTCCGGAGCACGGGCACGACGGGGGCACCTTCTCGGCTGCTAGTAACTAACAATAATAATAATCATAATCATAGCAAGGGCGCTGATGGGCGGGCTCGGAGCACGCCTGATTCTGGTTCCCACCAGGCTGCCCAGGCTCCTGATGACGCATCAGAAACATCCCCCTAACCCGCGGCCTTCCTGCAGGAGAGGTTGGGAAGGGGTGGGGGACGGGGCTCGGGGGAGGTCTCCGAGGGACTCTAGTAAGCGGGGAAGGGCGCCGGGAAAGTTTCAGATCCACGGCTGCGCGGGCCACGAGCCCACCCGAACGCCGACCACTGCTTTCCGTCGACTTCTATTTCCTGGGAACGCGCGAAAGCAAACCCAAGTCAGACTGCGGAGGTCGCTGGGGAGGGAAGGTTCAAGGAGTTCTCGCCGATCCTGCTGAATAAAGGGGGTTCCGAGCTGGGCCGAGATGGGGCATGCGCGGGAAGACCCCTGCCCGCTGTTCCCCCCCACCGCCCCAGTGGATGCCATGCCTGGGGCCTCCCCGGCGCGTGGGGCTGACGCACCCTCGGGGTCCATCGTAGTTGGCCGGGATCGTGGAGTGGGTGCGGTGGACGAAGGGAGGCAGGACAGTCCCGGGGGTGGCAGAAGGAGCCCGGGCACAGCTGAGACCTGCGCTCCCATCCCACCAACACTCACAGCAGGTGCTGCCGAGCTGGGCAATTGGGATGGCCCAAGTTATTTGGTTAAATTTTAAATCACGTTTGTTACTGGGAAGTAGAGTCCAGTGATGCTAACCGCGCCTCTACCTCCACCACCGGTGTCAGTCCCAAAGGGCTCCTAAAATGGCTGTGTCATCTTTCAGCCTTGGACCGCAGTTGCCGGCCAGGAATCCCAGTGTCACGGTGGACACGCCTCCCTCGCGCCCTTGCCGCCCACCTGCTCACCCAGCTCAGGGGCTTTGGTAGGTAGCAGTGCATTTGGTCTAAAGGGCAAGATGTTCTCTCTTTTATTCATAACAAATTTAAATACCAGCAGGGTTTGGGGGGAAAAACGCTTTCAGAAGAAAAGGTGAATGTCAGTCCTGCAAGAGTTAGTTTTAAAACTAGACTGAATTGGCACATGTATACCTATGTAACAAACCTGCACGTTCTGCACATGTACCCCAGAACTTAAAAGCTTATAAAAAAAGAAAAAACTAGACTGGATTATGTTGGGAAAGTGTAGCCTCTTCCATCTTAGGCATTTCCTAGAACGTAGGCAGTAGGTGGTCCTTATTAGGAGTTTTGGGAGAGGAAGGGGGCTGAATCCTACCTCCCATCCCTGCTCCTCTATGGGGTCTGAGCTGAGGAAGCTTCACCACAAGGAGAGAACCCCCTGACAACCCTGGATGCCACCTTTACCCTCACTGCAGGAATTCTGTGGCCACACTGCGAGGAGATCGGTTCTGGGTCGGAGGCTACAGGAAGACTCCCACTCCCTGAAATCTGGAGTGAAGAACGCCGCCATCCAGCCACCATTCCAAGGTAAGGCAGAAATGAAGTGGGCCGTTGGGTTCTTTCTTTTCTTTCTTTCTTTTTTTTGAGACAAGGTCTCACTCTGTCGCCCAGGCTGGAGTGCAGTGGCGCCATCTCAGCTCACTGCAACCCCCGCCTCCCAGGTTCAAGCGATTCTGGTGCCTCAGTCTCCTGAGTAGCTGGGATTACAGGCACACATCACCACACCTGGCTAATTTGTATGTGTTTAGTAGAGACAGCATTTCACCATATTGGCCAGGCTGGTTTCAAACTCCTGGCCTCAAATGATCCACCCGCCTTGGCTTCCCAAAGTACTGGGATTACAGGCACGAGCCACTGCACCCAGTCAGGTTCATTTTAGTTGTTATGTTAACCAGGTTTCCTGCACCTGTGCGCTAACTTTCACTTTCCCAAAAGGTTTCAGGGTGACCCAGCAGGCAATGAGTGATTCTCAAATTCAGGATTTATTGTGAGAGATTCACACACACAATTGAGCAGACATTCACAGTACAATGATTAAAGGGAGTGATAGGGTAAGGACCCACAGTGGAGGCTCTGGAGGCCAGCCCACTGACAGCCACTCCAGGGAGTCCAGAAGTCCCGCTCTAGTGCTGGGTGGTGGAGGGAAATCTGTTCCTCCAGGGACCTCGTCCTCGGCTGCCCAGCTGCCAAAGTCAGGAATAAGCTTTCAGAAATCTCACTGCCAAGATTCCGAAAACGCTTCAGACATTGCTAGTCCCTTGTCGCTTTTGCGATCCTCCACAGGTGTGCGTGCCACTGGGTCCTTATTCACTGGGGTCTCTGGTGGCATTGGGCCACAGCAAGTGTTCCCTCATCCCCTTAGTCTACCACACACATGCTTACCACTTTGAAGAAAAACCCCTTTACTATGAGCGAAAGTGAGAAACACGTATGTTTATTGTTTCTAAAGAAAGAAACTTAATATGGGCTTAATGCTACCTAGTGAGTGCCTCCATTTTGAGACATTAGGGTCACAAGTCATTATTATATATCATGGGCACAAACCTGCCCTGGGCAGGGACGGAAGGAAGCCCCTGCACAGGGGCAGTTGCTCAGGATGTGAGAAGAGCCTGGTGCATAACCCCATCCATGCCCACCTAACATCTCAGGCTCTGACCAGTGGGGCTGTGCAGTAGCGAGTGGATGGAGGGCTGGAACCCTGCAGCCTCCTCTCCAAACACAGGGTGCAGCCAAGACATTTTAGGAGCAATTTGGGATGGAGAGCTAGGAGTCGCCACCTCTTGGCTCTTCCAAGGCCGGAACTGGTGCCTGCACTCAGTTCAGTTTGAAGACTGCAGCTGGATGCCAAGTTCCATGGAGGAGTAAGAAACCGGTTTGAACTCCCGAGATTGCCCTGCCCCTGAAATCCAAACTGATGTTCCGAATGATCAGGGAAAGGTACAAACGTTTATGGTTTACAGACAAAACCCATAAGGTTTAGCTTTCAGAGAATCTCATTTTATGAAGCAAATTAGGGAAGGGAATCTACTCACCAAGTCCTGTTTCAGCTGATTGAGTGGAACCTGTGGTCATGTGGTACAAGTCCTGGTCTCAATGATGCTCCTTATCTGGCTGCAGAAAGGCCAACTGAGGCAACCATAGCCCAGAAGACTGGTACTCCTGAGAGGCAGATGAAGTGGTGGTCTTTGATATCGAGCCTGGGATGCCCTGGGCACATGAGGTATTTCCAAAGGCATGGGAGTTTTAGGGAATAAATTCCCAGATTGTCAGACTCCATAAGTACCGTTTACAATGGATTACCTTTTATAACCATCCCAATCCTACCTGACAAAAGAGGTGGGCAGATTACGAGGTCAGGAAATTGAGACCATCCTGGCTAACACTGTGAGACCCCATCTCTACTAAATAAATACAAAAAATTAGCCGGGTCTGGTGGCGTGCACCTGTAGTCCCAGCTACTTGGGAGCCTGAGGCAGGATAATCGCTTGAACCCGGGAGGTGGAGGTTGCAGTGAGCCAAGATTGCGCCACTGCTCTCCAGCCTGGTGACAAAGCGAGACTGTCTCAAAAAAAAAAAAAAAAAGAAAGAAATACATCCCTTTCTTCCCTTCCAAATCGAGCAAGGATGCCTGCCCTGGAAGTGTATAAACCCGGGGAAGGGAGACAGAAAAGGATAGTTTTAAGTATTGGTGTTGGGGACGTGTTCTTTAGCCAAGGCAGCATGAACCCATGGCAGCACTTCCCAACCTTCCTGACATGGGCGTTTCTGTGAACTCCAGTGTGATGGAGAAATGGCATTGGCTCAGGTGTGCAGCTAGATATGTTACAGAGCAGGGTGACAGGCAGGGGTGATGAGTTTTGTTTTAACAACCTGTCCCTTCAACCCTCATGGTACTGACAAAGATCACATGGCTCTCGGGGGAGATTCCTGCGAGGGGAAGCAAGGAGAGCATCCTTACATATTATTGATCCAGGCAGCAGATTTGCAGCAAAGCTCTGTGCTTTATTCATCTGTTAAAATAGTTAAAATAGTCAAAACATAGGAAAAGGATTCTGGGAAGTCAGAATCGGCTTCAGAGCACACCCCTCCTGCACTTGCCCGGTTCTCAGACTTGGGAATGGGACTGGGTGGGTGGGTACTCTCGGGTGTTCCGCGGGTTTGGGTCTTACTTGTACACTTTGCTTGATTTCAAGGAGGTGCAGGAGAACAGCTCTGTGATACCATTTAACTTGTTGACATTACTTTTATTTGAAGGAACGTATATTAGAGGTAAGTTGGTGCATGCTATTTTCTGTAACATTTATTTTGAGTCATAGGAGAAAGATTTTCAGTTACTTTTATCCAAGATTATTAGACACTGTAAAATTTCATATTTAGGCACTTGTCCTACAACATTTTAAAAATGAATTTCAAATACATACGTGTGTATTTGTAATGCAGACAAGTATAAGGCAGTCAGTTACATGCTTTCAAGAGTAAAATGAATGACATTTCATTTCCCCCATTTGTGGGAGTAAAAGAATGACAATATGAAATTGATGATCAAAAGAAAGAGCATAAAAGATTTAGAGCTCACGTGTTTTTTAAACTAAAGGTTTGGGTATCAAATTACCGTAATATTTGGATTCTCTTGGCTACATTGGAAACAGTTCTATAACAATTTTATTTTTAAATGTAAAGTTTTTGTTTGTTGTTGTTTTTAAGACGGGGTCTCGCTCTGTCGCCCAGGCTGGAGTGCAGTGGTGCGATCTCGGCTCACTGCAACCTTCACCTCCCAGGTTCAAGTGATTCTCCTGCCTCAGCCTCCCAAGTAGCTGGGACTACAAACACACACCACCACTTCCAGCTAATTTTTGTATATTTAGTAGAGATGGGGTTTCACTATGTTGGCCAAGCTCGCTTCGAACTCCTGACCTCAGGTGATCCACTCACCTTGGTCTCCCAAAGTGCTGGGTGGGATACAGGCGTGAGCTACTGTGCCCAGCCTTTAAATGTAAACTTTTTAATTGTATTACAACTGCATCAGAAGTTGTATACTTTGCAACTATTCAAATTTATACTGAAAACGTTTTTGAAGTTCAACCTAAAATTATGACAGGAGATAGTTTTAGAAAATATTTTGGGGAACAGAGGCATATTCTATTTTTTTTTTTTGAGACAGAGTCTTGCTCTGTTGCCCAGACTGGGGTGCAGTGGCGTGATCTCAGCTGACTGCATCCTCTGCCTGCCAGGTTCAAGCAATTCTTTGCCTCAGCCTCCTGAGTAGTTGGGATTACAGGTGCCCGCCACCATGCCTGGCTAATTTTTTTGTATTTTTAGTAGAGACAAGTTTTACCATCTTGGCCAGGGTGGTATTGAACTCCTGACCTCATGATCTACCTGCCTCAGCCTCCCAAAGTGCTGAGATTACAGGCGTGAGCCCCGGGGCCCGGCCTGGAGGGATATTCTTGAAGCGCCTTGAGCAGGGAGGCAGCGTTTGTCTTTATCTGACCTTGGCTTCTTTGGGTCACTCTGTTTCTCTTTCCGTGAATAAAAAGCCAGTGAGCACACACTGTGTCCCAGGCACTCTTCTACGCTCTGGGGACATCACCATGAACAACTAGTCAGAGTCCCCACCTCCAGGGGCCTTCCGTTCTGGTGGTGGGTTTGGTTCCATGGTTGAATGCACCCAGCTGCTTATCTGTTCAATAGGCATCTGCTTTATTTTAAGCTTACTTTGCAAAGAAGGAAGATGGTTGTTTCCGAAGTGGACATCGCAAAAGCTGATCCAGCTGCTGCATCCCACCCTCTATTACTGAATGGAGATGCTACTGTGGCCCAGAAAAATCCAGGCTCGGTAAGTTGCTCTCTGAAAGTCGCTATCCATGTGACATGAGCCATGCCCATTCGAGGCTGCCCTTTTCTACAGCGGTGCTACTGCTGCCCAGATATGCCTGCTCTCTCGCCTCTCCTGTGCCAGGACGCAGATCCTGACCCTCTACTTGCCAGCTGACAACCATGTATAGACTCGTTGCCTTAGCTCACCGTGGGTGGAGGTGCTGCTGGGGTTGGGGACACTGGCTGAGCTGTCGATGGGTTCAGCTCATCTATACTAGAAGGAACTGGCCCAGGCCCTGGGTTCAAGGAGCACTAGGTTTGTTTTTCCTGCCCACATCATGATTCAGTCTCAAGCTACAAACCCTGGGGCATCATTAAGATATTATCTTTGTAGGGAAGCCACGTGGTGAATTTTTTGCCCAGAATCAAGACATATTTTTGGTGGGAACCAATCATGGCCCCTGGAATCAGTCCAACCTCAGTTGGTCCCGACGCTGACACTCTCAGCTGTGTGATTGTGGGTAGTTATTCCTCCTGTTATAAGCCTGGTTTTCCATATCTAAAATGAGAATAATGGTCTTTGCTTTATATGGCTGAGAGCAAAGTGCAGGGAGTGTCCAGGTACTCAGAGTGCTCAGTTTCTTATTACCGTGGATCACTGGTCTGTTTCAGGCTGGCTCTGTTTTCCTAGGCAATGTTAAACAATTTTTCAAACAATATTCAAAAAACATTGAAGCGTTTAGAAAAATACAGAGGACCACCACCTTTCCACCACCCTGATACCACCGTTTACATTTTTCTGCATTTCCGTCCCTGGTGCGTCTCTTGTCTGGCTGTAAGAGATGTAATTATGTCAGGGTATGGGGCAGGAGGAACTCTCACCCACTCATACTTGCGTGCTTTGGAAGCAGCTTGGCCTTTTCCAGTCAAGGAGAACAGAGTGTGTCTCGTGATCTGGCAGTTCCACTTCTGGGGATAGACTGTGGTTCTCAAAGTGTGGCCCCCAGCCCAGCCCATTAGCATCACCTGGGAAGTTGACTGAAATGCAAATGACCAGCCCCTCCTCCCACTCTTAGACCTGGTGAATTGGACACTCTGGGGCAGGGCCCACCCCCTGTGCTTTACCAGGCTCTCCAGGTGATTCTGCTGTGTGCTGGAGTTTGAGGACCATGTGTAAACCCTTGCACATCCCCCTGGGAGCCACATGCATAGCAGCACTGTTTATAACAGCAAAACTCAGACCCTGTCTACGTGCCTGTCATGGTGGAATGGATACTGGGAGTGTGGTATGTTCATGTAGCAGAATTCTATACAGTAGTAAAGAGGAATGAACTAGAGTTCCAGGTATCAAAATGGCTGCATCAAATGAACAACGTTGAACCAAAGAATCAAGTTACAGGAAATATACAAAATGATTCCACTTACGTAAAATTCCCCAACAGGCAGCAATAGGCAATATACCATTGTGGGAAAAACATATAGGTGGCAAAACTATAAAGAAAAGCAAGGATGTGATGATTGCAAGCCTCAGGATAGAGGGACCCTCTGGAGGTGAAGGAGTTGACCCAGGGAGGTGTGTGCAATGTCCTAAGTACTGGGAGTGTTTGTGTTCTTAACCCAAGTGGTTGGTACATGCATATTTGCTTTATTATGTTTGACACACTTTTGTAAATAGATAGTATAAATAAATGAAAACAAACAAAAAGTTATAAGGTGAACTAAGACCGAGGCTACCAACTGTATTCATGCATTTGGTAAGGCTGTGGTTCTTTCTCAGTCAGGGCCCATTTTGCTCCCTGGAACTTGTGGCCAGGTCTAGAGACATCTTGGTTGTCACAACTCAGGGTGAATAGTGAATAGAGGCCAGGTATTTGGCTAAACCTCCTACAATGTGTAGGGTAGCCCCTGCAACAAACAATCTTCTAACCCCAAATATGAATAGCTTCTTGTCCTGTTATAAAGAAGCTATTCTAGTAAAAACGTCTGTCTATGATGAAGCATGCACAAAAATAGTCATTAGAAAGAGGTAAAAGACAAAATGATTTTCTCATATTTTCTTCCTGAACCTCAATCAGCCCACTTTAGGAAAATTGCACCCAGCTGCTGGTAGGTAGGCAGGACCGAGTGTGAAGTCTGCTGCTTTCTCTGTTTTTATGCAAGTACTTCACTATTTTGATTACTTTAGTTTTATAGTAATTATGGAAATTAGGTAATGCTAGTCCTCTGACTTTGTTCTTCTTTTTCAAAGTCATTTTGACTAAGAATATTTAGATCATTTCTATTTAATGTGACTGGTAATATAATTAGATTTGAGAATATCATCTTGCTATTTGTTTTCTATTTGTCCCGTCTGTTCTTCGTTCCCCCTTTCGTCTTTTTCTGCCTTCTCTTGGATTATTTTTTATGATTCCATCATGTCTCCTTTGTTGTCTTATTAAGTATAACTCTTGGTGTTTTTAGTATATATCTTTAACTTAATAAGTCAACCTTCAAGTGATAGTCTGTCACTTCATGTATAGTGCGAGAACCTTAGAATAGTGTATTTCCATCTCTCTGCTCTGAGCCTTCATACTATTTCTATCATGCATCTTTTACATACATCATAAACCCCACAATACATTGTTATTATTGATGTTCAAACATTCAATTATCTTTTAAATAAAGATAGCAAAGGAATACAAAAAAGTGTAGTAGTTACCCCTTCTAGTATAGACTCCTTTGTATAGATCCAGATTTCCATTCAGTATCATTTTCCTTCTACCTAAAGAACTTCTTTAACATTTCCTGTAGTGCAGGTCTGCTGGTAATGAATTAGTTAAGCTTTTGAATGGCTAAAAAAGTCTTTGTTTTGCCTTCATTTTTAAAAGTTATTTTTGCTGGGTATAGAATTCTAGATTGATGGTGTTTTTCAGTACTTTAAAAATACTGCTTCACTGTCTTCTCGCTTGTTATTGCTTCTGATAAGATTGACAGCAGATTTCTCATTTGTGTCCCTCTGCTCACACTGTATCATTCTCTGGCTGCTCCTAACATTTTCTCTTTATTACTGGTTTTGAGCAATTTGACCCTCTTATGGCTTGATGATGTTTATGTTTGCTGTGCTTAATGTCTGTTGAGTTTCTGGGATCTTTGGGTTTATGGTTTTCATTAAGTTTGAGGGAATTGTATGTATTATTTCTTCAAATATTTTTTTCTGTCTCTCTTCCATTCTCTTTTGGGGATTCCAGTAACCTGTGTATTAGACTTATTGAAGTTGGCCGTCTTTAATGGAGTGTATTGGTTCATTCTCACACTGCTATAAAGAACTGCCTGAAACTAGGTAATTTATAAAGAAAAGAGGTTTAATTGACTCACAGTCCACATGGCTGGGGAGGCCTCAGGAAACTTACAATCATGGAGGAAGGCATCTCTTCACAAGGTGGCAGGAGAGAGAATGACTGAAGGAGGAACTTGCCAAACACTTATAAAACCATCAGACCTCATGAAAACTCACTATCATGAGAACAGCATGGGGGAAACCTCCCCCACAATCCAATTACCTCCACCTGGTCTCTCCCTTGACACGTAGGGATTATGGGGATTACAATTCGAGATGAGATTTGGGTAGGGACACAGAACCAAACCATATCATGAGCATGATTTGCAGGCCATGAAGAATTCTCCATTTTTGTTTCCTCCAGGTGGCTGAGAACAACCTGTGCAGCCAGTATGAGGAGAAGGTGCGCCCCTGCATCGACCTCATTGACTCCCTGCGGGCTCTAGGTGTGGAGCAGGACCTGGCCCTGCCAGCCATCGCCGTCATCGGGGACCAGAGCTCGGGCAAGAGCTCCGTGTTGGAGGCACTGTCAGGAGTTGCCCTTCCCAGAGGCAGCGGTAAGAACTTACATTCTGTGTTAGTCTGCTCAGGCTGCCATAACAAAATACCACAGACAGGGTGGCTTATACAACAAAAGTTTATTTTCTCACAGTTCTGGAGACTGGAAGTCCAAAATCAGGGTTTAGCTTCTCCTGAGGCCTTTCTCCATGGCTTGCAGATGGCCACCTCCTCACCGCTCCCCCATGCGGCCTTCCTTCCACACACAAGCATCTCTGCTGTCTCTTCCCCTTCTTCATAAGGGCACCAGTCATATTGGATTGGGGCCTACCCTAATGACCTCATTTAACCTTAATTGCCTCTTTAAAGGCCTTATCTTCAAATACAGTCCCATTAGGGGTTAGGGCTTCAACATAGGAATTTGGAGGGAACACCATTTCATAACGCTATCTCATTGCACATTTTTTTCACATAAGTCATATGTAATCTACAGTTTGAGGAGAATCTGAATAAACACATTTGGGTCCCCCAGTTCAGAACTATATCAGTGAGGTCTCAAAGAGTTCAGGCCTGGGACGGGTCTTGCAATACAGATCAGGTGTGGTAGGAAGAATATGGAAGGAGTTTACAGTAGGAGGACTGTTGTAAGGTGGCCTGGTAGCAGCAGGATGCTTTCCTAATGGGGGTAGAGTGTGTATGCTGGGGGGATAATGGAAGATGTTCGGATGAGTTTCGGGGGATTCCCAATGTGGTCTGCCACCTGAGCTGATGGCAGAACACTGGGATGAGGCAGGAAGCCAAAAGTGGTGGCTTTCAAGCGTTAGTAAGCAAAAACTCACCTGGGTTACATACTCAGAATGCATGTTCTTGAGGTCACCCAGACACAGTGCGATGTCCCCGCATATCAGAGGGTAAGACCAGAAAGTTTCCAGTTTTAAATGTCTCCCCATATGATTGTATAAAAGTTTGAGAACCATGGGCCTAAGGCGCTATGTAGGTCTTTTAAGAGCAAAGTGGAGCACTGATGTGGGCGTGGCCTCCTAGGGATCGTGACCAGATGCCCGCTGGTGCTGAAACTGAAGAAACTTGTGAACGAAGATAAGTGGAGAGGCAAGGTCAGTTACCAGGACTACGAGATTGAGATTTCGGATGCTTCAGAGGTAGAAAAGGAAATTAATAAAGGTGAGTACCCCCTGTTTGGATGCCTGGTCAAGCCTTCTGACATGCATGGGGTCTGTTTGTAACTGTTCATACTCCCACCTCCCTGGGCCTGTGCTGTCAGGACACCTTTCTCCTGCACATCAGGCCACGGTTCCTTCTACTTCTTTTACCTCATTATGACCAGCACGCTTGGATATCAGCATCTGATAGCAATCATTTATTTCTGGCCAGGCACAGTGGCTTGTGCCTGTAATCCCAGCTCTTTGGGAGGCTGACACGGGGGGATTGCTTGAGCCTAGGAGTTCAAGACCAGCCAGGGCAACATAGTGAGACCCCGTCTCTTAAAAAAAAAAAATTAAAATAGCTGGGCAGGGTGGCATGCACCTGTGGTCCCAGCTATTCAGGAGGCTGAGGTGGGAGAGTTGCTTGAGCCTGGGAAGTCAAGGCTGCAGTGAGCCGTGATCTTGCTACGGCACTCTAGCCTGACAACAGAGTGAGACCCTGTCTCAAAAACACATGTATTGCTTATTATGTAAGTATCTAGAATAATGTGAATTTTAAAATGTCCCCACATATGGATGATCTGTCCCTTATTCAAGGGCTTCCCTACTTAGATCTGGCAGGAAGAGGAGCCAGATATGGGGGTGAGGGAGCTCCTCCCCCTGTTCCTTTGTACAAGGAACTCCACATTGTGGACAGGATCGTCACTGAACCCCACTCAGAACCAGCACCCTTTTCTAAGAAAGAGGAGTGACTGTGTTTGCATAATCCCAGCTTAGGCTAATTCATGGCAGGCCTCCATAAATGCAAACCACAAGGATCAATTTGAAGTGTCTGCAAGGGGAAATGACACCAGCAGTGTAGACAGGGTAGAGTAGCTGACAAAGAACAGCCTCTGTGAGATGCATGGATAACATCTTCCTATCGACCTTCATGTTTTTCTGGCATGTCACATGTTTAAGTTTCATTCACACTGGGAAGGTACTGAAGAGACATGAACTAATGCCCAGCAGTAGGAAGGGACGGGTTTAGCATTTGTAAAGATGGAGCATTAATCACATTTGTTGACTGTTTAAAGAAAGATAAATAATGTTATTGACAAACCGTGATTTTGAATTAGTTGGGATTAGGTTGGCTGCTTGCAGCAGAAAACTCAAAATAACTGTGTGCCTTAGCCCTTGCTGTATAACAAACCCATCTTAAAACTAATGGCTTGACCACTTTTATTTCTCATGATTTGATGGACCAGCTGGGCAGTTCTTCTCTGGGCTAGCTGGGCTGGGGCTGATGGTCCAGGATGGCCCTTGGCTGGAGTGACCGGGCCTTCTGTCTGTGTGGTCTCTCACCCTCCAGAAGGCTAAGCTGGACTTATCAATGTGGGTGGAGGGGTTCCCAGCAGCAAGAGAGGGCAAGACCCGACATCTAACACCTTTCGGTCTCTCCTGACGTGGCACTGTGTAACATCCCCTTAGCCAGAGAAAGTCACGTGGCCAAGCCCAATTTCAAGGGACCGATTTTCTCTCTCTCCATGGAAGTGACGAAGGCACCCTGTAAAGTAGCGTGCATACAGGGATGGAAGGGAATGTGGATGCCATTGTGCCAGCAAGTTGCTGAGACAGCGGTCTAAACAATGTAGAGGCTTTCTGTCCCTCTCATATAAGTCTGAAGGCGGGCAGACCAGAGCTGATTGGGGATTCCAATGTCAGGAACCAAGATTTATTCTTCTCCCATTTCTTCATTGGGTGTGGCCTCTGTTTCCAAGGCCCCCCCGTGACTTAGTCAGCAAGTCCGCTTTGAAGCCAGCTGGACCATGGCAAGGGGCATATCTCTGCCTTTGTAAGCACACTTTCTGGAAGTTGCACATAACATTTTCACATGGCCCATTGGCCAGAACCCGATCTCATGACCACATGGCAGGTACATGGATATTGGGGGAACAATTAGTGGACCATAACCACTGATATTTCCTAAGTTCTAAATTGATATCAAACATCCCAAAAAGGCATTCTAGATTTAGAAAAGAGTAAAGTGGTGTTAGCCAACAATTTGATGAAACAAATTCATATCCTAAAATTCATTAAGGAGGAAGGAGCAAAATAAAATCTCTTAATGGGATGTTAACAGCCAGTGCTTATCTTAGCTAAAATAAGCACATTTCCCCATATAATTTTCCAGTTTATATTTTAGGCATTTCCATATATTTTTATTTGTTTTTATTTTGCTTGGTTGCTAATTTCCTACTGACATCAATGAGAAGGATTTAGGAATGCTACCAGGAAGAACTTCTTGCCTCCGCCCAGCTTTGGACTGGTCTAAGTGGGTGTCACTCATGGTGACGTTCTCACAAGGTCTCTCTACACACAGTGCTGGCCAACAGCAGGGAAAATACTGAGTTATCCTTTGAGATCTCTTTTATCCCAATCACAGAAAATTGAATCTGCTCCAAATATGCTTTTATCCATGACTCGCAGAGAGGAGAAGATGCTTTCAGAGTATTCACCATCATGAGATCCGTTTATCCTAAGCTCTGTTTGGGTTTGATTTTCCCTGTCTCTTTTCTAGCCCAGAATGCCATCGCCGGGGAAGGAATGGGAATCAGTCATGAGCTAATCACCCTGGAGATCAGCTCCCGAGATGTCCCGGATCTGACTCTAATAGACCTTCCTGGCATAACCAGAGTGGCTGTGGGCAATCAGCCTGCTGACATTGGGTATAAGGTCAGACTTCAGACCCATTCTGACCTTGGCCGTGGCGTGGGGATGGGGGAGTGGAGGGGTGGGAGGAGAAAGAGGGTACTGTATTAGAGTAACCGTGAGTCCAGAGCTGAGTTTTGGAGTTAGTATTTGGAGGTGTGAGTGGGGAATTTAGAGAGCCCGTTGGTCACAGTCTGTTCTGTCAAGTTGAATGGAAGCTTCTTTGGAGAAAGTGAGGCCAGTGGGCACAGTTGGAAATGTGTTCTGTGTATTTGTTTTATGTTTTATGCAATGACTTGTTTTTGGTTATATACATTTTGCAGCATATCTAAAGTGCTGTGTATTAGGAAGGGGTCTTATGTGGGAAGAGAGCATTAAAAATAAGTATAATGGGCCACACACAGTGGCTCAGTCCTATAATCCCAGCACTTTGGGAGGCTGAGGCAGGAGGATTCCTTGAGCCCAAGAGTTTGACAGAAACCTGAGCAACATAGTGAGACCCCCTTCTCTATAAAAGAAAGGTTAAAAAATTAGCCAGGTATGGTGGCGTGCACCTGTCAGCTACTAGGAGGATTGCTTGAACCAGGGAGGCTGTGATGAGCCGTGATTGTGCCACTGCACTCCAGCCTGGGCAACAGAGCAAGAATCTGTCTCAAAACAAAAAACAAAACAAAACAAGCAAGAAAGAAATAGGTATAATGATATTTTAGTATCAGTGAATCTCACTTTACAGATTAAAGATTTAGGGGTGAAGTGGGGTTTTTTGGCCACCATTTTTCATTGTGACCATCAGATCTGAGGTCTTAGGGGTTAATTATCTGAAACTTCATGGTTTTCCCTGAGCCTATAGCTCTGCTTCTGCCACAGATAATTTATTTTCTCATAATTCCAGCTTGGTACCTCCAGGGTTGTGTTTGTGGGTTCATTTCTCCAAAGTTACTTCTTTTGGGGGAAATACCCCTGGGACTCTTAGGGCCTAAAGCAAGTGCAAGGTCAGGACTTGTCTCACCTCTCACTTGCCTTTGCCATACTCACGAGTCACCTCCTCTCATTTCCTTACAGATCAAGACACTCATCAAGAAGTACATCCAGAGGCAGGAGACAATCAGCCTGGTGGTGGTCCCCAGTAATGTGGACATCGCCACCACAGAGGCTCTCAGCATGGCCCAGGAGGTGGACCCCGAGGGAGACAGGACCATCGGTGAGAGTGGGGGAGCCCCACTGTGCTCAGTGAGAATGGGGGAGCCCGCCTGTGCTCGGTGAGAATGGGGGAGCCCACCTGTGCTCGGTGAGAATGGGGGAGCCCGCCTGTGCTCGGTGAGAATGGGGGAGCCCGCCTGTGCTCGGTGGTCTGCCAGTGGGCAAGCGTCCCTCCAGTCTCCATGGGCTTTGCTCAGTGGGGACCTGCCTCCACTAAGACCTGCTAAGGGAGCAGGTTTGGTGCCCACCAAGGCCAAGTGAAATGAGCTGCTTTTGACTCTCACTGGCTAGGTTGCCTTGTAAGCCTTATCTACTTGCTCAGAAAGGCACAGTGGGCTCGGAAGCAGGTCAAACTCAGGAGGCACATGGTACTCATTAAGAATGCATTTGAGATGGGATGTCCATAACTCAAGGGATAAACAAAACGTGGCGTGTTCTACAGTGGACCCGGGTGAAGGAGCTTGGGGAGAGCCACATGCTGTTCTGGGAGGCATCCCTGCCTTCACGCGGCTTGTCGTGGAGTTCTTTTCTGGAGCGGGGCTCCACTGCCCCCATGGTTCTGCAGGGGCTATGGCCTGTCCTCAAGCAAGGATGGGAGGAAACCCTGGGAGGCCGGGGGCGTGAGCAGTTGTTCGTTCACCTCTGCCTCGTGACTGAGCACGTTCTCTCCCCAAATACATCTGGCTCGCAGGAATCTTGACGAAGCCTGATCTGGTGGACAAAGGAACTGAAGACAAGGTTGTGGACGTGGTGCGGAACCTCGTGTTCCACCTGAAGAAGGGTTACATGATTGTCAAGTGCCGGGGCCAGCAGGAGATCCAGGACCAGCTGAGCCTGTCCGAAGCCCTGCAGAGAGAGAAGATCTTCTTTGAGAACCACCCATATTTCAGGTGCGCTTGCCTGGGTTTCATCATGGATCAGTCCAAGCCCAGGATGTCAGGCCTTCCAGGGGACAGTGGCAGCCGTCCCACAGATGTGTGGAGTGTGTGTGTGTGTGTGTGCGTGTGTGTGTGTGCGCGTGTGTGTGTGACTATGCTTGTTCCCCAACAAGGACTATGGAATTCACCTAGAAGAATAGGAAGGGGATTACAAAATACTGCCAAGAAAAAAAAAACTAAAAACCAATCAAAATAGGGAGAGAACAATGTACAATAATTTACGTAGCATGGTGCTGGAACCATATTTTATAAAAACATAAATAGAAGAGAATAGGAAAAAAGTAGAAAGCCCAGAAATAGACCTAGATATATATATTTGACACATGATAAATGCAGCATTTCAAATCAAATAGTGGACTATATCAGCTTGAGTATCTATTAGTGGTGTTAGGATAATTAATATTTGGGAAAAAACTAAAATACTGCCCTTACTTATCTCATTATACCAAAATAGTTAAAGTTTAAAGTTAAATATTAAGAGGAAGCAATAAGCATCTCAGAAGAAAGGTAGGTGAATAGTTTATAAGATTTTTCTATCCCTCCTACCAAAAGTGACATTTTTTAAAAGGAAAAGACTGACAAATTGGTAAGATTTAAAATGATGAGACTATGTAGAGTTGTAAACATTCTTACATTCAGTTCTCCCAGAAGCCTACAGAGAGCCATTACTCAGAATTCCAGGAATATCAAATGGAAACTTACATCCTGTTCTGCACATTCACAATTGCCAGAAGATGAGATGATTCAGTGTCCATTGATGGATGGATGCAGAAAGCAATGTGGTCTGTACAAAAACATGGAATACTTTCAGCCTTAGAAAGGAAAGACATTCTGACACATGCTACAACATGGATGAAGCTTGGGAACATTCTACTAAGTGAAAGAACCCAGTCGTAAGAGGACGGATACTGTCTGATTCCACTTAGCTGAGGTCCCTGGAGTAGTCAGATTCATAGAGACAGAAAGAATGATGGGCACCAGGGGCTGGGAGAGAGAGAATGGGCAGGTAGTGTTTAATGGGGCCATTGTTTCAGTTTGGGAATATGAAAAGTTCTGAAGACAGACAGTGGTGATGGTTGCATAATAGTGTGAATGTACTTAATGCCACTCAAGTGTACTCTTAAAGATGGTTAAATGGTCAATTTTATATGTAGTTTACCACAATTTAGAAAAATTGACAGAGAAACTGAAGCTTAGGTATGAGTATACTCACAAAAAGGCACAGAAACTCATGCTTCACTGCTGCCTTTATCCTAAAATGTCCTATAAAATGTGGGAAACCCTGTAATAACTCACTCTGTGAGCACAAATTTGGATCGAGTGAGAAGATACTTGACTTCCTTCCTCCAGGCAGCCCATGGTTTAAGTTTTTATCTTGGACAAGATATCTTGTGTCTCTTCTCCTCAGTGTTCTGCTACCCATTTATCTCAATATGCTTCAATGTATTTGTATGAAGATATGTCTGTATCCATTATGATCACCTACACATATTACACATAGAAGGGGGTATGTGTTATAAAAACATATCTATACATGTCTGTGTATTTTTGTGATGACCAAGTCTATAGTCAGACACCATGATACACATTTATTATATCAGCTGGAAGAGCTCATTCCATATCATTGTGGAAATATCCTAGATTGCTAAAATTCAGTCATAATCCTATTCAATCCAGTTCTGAGTATTTGTTGGGTACCAACTGCAAGACATTCCATCCAGTTGTAAGCAACTGAAATTTGCCTTGACTTTCCCCAACAGCAAAAAGGCAGACATGCGTGTTCTGGCTACATCAAGGTGGAAATCGGTCCTGTGTTCTCTTCTAGGGATCTGCTGGAGGAAGGAAAGGCCACGGTTCCCTGCCTGGCAGAAAAACTTACCAGCGAGCTCATCACACATATCTGTGTAAGCACGGGCAGAGCTGTGGGTTCTCTAAAAAGAATACTACGACCGCAGAGCTGAACCTTGCTGGCTTCTTAAACATCACTGTACACACAGATCTTCTGAGGATCTTGTTAAGATGCAGTTTCAGATTCTGTGGGTCTGGAGTGGGGCCTAGAATTCTGCATTTCCAGCAAGCCCCCAGACAATGTGGATATTCCTTTTCAGGGGACCACAGTCAGGGGGAATGCTGATAGACTATATCTACTGGGCCAAAATAAAAATTAAAATCTTATGCACAAGCTACTAACTCTTCCTTTCTCATTGACAACCACTATTATAATGTCTTAGTCATTCTAATGAACATATTTTTTAACTTCTAAAAGCTTTGTAAAAGCTCTCTGTGGTTCTTTTTAAAAGTCTGCCTGAATATAGTGTCTTCCTTTTTCAAATTTTCTTTTCTTTTCTTTTCTTTCTTTTTTTTTTTTTTTTTTTTTTTTTTGAGACAGAGTCTCACTCTGTTGCCCAGGCTGGAGTGCAGTGGTGTGATCTCAGCTCACTGCAACCTCTGCCTCCTGGGTTCAAGCAATTCTCCTACCTCAGCCTCCTGAGTAGCTGGGATTACAGGTGCCCACCACCATGCCTGGCTAATTTTTGTATTTTTAGTAGAGACAGGGTTTCACCATGTTGACCAGACTGGCCTTTTTCAAATTTTCAACTCAGCACCAGAGTGCAAGGTCTTCCACGTGGTCCCCAGGAATGCGGGTGCATAACAGGGTTGTTTCCAGCCGACCATGATGAGTGCAGAGCTCTCTGGGGTCCCACTGTATGCAGAAAGAGGATGCTTCCTTATTAGATTCCCCACCTCGAGCAAGCCCATGGGGATTGATTTTTTGCCTCTGCACCAAGTCAGGTTCATAAGTTCCCGTTCGAATTTTCTTACCTAGACAGATGCCCTTGTGGCTGAGCCGGGCTTCATTGCTGCCTTCTCCTTGAGCCCCTGCCTGGCCACTGTTACTGGGGCTGGCCTCTGACTACCCCTCACTAACTTGTGAGTCCACCGATACATTTAAAGGTGCAGCTTTCACATGTCAGCTGGCATTTTTAGATGTTTGCCGTGGAAGGGTGAGCCAGCATATGGCGTCAACCGTATTGTTAAAAACATAAGTCTCTGATCACTTTTTATTGATTGCAAGCAACATAAAAGTTGTTGAATCTCAAATTGCTCCAAATGCCACTTTTTCAGAACCTACTAGACAAGTGGATCTCTCCAGTCTCCCTCCAGAGAGTTTACCTAATATGACCACAGAGGAACTGCTCCCGGGTCACTCTGCCGGGGCCTAGGACCCATGCACAGTGGGTGCCACAGTGCTGCTCATGAGGCTGCTGTCGCAGGAGTGGGGAAGGGGGAAGACCTGGGCAGAAAACAGTGCCCCCAGTGTGTGCCCCCCTGCACCTCCCCCGGGTCTGGAAAAGCTTCCTTTTAGAGGAAGCCAGGAAGTCAAATGGCCCACACAACTCCTCTGCAGAGGGAGGCCCGGGACCTCCTTTTCATTCTCTGTTCATCTTTACACATTTCCATTATTTTCTCTCCATTTTCCTCAGAAATCTCTGCCCCTGTTAGAAAATCAAATCAAGGAGACTCACCAGAGAATAACAGAGGAGCTACAAAAGTATGGTGTCGACATACCGGAAGACGAAAATGAAAAAATGTTCTTCCTGATAGATGTGAGTGTTGCCAGCTGCATGGAGCTGGAGAAGCACATGTCATGGTCAAAAAAGGGACCCTGGGCCTTATGCACTTCCTTCTTCACTCCCCCAAGGCTGATCCAAAGACATCTGGCCCGTAGCACTCAAAGGGTGGACAGGGCTGAGGGAGGCAGGGCAGGGAGTGCAGATGTGGGGGTGGAGTCAGCAGCGAGGGATGCTCAGGCTGCGTTGTGCCTACTCTGTCACGAGCATCACCCAGATCCCTAAGGCAGTAAGGGGTGGGATAGGATTTTCTAGTGCCAAAACCTCTTCTTTCCCCTGATCCACAGTGTCCCATAAGAAAGCAAAGAATGACTCCCCACCCTCCACATAGGCACGGCCTCCAAATGACCTTGACACTTGGATTTGAAGTCTATCCACTTATACTGATGTTTTTCTTCTTGACAGAAAGTTAATGCCTTTAATCAGGACATCACTGCTCTCATGCAAGGAGAGGAAACTGTAGGGGAGGAAGACATTCGGCTGTTTACCAGACTCCGACACGAGTTCCACAAATGGAGTACAATAATTGAAAACAATTTTCAAGAAGGTGAGTGTCTTAGTCCCTTCTTTTGGGCTGCTACAACCGAATACCTGAGACTGGGTCATTTATAAACAGTAGAAACTTATTGCTCATTGTTCTGGAGGTGAGAAATCTATTCTTAAGGAATCAGGAAATTTGGTGTCTGGTGAGAGCTTGTTCTCTGCTTCAAAGATGGCACCTTCTAGCTGTGTCCTCTCATGGGATAAGGGACGAACAAGCTTCCTCGGACCTCTTTTTTACAGGGGTACCACAGGCATACCTCAGAGATATTGTGGGTTCAGTTCCAGACAAAAAGAATATTGCAATAATGCAAGTCATATAAACTTCTTGGTTCCTGGTGCATAAACAGTTCATTTATGCCCTACTGCAGTCTATTAAGTATGTAATAGCATTAGGCCTAAAAAATATGTATGTACCTTAGTTTAAAACACCTTATTGCTAAAAAATTGCTGGTACAGAAACAAAAAGTGAGCATGTGCTACTGGAAAAAAATGGTGCTGATTTGCTTGACATGGGATTGCCACAGACTTTCAATTTGTAAAAAATACGGTATCAGTGAAGTGCAATAAAACAAGATATGCCTGGAATGCCATTATGCGGGCAGAGTGCTCATAACCCAATCCTTCCTAAAGGTCTCCTCTGTTGATACCATCACACTGGGGATTAAGTTTCAACATAGGAATTTTTAGGGGACACCAACATGTAGACCATAGCAATGAGTCAATACCGTGGTAAACCTGATACGTTGGCTTAAGACAGAGAAGAGTGGGGCAGTTGGGGAGGATGGTCAGGATAAGGAGCTAGTGACAACTAAAGCCATGTTTGCTCTCTTCTATATCACTGAACCCAAATGACCATCCACTGATGAATTGATAAACCAACTGGCTTGTGTCTGTGTGTAGCGGTTGGCTTTGGCTGTCATAACAAAGTACCACAGACTTGGGGGGGCTTAAACAGTAGAAATTTATTTTCTTACAGTTCTGGAGGCTGGAAGTCCAAGATCAAGATGTTGGTGGAGCTGGTTCCTTCTAAGGCCTCTCTCCTTGCCTTGCAGATGGCCTCTTCTCATTGGGTCCTCATGTGGTTGTCCCTCAGTGTGTGTGTCCTCATCTCCTCCCACAAGGACACTAGGCAGATGGGATGAGGGCCCACCCTAGTGACCTGATTTCAATTTAATTACCTCTTTGCCTGTCTCCAAACACAGTCAGATTCTGAGTTTCTGAGGGTTAGGACTTCAACATTGGAGTTTGAAGAGGTCACAACTCAAGCTCAGCCCGTAACACCAAGTCCTGGAATATTTCCAGCCACAGACAGGCACAGAGTGCTGGTCCACAGCACCCCATGGATGAACCTTGAAAATGTCATGCTGAGTGAAAGAAGCCAGCCACAAAGGCCACACGGTCTATGATTCCATTGATAGAAAATGGCTAGAACAGGCAAACCCAGGCAGGCAGAAAGCAGAATAGTGGCTGCCAGGGGCTGGGGAGGGAAAAGTGGGAAGTTATCACTGATGGGTGATGGATGTGGGGTTTGGGAGTTATGTCTGGGGATGGTCGCACAACTTTGTGAATATACTAAAATTCACTCACCCATACACTTTTTTTTTTCTTTTTCTTTGGAGACAGGGTCTCACTCTGTTGCCCAGGCTGGGGTGCAGTGGCTCAGTCTCGGCTCACTGCACCCTCTGCCTCCCAGATTCAAGCGATTCTCCTGCTTCAGCCTCCACCTCCCTAGTAGCTGGGATTATAGGCACCTGTCTAATTTTTGTATTTTTAGTAGAGATGGGGTTTCACCATGTTGGCCAGGCTGGTCTCGACCTCCTGACCTCAGGTGATCACTGGCCTCAGCCTCCCAGAGTGTTGGGATTACGGGCGTGAGCCACTGTGCCTGGCCTGAACCATATATTTTTAACAGAGTGAATGTTATACTATGTAAATGACATCTCAATTAGAAAAATCCTTATGGGAAAATATTTCCTGACTAAAAAAAGTGTTCTAGATTACCACTCAAAAAGGAACTCAAACCCTCTGAACTTCTGATGGGGCTAACTCTCTCTAGTGTGGATTGTTGGGAGTACAAATCATTCCAAAAGTTTAAAGAAAAATGCAGCATCTTACACAGTGAACAGTGCTACTGTATCACATTCATACAAGTTGATGTGCCTGGTTTACTCTGTTATCCCATTTGACTTGTAAACACTTTCTACACATGGCAATACTTTCGACACATGAATATGTGATGTATTGTTAATTCCAGAAAGTGTTCATGCTCATTTCTAATGGGCATGCAGTTGAGGGCAAGGAGTGTATTATGGTACAATTTCTTTGGTAAAACTAAAATTGGATTCACAAAACTTCATACTCGAGTACGTTTTTAAGAAGGGGTCTTGGCCGGGCACGGTGGCTCACGCCTGTAATCCCAGCACTTTGGGAGGCCGAGGCAGGTGGATCATGAGGTCAGGAAATTGAGACCATCCTGGCTAACACGGTGAAACCCCGTCTCTACTAAAAATACAAAAAAATTAGCCGGGCGTGGTGGCGGGTACCTGTAGTCCCAGCTACTTGGGAGGCTGAGGCAGAAGAATGGCGTGAACCCGGGAGGCAGAGCTTGCAGTGAGCTGAGATCACGCCACTGCACTCCAGCCTGGGTGACAGAGCGAGACTCTGTCACAAACAAACAAATGAAAAAAAAGGGTCTTACTCGAAGTTTCTGCGTATGTGGGTTCCTGGCATCGTACCTGGCTCTGCACTCCCCTTCCTGAGATGACTAAGGAAAATTATCTTCAGATCTGGTTTTGTGTGTGTGTGTGTGTGTGTGTGTGTGTGTGTGTGTGTGTGTGTGTGTAATCCCTGGATATTTTTAGTTTACCAGTTAGATTTGATTTGATACCACTTTTTCTTGCCATTTATATTTTCAGAAAATTTAGAATGGTATTGTGTTTAGAAAAATGTGCAAGATTATTTTTGTAAAATAATTTAGAGGGTTTTTTTTCCTGCTATAGGCCATAAAATTTTGAGTAGAAAAATCCAGAAATTTGAAAATCAGTATCGTGGTAGAGAGCTGCCAGGCTTTGTGAATTACAGGACATTTGAGACAATCGTGAAACAGCAAATCAAGGCACTGGAAGAGCCGGCTGTGGATATGCTACACACCGTGACGGGTGAGTGCTCAGTTTCACCTCTGAGCATTGATTTCTAAAGAAAGGAAAGGTTCGAACCAAAGCCAGCACCAAACTTCAGCACTTTCCTCCTGGGGTGCATCCCACACCAACGAGCAAACCTCTCATTCTCCAGATGCCAAGTTGGTATTCAACAATTCAATTCAATTCTGACACTAACTACCCTCAGTCAGTGTGGACCCCATAGCTTAAGGGCTCAGTTCCACAACACTGGCCCCAACTACAAATGCCGGTCACAAGTCCCAGACCTCCTATTCTTCTGATGGACTGTTTATAAATCAAGGTTCTTGCGACCCATTCCTCAGGTCAACCAAGAACTCTGGAACACACTTCACTGACATTTACTGGTCTATTAGAAAGGATTTGATAAGGGGCACAAATGAAGCTGTTGGAGAGGCACATAGTAGGGGCCTGAACACAGAAGCTTCTGTCCCCACGGGGTTGGGGGCACCATCCTCATGGCACAGAGATGTGGTCATCAACCAGGGAGCTCTTGGAACCTCACCGCGGAGAAGGTTTTATGGAGGCCTCATCATGAAGGCATGATGGAGGATTGACTCAATCTCCAGGCCCTCCCTCCTCTGTGGAGCTGGAAGTTCTAAGTTTCTAGCCAAGGCTTGGTCTTTCTAGTGCCCGGCCCCAATCCTGAAGCTATGTAGGGGCCCACCAGGCATCATCTCTTCAAAACACGAGATACTCCTAAGGCTGGACATTCCAAGAGATGTAGGGGCTCTATGTTAGGAAATGGGGACAAAGACAAAATATTTATATTTTTCCTATCACACCACACCTCCCCCCTGCTCCACTGCTATGCTGGCTTCACACTCAAAATCGGCTGTTTATTTGAAATCTCCGAGGAGTAAAGCCAATGGTTCCATAACTGCACGTGTAGATGTGTTTGGAACCTTTTGGAGTGCTGTAGGAATCTAGGTGTGTCACGGATAGGTAGGAAACTAGATCCTACTGTGGATCCACTCCCTTCTTGAAATGCTTTGCTTTCTTGGTTTTCCAGGTATTAAATCTCTATTCTTCATCCTCTCCTTGACTGACAGTATCCTTACTCACACTTCAGCTGCCTCATCTTAGCAGTAATTAATAATCACTCATGGATCCATGAACTAAGGAGCTGGAGATAGCCTCAGAACAGCTCATTCAGAGGTGTATTTCCAGTAAAATTGACCTTTTAGCCCTGATAATCATATACCAAAACCTGCAATCATGTTGTTTTGGTCCATTGTAGACTCTTAACTCATTCCAGAGGAAAGTTTATAATACTTAGAGCCTTATAGTCATAAAAATCAACATAGATATACCTATTTCTTTTTCAGAAATGTATGACATGGAGATCAATAAGAGGTTTTCAATCATAAAGATACTATACCTTGTATTACAATAAAATTCTGTGAGGAAGTAGAATAGAAATGAGTTTCAAAAATAAAAGATAAATAATATAAATTTTTTAATCTAAGAGCTTGTTCTTGTATTTTTTTCAAATGGATAATGTAGACACTCAAATTCCATTGATATATTTAAGAGTGATTTGACTTATATTAAGAGTTGTATTATAAAATATTAATATTTATAATTTAAAAGAAATTACATTCTTTGCAGCTATTTAGGATAAAAAGTTTAAATATCAAATAAATGTATGCCAGGGGTCATTTGCTTTTAAGATTCTTCCAGCAAATTATTAAGCAAAAAGAGCATGCCTTGCTTTTTCATGGTAAAGAGAAGAAGGGAGCGGGGAGAGGGGAAACTTTACTTCATACCATTTGATCCTCATATTTTTTTGCATCTTAAGAAGAGAACAAATGATCCTACCAATATTGAACTATTTTTCTCTCTTTGATTAGATATGGTCCGGCTTGCTTTCACAGATGTTTCGATAAAAAATTTTGAAGAGTTTTTTAACCTCCACAGAACCGCCAAGGTAAAACCAACCATGTGTTGTTTAAAAAAAAAAAAGAAAAGAAATTAAGCTTGACACTAGAAAATAGATTTCTTGGATGAGGATTATTTCAACTTTATTGTATACTTTTAGAACAGCAAATAACATCACTCACTAGTGCTTCTTCTGATGTTACCGGTGATGTCTGGTTAAAAGCAATAAAGGAGGGAGTGCTTAAACGCACAGAACAAGAGATCCACAGTTAGCGGAGAAGATTATCACATCTAAGGGCAATGGCTCCAAATCCAGAAACTCACTGAGGAAACTACATATAAAAATAGAATATTTCTGGCCCGAGTGGGCATGATGAGCCTGTAATCCCAGCACTTTGGGAGGCTGAGGCCGGTAGATGACTTAAAGCCAGGAGTTTGAGACCAGCCTGGCCCACATGGCAAAACCCCATCTCTACTAAAAATACAAAAAAGTAGCTGGACGTGGTGGTGCATGCCTGTAATCCCAGCTACTTGGGAGGCTGACACTTTAGAATTGATTGAGCCCAGGAGGTGGAAGTTGCAGTGAGCCAACATTGCATCACTGCACTCTAGCCTAGGCGATGGAGCGAGACCCCGTCTCAAAAAAAAAAAAAAAAACAAACAAAAAAACTTTCCATCCAGAGTGAGGAAAGAGCCTACAGGAAATGAGCCTGGGGGACAGACTGGGCCAAGAGACCAGACTTAGCCACTCTTAGAAATAGGTGTCCCCGGCACAGATGAGGAGCCTGGCCCCATGATTCACCAGCTGGAGGCCTTGGGATGTGCCACTTCCAGCCTGTGCCCCTGACTCCTCATTCATAAAAGAAGACTGATAAGGCCTTCCTCAGAAGGTTGAGATGGACGTGGAGTAAGATGTTTAGGATGCACCTGCCACTGTGCACTGTGCCTCTCCTCAAGGCCTGGAGGGTCCAGGGGTGAAGTTTCTCCTCCTCAGGTTTTGGCAACCAGTTTCTCTAAACCCCGGGAACATAAAACATAATTTTCTGACTTAAACATGGCTTTCCTGCTCATCCCTGTGGATTATCTGATGGATATGACAATCCTCGCCATCAGATATAGAAGCCCCTAAAAGAGAAAGGAAAGAAGCTGAGTTACGGGGCCTGAAAGCAAGCCTGTGCAGGTCCCCAGGCCCCGGGATGGGGGTCCGGCCCATCTGTGGCTCAAGCCTCCTGGGAAGCTCTGACCCTCAGCCAGGGCTAGAAACCTGCCTTAGATACACCAGGGCGCGGCCCAGAGGGCTGTTCCAGGAAACGTGCTGTTTCACTCACGTTGGGTAACCTGGTATTTACGGACTTCTTACCTACTTTCCTGTGACTCAGGAATTTGTGTCTTGAGGGAAACTGTATTTATTTATTTTTTACTGTAGTCCAAAATTGAAGACATTAGAGCAGAACAAGAGAGAGAAGGTGAGAAGCTGATCCGCCTCCACTTCCAGATGGAACAGATTGTCTACTGCCAGGACCAGGTATACAGGGGTGCATTGCAGAAGGTCAGAGAGAAGGAGCTGGAAGAAGAAAAGAAGAAGAAATCCTGGGATTTTGGGGCTTTCCAGTCCAGCTCGGCAACAGACTCTTCCATGGAGGAGATCTTTCAGCACCTGATGGCCTATCACCAGGTACGTCTTCGCGTGGTTCAGGATGCCAGCTTCCATTCTTTCCTTTTCTTCTGAACGCCTCTCTCTTTAGTCTTGCTCTCTCTGTAGGTGACGTTGGTCAGCTCTGTCGTTTACCTCCTTGTTAGCCTCCTGTATTAGTCCATTTTCATGCTGCTGATAAAGACATACCTGAGACTGGGCAATTTACAAAAGAAAGAGGTTTAACGGACTTACAGTTCCACATGGCTGGGGAGGCCTTCTACCATCACGGCAGAAGGCAATGGGCACTTCTTACCTGGCGGCGGTGGCAAGAGAGAGAATGAGAGCCAAGTGAAAGGGGTTTCCCCTTATCAAACCATCAGATCTCATGAGAGTTACTCACTACCATGAGAACAGTATTGGAGAAACTGCCCCCATGATTCAGTTATCTCCCCCTGAGTCCCTCCCACAACAGGTGGGAATTATGGGAGTACAATTCAAGATGAGATTTGGGTGGGGACACAGAGCCAAACCATATCGCCTTCGTAGAAGCAGCTCAACCTCAGACAGAGAGATGGTGGCTTAGAGCCAGTGACATCTGGTTTTGATGGCTGTCTAGCTCTGGCCAAGTTACTTAACCTCTCTGAGCCTCAGCTTTCTTTGTAAAATGGTGTCTCCTCATAGATTCTAGTGCATATTCCAGGAGACGAGTGTGGATGATGATAATGGATTGCTAATGGAAAAACCAAACTCTGTTAAAATATTTGAAAGAGGTTTATTCTGAGCCAAATATGAGGGACCATGGCTCTGGGAACAGTCTCAGGAGGTCCTGAGGAAGTGTGCCTGAGGCTGTCAGGATGCAGTTTGATTTTATACATTTCAGAGAGGCAGGAATTGTAGGTAAAATCATAAATCAATACATGGGAGGTGTACTTGCCCTCCCTAAAGAGGCAGGACACCTTGAAGGAGGGGGAGCTTACCGGTCATAGGTGGGTTCAGAGATTTTCTGGTTGACGATTGCTTGAAAGAGTTAAACTTTGTCTACAAACTTGACATCAATAGAAAGAAATGCCTGAGTTAAGGCAGTGTTAGAGGCCAAAGGTATGTAGATGAAGACTCTGGGTAGCAGCCTTCAGAGAGAATAAATGGTAAATGTTTCTTTTCAGGCCTTAGAGGCAGCAGGCTCTCAGTTAATCTCTCCTAGATTCAGGGAAGGCCTAGAAGGGGAGAGGTCTGACTGCATTAATGGAGATTCTCTACAGGTGCAAATTCCCCCCCCACAAAACATGGCAGGGCCATTTCAATCTGTTGGTCCTGTTACAGCCGTTTCAAAATATGTCCACAAAATATATTTTTAGGTAAAATATTTGTATTTCCTTTAGGGTCTGCAATCTGTCTTGTGATGCTATACCAGAGTCGGGTTGGAAAGTAAGCCATTTTATACTGAGTTCATGGAAACTCATCCAAGGAGATTTCATGGTTTGTGGGGTGTGTGTGACTTAACCCCTGCCTCACATGACTTTATAATATGGTATCTTACTACTCCAGAGTCTTTTTGGCCAACCTTATGATCTCAATTTCAACCTAAACTCCAAAAGGGCCTGGCTTCTCTTCCTGTTACGGCCAGGAATTCAGATTTTCAGGTTTCTCTGGGGTCCACTTGGCCAAGAGGGGGTCTGTTGAGTTGGCTGGAAGGCATAGGATTTTATTTCTGGTTTACAACAATTTCCTTAGTGCAGCATTGGAATGCAATGGTAGCAGACTAAATGGAAGCTATCGCGTAGACACATGCTTTGGTTGATACTGCACGATTCAGTTAACCTGAAGTACAATCTAATTCATCCTAGGGAAGGAGGCAGTGAACACAGACACAACTCAGGTAGAGCCCTTGGGATGTGTAAACACCTGAGGAGGTAAAGCAAATTGTAATCTCTCGGTTTATCAGATGTCCCCATTGCCTTACTATTTGGATGCTTTAAAGCAGGGCCTCTCAAACTCCACCCAGCACAGAGGCCTCCTGGGATCTTGTGGAAATGCAGATGCTGATTGCAGGTCAGGATGAAGCTGAGATTCTGCCTTTCTTTTTTTTTTTTTTTTGAAACCGAGTCTCACTCCATTACCCAGGCTGGAGTGCAGTGGCACAATCTCAGCTCACTGCAACCTCTACATCCTGGGTTCAAGCAATTCACCTGCCTCAGCCTCCCAAGTAGCTGGGATTACAGGCTTACCTTGCCACCATGCCTAGCTATTTTTTCTATTTTTAGTAGAGATGGACTTTTACCATGTTGGCCAGGCTGGTCTTGAACTCCTGACCTCAAGTGATCTGCCTGCCTCGGCCTCCCAAAGTGCTGGGATTACAGGCGTGAGCCACCATGCCTGGCCTCTGCATTTCTAACGGGCTCTCAGGGGTCACCATACTACTGGATAGAGGCCACACTTGGAGGAGCAAGGCTCTAAACCGAGGGTCAACATCCATTCCTCCAGACACTGGGAGCTGCATGCACGTGAGTGAAGCCAGTTAAGGGGAAGACAGGCATGCACATCAGCTTCTCCTGCAGCCAAGCTCACACCTGTCCGCTGCTTCCACTGCCTCCTAGAATGAACAGTTACCTTGAGAGTAGGTGAGGCATATACATGCACAGAATCCAAACAATAGGATGAGTGACAATGGCAGAGGAGTCTCCGAGCCAAGCAGCTCCCTGGACAGAAGCAGCCCTTCTCCGGGTTCATTTCTGTCCTCCGAGGCTGACTCATGCACTCAAAAGCTCCCATGCATATACATTTTATAATGGTTTTTACACAAAGGTTAGCAGAGGAGTGGACGTGCTGCTCTGTACCCTGCCTCTTTTGCTGTACCTGGGAGATTGTTCTGCCTCAGTTCTGATGGGGCTGCCTTGTTCTTTTCAATGGCTGCTGAGTATCCCATTTTATGGATGTGGTATATTGAGCCAGCTCCCTTTAAGCGAACAGTTTGTTTGCAGTCTTTTGCTAATGCAGGTGTGTTGCTGTGAATAGGTTTGTTTGTATATCATGTATCTGGAAGCATCAATTCCTAGAAATGAGATTCCTGGTATATTAGGATTGTGCAGGGAAACAGAACCACAGATATATGTATGTAAAGAAGTATATTTCAGCCAGGCATGGTGGCTCATGCCTGTAATCCCGGCACTCTGGAAGGCTGAGGTGGGTGGATCTCTTGAGGCCAGGAGTTTGAGACCAGCCTGGCCAACATGGCGAAACCCGGTCTCTACTAAAAATACAAAAAAATTAGCTGTGCATGGTGGCCCATGCCTATAGTCCCAGCTACTTGGGAAGCTGAGATATGAGAATTGCTCGAACCTGGGAGGCAGAGGTTGCAGTGAGCCAAGATCACACCACTGCACTCCAGCCTGGGTGACAGAGCGAGACTCCATCTCAAAACAAACAAACAAACAAAAAACAAAACAAAACAAAAAACAGAAGGAAAGAAAGAAATATATGTATATTTCAAGGAATTGGCTTCTGCCATTTTGGGAGCTGGCAAGTCCAAAATCCCAGGGCAGGCCAGCAGGAAGAGCAGGCCAGAAATTGCAGCAGGAGCTAAGGCTGAGTCCACAGGCGGAATTTCTTCTTTTTAGGGAAACCTCATTTTTCTTCTTAAGACCCTCAACTGATTGGATGAGGCCCATCCACATCATTGAGAATGGTCTCCTTCACTTAAAGTCAGTGGGTTACACATGTTACCCACATCTACAGAATACCTCCGCAGCAATACCTAGATTCGTGTTTGATGGAATCACTGGGGACTCGAGCCTAGCCAAGCTAACACATGAAACACACCATCACAGCTGGGGAAAGGATGGCTTATTTTAGACTGATAAAGATGACCCAGAGAAGGCCTGCTCCATCCACACTGGCCGCTTTAGTCTGCACTAAAGTTGTTGGTTTTTTTTGTTTGTTTGGTTTTTTTTTGGTGACAGAGTCTCACTCTGTCGCCCAGGCTGGAGTGCAGTGGCGCAGTCTCAGCTCACTGCAACCTCTGCATCCTGAGATCAAGCGATTCTCCTGCCTCAGCCTCCTGAGTAGCTGGGACTACAGGCACGTGCCACCACACTCGGCTAATTTTTGTTTTTTCAGTAGAGACGGGGTTTCACCATATTGGCCAGGCTGGTCTTGAACGCCTGACCATGTGATCCATCCGCCTCAGTCTACCAAAGTGCTGGGTTTACAGGCGTGAGCCACCACGCCCGGCCTTGTTGGGGTTTTTTGACAGCCTAATAGGTGAAAATGACATCTCATTACAATCTTAATTGGCATTCTCTTATGACAACAAGCTGGTACATCTTTTTGTGTGTTGAGGGTTATTTCTATTTCTTGCTCAGCAAACAGTTCATCCAGGAAGAGCTTCTTGGTGAGATAGTAGACCTCTGCGATTTCTGTTGCAGACGATCTACATTTTGTCATTTGCTTTGTCATTTTTGTCTATGGTGGTTTTAGACTATGCGTAAGTTTTCTAGAGCAGAAACTCAAGTTGGATTTGGGCCTCAGTGGTTATTGCCATACTTTAAAAGGACTTTGTCTCCCTGAGATGATAAATGAGGTGGACAATATTTTCTTTAAGTAATTTCTTATTTTAACTGTTACATGATACCTTTGGCCCATTTGGAGTTCTTTGATGTCAAGAATGAGGCAGGATCCAGATGGCAGCAGAGGTCCCAGTCCCATCCTGGAAGGGTCGTCTAGTTCCCACTGGTACTCCACACGCCCACTCAGGCACTCACTTCCCCTCTGCGTTGGGTCTTGTCTGCAAGACTCTCTTATGTTTTACCATCTAGTGCAGCCAGCACCCCCACATCACCCTCACTTTTTCTTTCTTTAAATTGTGCAGAAATATTCATCATGTCTATTTTGCCATCTTAACCATTTGGGGGTACATAGTTCAGTGGCATTAAGTACATTCATATTGTGCCAGCATCACCAGCAGCCATCTCCAGGACCCTATCACCTTCCCACACTGAAACTCTGTCCCCATTAAACACATTCCCCATTCCCCGCCCCTGAATCCCTGACAGCTACCATCCTACTGTCTGTCTCTGTGAATTCAACTAACCTAAGTACCTCATAGGAGTTGTGACTGGCTTGTTTCATGCAGTATGATGTCCTCATCCAGGTGGTAGCAAGTGTCAGAGTTTCACGCCTATTTATTTATTATTATGAGACAGAGTCTTGCTCTGTCGCCCAGCCTGGAGTACAATGGCGCGATCCCAGCTCACTGCAGCCTCCCCCTGCCTGGGTTCAAACAATTCTCCTGCCTCAGCCTCCCATGGTGTGCCGCCACACCTGGCTATTTTTTGTATTTTTAGTAGAGACGCGGTTTCACCACGTTGACCAGGCTGGTCTGGAAATGCAGTTTTTGCACTGTCTGCCTGCTTACCTTTATAGAGCATATTTTGCCCTCTTCCATCAGAATTACCCATTTAATGGTCAGGAAAAGCTGCTGGGAATATGACTCATAGCTGGGACATTCTCTGCACTGTGCATAGTTCCTCTCTGCCACCACCATGGAGGAGATTGATGGGTTTGAAACCCAGGGGAAGGTCATTGCCCTGCGAGGGTCTCCCTCATTGAGAATCTGGATCCCCTCATGTGCACATGGTGAGGTCAGAGTCCCCTCCTCACAGTGTCCCCTCCACCCTCCCGTGAACTGTTCTTTCCTTCCAGGAGGCCAGCAAGCGCATCTCCAGCCACATCCCTTTGATCATCCAGTTCTTCATGCTCCAGACGTACGGCCAGCAGCTTCAGAAGGCCATGCTGCAGCTCCTGCAGGACAAGGACACCTACAGCTGGCTCCTGAAGGAGCGGAGCGACACCAGCGACAAGCGGAAGTTCCTGAAGGAGCGGCTTGCACGGCTGACGCAGGCTCGGCGCCGGCTTGCCCAGTTCCCCGGTTAACCACACTCTGTCCAGCCCCGTAGACGTGCACGCACACTGTCTGCCCCCGTTCCCGGGTAGCCACTGGACTGACGACTTGAGTGCTCAGTAGTCAGACTGGATAGTCCGTCTCTGCTTATCCGTTAGCCGTGGTGATTTAGCAGGAAGCTGTGAGAGCAGTTTGGTTTCTAGCATGAAGACAGAGCCCCACCCTCAGATGCACATGAGCTGGCGGGATTGAAGGATGCTGTCTTCGTACTGGGAAAGGGATTTTCAGCCCTCAGAATCGCTCCACCTTGCAGCTCTCCCCTTCTCTGTATTCCTAGAAACTGACACATGCTGAACATCACAGCTTATTTCCTCATTTTTATAATGTCCCTTCACAAACCCAGTGTTTTAGGAGCATGAGTGCCGTGTGTGTGCGTCCTGTCGGAGCCCTGTCTCCTCTCTCTGTAATAAACTCATTTCTAGCAGACACTGCTCTGCCATGTTTTGTATTTTGGCGAGAAGCCTGAAACTAGCAGGTAGGGTGCAGTGGAGCAGTGGACGTAAAGCTGCCCTCTGTGGCGGGGCCAGGTAGGAGCAAGCAAAAGAACAGGGTCTGATGATTTCCTAGAGACTGGAGGGAAATGGGGGAACACACTTTAAAAAATGAAACAATATGAAGCCAACGGTGCTAACTTAATAATGTGCATTGATCAAATGTCCAATTTGTTGAGTCACTGGGCACCTGGCATGGAGTTGAAAAGCACAAGGCCCAGTCAGGAAGCGGTTGCCAGGCCAGGTGCGATGGCTCACGCTGTAATCCCTTCACTTTGGGAGGCCGAGGCGGGTGGATCACCTGAGGTCAGGAGTTCGGGACCAGCCTGACCAATATGGTGAAACCCTGTCTCTACTAAAAATACAAAAATTAGCTGGGTGTGGTGGCGTGTGCCTATAGTCCCAGCTACTCAGGAGGCTGAGACATGAGAATTGCTTAAACCCGGGAGGTGGAGGTTGCAGTGAGCCCAGATCGTGCCACTGCACTCCAGCCTGGGCTACAGAGCAAGACTCCATCTCAGGGAAAAAAAAAGGTTTCCCAGTGGGACTTTACCTGCAGAGGCTGTGGCTGGGGGAGCGGTCTGGGAAGCAGAGAAGGCGGAACACTAACCTTGGAGGAGAACCTGACTGAAGTTCTCTGGTCTAGCCTGGTTGGGGGAGACTCGAGCCACACTCCTACGCCCTGACTCTGAGAACCATGGCTCCCAATCAGTGCTGCTGCTGGGCCTCCTCACCATGAGGCCAGGGCAGGCTCAAGGGCAGGAAATCGAACAGTGGACTAGATGGATGGGGCAGGAGAGGACCGGACACTCTGTCCCTTAAGGGGAGAGTTGAAGGATCAGGATTGCCCCAGCCTAGGAAAGAGAAGGCCAAAAGGCAACAAGAGAGATGAAGTGTGAGCACCAAGGTGTGACATCCTCTGGGGAGGTATATTCTAGATGATCAGTGTGGGGAATGGGGGTACTTTCTACAGAGGGGCCCCCGGATGGCATGGCTTCCTCAAGAGCTGTGAGGTCCCAGGCAGTGGGGGCATCAGGCCAAGCTGCACAGCTGCTTGTCAGGTTGGGGGTGGGGGCTGGACCAGCAACACCATCCTCTCCCCTCTGGACCACGCCCCCCCATCCCAGATCTCTTCTGACTCTTGGGACTGTGTAATTTTCAATTCTTCGGGAAGTTTGAGAATACATTTATAAGAGAGGATGTCCGGAGAGCAGTGGACATTTCACAAGCCCAGGTCAGCAGCTGCCGCTGGGCAGCAACTTTATGGTTCCCCCAGGTGCTGAAGTGCACCTGCAGGTTGACTTGATCTACTGTTAACAGAGGGTGATCAGTTTGACTCATGCTTAAGGGAGAGACGACACCAACACACACACAGAGGTTTGCAAGAGTAAGGCAGGGTGGATCCAAACATTCTTAATTCAATACTAGGCACGCGTTCTCGCAGTGGACATGGCCCAGGTCCTCTGGCTGTGTTGGTGCATCAGACAGCTCGGCCCTTCCATGAGGCAGGTGCCCTCTCGTGGCAGGCCTGGGAAACTTCTCCACTACAAGACGTCCCTTCCTTCCACCACCACCCAAATCAGTCTTCCACTTGCCTTAAGTTTCTGCTGCACGGGAAACAGAGTCAGAGGTGTCAAAGTGTTGCACAGGATTCTATTTTGCTGTTGTTAGAATTTTGCTAGTGATAACCAGAGAGGATGGAGGAAGAAAGTTGACAGTATGTGTCCCAGAGAACAGCAATTTCAATTTCCCCAGCAGAGTGAACCTGCTGGGGATGCCCCAAGGTGCCCGCAAGGATGTTCCTTTCAGCCAAAATGAACATGTGTGGTGATCCCCCAGGCCTGTCCTAACTAGTCATCCAGAGCCGAGAGGGGAGTGGCCCCAGCGGCCAGAACTGGGAGAGAGCCCTGGAGACCACTTTGTGTGACTCCTTCCTGCACTTAGAGGGGCCCTGAGTTCAGGCAAGCAATGGAACTGCCCCTCCCTACCCACCCCTCCATTCCCAGCCATGACGGGCAGCGCTGGCATCACACCCTGCTCTCCGGCTTCCGTGGCCTGCCCTGTAAGTGAGGCAGGAAAATCGAGTCTGGAGGCAGGAATGTAAGGCTGATTCACACTTCAACTCTAACAGGGACTATCCCCTCCACAGGGAGTATGCCGAGTAAATGACTTTGTAACTTTACTTTATCCTCTTCATTTACATAGGGCCCCCAAAGTAACCAATGGAAACCTCTAGAGGGTATTTAAACCCCCCAAAAACTGTAATGGGGCCATTGAGCCCCTAGGCTCGGGCCGCTCCCACCCTGTGGTGTGTACTTTCATTTTCAATACATCTTTGCTTTTGTTGCTTCATTCTTTTCTTGCTTTGTTTGTGTGTTCTGCCTAATTCTTTGTTCAAGACACCAAGAACCTGGACACTCACCACCAGTAACATAAGCACTGGCTCAATGGTCCATTGACCTGTGCAGAACAGACAGGATTATAATGATGTCTGCTCAGGGACCTTCACTCCAGGCACATCTGGGGCTCAGGGGACCCCATAGGATGGGGCTGAGTTAGGAGCAGAGCAATGACAGGGCCAGGAGTGTATTGAACAAACCAAAGTAGAAAGCCCCAGTTTTCTGGAACCCAGGGTCTGTCATGCTGCAGGTGCTTAATAAATGCTGTGGTGCCATCCATGTGAGATGTGACTTGCTCCTCCTTGCCTTCCACCGTGATTGTGAGGCCTCCCCAGCCATGTGAGACTGCAAGTCCAATAAACCTCTTTCTTTTGTAAATTGCCCAGTCTTGGGTATGTCTTTATCAGCAGCGCAGAAATGGACTAATACAGTAAATTGGTACCAGTAGAGTGGGGCACTGCTGTAAAGATACCTGAAAATGTGGAAGCAACTTTGGAACTGGGTAACAGGCAGAGGCTGGAACAGTCTGGAGGGCTCAGAAGAAAACAGGAAAACGTGGGCAAGTTTAGAACTCCCTAGAGACTTGTTGAATGTCTTTTTTTTTTTTTTAATTAGATAGAGTCTCTTTCTGTTGCTTAGGCTGGAGTGCACTGGCACAATCTCAGCTCACTGGAACCTCCACTTCCCTGGTTCAAGCAATTCTCCTGCCTCAGCCTCCTGAGTAGCTTACAGTAGATCATGGGCACCTACCATCATGCCTGGCTACTTTTTGTATTTTTGTAGAGATGGGGTTTCACCATGTTGGCCAGGCTGGTCTTGAACTTTTGACATCAGGTGATCTGCCTGCCTTGGCCTCCCAAAATGCTGGGAGTACAGGGGTGAGCCACCACGCCCAGCCTTTTGAATGGCTTTGACAAAAATGCTGATAATGATATGGACAATGAAATTCAGGCTGAGGTGCTCTCAGATAAGAGATGAGGAACTTGTTGGTAACCGGAGCAAAGGTTACTCTTGTTATGTTTTAGCAAAGAGACTGGTGGCATTTTGCTCCTGCCTTAGAGATTTGTGGAACTTTGAACTTGAGAGAGATGATTTAGGGTATTTGGTGTAAGAAATTTCTAAGCAGCAAATCATTCAAGTAGAGACTTGGGTGCTGTTAAAGGCATTCAGTTTCAAAAGGGAAACAGCATAAAAGTTTGGAAAAGTTGCAGCCTGACAATGCAATAGAAAAGAAAATCCCATTTTCTGAGTAGAAATTCAAGTCAGCTGCAGAAATTTGCATAAGTAATGAGGAGCTGAATGTTAATCCCCAAGACAATGGAGAAAGTGTCTCCAGGGCATGTCAGAGGTTTTCACAGAAGCCCCTCCCATAACAGGCCCAGAGGCCTAGGAAGAAAAAGTGGTTTCATGGGCCAGGCCCAGGGTCCTTGTGCTGTATGCAGCCTAGAGACTTGATGCCCTGCATCCTAGCCACTCCAGCCATGGCTGAAAGGGGCCAAAATAGAGCTTGGGCTGTGGCTTCAGAGGTTGCAAGCCTTAAGCCTTGGCAGCTTCCATGTGATGTTGAGCCTGCCAGTGCACAGAAGTCAAGGATTGAGATTTGGGAACTTCTGCCTAGATTTCAGAAGATGTATGGAAACGCATAGATGCCCAGGCAGAAGTTTGCTGCAGGGTGGGGCCCTTATGGAGAACCTCTGCTAGGGCAGTGCAGAAGGGAAATGTGGGGTTGGAGCCCCTACACAGTCCCTACTGGGGCACTGCCTAGTGGAGCTGTGAGAAGAGGGCCACCATTCTCCAGACCCCAGAATGGTAGATCCACCAACAGCTTGCACCATGTGCCTGGAAAAGCTGCAGACCCTCAACACCAGCCCATGATGCAGCCAGGAAGGAAGCTATACCTTGCGAAGTCACAGAGGTGGAGCTGCCCCAGACCATGGGAACCCACCTCTTGCATCAGTGTGACCTGGATATGACAGATGGAGTCAAAGGAGGTCATTTTGGTGCTTTAAGATTTGACTGCCCTGCTGGATTTTGGACTTTTAAGGGGCCTGCAGCCCCTTTATTTTGGCCAATTTCTCCCATTTGGAATGGCTGTATTCACCCAATGCCTGTACCCCCGTTGTATCTAGGAAGTAATTAACTTGCTCTTGATTTCACAGGCTCATAGGTGGAAGCAACTTGCCTTGTGTTGGATGAGACTTTGGACTGTAGACTTTTGACTTAATGCTGAAATGAGTTAAGATTTTGGGGGACTGTTGGGAAGACCTGATTGGTTTTGAAATGTAAAGATACGAGATTTGGGGGGTGCAGGGGCAGAATGATATGGTTTGGCTCTGTGTCCCCACCCAAATCTCATCTTGTAGCTCCCATAATTCCCATGTGTTGTGGGAGGGACCTGATAGGAGATAATTGAATCATGGGGGTGGGTCTTTCCTGTGCTGTTTTTGTGATAGTGAATGGGTCTCACAAGATCTGATGGTTTAAAAAATGGGAGTTTCTGTGCACAAACTCTCTCCCTGCCTGCTGCCATCCATGTAAGATGTGATTTGCTCTTCCTTGCTTTCTGCCATGATTGTGAGGCCTCCCCAGCCATGTGGAATTGTAAATCCAATAAACTTCTTTCTTTTGTAAATTGCAGTCTTGGGTATGTCTTTATTAGGAGCATGGAAACAGACTAATAGAATAATAAGAAGGAGTCATTTGAGGGACCTCTCCAACAGGACAGGCTGCAGGAACTGAGGGCACCAACCACAGGAGCACCAAGTCTGGCCTTGCCTCACCTTTGGTCCTCTGACCAGCAGCCTCAACATCACCCCCTTATAAGGAAATGGAGGCTGGTCCTACTCACCAGGCAGAACTTCAAAGATGCAGTAGTTACTTTGAAAAAAAAATTGCATAATTTATTTGCATGATATTCATTTTCACAATTGAACTTTACAGTTTAAAAAAGATACAAAAAAAGACAAACAGTTGTTCACATAAATAAGAAGGGGCAATAAAGAAGGAAGACGTTTTCACCATTACAACACCTTTTAGGATGTGTCTTGGGGAGCAAGCACCTTACAGTGCCAACTGTTTCCAAGGTCCCTGGGAATGCTGCTCTCTACAGAGGCATGTGCACAGACAGATCCTGCAAATGGGATTGCATGACTTTCCATTTCAAGGTTAAGTCCTAGCTGTAGAATCATTCATTTCATTCTTGCAAACCAGCCTGCTTGGCCAGGAGGCAGAACCATGGTAGAGTAGTGCTCATGGTTATGGCACTTGGCAATGCAAAAGGGACCCTTCCCCTGGTTGGAAACCCACAGCATTGGAAGGGACCACAGAGAGTCCAAAACAAAACACATCTTTCTCTTCTTCGCCGCCACCATGGGCACTTTGCTTCAGCACATTCATTTATAGAACGTTAAGTCAGGAGCCAGTCATTTTGTCAAAGCAGCTGAAATAGGCCACCACTCTTACTTGGCAAAGATGATACAGTTTCAAAGAGTTAAATGAAGGTGGACTACTTGGAGACATCAAAAGCTAAGTTTCCAGGAGCACTGAGGTAGCAATGTGTAGAAACATAACATGGAAACAGTGTACCTTAAACTGAGCATCCTTGATTTCCCCCATGGACCTCAATTTCCAGTGACTAGCAGGCCTGAAGAGGCCAACATGGTGCCAGACTTGGCGCCCTGCCAGGACCAAGGGGCATGTGCACTCTCCAGGGTGCTAGGAGCAGGGTCAGGGAGGATGAGGAGGAAGGCTGAGTCTCCCTCCCAGGAGCCCCACCCAATGTGCAGGTGGAGACCTGCACCAGGAGTGCTCAGGGCAAGTTCCTTTTCAATTGCTTCCCTCGCACCAAGGGCACTGTCTATATTCTCACCCCATAAGAACAAAAATGTTTCTGTTCCCCTTACAAGTGACTACCACGTCACCACCCATGAAGGGCTGGTCCCTTTATTTCTGGCCACCATCCAGGGCTGCTAAGGCTCTAAGAACCCATCAGCAAAATCCCCTTGTGGAGAGGTAGGCTGGGGACACTACCAAGTGGCCCCAGAGGGCAGCCGCTGCAGGTGCCACCTGGCTGTCTCCCTTTCCATGTCTCTCCTTTTTCATCTCAAGTCATCCAGCAGCTGAGAGGTGACAGCTCCATGCTCATCCAAAATTGGCCCCTGGAAAGGACTCAGCAGGAAGATCTCAATGGGGCAGCCTCCACCCCTCTCCTCCACACTTGACCGCCAGTGCCCACAACCAGCCGGCCATCACCCCTTGCGGACAAGGGGTTAGGGAGAGCAGGCTGGGCAGGGGAGCCACTGCAGCCTGCACAGAATGGCAGAGAGTGCCAAAGCCAGACAAGTTCACTGTTTAATAAAAATGAAGTGACCTCTGAATCATCTCTAAGAGTAAATCATGCACGGGGAAGCAAAACCAGCCCCATTGTTTTCTTGTAAAACGACGTCAAGGACGAAGACCATGTGGATTAGCCGTCTGCCTGTTCAAATAGGAAAAAAAAAAGTGTGTTATTTTCTTAAGACAAACAAAGGTGGAAAATAATTTTTTCCTCTAGGTTCGCATGAAGCACTTAGAAACCAAATAAGCAAGCTTAATAGCACAAAGGGATCATTCTTCTCTCCAACGTGTTGGTCAGAGTCAGGCTGAGCATGGCGGGGCAGGAGCTCCGGAAGGAGCGGGCAGCGGATGTGGAGGCCGGCACAACAGGCATCTCTTCAGCAGAGTCTGGGCCTCCCCCGGCTGCTCTCCTGCCACGCAGCCCTTCCCTCCCTGCACAGCCATGCGGACCCACCTGCAGCCGCCAAACACACCTGGATCATTTCCTAGCTCCATCCTGGTGCGAGTCCGCCCCTCAGCCTGGCTGACCATCCCAGCCCTGCCAGCTTCCCTCCTGCCCTGCCTCCTCCTCCTGGGGTCATCTGTTTCTAGCACTGGGCCCTGGGCCAGGTGACGCCCCCTGGGCCCCATGGTCATGGGAAGGCCCTGAGTCCCGCGTGTCATTTGAAGGAGACACAGGTCGGGCCTCAGCGGGAAAGGCCCCCTGGTTCTGCTCCTCCTTCAACAGACTGGGCATCTGGGAGATTTGGGAGAAGACAGAATAGACTGCTTTCTTCCACTAGTAGCCCAGCCCCAGAAAGCACAGAAATCTGAGAAAACTATACGTCTGAGGTCCTGGAGATGAGAAGATCTGGTTCTCACCCCCTATCTGGACAATGCCCAAAGCCAGGGCTCTGCTAAGCAGAGACATCCATGAGGCTCACATGGAACCCCTGAGACCTTCCCTCGTGCTTGAGTCTGGGGCATCAGAGAACCCTGGCTGCTCCTGCCCTTCCTAACCTTGGGGGCTGCCCAGGAGCCACTCGATGGCCCCAGAAAAGGATGGGCACAGCCGGCTCTTCCCTCTGCTCTCTATAAATCAAAAGTTTCATGTGAGGCCGGGCACCGTGGTTCACACTTGTAATCCCAGCACTGTGGGAGGCTGAGGTGGGTGAATCACCTGAGGTCAGGGCTTCGAGACCAGCCTGGCCAACATGGAGAAACCCCATCTCTACTAAAAATACAAAAAGTAGCTGGGCGTGGTGGCGCATGCCTGTAGTCCCAGCTACTTGGGAGGCTGAGGCAGGAGAATCACTTGAACCCAGGAGGCAAAGGTTGCAGTGAGTCGAGATTGTGCCACTGCACTCCAGCCTGGGCGACACAGTGAGACTCCATCTCAAAAAAAAAAAAAAAAAGTTTGATGTGAGGTGGCCTGGGTGGAACAGCTGAGTCAGCTGAGCCAGAACGAAGTGTGGTTGGCAGAGCACCAAGGAATTTCACACAAGCTGAGCCCCAGCGCTTTTCATCCAAACACCAGGGGAAATATGCAAGTGAAGCCAGTGAGAGGCAATGGGCAATGGGTGGACACTGGGGGGATGGGGCTGTGGCTGGAGGAAGCAGAGTTTGCTTCATGCTGACCAGTGGTCACCAGTCAGCTTCCAGCAGCAGAACCACGCCTAACAGATGTCTGGCTTTGGCTCGAGGAATCGGAGAACACAGTCAGAAGGAGGACAGGATAGTTACCCTCATTTGTCGATAAATCCAGTCCGTGAATACCATCACATTCCCGTACACTCCTGGTCTGTAAGCTTTGGCACAGCCAGAACCCCAGCTTGTATCCCCTATCAGCCACCAGATATTGTTCTTCGAAGTGACCAGAGGCCCTCCACTGTCACCCTGTGGGACACAGCAAGGTACAGAGAGCAGAAAATCAAGTCACAATCTGCCGCACACCACTGACCAGGCCTAGAGGAGTTGGGGGGCGGGGGTCGCAGTGTGAGTTACGAGTGACTGTGTGGGCTTCGAATCTCCACCATCAAGGGGTGATGGTAACAGAGATGTAACCCCCAAAGAGATAGCCCCCATCCTGAATTTTAATCTGTTCAAGCTAAAAGTTACTAAATAAATTGCCGTTCATAATTTAAAATAGTCTAAATACTTGTTTCTGTTCCACTGGCACTTTTACCAAATACCGGTTTTTCAGAGGGTGTGTGTGATTTGTTGACTGTACTTCCTTCTGCCACCAGAAGCGTTCGCACTGTTTGTGGCCGTCACTTCCCATGACTGCCCCGAGCTGGCTCCGTGTCACTGAGGAGGCTCTGCTGACCCCAAGAATGCCCTCTCTCTCATGGGGGGTTCAGTAGGATCTGGTAAGGACCAAAGGTAGAATAAAAATGTTGAATTACCTGGCAAGAATCGACGTTCCCCTGCAGGAAGCCGGCACAGATCATGGCTGGTGTGATCAGGTTGTCATAGACATATCTGCTGTTGCATCTCTGTGTCTCAATGAGAAGCACCTTGGCAGCGTTCAGCACTTCTGAGGTCTTCCCTAAGGACAGGGAGACTTGTTGAGCTCCCAGTGTTGCCTGCAGCTCTCGCAGGGAGAGCACACTTCCCTCCCTGAGACCTCCACACGCACTACACAGATGGTCACAGCCCTATTTTCCAGCCCTGCCCCGGTCAGCTCATCCCAGCACCAACCCCTCTCCTGGGAAACCTGGATTCTCCTTACAACTGGCGGTGCCTGTGCTGAATGCAGCTCTGGAGTTCAGCTTCAGGGAAAGAAATTCCCAGCTCTGAAACTATAGGGCTCTATCAGTGCCATGGAATCCCCCTCTTATTCACCCAACGGCTTGGTTCTGCTGAACCAATTTCCCACTCCTCACTGAACCCCACCCAGGACACACAGGCGCCTGTTTCCCCTCTGGCATGCACACACTCTTCTGGAGCACACGTGACCCTCCCTAGGCCGCCTGCTTCTCGGCTCCCCTGCACATTAGAGCTTCTCAAGACACGGCCTGCACTTGCCACCTCTGCATTTCCCACTCTCGCTTTGCTGCCTCCCCTCGGGCATCTTCTGGGCACCGTGGGCTTAGTGTGCAAAACCAGAACCCTCCGTCACACCTTCTCCCACCCCAAATTCTCACCAACCAATATTTCCTGGCTTGAAAAATGGCACCACCCGCCACCCTGGGGCTTCAGCCACAGAGTGGAAAGCCATCGTCCCTGACTTCTCACTCTCTCTCCCACAGACATGCAACCCATCAGTAAGTCTGGTGGCTCTAGCCCTAGTGTACCCTCATCTCTTCACATCCACGCCCGCACTCTGCTATGAGCTGGCTTCCTGTCTCAAGGAACCACAGCAATGGACTTGTCACCATCATCCTCGTCTCCATCCATTCATCCCCACTCCCCACGCAGCTGCCAGATCATGGCACTCCCCGGCTCACGATCTCCCCACCTCAAGCAGATGAGAAGCTGGTGTCTTCACCATAATCCACAAGGACCTATGCAATCTGGCCCCAGCCCACCTCCTTGGCCCCTTGACCACACCTGAAGATACATGCACTAGCCTTTTTGATGTGTACACATTTTTGCCATTTGAGTCTCAGCTCAAATGCCACCTCTTCCGAGAAGCCTTTCCTGACCACCCCTTCAAAATAGCCGGGACCTTGTGATCCCCACCCTCAGATGTTTGGAAGTACCTCGCTCAGTTGTTTGTCTCCCATCTGTCTGACCACACCTGCCCCGTCCCCACCACCGACATCCAGAAGAGAGGTAAAGCTCCTGACAGCAGAGACATTTGTCTTACTCTGTTCACTTCTGCATTCCCAGCACCTGAGTAGCACCCAGCCTGTACTAGGTGCAGGTGCGCACAAATATTTGTCGATATTCCCTTCATCTTGGATTCCATGAGGTCTTTTGCCCAGCCTGTGGCTCTACTGTAGTAAGTTTCTGCTGATGAGGAGCCAGGATGCCCCCCACTACCTTCCCTGACGCTCCCCAGAAATCACCCAACCTTTGTACTTTTCCCCTTGTTTGAAAGGATTTGTTGTCTGTATGGCCTAGACGCTTTTGAGAAGGATATAAACAATATGTAAAATGAACCTTTGTGCCTGCCACTAAGCACTTCCAACCCTCCATAAAAATGAAGCAGCCAGGCTCCCTTCATTTGAAAGACTGTCAGAGAGAAATGCAGATTGCAAAGGAAGTGGGTGGAGAGAGCCTCTCTCTGTGGTTATCAGGGCAGAGGACAGGCTTAGATGTGGCCACCATGGGTCCAGGATGCCCGTCCTCACCAAGCCCCCTGTCACTCAGCCACGCAGGCCTTGGTGGGATCTCCAGGGCAGCTCTAAACTCACAATGAGTGCAACACAGGAGATCCTGCACCTCTAAACTCGTATGGCCCAGATACTTCAAAAGCCATTCCACATGCTGCTCTGTGTGATCACGATAAGAACACAGTGTATTAGGTAGGCTGGGCAGGATTTCTCCCACTTAGCAGATGGAGAAACTGAGGCACAAGGACTGGGGGAATCAACCAAAGTCATCCAGTCATTGAGTAGTAGAACTGGGATTAAAACCTGGACCTCCCACTTCCGAACCCAATGCTCCATCTGTGGGCCCTGCAGTCCTGTGTGCCCAGGAGCAGCCTCACCTTTCTCCTCGGTGGCCCCCCACCCGGAAATCCAGCAGAGCTGTTCTGGCTGCAGCATCATGCCTGGGTTGGGCAGACACACTGGTTTCACTAGGTCTGTTTCAAGAAGAGAAAACACAGTGAGCCAGGCGGGTATCACCTATGTCTCCACCTGGCCTTCCCACATGCAGGCTGCTGGGCCTGGCACCCTGGCCACCCTGCCCAGAGGACCCTGCATCCCAACAAGTCCCACATTCTCACTTTCTCCCCCTGCCAGACCTCTCCTTCTGGCAGGCAAGACGTTATGCTACTTATAAGTAGAATTATTTGCTAGCTCTGCTTATAAGAGGAATTATTTGCTAGCTCTGCTTCCAAAATTACATATCTCCAGGTGATCAAGACGGGAAAGACACACAGGAGGCAACAGCCAAAAAGCCGATGGAGTCAATGGAGTCAGCTTTCGCCCCAGAGGCACCACGCCATTGCTCAGGCATTCGCTCTTCTATATGTGAACCATTTCCCAATGTGAATACAGACATGCTGTAGGGAGGGCTGAGGTTTTGCTTCTTCTGTATCCACATGGGGCTAGAACATTCCAGACCCTTGGATGGACCAGAGTGGGACCGAATAAGAGGCTAAGAGAAAGCATGTTTGTCCTGAATTAAGCAACTTGGTTTTAGAATGTATCTTTAAAAATCAAGGATCTTTACACATTTTAGGCCAGTAGTTCTCAACTGGAAGTGACTTTGCCTCAAAGCGGATGTTTGGCAATGTCAGCAGGCAACACTGGTTGTCACAGCTTGGTAGCTACTGGCCTCCAGTGGGTAGAGGCTGGGGACGCTGTTAAACATCCTACAAGGCACAAGAGAGCCCTACAACAGAGAACCACCCAGATGTCAAGGGTGCTGCAGTGGGAAAGCCCTGTTCTAGCCTTTTCCATGCCTGGCTTGAATCACCACCACTCAGTACAGTACAGAACAGATGTGGTGGCTGCTGCCTCCCCCAAAATGCGGCAGGTGCTCTTAGCCTCTGTGAGCCTCTCCCATTGGCCACCCGCTGCACGCTACCCTCGCTCAACGCAAATGCCTCCCTTCCATTTGGCATAGCACAAGTGTCATTTCCAATCAACATCTCTTTAAGATTCTGCCAACCTGCTTGCCAAGCCTGAGCCACACGTACCGTTGAAAGTCAGAGGCTTCTGCAGCTTCATCAGCGCAATGTCATTGTTCTTGGTCTTGGAGTCATAATTTGGATGAGAAATCACTTTTTCTACTTGGTATCCGGCTCCATAGAACATGAAAGATTGTCTCAAAATCCCCGCAAATGCCGTCCAATGCCATGGATTGTTAAGAGGTCTGGGAGAGAAGAAGGACTCAGTATCTCAGAGCCATAAACACAGAGCTCTCAGTGGATGAACTTCCAACGTCAGAAGCTGGAGGCAAGACACCCAGAGGCAGGATGGTTCACCAAAAACCACACAGGGAGATAGTGGAAGAGGTGCTCGGTCTCCCCTTCTCCCCCACACTCCCCCAACCCCGACTCCCTGCCTCAGCCCCCCACATCATCCTTCTTTCTGGCTCTTGCATCACCTTCAAGGAATCTGCAGCACCCACAATGGGCCGACATCCCTCCCTGGGGTTTCAAGGCCATTTCTAGCAGGACTGGCCCTTATTTTCCTTTGTACGCCAAAGCATTTCCTGGCACATGGTAGGTGCTTAATAAATGGATACTAATGAACAGACTTGTCCGATATCAATCAAACCATTTCCTTTATCCAAGAGTTTCCCTCTTAAGAGAATCCCAGCTCCTAGTGGGCCCAGAGCACCCAGTGGTGTGAAGAGGGGGAGAGAAGGGAGCACCCTTGGGTAACAGCCCTTGAGAGAAACCCAGTTCCTAGAGGGCCCAGAGCACCTGGGGGTGTGAAGAGGGGGAGAGAAGGGAGCACCCTTGGGTAACAGCCCTTGCTTCCTTGACCTTCATAACAGCCCGAGAGGAGAAGGGCATGCCCATCTTATAGTTGTACATGCCATGGATCAGAGACGTTGAGTGAATCGTCTAAGGGCACGCAGCAAGAGAGGGCTGGGCCAACAGTCAAACCCAGTTCAGCCTCTCTCTAAGGCAGAAAAATACATCCGCCAAGTGAGGCCTCCTCCAAAGCAGCATGTGACCAAAAGCACTATGTGTTTAAGGAAAAGGGGAGGGGGTGGTAGCGTCCATAAATGCTAATACTGTCACGGCTAGCCTCACCCCTACCTAACCCTCTGCATGAGCAATGCTGTGGCCAAGAACGCTTAACCCCAGGGACCTTCCAGCAGGGCAGCCTGAAGCCTGTCTGAGTGTGCCCTCTCCTGGGACTAGCGTCCCGGAGACAGGATACCTCAGGGGGCAGGGGCTTTGCTCAAGGGCAGGACAGAGCTCAGAGGACAGTGGCTGGAAGGAACGCTGGTCACGGCGACATCGTGGAGAATGTTCCACCTGCACCCTGTGCCCTGCGTGCAGGGGACACTCAGTGCATACAGCCATGCACTGCCTGGCATGAGCGCACTTGATGTCTCACAGCCCTAGGAAGCAGGTGCAATACTCTCCCCATTTAAACACAAGGATGCCGGGGCTGCAAGGGTTGAGACCTGCTCAAGGTCACAGGGTGGCTGTAGGCCAGCCCTGAGCCCCCACCCGGCCCGCGCCGCCCCTGGCATACTTTTCCACGCAGTGGGCGGCTGTCACGATCCACTCGGGGGTGATGATGGAGCCTCCGCACACGTGGACGTTCTGGACGTGCAGGCTGACCTGCCAGGGCCAGGCCCCCGGGAGCGCGCTCTCGCCGCCCACAATCCTGCTCTGGCGGCTTGAGTTCAAGTTGACCCCGCAGGCTGAGGATGACAAACAGGAGGCCAGTGGGGTGAGACCAGCAGAAGCCGCCCAGCCACCCAGCGCCCGCCCCTCCCAAGGGTCTCCCAGGCTGCAAGGACAGGGCAGGGGCACCACTGCTGGGGATGGACTTAGGGGGCTCCTGGGGGTCTCCTCTTGGGGAAGGGAGGATGCCCCTCCAGCCCACCCAGACCCAGGAAGCACCACTTCCCTGAACACTCCTGTGATCCCATGGGGTCTCCCGGGACCCAGGTGGGGGTGTTCTGGATAACAAGGCCCTGGGGACTCCTTGAGTCTTGGAGGGACTGACACCACTCAGGGACCCCAGATTCTCACACAAAGAAAAGGAAGATGGGAGGGGCAGGGCTGGAAGTGAGTGAGGGGGTGAGGAGACGAGGAGGTGAGTGAGAAGGTGAAGGGGTGAGTGAGGGAGTGAGTGAGGAGTGAGGAGGTGAGGGGGTGAGTGGGTAATTGAAAGGATGAGGGAGTAATTGAGGGGGTGAGGGGGTAATTGAGGGGGTGAGGGGATAAGTGAGGAGGTGAGGGGGTGAGTGAGGAGGTGAGAGGGGTGAGGGGGTGAGTGGGGGGTGAGGGGGTGAGTGTGGGGTGAGGGGGTGAGTGGGGGGTGAGGGGGTGAGTGGGGGGTGAGGAGGTAAGTGAGGAAGTAAGGGGGTGAGTGAGGGGGTGAGTGAAAAGGTGAGGGGGTGATTGACGAGGTGGGGGGGTGATTGACGAAGTGAGGGGGTAAGTGAGGGGATGAGCAAGGAGGTGAAAGGGTGAGTGAGGGGGTGAGGGCATGAGTGAGGAGGTGAGGGGGTGAGTGAGGAGGTGAGGGGGTGAGTGAGGAGGTGAGGGGGTGAGTGAGGGGGTGAGGGGGTGAGGGAGTGAGTGAGGGGGTGGGTGAGGAGGTGAGGGGGTGAGTGAGGAGGTGAGGGGGTGAGTGAGGGGGTGAGGGGGTGAGGGAGTGAGTGAGGGGGTGGGTGAGGAGGTGAGGGGGTGAGTGAGGAGGTGAGGGGGTGAGTGAGGAGGTGAGGGGGTGAGTGAGGAGGTGAGGGGATGAGTGAGGGGGTGAGGGGGTGAGGGGTGAGTGAGGGGGCGAGGGGGTGAGTGAGGGGGCGAGGGGGTGAGGGGTGAGTGAGGGGGTGAGGGGGTGAGGGGTGAGTGAGGGGGCGAGGGGGTGAGTGAGGAGGTGAGCGGGTGAGTGAGGAGGTGAGGGGGTGAGTGAGGAGATGAGGGGGTGAGTGAGGGGGTGAGGGGGTGAGTGAGGGGGTGAGGGAGTGAGTGAGGGGGTGGGTGAGGGGTGGGTGAGGTGGTGAGTGAGGGGGTGAAGGGGTGAGTGAGGGGGTGAGTGAGGGGGTGAAGGGGTGAGTGAGGGGGTGAGGGGGTGGGTGAGGGGTGGGTGAGGGGGTGAGTGAGGGGGTGAGGGGGTGAGTGAGGGGATGAGGGAGTGAGTGAGGGGGTGGGTGAGGGGTGGGTGAGGTGGTGAGTGAGGGGGTGAGGGGTGAGTGAGGGGGGTGAGGGGTAAGGAGGTGAGGGGGTGGGTGAGGGGTGGGTGAGGTGGTGGGTGAGGGGGTGAAGGGGTGAGTGAGGGGGTGAGTGAGGGGATGAGGGAGTAATTCAGAGGGTGAAGGGGTGAGTGAGGGAGTGAAGGCATGATTGAGGGGGTGAAGGGGTGAGTGAGGGGGTGACTGAGGGGTGAAGGTGTGAGTGAGGAGGTGAGTGAGGGGGTGAAGGCATGAGTGAGGGGGTGAATGGGTGAGAGAGGGGGTGAGTGAGGGGTGAAGGGATGAGTGAGGGGGTAAGTAAGGGGTTGAGGGGGTGAGGGGGTGAGTGAGGAGGTGAAGGTGTGAGTGAGGGCGTGAGGGGGTGAGGGAGTGAGGGATTAGTGAGGGGGTGAGGGGTTGAGTGAGGAGGTGAGCAGGTGGGTGAGTGGATGAAGGGGTGAGTGAGGGGGTGCAGGGGTGAGTGAGGGGGTGAGGGGTGAATGAGGGGTTGAGTAGGGGGTGAGTGAGGAGGTGAGGTGGTGAGTGAGGGGGTGAAGGGTGAGTGAGGGGGTGAGGAGGTGAGTGAGGAGGTGACGGGGTGGGGTGAGGGAGGGATGAGGGGGAGAGTGAGGAGGTGAGGAGGTGAGTGAGGGTTGAGGGAGTGAGGAGGTGAGTGAGGGTTGAGGGAGTGAGGGGGTGAGTGAGGGGGCGAGGGGGTGGGTGGTGAATGAGAGGTTGAGGGGGTGAGTAGGGGGTGAGTGAGGGGGTGAGGGGTGAGTGAGGTCTGCTGCCTTCCCTGCTTCCTGTGTGTGAGTGTCTTCTCCACCAGGAGATGAGTGCATGGGCAGAGGGCAGGGCGGGTGCCACGCACCCTTGGGGCTGTGCTGGACCCCCACTCAGGACCTAAAGAAGACCTGAGCCAGCCCTGCCGGGATGGGACGGTGTCAGCTCCTTCCACCTCTTCAAATGAAAAGCTGAGCTCAGGACCACGGCCCCACGACAGCACTGGGCCATCCCAGAGGAGAGGGACGGTGGCTTCCACATTTGCAAACAGTTTGGAAACTGTAAGCACTCTAAACACAGAGATGGGGACACCCAAGTCTAAGCCACCGTCCAAAATTCAGGAGAGAAGAGGCAAGAGCACTGTTGTTCTCTGGTCTTGTCCCTCCTCCCGGGTCCCACTGGCTGATGAGCACCTGGTGGCCACACGGTGGTGCTGGACCACAGCCCCGCAGATGCTCCAAGTCCACGTTAGGTGGCTGCCAGGGCTCACTAACGCCACCCCCCTTTGCTTTCTGGAGAAAGAGACCTGCCGGGCCTCCAGCTCATGGGTGGCATAAAGTGTAGGGCTTTGTCAGCTTCTTGAGCGTGCCTGATCTCAGGGGGTGTCCCTTGGACCCAAGGCTGAAGGTGTCTACAGGCCATGGAAATCTAAACCAGGAGCTCCTTGGAAAGAGCGAGACGCCGCTGGGCACATTCCAACCCGTGACCCCACCTTCTTCCCTCCCACGCCCCCAGAGACACAGGGAGTACTGTTCTGAAAGTAGAGAGCTTTTCCTAGTTAGAAGTATCAAAAGGGGGACTCCAGATGAACTTACCTATACAGCGTAAAGAAACCACTGCTTTTGAAGAACAGGCATCACTGCAAAAAGAACAGGGGAAATTCTGGTCACGATAGTGCGGAGTCACCTGCCTCTCACATGCTTAGAAATCAGTCATTTCTTCCGATGTTCCCTCTCCTGTCTTCTGAGACATAGAAGGGTCTGCTAGTTACAACTCCAATAAGGTAAGTAAATCCATATAGGGACAGTGGCAAAGACCAGACACTGAGCCAAGGTACGCGGCTCACATCCCCACAGTGTGACCTTGGGCAAGTTACTTAACCTCTCTTAAAATTGTACCAGCTCCTAGGACGGTTGTGAGGGTAAGTATACAATAATGCTAGTTTTGTTTTTCCTCTTGGAATTTAAAATCATCTTCTAATTTTTAAGGAAGCCATTTGGAAACCTCTGGGCTCCTATAACTGCTTTAAATTTGTAGTGTTGAAAGCAATATAACCAATAGTTTCCCTAGGATTAGAAGAAACGTAAGAGTTACTCATTTGGGAGTCAAACATCCCAGGTTATGGATGAAGAGGAAGTAACTGATGCATTTTGTCCTGCAGTGAATTTCCCAGGCTATGCTGAGAAGGGAAGACGCGGCCCCTGGCATGCAGAGCTGGCCCGCCCTGATAGCTGGGCCGTGTGCTCTGCGGAACCTGAATTATTTCACTGAGCGTCAATATCGGACTAGGCCCCTCCATGCCTGAGATGGGGCAAGACACAAGGAGCCTCCTCCGAAATGATGTCTGAACAGACAGAACAGGAACCTTGTGCTCACAACCACAAAATCACGATCTGATGTCTCCTCCTGTCCTGGCTAACTTGAGCGACGGACGTTTCTTTACCAATCACAGCTTTAGCCTAGCCTCATTCCAACCTCCTCCTAGAAAAAAAATAATAAAGCAGCCTCACAGAATTACCCCTGCTTCCTGACAGCATCCAATCCAGAGCAAATCTCTGCTTCCTCCAACCACCCCCAAACCACCTTGCAGGAGCCCAGGCCCTACAATAATAGGTCCTTCCTGACACCTTCTTACTAAGGCACACCCCCCGGGTTCTCAGTGACTACAGGTGCATTCCAGGTGGACTCTGGCTCTGGGGCACTGACACGGCCAAGTGAAGACATGTCCCCTTTAAGAGAAGACATTTCCTAAGAATCCTAAGGTCGGTAGGGATAGCCCTGTGTGGTCACAGCGCCAGGGCACATGTGGTTATTCACAGAAGCCCGACAGAAAACAAGCCAAGAACTCAGGCATCAAAGGGCAACTGCTGCACAGAAAGAGGAAAAGAAGTGCGCCTCCCCCCACCACCACCACCGAGATAGAATAGAGCCTACCAGACAATGGCCTTCTCTTCTTTCTTCCAAGCCCTCCAGCCTCCTTGTGAGTTCCCAAGGCTCTTGCCAAGGGACGGCAGCACCTCCTCCCCTCCCCCCGTCCCTGCCCGGCTGGACTTGGCTCCCTGATTCCGTGTGTAACCCAGAAAGACAAAGAACCACTCAGCATTTACAAAGTGCCCAGGCAGCTGTGTTTAGCTTCTCCACAGGGACAAACCGCAGCCCTGCTGTTTTGATGGGTGCACCTGGCCGTGCACAGCCCTCCCCACTGGGCTTGCCCTGCCACATTCCCCAGGACAGCAGGCTGCAGTGGAAGTCAGGCCCCCAGACCCCTCCACCAGCGGCCTCCAGGAATGCAAACCTGCCCCAGGCTCCCACTCAGAGGAAAGGTGGCGCGGGGTGATTAGTTCATCCTCCCCCGAAATGCAGCACCTGGCACCTGGCAGGCAGGGAGGTGATGCCTAGACACCAGGCATAAGCCCTGGGGACCTGGGAGGCAAGGAGAGCTCATGGGCAAAGGACACTGTGTATCTTTCACATCAGAAAACACATAACAGCAACAATCATAGCAAGTCTGCAAACATCCTAAATATGTGCAAAGCAAAAGGAAGAGCCTAAGTCCATCCCCTCTTCTGCCCTCCCAGCCAGGTCAGCCACTCATCATGTGACCTGTGGCTTGTACCCACTTCTACCCCCTGGAAACACCACAACTCATTCCCAGGCCGCCAGAATGCTGCCCATCCCTCACAGAGCACCCTCTGGCACTGCTGTCCCGGGGTTGGGGCTAACGGGACCAGCCAGCCCAGCTGCCTGGAATGGAGCAGGACTTCCCTTGCTCAAGCCAGTGAAGTCCCTGGCAAACTGGAATGAGCCGGTCACCCTGGCTGGGACACTGAGACATTATCTTGGATTCCTAGAACCACGCCCTGACAAAATAGGTACACCTCTAAATGTCTGAAGAGGAAAGAAAACTAAATAGAGTTGAATGTCGATGTTGCAAGTGTGAGCCGCTACCAACAAGGGCAGACGGTAGAGGCTGAAAATGAAATAGCAGAGAAACCTCAGCCACTTCCTATGAATAAACCAAGGGCTGCTTAGAGTAACCAGGCCTGGTCAGACTCTAATCTCCTCCCAATGCAAAACCCATCCAGACCGAGTATTGCAGCTCAGAGAAATCAGACTCAGGACAACGATTCCCCATGGTGTCTCCTAGTTGATTTCATTCCAAAATTTTTCAAGAAGAAATTGCTGCATACCTGTGGTACAGTTTTTTATAGATATCGACATTGCCGGCACTTGTGTTCAGTTTCATAAAGCTGGTGGATCCGCTGTCATCCACTATTCCTTGGCTAGAGTAAAAATTATTCCTAAAAAAGAAAACCTTATTTGTGATAATGGTTAAGGCATAAGCAAACACAAATCCTATACTATGTCATAATACCGCTCATACGACATTCAGAATAAGAGGGAAAAACCTTAGCATTTAGGAAAAAAAATCACACGTTCTAACCAAGTGCTAGAATATTGTAACGATTTTTCGATTCAATAACCCTAAAGTGTCAGACAAAATTCCTTCATTGGTCGTGTTTCTTATCCAGGTTAGGATCAAGAAACTATGAGAAGGACATAGGATTGTATAATCATACACACATTTAATCTAATAAAAGGTACAGATGTTAACATGGCCCCAGTTATCAATTCCACCAGGTTCCTGGACTGTGATGGGGGGGCTTTGCTGTGTAATTCACCCCTGCTGTTTAGGGATGTCACAGTGACTAGCTAAGATGCCAACTTTCTCACCGAGTGGTAATTCATTCTGAAAACTGGCATATTGAATACCCTAAAGTTGCATAGAAATCACCTGGGGACCCTCCCATGGAAAACAAAGTGGCAGTAGCATCCTACCACCCTCTCCCCCGATGCCTGAGGGCTGCCGCATCTCCCCAGGCAGTGCTGGTAAATGGTAACCACCGCCCCACCCCCGTTAGGAATCACTGTCAGGCGACACACACCCTGTTAAGCCTTCCCACCTTCCCTCAGAGCTACGAGCAGGAATGACATTTTTTAAGTATCAGTCTGATTGATTGATTCTCTCCCCAGCTCAAAAGGCTTCCATGGCTCCCGAATGAAGTGAAACTGGCACAGGATTTGTCTCTGCTGCTCTCCCCAGCCCAACCCTCCTCGCCAGCTGTTCTGGTCCAACCTCTACCCAGGGAGGTGAATGGACCCTGGCTGAGAGGCACCTTGGAAAAAGAGGCACCTAACGCCCTCAGCCTACCCCTCTGACCAGATGACCACAGCACTGGGCACTCCCGAGCAACCAGGAGTCTATAGAGGCCAAGGAGGAGGCAGGGCAAGGTGGCAGTGAGCCAAGGTCTGTGTGCTGGGCACAGCCCTAGCAGGACAAATTCCACCTGCTGGTTATAGGGCTCAGCTTTTGGAAGGTGACAATTGTCCCCAGCACTCATGTGCCGGTGCTTTCACAGGGAGGCAGAGAGAGGGTCTTCTCGTGTTTCTGCTGTCTGTTACTGTCACTCGGCGGGTGCTGCCCCATACTCACTTATAGCCCATGTCCCTGCAGGCCGCCCGCCCGTAGTTCTCGTTCCAGTCGTCTTGGCACACAGGGTGCCAGGACTTCCTCTGAGATGAGTACACCTGAAGGATGAAGTTTGGTCCGTAGAGGCGAACTGCACGAGAGGGAGGATTATCCATGAGTTTCTTTCTTTTTTTTTCTTTTTTTTGAGACGGAGTCTCGCTCTGTCACCTAGGCTGAAGTGCAGTGGTCTGATCTCCACTCACTGCAGCCTCCGCCTCCCAGGTTCAAGTGATTCTCCTGCCTCAGCCTCCCGAGTAGCTGGGATTACAGGCGTCCACCACCCCGTCCAGTTAATTTTTCTGTTTTATTAGAGATGGGGTTTCACCATGTTGGCCAGGCTGGTCTTGAACTCCTGACCTCAGGTGATCCCCCTGCCTCGGTCTCCCAAAGTGTTGGAATTACAGGCGTGAGCCATTGCACCTGGCCTTGTCCCAACTTGTATCGTCCTAGCTGCTACCCAAGCCCCGCGCTCTCCACGGCTCCGGAGGTGGCAGCACAGTTCACTCTTCTCAAGGCACTGACCGCACACAAAGGGAGGCCACAAATCTATTCTTTTTCTGCTAAAAAGTGCTCTCTACACAAGAGAATTGAAAACAGGCATTGGGTCCAAAACTTGTACAAATGTTCACTGCAACCCTCTTAAAACAGCTGAAAGGCGAAAACACTCCAAACGCCCACCAACGGCTGGGTGAGCAGAATAGGATATGTCCAAGATACACAATGGAATACGATTCAGCCAGAAGAGGGAATGAAATTCAGACACAGGCTGCAACCTGGATGAGTGCTGAAGACCTTATGCTCAGTGAAAGGAGCCGGACATACTGCATGAGCCGACTCACATGGAATGCCACTTATATTGTGTGAGCCCACGTATTGCATGATCCCGCTCACATGGAATGCCTAGAGTAGGAAATCTATAGACACTAAGTAGATTAGTGGTTGCTTATGAGTAGGAGGGACGGGCTGGGAGGAGGGATATGGGGTGATAGTTCAAGGGCTTGGGGTTTCTTTATGAGCTGATGAAAATATGCTAAAATTGACTGTGGTGATAGTTGCACATATTCGTGAATATATAAAAGCCAGTGAATTATATATTTAAATTTTATGGTACATACATTACATATCAATAAGCTGTTTTATATAAAAAATTATATCTCAATAAGCTATTTCATATATATGTTTTATATATAAAAGCACTGAATTATATACTTGAATTTTATGGTACATAAATTAGATCTCAATAAGCTGTTTTTAAAAATATATAAGATAAGCCAGGCATGGTAGCTCACGCCTGTAATACCAGCACTTTGGGAGGCCAAGGCGGGCAGATCACCTGAGGTCAGGCGTTTGAGATCAGCCTGGCCAACATGGAGAAACCGATCTCTACTAAAATGCAAAAATTAGCCAAGTGTGGTGGCACGCATCTGTAATCCCACCTACTTGGGAGGCTGAGGCAGGGGAATTGCTTGAACCCAGGAGGTAAAGGTTGCAGTGAGCTGAGATCACACCACTCCACTCCAGCCTGGGTGACAGAGCAAAACTCCGTCTCAATAAATAAATAAATAAATAATAAGATAAAAGGTTTTTTTTTTTAAAGTGCTCTTTAAGAGAGCACTTTGAGCAACAAATTGTCCAGGAGACTCTAAATCAACATTCTGCTGAAATGATCTCAGCTCTTTTATTTAAAGAAACAAAACATTACAAACACCGTTGAAGTCGCTCCCTATTCCCAATCTCTTCTCTCCCTCCCTAGAGGTAACCACCATCCAGAGTTTTGGGGACTTTTTGCTGGGCAGGATAATACATGGGGTGGGCGTATTCACAGAACAGAATCCCATGCAGCTTAAGGGTTAAGCAGAGCATCATGAACAGGAAGAAGCTTGAAAACAGCGCTGTGGGAAAGAGAGCAAGTGATAAATGATGCGTTCAAGTATCACGTTATTCATGCAAAGCTGAAAGCATGGAAACAATGCTGTGTGGTTTGGGAGAAATACACATGGGCTTAAAGTATAAAGTGAGGACCTGGCTATGCTCTAGCCTCTCTTCTTACTTCCTACGAGTGGCCCTGACTCACTGGACAGTCTGGTACCTGTGGGCTTGTTCCCCCATGAAATGACTTGGGTCTGATTATTGTCTAATGCCTCTGTGGTGAGTGATTCCACATCCTATCTGTGAGTCGGTCACAGGTTACATGAATGGATAAACATTGTGCTACATCTGGACAACGGAATATTATTTGGTGCTAAAAAGAAATGAGCTATCAAGCCATGAAAAGGCATGGAGGAAACTTGAATGCATATTACTAAGTAAAGGAAGCCAACAAAGTGAAGGAAGGTGTATGTGGTGAAGGCTACATACTCCATGATTCCAACGCTACAACATCCTGAAAAGACCAAAACTTCGGAGGCACTAAGAAGATCAGATAGCTGGGGTGAGTGGGGAGAGAGAAACAGGTGCAGCAAAAGAGGTTTTAAGGCAGGAGAACTACTCTGGACGATACTATCATTGTGGCTGTACAGCATTATGCATTTGTCAAATCCCACAGAACTGTACAAGAGAAAGGGTGAAGTCCAGGACTTCAGTTCATCATAATGTATGCATCAGGTTCATCGGTGTTAATGAACGCACAGCACTGATGTGGGATGTTCATAACAGGGCAACTGTGTGCTGGGGAGGAGTACAAGGAGCTCGCTGCCCTGTCTGTTTCATTTTCTGTAAACCTAAAACCGCTCTAAAATATAAAGTCTGTTCACTTTTTTAAAAGTAACTGAAATGAATACACTTCTTCTTCTTCTTCTTTTTTTTTCTTGTTCCCAGGCTGGAGTGCAATGGCATGATCTCAGCTCACCGCAACCTCCACCTCCTGGGTTCAAGAGATTCTCCTGACTCAGCCTCATGAGTAGCTGGGATTACAGGCATGCACCACCACGCCGGCTAATTTTGTATTTTTAGTAGAGACGGGGTTTCTCCATGTTGGTCAGGCTGGTCTCGAACTCCTGACCTCAGGCGATCCCCACCCCCTCCGCCCCCCACCTCGGCCTCCCAAAGTGCGGGGATTACAGGCGTGAGCCAGCACACCCGGCTCAAAATACACTTCTATGATTAAAAACAAAACTGCCACTGTGGCTCAAAGGGAGACACTTCATTCTTGGCTTGTGGGTAATTTTAGGGATTTTCTTTCCCTTCCAGCTATCTGCACCCGGAAGAGACGGCAGCTGATAAGCCAGAGAGCTGGAAAAGGTCTCAAGCTAGTCCTTTTTTTTTTTTTTTTAAATATTAGGATTTTTTTTCTCAGCTTTGTCAAAGTATAGTTGACAAATAAAAATTTTACATGTAGGCCTGGTGCTGTGGTTCATGCCTGTAATCTCAGCACTTTGGAAGGGCAAGGCGGGAGGATCACTTGAGCCCAGAGTTCGAGACCAACCCCATCTCCACCAAAAAATATAAATATATATGCATTAGCCTGGCATGATGGTACATGCCTGTGGCCCCAGCTTTTCAGGAGGCTGAGGGGGAAGGATGGATTGAGCCCAGGAGGTCGAGGCTGCAATGAGCCATGACTGAGCCACTGCACTCCAGACTGGGTGACAGAAGGAGACCTTGTCTCAAAAAAACCCAATTGTACATGTTTAATGTGTACAGCGTGATGACTGGATATCCGCTGTGAAATGCTCACCATAATAAAGCTAGTTAACATGTCCACCACGTCACATAATTACCATTTTCTTTTCTCTTTTCTGTGGTGAGAATACTTAAAATCTGCCCTTTTAGCAAATTCCAGGTATAGAGTACAGCATTGATAACTAGAGTGAACAATTTAGTTTCTTTTCTGAGATTCTGAGAAAGACTCACAGAAAGGATAGCAACGGAAGTAGAAAGTGAATTAGTGTTAAAATATGCGCACACACACCCTTGGGAAGAAAGCGCTACACACATTTTTGAATGTTTTCCATGGGACGGGTCATATTCTTCAGCATCCTAAGGTGTTCATTTCAGCAAAAACAATTTCTACTCTACGAAATGGACAAATTAAAAGTGCACCCTATGCCTGTTCTGGTCTAAGAGAGAATACATGCACAGCGTTATGTTTGTCTGTTTCCTTTTATATGAATAATCAATATGGAAACTGGATAAAACCAAACTGAAGCCGGTCTAGGTCTGTCAGGTTACAGATCCACACGCCCTCTGACCTAGCAGTTCTACTCCTGGAAGCGTTTCCTACTGATATGCTCACACACTTGGAGCAGTGTGTGTTACAGCAAAAGGATGGAGAAAACCTTAAGGTCCACCAAGAAGAGACAGGGGCAATAATGGTGCGTCCATGCAAAGGACCAACTGTGCCATGGTGGGAAAAAACAGGGGGCTCATTTCCCTAAGGAATGCTGTCCAGGATGGTATCCAGTGCAGGAGAGTCAACTGGCTAGGAACCACTGGGAAATAGGGTCATGGTAACGCAGAAATACCTGTGCTTCTTTATGCAAAAACTCTCTGGAAAGAGAAGCAACTCAGATGAGTTGCCCCAAGAAATGTGATTGGCTGGTAAACAGGTGGGCATGTATGGGAGTGATGCGTGTGTGTGTGTGTGTGTGTGTGTGTGTGTGTGTGTCTGGGGTGTATGGGGGGATGCGGGGTAGGTAAGTAAGCAGAGCAAGGAAGAAGAGATTTTTCACAGCATACCCTTTTGTACTTCCTTGATTTTGACCTAATAATACTTTAATAGTGTACAACTATTAAAGTATTTAAATAAATACGACTTAAATATTAAGAAGAGAGCAACTCTTCAGGTAACATAAGGACTTTGTTGGTGTTTATTCACCCACATGTGCACATAGGAGAACATCAAAAGCCATTCCAGGCCAGGCGTGGTAGTTCACGCCTGTAATCCCAGCAGTCTGGGAGGCTGAGGCAGGAGAATTGCTTGAGGTCAGGAGTTCGAGACCAGTCTGGACAACATTGATGAAACCCATTTTCTACAAAAAATACAAAAATTAGCCAGGTGTGGTGGCGAGCACCTGTAGTCCCAGCCACTTGGGGGGCTGAGGCTGGGGGATCGCTTAACCCCAGGACATCGAAGTTGCAGTGAGCCATGGTCATGCCTCTGCACTCCAGCCTGGGCAACAGAGTGAAACCCTGTCTCCAGGAAAAAAAAAAAAAAAATAGAAAGAAAAGAAAAAGCCATTCCACGTGCTATCTTAACCTCACGCTACTCAATCTCAAAAACTCCCACTTTATTTTAGAAACCAAATAAAGCAAAAGAACTATGTTTAATCAGCAAATGCATCATTTTCAAGTGCAAACCTTTTTCTGGGAAGCAAGACTGTGCTGGAGGAAAGGTATCAAGAACACGGAACACTTGGGCCTGCTCAAGGCCGGCACGAGGGCCGAGCTCCACGGGCCAGTGCTCCTCACCAGGAAATTCCACAGCCAGGACTGACAGCGAGGGCTTAACAGGAAACCAGTCCCCACCAAGGATGGCCCTTAGGAGAGGGGGGATTACTTTGGCATGGAAAAATCTTTGGCTAGAATTCTCGGCCAGCTCTGAGGCTTGTGGTTTCTACAGAAAACTCCAGGAGGTTAGGACTGCACTTGAGGGAGGGGAGGAGAACTACCTAAGAGATTTCTGGTAAGTCCTCTGACTCTACAATTCTGAAATTTCTATTTCTAGAAAAAACAAATGGTTCTAGTGTAAACATGTCAGAGTGTGCTTAGCTGGAACTAAGATATGAGAGCACACACCACCACCAACGCTGATCCACAAGCCTGGAATACATGGCTGTGCTTGGGAAATAACTTTTTTTTGTTTTTTGAGATGGAGTCTGGCTCTGTCGCCCAGGCTGGAGTGCAGTGGCGCAATCTCGGCTCACTGCAACCCCCTCCTCCCAGGTTCAAGTGATTCTCCTGCCTCAGCCTCCCGAGTAGCTGGGACTATAGGCCCGCACCACCACGTCTGGCTAATTTTTGTATTTTTAGTAGAGACGGGGTTTCACCATGTTGGCCAGGCTGGTCTGGAATTCCTGACCTCGTGATCCGCCCACCTCGGCCTCCCAAAGTGCTGGGATTACAGGCATGAGCCACTGCGTCCGGCCAGGAAATAAGTTTTAAAGGAAGAGGAAGAAAAGTAAAAGGCAGCTCTTAAAGAGAAACGAGCCAGCTCCCTGCCATCTGCAGAGCCCCATTCCGTACGCAGCTGGCAGGAGGGGGATGATTAGCACAACCCTCATACTCAGGATCGTTTCCCTGTTCGAGTCACTAACTACCCTTGAAATCACCCTCAAAAATTCATGAAAAATACAAATAAAAATGCAAATGAAAACCACAATGAGGTATCATCTCATACCTCTTCAAATGGCTACTATCAGAAAGATGGAAAATAACAGGAGTTGGTGAGGTTGTAGAAGAGAAATGGAGACTTTGCACCGTGGGGGTGGGAGTGGAAGTTGCTACAGCCATTATGGAAAACAGTATGGAGTTTCCTCAAAAGGTGAGAAACAGAACTGCCATGTGATCCAGCAATCTCACTGCTGGGTTTATATCCAAAGGAAAGGAAATCCGTGTGTTGAAGAGGGACCTGCACGCCCACGCTCACTGCGGCATTTTTCACAACAGCCAAGACATGACATCAACCTAAGAGTCCATCAGTGAATGAAGGGATAAAGAAAATGTGGTGTATATGCACAAGGCAATACTATTCAGCCACAAGAAAGAAGGAAATCCTGTCATTTCCAACAACATAGATGAAGCTGGAGGACATTACGCTAAGTGAACAAGCCAGACACAGAGACAGAAACACTGCATGAGGCCACTTACATGTGGAATGTATAAACATCAAACTCACAGAAGCAGAGAGTAGAAAGGCAGCTATCAGAGGCTGGGGGCGGGGGGTGACAACACTGGGGAGATGTTGGTCAGAGGTCACAAAATCTTAGTTAGACAGGAGGAATAAGTTCGAGCAATCTATTGTACATCATAGTGACTGCAGTTAATAAACTATATGTTGCATATTTGAAAATCACTACAAGAGTAGGTTTTATGTGTTCTTAATAAGACACGTATATGAGGTAAGGCCCATGTTCTAGCTTGACTTAGCCATGCCACAGGCATACACGTATCCAAACATCATGTGGTATGCCATAAATAGGAGCAATGCTTCCTAGTTCATTAAAATGAATAAATAGATAAACCACAGAAAATAAAATGAAACAGATGAGCCCACCCTGTGACAACAGATAGATCTTTAAAGGCAGCTTGTTTTGAAAATAACATAGTGCATCTCCAATTTTGTTTTTAATTAATTAATTTATTTTTTGAGCCAGCTCTGTCTCCCAGGCTGGAATGCAGTGGCGTGATCTCAGCTCACTGCAACCTCCGCCTCCCAGGTTCAAGTGATTCTCCTGCCTCAGCCTCCTGAATAGCTGGAATTACAGGCACCCGCCACCGCGCTTGGCTAATTTTTGTATTTTTAGTGGAGATAAGGTTTCACCATATTGGTCAGGCTGGTCTCAAACTCCTGACCTCAGGTGATCCATCTGCCTCGGCCTCCCAAAGTGCTGGGATTACAGGCATGAGCCACCGTTCCTAGCCTGCATCTCCAACTTTATAAACAGTTTGCTCATCTTAACTGACTTCCTGTGGCAGTTCAGAGCACGTGTGGTTCCAATGACACAGTCCTCGGTGGCCCTGTCATCTCCCACCTGCTGGGTGAGGTTGGGCCGGAAACACAACCTCTCTGAGCCCCAGGGCTCAGCCTGGAGCAGGGATTCAATGACATCATGTGTCAGCGTACTGGACGCACGCCAGGCCCAGTCACCCAAAGGCCCCTGGACCCGGCTGCTGTCTCCAAGGTGAGCAGAGGAGTCCCTTCCCAAGGTCAAGGCTGACTCACCACACCGATTCTCGTCCTCCCCGCCGGGGCAGTGTGACACGCCATCACACCAGTTAGAGGGGTTGATGCAGGTACCTGAGGAGTCGCACTCTATCCCAGAGTTGGAGCACTTGCTGCCCACTTGCAGAGAAAACAGAAGAGAGGTGCCCTTCAGGCTGAGAAACGCAATGAGCCTCATGGAGTGAGGAACACCGTGGCATTACTGTAGCTCGCTGCAGCCTCCAACTCCTGGCCCCACTGTGTTTTGTTTTGTTTTGTTTTTGAGATGAAGTCTCATTCTGTCACCCAGGCTGGAGTGCAGGGGCACAATCTTGGCTCACTGCAACCTCCAACTCCTGGGTTCAAGTGATCCTCCTGCCCCAGCCTCCTAAGTAGCTGGGATTACAGGTGCACGCCACCACGCCTGACTAATTTTTGTATTTTTAGTAGAGATGGAGTTTCAACATGTTGGCCAGGCTTGTGGTCTCAAACTCCTGACCTCAGGTGGTCCACCTGCCTTGGCCTCTTAAAGTGCTGGGATAACAGGCGTGAGCCACCTCACCCAGCCAATCCCCCACTTTAATAAGGAGGAGAAGTGTCCTTGCCACCAGCAAGTATAAGTGGAATTAGCACTGGGGCACCTTACTTCCGTGGGGGCAATGGGAAGGACCCTCTCAGTGTTTGGGTTTGGACGGCACTCACACGTCCTCTCTGCCACACAGGTAACTTGAAGGATCCACAATGGCACATGGGTCTGCACCACCCCAGGCTGATGGGAAGGCTCAGGCTGCAGTTGCAGGAGGTGGGACATGGAGGGGTGGGCCTGGTCCCCAACAGCCACTGCTGTGCAGTGAGATACAGGTAACTGGGTGTGGCCCCAAGGTAGAAGAACCTGTGCTCACAGTGCTGGGTGGCACCAAGCACCCCAAAGCACTGGGTACATTCTAAATGCTTTCCCCATGATGTGTCAATCTCATAGCTAAACAAGAGAAGGGAAGAGAGACAGCCTCGTTATGTAAGAGAGGAACCTCACGGAGGGCCTCCAGAGGTCTCAATAGCCCAGAGAGCAGGGTCTGGCTCAGAGCACTGGGGACTGCAGGAGCACATGGTGGGATCGAGGCTCCCTGCACTTACTGAACTTCCAGAGTAGGCCAGCGGCCAGCGCAGCTCCCACGAGGAAGGTCCCCAGGGTCAAGGTGATGCACAGTGCTTTCTTAGTCTCTGGAAGAAGGAGGAGAGTGCAACGTTCAGACCAGAGTTGTTTAGAAGTCATGCTCTCAAATGTTATCTATTATTTTTATAGTACACCACATTAAGAAATAATTATTTCATATACACTTAAAAATGTGACTTTTAATTTTAAGAAATATCATGGACGATCCTACTTCTTCCATAACACTAAACCTTATGCAATTTGGAGACCAACAGGAGGAAGCTGTGATCTTCAGCAAAGTACACCGAGGTTAGGCTCTTTTAAAAAGTATGGTATGCTTCGCTGGGCGCAGTGGCTCATGCAGGTAATCCTAACACTTTGAGAGGCTGAGGTGGGTGGATCACTTGAGGTCAAGAGTTCAAGACCAGCCTGGCCAACATGGTGAAACCTCGTCTCTACTAAAAATACAAAAATTAGCTGGGCGTGGTGGCAGGTGCCTGTAATCCTAGCTACTTGGGAGGCTGAGGCAGGAGAATCACTTGAACCCAGGAGGCAGAGGTTGCAGTGAGCCGAGATCACACCACTGCACTCCAGCCTGGGCGACAGAGCAAAAACTCTGTCAAAAAAAAAAAAAAAGATAGTATGCTAAAAGAGGGTCTTAAAATAGGCAGATGATTAATGTAAAAAAAAAAAAAGAACTAAGACCTCATCTTGGTAATTACAAGCATAAGCAAAATAATAATACTGTCCTAAAAACTATCATCACTCTGTTAGTGGTACTCAAAGCAGAATAAATTGTCTTACCCAAGGCTATTTAGCGAATGGATGCTACTGTCCCATTCGGACATCCACCAAAGCTACATGTGGCTATTTAATTAATGTCCCATGGAATTAAGTAAAATGATGTAAATTCAAGTGCTCAGTCATCATATGTGGCTGGTGGCTACCATGTCAGACAGTGCAGCTGTAGAACCTTCCCATGGTGTCCCTAAGTCCTGCTGGACAGCGCCAGTGCAGGCCTTTTGGTCCAAGTGCAGAAATACCAAACTCAGAGGAAAGGCACATTTCAGAAAAAAAACGAATTTGGAAAAGGTCACTGATTTTTCTCTAGTGAGACATAGCATTATTGGTCAGAGGGTAAGCCAAAAGTCACACAGAGTTCAGAAGACAGCTACAGGTGCCAGAGAGGCATGGCAGAGTCAGACGCTGGGCTCAGCCAGCTCATGGGCCAGGAGGGAGGGCATCCATCCCCATCACCCCAGTGATGCCCAGCAGCCCCAGGTCCAGGAGCTCCCAGGAGCTTTCCCTGAAGAAAGGTGCAGAGGTGGAGGAGAGGGGAGGAGAAGGCATTTGAACAGACCCTCCCAGGCTGGAGAGGTGGTGTGGCAGCCTGGAACTCCCCACCTGGCCACACCTGTGCCTCCGGAGGTCTGCCAGGGCGATAAGCTCAGAGCTGACCCATCTGCTGAGGGCTCGATGCCATACCTCTCTCTTTGTGACAACATTCTGATAATTCTACCATCACTCTCAAACTGTTACAGGCTTAAGAATTACCTGGGGAATGTGGTGGTTCCCATCACCAGAGATTCTGTTTCAGTTGGGGGTCGGGCATGAATCTGCATTGCATTTTTTTTTTTTTTTTTTTTTTTTGAGACAGGGTCTTGCTTGTTGCCCGGGCTGGAATGCAGTGGCACAATCATGGCTCACTGCAGCCTCCACCTCCTGAGCTCAAGCCATCTTTCCACTTCAACCTCTCAAGTAGCTGGGACCACAGATGTGCACCACCATGCCTGGCCCATTTTTGGTAGATGAGGTTTCACCATGTTTCCCAGGCTGGTCTCGAACTCCTGGGCCCAAGTGATCCACTCGCCTCAGCCTCTCAAAGTGCTGGGATTACAGGTGTGAGCCACTGCACCCGACCTGAATCTGAATTTCTAACAGGCTCACAGATGAGGCCAGCACCACTGGTCTGAGGGCCATGCCCAGGCACACGATGTTCTCATAACTCGGCTGCAATGATTATATATGATGGAGGCAAGCTGGGGCCAAGGTAGTTCATGAGAGAAATTCCAGATGCCCTCTCTGGCCCATTACCAAGGACACTTTCCTCCGTCTATGGCTTCCCGAGTGCCATTTTATCCAAGATAAAATAACTGGTCTGCTGAGATGAGGGCTATTCAGTTAGGTATCCTGAACCTCACACTGAGCATGTGCCAATCTGTACAGTTCTCACCAGGAGAGTGTGTAAAGCGGGAAGCCCTCAAGTTTACTTTGCTGGACAGGCATCTGTAGTCAGCGCGTGGTCAGTACAGACACCACTGGGTCTTGGCTTGTCACGGCTGCTGTTGCACAGTTTAATTACAACTCACTGGCCCGGCACAGTGGCTCATACCACCCATGCACTTTGGGAGTGGATCTCAGCACTTTGGGAGGCCAAGGCAGGAGGATCACCTGATGTCAGGAGTTCGAGACCAGCCTGGCCAGCATGGCAAAACCCCGTCTCTACTAAAAATACAAAAATTAGCCAGAAGCAGTAGTGCACCTGTAGTCCTAGCTACTCAGGAGGCTGAGGCAGGAGAATCGCTTGAACCTGAGAGGCAGAGGTTGCAGTGAGCTGAGATCGTGCCACTGCACTCCAGCCTGGGTGACAGAGCGAGACTTTGTCTCAAAAAACAAACAAACAAACAAACAACAAAAAAAACCCACGCACACAAAACCCACTATCCATTTCCCTCAATCATGACCAACTTAAGGTTGTCAACTCAGCCTCATGGTTTCTCACGTTTAGCTGCTTGTTTCACACGCACATTTGGAGGACTATGGACCTTCGATTCTCCAAAGCCTAAGGTTTAAGCTGTGTGTTCGCTCCTACTCAATCATCAACCTTCTACGGCTGTTGCTAAAGCAAATAAATACATTAAGTCTAGAAAAATTCCTTATACTCCTGATGGGTGCTTCTGAATTGGTGCTACTCAATAACTGGGAGAAGAGTTTCAAAGCCAAACATTACACTTTCAAAATGTATACATTTCTATATATTAGATGCCAACAGTGTTTTCTTAAAAATAGTACCAGGGTAAGTTCAATTAAATTACTAAATTATTTCTGAGTTTATAAATTTTATAATGCAAAAATCATACATGTAGGTTCATATTCTTCCCTTATAAAAGCAACTGATAAGGGACTGATATATCCCTGTCCAACTCTGTCATCATCTAGTCTTTCCCAGGAAACGTGGAAATGTGTCCATCATGTGGGCCAGGGGTTCGTCTGCCTTCCTGGGTTTAGCCATCACTGGTGGGAACACCACCGTCTGGAGATGCTGACTTCAGGAGAGGGCCTTCACTGCCATTTCTTAGGGGGGTAGCTCACACAGACAGTTCCTTATCCCCTTCACCCTGGCTTCCTTCCATCCCCACGGTGGACAAAGATCAGGAGTTCCCAACCTCCACACTAAGCGATATTTTACCTGGAGGATTCTTTGCTGTCGGGGGGCTGTCTTGTGCCTTGCGGGAGGTTGAGCAGCATCCCCGGTGCCTACCTAGGAGCAGCACCCCCTCCCCACTTGTAACCACCCACACTGTCTCCAGACACCGCCAATTGTCTCTGGGGGTCCAAATTGTCCTGACTGAGAACCACTGGCCTTGACCTACCCAACCACCCCCAGAAGAACATCAGTGCAAACACAAGTATCTGCTTGGTGGGGAGCATCGGAAGAAGGGAAAGAGAGAATGAGAGAAGGGAGAGAAAGGAATTAAGGCTCATGAAGGGGTAGAAAACTCAGAGACAGGAGGTGGCTGGAGAGGAACAGGGTGGAAGAGCCATTTGTGAAGGGTGAGGGGGTGAGAGGAGGGGTAGAAACGCAGGAGCGGCAGCACTTGTCCTGAGTGGGGGAGAGGTGGGGACAGACAGGGCTTCACAGAGCACTGGCATTAATCACGTTGATGACTGATTATGTGATGTGGACACATGGAAATTCACATTCTGACGAATCTCTAACTGTACAAGTTGTAGAGACAGGATGCACATTTCACAAAATAAAATAAAAGCACTATCAATTAAAAGATCAATGTAAAAGATCTTTGGCGTAGCCACTGCTGTGCGGGTTCCACCTGGACAATTCTTAGCACTGAAACTAGCCTGAATTAACAGCTGGGAGGCAGTGCAAGAGGGGCGGACTGGAAAGACATGAGACCAAACGAAATGGCAAAGAAAGGAGATGAATGGTAGGGTGAGGAAGAGGAGGGACTGAAGTGACAGCAAATAAAATTTAACCTCCAGTCCTCCCACGCTCGCTCTGGCCTGCTCCGGCCACCCGCAGGACCCTGAAGCCCAATGAGACAGCTCAGATACTTCTGTGTGACAACCGCACCAGCCAGGTCATCTACTAAACACAAAGTAACAGAGAGCATCTTAAACATGACCTGTCATATCCAGGGGACTGTATGACAAAGGTAAGATAGTTGATTTCTGCTCTTGGAAGCTTACCATTTATTCAAGAGCAGCCACCAATAAACCACACAGCCAAGAAACCCAGAGAAGGTGATCTCGAAGCCTACGCTGAGTAGAACAGGCAAAGCTGTACAGGAGAGTTAACGGAAGAGGGAGGTATCTGCAGGCCCTGGGCAAGAGGCTAGGCCTGGCAGCGACAGCTTTGACCCAGCAGGAAGAGAGTGGAAAGGCATGAAGACAGGCTGGCTCCGGAAGACGGAGGAGAAGGGTCAGACCAGGAGAGGTGGCGACAGTGGTGTTGGGAGCAGAGAGCCCACTGGGGAGGTAGACCCGGGACCCCGGGTTTATTACAGGAAATAAACACAAAGAGAATCCTACTTGAGGTGCACACTGTCCCGGATGGGGATTTGGGCTGCGTGCAGACGACGGGGTTGGAAGCCTGCGTCAGGACCCTCGGGGCGTACTGGGGCACGGGGGACGGGTAGTACTGAGCCGGATGCACCTCGTAGACAGTGGGGACCACAGTGGGCTGTGCGGGATAGGGGTTTTCCGGTTGGTATCCATGGTTTTCATAGTAAGGTCCAATAGCTGGTGGTGACCCCTAAACAGTTGAAAAGAAGATGAATAATATAAAACTCTTATTTGCACTAAAGGGTTACATACAAACTATCACATCATACCACAGCTATACCAATGATCTTTTAAATTGATAATGTTTTTATTTTATTTTGTGAAATATGCATCCTGTCTATACAACTTGTACAGTTAGAGATTAATAAGAAAGTGACAAGATATTAAAAAGGTACTACAAGGCTGGGTGCGGTGGCTCATGCCTGTAATCCCAGCACTTTGGGAGGCCGAGGCGGGCGGATCATGAGGTCAGGAGATCGAGACCATCGTGGCCAACATGGTGGATCCCTGTCTCTACTAAAAATACAAAAATTAGCTGGGTATGATGGTGGGCGCCTATAATCCCAGGTACTCGGGAGGCTGAGGCAGGAGAATGGCTTGAACCTGGGAGGCAGAGATTGCAGTGAGCTGAGATCTCACCACTGTACTCCAGCCTGGCGACAGAGCAAGACTATGTCTCAAAAAAAAAAAAAAAAGTAATAGAAAAGAAGAGGTACTACAGATTCTCCCTAGGTGTCTACAACTATGTCAAACATTGAACTTATTTAGAATAAAAACTAACCAGAACTTTCAATTACCAAAGTTTTTTGTTTTGGTTTGGTTTTACTATTCATTCTTTTTTTCTTACATGTCTATTTATTAAACAGGAGTTCCTTCATGACAATTTAATACAATATTTATTCACGATTACAGTTGAGAAAATTATTTCCCTCTACATACAAAAATACAGATTTGGCTGGGCGCAGTGGGTCACTCCTGTAATCCCAGCACTTTGGGTGGCTAAAGCAGGTGGATCACCTGAGGTCAGGAGTTTGAGACCAGCCTGGCCAACATGGTGAAACCCCATCTGTACTAAAAATACAAAAAATTAGCCGGATATGGTGGTGCACGCCTATAGTTCCAGCTGCTTGGGAGGCCGAGGCGGGAGAATTGCTTGAACCCGGGAGGCGGAAGTTGCAGTGAATGGAGATCACGTCACTACACTCCAGCCTGGGCGACAAGAGCGAAACTCCCGTCTCAAAAAAAAAAAAAAAACCACTATGAAAACAGTCAAGACAAGTACCATGAAAAATGGGTCCTTCAAAAGAAAGAAAGAGGGAAAATTGAGGTCATTGTGAGACTTTGTCTGCTGTTGGGGAGAAATCAATGGCAGCAAAGCTCTGGGGCCCCTGACCCACTCAAGACGTACAGACTCAAACTCGAGAACCACACAAGCCAGGGCAAACCCACCCCAGGGCTTCTGCATCTGCTGAAAAGCCAAGCATGCAAACCCAAGTTTGCCCAATGGGCTATGTATTCTTTAAAATTAAAAAAAAAAAAAAGTGGCAGACATTGGGATTTAGTAAAATATAGTAATAATTTTAAAAAGTTGTGTAGAGGTTTGGAGTTAGAATCCATTAAGCCAAAATCCTGTACTTTTAGTTCCTCCAGTCTTTTCCTTGAATATTGATATACAAAACTGTAAACTAGCAATATCATAATTATAATGAGAAGAATAATAGCTAACATTGGAGAACTCAGCTGCCGCCAGGCTCCTGTACTCATAATCTCCTTGAGCGCTCACCATAATCCCTCCCGCTGCCAGCGAGACTGGCACAGGTATGAATTAATACAAACATTTTGCAGAGAAAAAAACTGAGTGAAGAAATGTTCCTAAAGGAGCATAGTCTCTGTGTTATCCTGCAAATACCTCTTCTACATCCTCTTCTCTCATATAAGGAATGTATCGTCATTCACTCACCATCTGCTATTAATGGAAATTTGAGTGGTTCACAACATGGGCTGTTAGCAGCTCTGCTGCAATAAACATTCTGACACATTACATGCATTTTTGTGCAGAGGGTAGAAAGGTGTAGCTAAATCCCTTTAAATGAAATTTCTGGGTCAGAGTGTGGCCATACATAAATGTGAAAGGAACTGCCTAGAAGTAGCATTTTATTCTCAGCTCCATCCTTCAGCTGGTGCCTATCTTCTTAGAATGCCCACCTCCCCTTCCTCAGCCTACTTAAAAATTGCCTTCCCGAGACCTACCCTGTCAAGACTCGCCCCAAACAGGCCACTCTGGGCCCCACCAGCCCACATCTTCCCCTTCTTTCAGCTCTCCCCGGTTACCTGTTGGCTGGGCCACTCTGGGAGGCCACGTTTTCCTCTTATCTGTATCTAAGGGCCCCCATGCAAAACTTTTTCCTATTCATTAATTTCTGCCTCTTGTCTCTCTCTCCTTTTTTTTTTTTTTTTTTTTTTTTTTTTGAGACAGTGTTTCCCTCTCGTTGCCCAGGCTGGAGTGCAGTGGTGCGATCTTGGCTCACCGCAACCTCTGCCTCCCAGGTTCAAGTGATTCGTCTGCCTCAGCCGCCCGAGTAGCTGGGATTACAGGCATGCACCACCACACCCGGCTAATTTTTGTATTTTTAGTAGAGACGGGGTTTCTCCATATTTGTCAGGCTGGTCTCGAACTCCCAACCTCAGGTGATCTGCCTGCCTCGGCCTCCCAAAGGGCTGGATGACAGGCATGAGCCACCACGCCCAGCCTGCCCCTTGTCTCTTATTGACCTCAGAGAATGACAGCAAGTTTGTACTCAATGGACAGGTGTTCTGAGCAGAGGCAGCATAGCTCTTAGAACTTTAAATGAGGCCTCCAGGGAAGTTGATTACAATGGAATGAGCCAAACAAGGCCCGCAGAGTTCACCTCCACTTAATAACTCACTAATGCTGTCCTTCAAAAGTCCGAAGATTACAGCTCTGAACCAGAGCAGCACACAGAGGGAAAACACAAGGTAATCTCTCATCTAAATGAGGGAGTCAGAGGCTGCAATCTCAGCCATCTAAGAACTTGCCATCCACTAGCAAGCAGGTTTGTCCCTGAAAATTCCTGAGCAGTGGACTTGAAATTAAACACAGACCCAGTAAAAAATGAATATCAGTAACAAATAAAGGGGAAAACAAGGTCTATTTTCCAGATATAGAATCTAGGAAGTGTTTAAAACTCTTTACTAAATGCACTTATTTTAGGTATAAGGCAAACGGGCCAGTTACAATGGGGAGCAGAGATTAGCCACATTTGTCTCCAAAGGGAGTGGGCTCCAGGGAGAGGGAAGGCCCGCCCATGCCTCATGCAGTTATGACTTTTCCTAGTCCTTCAGTTGGGCATCGATGGGATCCCACGTGGGTCTCTTCCCTGGAACATACCCCTGTTATCGCCATCCTGCCTCATCTGTCCCCACTCCTTGTCCCTGCCCCCTGCCCTGCAAAGCAGGAAGGGATGAGGTCAAGGTGAGAATGCATATCACCCACGTGTACCCAACAGCCATGGCTCTTGCGACTCACCTGGGCAGCTGTGTGGCTGCGCACCTGACTCACTCTTTCTAGAGGGTGCCTTGAACAGCATCAGCGTGGCCCGGCGTTCCCTACAAATAGCCCTTGCAATTGCTGACCCCAAACAATGTTGGGAATAACAGAAGGGACAAGGGAACAAAGAAAAGGCCAGGAAGGTAATAATTAACCACTTACTGAGTTCAAAGCCATCTTGCTGTTATCAACAGCATCGAGTAATGATAGGTATCTGGAATGTTCAATATGACCTAGAAGAAAGAATTACAGGACTGTAATATTTCCATACCAGTTAGTTTTTAGAAGATAAATCTGGAAAGAACTAGAAGAATCTCTAGATGAAGGTTACCTACAACAAAGACCAGTGTTGCCTGCTGACCTTTGGCCTGCATCTTCACCACTGCTTCCCCACATCCCTCCATATTTAAGGACTTTGGGACCCACTTGTGCCTTAGAGGTTACAGCAGAAGCACTCTCCTCTGGGATCAGAGTGGGTAGGAGGATGGGGTGCAATTGTAAGTGCAGCGGCCAGGACAGCCTGACCAGAAAGAAGAAGGAACACACTCAGTGACTCAAACATCCATCGGGAAGGGCTCTCAGGGGACTGCCTGGGGCTCAAGGCCACCCACAACTCCAGTGCCACTAAGCCCAGGCATCCTGCTGGACTTAACCCAGTTCTCACCAGGAAGCTGTGATATCCCCTATACAGAACATCTACTCAAGGGAGACTGTATGGCATAAAACACTGAAGAAACACGACAAGGTAACTAAACCCATCAATGTCAGCAGAGATTAAGGACAAGATGGGCCCAGGAGGGAAAGACCTGGGCCAGTTCCTGGCAACACAGCTCCCTGGAAGTGTCGATGTGTGAGTTACTGAACCTTGTTGAAATCTCAGGGTCCTCATGGGAAAACGGACAAAGCAATCACCACAGTTGTGTTAAGCTGAGGGTTGTGGGAGAGTGGGGAAAGAGTGCCTCACAGTACTAGGAACTGAGGAAGAGCAGGTGCAATCAGACCGTCTTTCCCCGAGAACGTCCACAGGCACTGCCAGTAGCCACCCACTGCCCAGCGGGTGGTTCAGGGCTCAGCACCAAATACAGCTCACAGTTGACTTTTTAAAGCAGGCCATGTGGGCCCTCTCAATTTTTAATAGATACATACGCTTAAAATAATCCATAAAACATGTCCACAGTCACTCCATTTACTACCCCAAACCCAAAAAAGAAAGAAATTCAGAGCCAACCATTTTGACCACTGCTAAGATTAGCAGTAATGAAAAGAAAGCTGTGGGCCATTTTGCTTGTTGTCCTTTGTGAACAGTTAACAATAATAGCTAGAGATGCCGTCAACACGAAATGCTGTATAGTAAAGCCGCATTCTGACATCACTCTCCATGGACAAAGATTCTTCGCTTGATCAAACTTATATCAAGCTCCTGAACCTTCTAGGCCATCTGTGCATTTCCTTGTAAAATCCAGTTTTAGCAAAAAACCTTGCTCAGTCAGTTTAGCCAGAACCTCCCACCCTCGGTATCTGATCACTCTGGATATCTGATCGGGTTCCTCAGCCTCCACCGTGCCACAGGTGATGTCTGATCACCCAGCCTGTCTTCAGCAAGAATCCTGTTTGGTTGGTTTAGCCAGAATCCCCCTTACCCTTGATGTTTTCTCTTTGTGATTTTTCCACCCACCAACCCCACCCTGATCCTTGGTTATAAATTAACTCCCACTTGCCCATACTGTACTCAAGCGGATCCCAGTCTCTTCTTCCCACTGCAAAATCTGCTGGCTGTGGTCCCTGTACCTGCCTCCGTGGTCCTGAATAAAGTTCGCTTCACCATTTTAACAAGTCTCATTGGACGATTTTTTTTTCTTTAACATGCACCTTCCTGAGCAAATAAAGGGCTTTTTTCCACCCCTTCCCGCTTGGCTTTAAATGACCAAAGAATATTTTAAGAAACGGGGTTCAAGATTATCCGTCCACAAGACCATGTTCCCAATGAGGGAACAAGAACCTGGAGGAGGCTCTGGGCTTCGGACCTGGCCAGACCAGTGTCCACTGTCTGTGACATGGCCACAGAAGAATATTTCCCAGTTGCTGGCACAAAGCAGGTGCTCAAACAGCAGCAGGCAGCACTGGGCAGCGGTTCAGCCCCTGACCTCTGAGACTAGACTCTAGATCCAAACTCAGGCTCAGCCACTCACTCTCCATGACCTGGAGGAAGCTATTGAAGGTTCTGTGCCTCAGTTTCCCCATCTGCAAATGCAGATAATAGTAACACCTACCTCCAGGGCATTCCATGAGTTAATACTAATGAAGTGCTTCATGCTTAGCATAAAATGAGTGCTATATAACTTTCCATTAAATAAGAGGAATTATAAAGCTGATAAACATTTAACAACCTGCTGAAGGAAAAGAGGGCTGTCTTGATTCGCAGGTTTGCCTTCGGTAAGTATTCCCAGGCTACCAACATGAAGCCCACCACGGAGCCAAGTAGAGTGGGGCCGGCTTCAGTACACCATCGCTTTCCTGTGTCCTAAGCAGAACTGGTTGCTGAATCATTAAACTATAAAACCCCAACAGCCTGCCATGAATGAAAATGAGTATATGGCTTTTTAGTCTCGAGAAACCTCACCCAACAGGTTACAACAAACATGCACCAATCATTTATTTACTCTTCAATTACAGATAAAAATACAAGAACCAGGTCATGTTGTAGCTTTGGGACTTTTTCTAGGATTAAAACTAAAGTTCACACCTTCCTGGGTATAAGGAAAGGAAAGTGACTAATGTACAGGTGGGAAGGATCACCATTTAAAATGTATCAAAAACGTTTAAGCCTTTTAGCCACATCTTAACAGACCTTGCCTATGTCTGCTTTGTGAAGAGAGAGGATCCTCAGGCTTGACAACACAATAAATCCCGCATTCTTGTCTCATAAGCAGGACAGAACTCAGTACCATCCTAAGATTGCTTTCAAAGAGTCCTGCCTAACCAAACACATCCTCATGCCTCTGGTTTCTCGGCTGTCCTATCTCCCCAGTTACAGGTTTGGTTGAAGTTTCAGGAAGTGAAAATTCGATCCCATTGGCAGCTCTCCCAGCTCAGAAGCCCTCTGAAAGGAGTGAAGAATCAATACTCAAAACCCACACTTGCTATTCATTCACGATCCCTAACAAGGAAGCCAGGGAAGGAAGGAACACCGGGAGCCACCACCATTAATTGTCAAATAAAAGCCATGGGACCCAGAGGCAGTCACAGGATAATCCTATCTCTTCCAGCAATCAGAACATGATAAACAAAAATATTCCGTGTGCCCAAGTCAGTTACCATGGACTTTGGAATGGAAGACCAGAGTGATGCTGCCAGTAACATTCTCCAGCTGGGCCGGGCACGGCGGCTCCTGCCTATAATTCCAGCACTTTGGGAGGCCAAGGCGGGCAGATCACCTGAGGTCAGGAGTTCAAGACCAGCCTGGCCAACATAGTGAAACCCCATCTCTACTAAAAATACAAAAATTAGCTGGGTATGATGGTGGGTGCCTGTAATCCCAGCTACTTGGGAGGCTGAGGCAGGAGAATCACTTGAACCTGGGAGGCAGAGGTTGCAGTCAGCCAAGATTAGGCCACTGCACTCCAGCCTGGGTGACAGAGAGAGACTCTGTCTCAAAAAAAAAAAAAAAAAAAAAAAAAAAAGAAACAACAACAACATTCTCCAATTGAAAATAAAACAAGGGGGGGAATGTCCCGCTCTGACATTAGATCTGCAAGGGGAAGCACTGCTGTCCCGAAAAGACCAGGAAATCACATTCAGTCCTGTTCATCTTCAAAACAGGCATTTCCTCATTCACACAAGCTTGTACATCGCATTAACTCATTTCTGAAAGGAGCAAGACGTAAAGTAGATGGCGAGAGACAATGCTGTTTAGCGAATGCTTGCTCCTGTCATTTAAAGGACCGGGATGATGGCTCTCAATTCTGGAAAGCCAGCCACCATGAGCACTTGGGGAAATTTTCCTTTAAGTGTGAAAGAGCAACAGTGGGTGGCACTCAGGCTCCATTCCTGGCTGGCAGGGAGCTCTTCCTTCAATACAGACAGTGTCACCCACTTGAATCTCACAATGGCACACAGCTGTCCTCGCACTGTTTTGGTCCATCCTGGACTGAGAGCTGAGTCAGCCCATGAGTCACCTGCCTGGCCACCATGCAGCAGGACGATGCTGTGGCATCGTATCCGCATCCCATGACATGATGAAGTTACTGCCAAAACAAGAATCTTTTCTCCTAGTTTCTCTCCTCTGGAGATCTCAGGACACGTTTACTGGAGACTTACTTTCCAAACAACCAAGCCAACGCGAATGAAGTTAGGCTTGTAGACACTGACTCCCACCCAAGATCCAGGGGTATTCTCTGCAATGAAGTCTCCACTGACCTCACCGTGCACCATTGTGCACACACCTTCTCCTTCTCGAAGCCCCCACCTGTGACTGGTACGGTTCGAGTTGCTGGAGGTGTGAGAGGGAACAGACAGCCTCAGACTCAGTGCCCCTTCTTCAAAATCCAGACAGCACCACCACCACCATCCACGGACACATCCCAGCCAATGACCAAATCATCAAAAAGAGCCCTTTATGCCAAAATAACCGCACTAATATCACATTATACAACGAGATGTTCTATCCTCCTAAGGATAGAATGCATGACTAAATGAGTTAGCCAACAGTGGATTTCAGTGGCTGTTCAGCAGAAACTTGTTTATGTATAATCAGGTAAATTGCATACACAATGATTGGCACAAGAGTTCTACTGAGAGAGAAAGGTTGAGCGAGAAACAGAAAGATCACCTTAGGAGAGGTATTGCCTGCATCATCCAAGTTTCTTTTCCTGTGAATGACTCATTGTCCCAAAGAGATTACAAACTTTTTAGGGCAGATATCAGGTCTGGTTCTCTCTCTTTCTGTTTGTTTTTTAAATCTCACTTTGTAGCTTACAAAGACAGTATTTAAATGTTTTTATGGAGTTCTTACCACCTGTACCCCAAAAACTATTGGGGAAAAATTAATAAGCATGTTTGGCAAAGTTGAGGGATACAAGATCAATATAAAAATCTATGTGTTTTTATATACCAACAACAGACGATCGGAAATGTAAATTTGAAATACAATGCAATTTGCAGGAAAAAATATATATTTTTTGAGTTCCAAAGGCCAAATGAGTAAGATGAAATTTAGCAGAGGGCGATAAGATGCCCACACCCAGACAACACCAGCAGCCCAAGTCAGGACAGTGGGTGACCTCCCAGGAGTCCAGGTGCCTCAAGCTGAGTGCAACCTGGCATGACAGGCAGGCAGGCGGCAGAGGCCCTCAGGTCACTCCAGGCGGAGACTTCAACACCACACACAAGCCACTGGCTGAGGCTTAAAGAACTTGTCCAAGTCAATCTGTAAAATGGGGATGATACAGAAATAGGGTTGTTGCAGGGATTAAGTGAGAAAGCAAGGCCGTAGCTCAGTGCCCAACCCATGGTGAGCACTCAATAATAACATAATGATGGCAGATAAGGTTTATCTTCCAACACGTAAGAGCCGGCTATGTGGAAAAGGAATTCAGTTTATTCTGCATACATCCAAAGGACAATACCAGAATCATGATCAGAATTTCCAGAAGAGCAGGCTTGGATTCTATCTGGGGAAATCAAGGTTCCAACAATTAGAAAGTTCACATATGGCCTGGAGCTACCTTAGAATGTACCGAATTCCTCAAACCTAAAAATGTATGTTTCAAGACTGGAGGATCATTTCTCCAACATATTCCAGAACAGAATTAGGCTTGAGCATCAAGACCAGACATAGTGATCTTTCATATTACTCCCAACTCCTTATAAATGCATCATCACCAGTGAACTTGAAAATGTCAGCAAATTCTCTGTTATCAGTATCTTGCACAAAGAACTCCAAGCCCATCGTCCCTAGAAAGCATGGTCTCCCATGACCCCTGGGCTATACTGCAGTGGGGTCAGGCTGAGTGCCCCGCCAGGACAGCCCCTTGGAAAGCAATGGCCTTAAAGGGAATTTGACACTGCATTGTGCACCTCGTACAAACAAGCAATAATAAAAAGCCTCAGCTTAGTTCCATCTGCCAAGTCAGACCTCGCTTGAAAATATTTTTCTAACAAATCCAATTGTCACAACCTCTCATTCTGAGTCCCACTTGACAGCCCCGATTTTTCCACCTAGTCTGCCCTTGAGTGAACTTCCAGACTTCTGCTGCCACAACCACAAGCCAAGGTGCCCTTCAAACACTTCCTGCTTTCTTACCACAACTCTGTGCCCTAAACTCCTCCTGCCCTCCTGCCATGGATGCCCAATGGCTCAGCGCCATCCACACATAGATGTCAGAGCCCTCACCTCCCTCTCCCAGACTCACCTCCAGGAGGATGAAAAGCCTGTCTTCGAGTTTCCTGCCCTCTCAAACTTCACTCTGTTTACAACAAAAGTAACCACCCACACCCCTGCCAGAAAACCAGCCTCGACTCCCAACCAGCGCATTTCCACTCATTCAGTTCCTCTCTCCTGACCATTGCTCAGCAACCAGGAATAACCAAGTCCCAGATCAGGCTCTGCCTCCTCCTGGAGCCCAGCCTCTGTTCTAGGTCATGCTGAAGAGCTGCCTGTGTGCTCAACCAAGCTGCTACCCTGTCACAGATCCCCCTTTTGCTCCTCCTTGGGTGTCCACAGGCTCGGTGGGGCCAAGGTGGTCAATGGCCATGGGGACATCATAAGCCCCCTTCTTCACACCCAGGCCCATACCCCTGGTGCTTGCAAGTCAGGGCTTCCCAAATCACCCTTAGGGCCAGGAGGGGCCCCACAAAGGCTGACTCCATACAGGCCTCAGCTCTCAGGTACATAATGCTCCTGCACCCCAATCCTGAGGCCACGCAGTGCATCCCATATTGGAGGATCCCCTGGCAGGTGTCCTGGAAAGTAAGGAGGGGCGGGGAAGAGTAGCAAAGGCCTGGTGACTGTGGGATGAGGGACACTCAGGGAGTGCAGAGCAGGAGGGACCAGAGAGCAGAAATGCACCTGGGCCTTCAATGCTCCTGGGCTCTCTGGTTCCCCACAGGGAGCTCTCCCTGCCCTCACTCTCCCCACTAGCAAGGCCACTTTCCAAGTCTTCAGCAACCAAAACTGAACAAGCACTCCATTGACCATTCACCTTTCCTTTCTACCTCAATGTCCAAGGCTTAGATCTGATCAGTGCTCCCCAAACCCAGAATTTTCAAGAGGGCTTAGAAAAATAAATAAATAAATAAGATGCCTGGGCCCCATTCTCAGAGTCTGATGTAATAATTGGGACCAAGGCAATGATCCCATATTATTACGAAGATCCCCTAGGGAATCTTGCCGCAGATTCAGGTGGAAAAGGGTAAGAGTTATCAGCCAGACTTTTGGTTTACATTTCCTGGTAGGGGGACAACACACTCGGATGATGATGATCGTGGTGGTGGTGGTTACTGGCATAAGGTACTGCACGCATCTACCTTTTCACCTACAGGACATTTGCACCAGCGTCTTGTCACTCAATGCCCCCATGGCCTAGGAGGTCAGCCCTCCGCAGGCCCCCTTTCAGAGTTCCAGGCACTCTGGCCATGTCATACTGCTAGAGGGAGCAGCACGGAGCCCAGGTAGGGCTGTGGGCAGGGGCTGGGCTCTTTCAGGTCGGGGAGAACCAGAGCCTGGCCCAGGAACAAGCCCTTTTCAATCAGGATTCCGGGCGCCTTGTTTCCAGCTTCCTTCCCTCCTTTCCTCCACTTGCTGGTAACATTCCAACATCCTGGAGGGAGAACCCAGGGAAGGATCAAAAGGAATCCGTACTGTGCCGATTGTCACTAAAGCCCCTTCTAAGCATCCTGTGTCTCCAACTCAGAGCCCGACACTGGAAGCACTGACCTATGGAGCCAGACAGGCCATGTTTATCCCCAGTTCTGCCCCTTACAGGTTACAAGATCTTGGACAAGCTTCCCAACCTCTCTTCCCCAGTTTCCTTACAATTGAGTTAAGTACATTATAAAGGGTTTGCAATGATGCCTGGCTGAAAAAAGTGCCACATCAATGTCTGTGGTTATTATTATAATGCCAGTGCAGCCAAATATACTCCTACAATTAAGGTGACTTGAGTTCAAGATAGAGTGGCCAACGGTGCCAGGCAGGCCAGCACCTAGCAACCTGGGAGGCCCTGCCTGAGGCTCCAGCAACAGCACAAGCTTGTTGTTAGAAGGTTGTCCTTGGCTGGTGGGAATAAGGGAAGCTGCTGGGGACCAAACAAATGTCCAAGCAGAGAACAAAAGCCCAGCCAGCTCACCAGCTGATAATTAAAAATAACCAGAGGCCGAGGTGTAGATGGCCATCTCCAGGCAGAGGTCTCAGCCCGTAGGTTGCACCCCGAACTCTCCAGCCTAGTGTGTCCTTACCCGAGGGTGTTGCTAGGTTTCATTCTAACCTCACCTGTCCAGTAGTTCTGTAGCGGAGCAGGGCAGGTCCTACTTCTTCAAAAGCACTCAGTAAAGGTGGGGAAGTCCTGAGCAACCTCCAGTGACTTTCTGGGGGAGCTCCCGGTTACCTAGCCCACCAGGTCCTCCCTTCACAGCAGCAGCTCAGGAGCCAGGACTGACTTAGCTACTTGCGTCCCCAAGGCCCTTTGCGCTGGTAAACTCTCCCTGCCACACTCCCAACCCCCATCCTTCCTTCAGGGGAGGCTGGCTGCATCCCCACTTCCTGGAGTACCTTCCCAGATCTCCTGGGACAGGTCAACAAACTTAGTCTCACTTTAGGTTTTCCAAATGCCTTGTAACTGGGCTGCGTAGCCTTTGTAATTTTCCATGATTCGGGAGGTTCTCGCGGCTGGGAGCTCCGTGAGGTCAGGCATTGCCTTGGGCGCGATGCGCTCATCTTTCCCGCGGGACCACTGCACAGGTTCGCACGGAGGGAAGGGCTGCGCAGCCTCGAAGGCGAGCCCTGGGTGCTCCCTGCCCACAGGGCTCACCTCGGGCCGCCGTGCTATCCTTTCCTTCCCAAACAAGCCACCAGGATTCCTCGTGATTAGGGCTGCCACCAGGGCGTTCTGAACAGGATTCAGGGCCACCGCGCTGTGCTCTACGGCGGAGCGGGCGAAGGCCCTCCTCTGCCACAAGCGCTCAGGGCTCTCGGCGCACAAACTTTCTGGACATGGGGCAGTTTTTCAGCTGGACCCGTGCTCGAGCAGAGCGCCCACTGCCAGACTGGAGCACTTGACCACTCAGGGTGCCACTGTGCCGAGCCGGGCAGGACAGGATGAGGTGGACCGAAGCGCCCAGGTGCCCCGCCTTCCCCCCAACCCGGCACGGAGCGCAAGCGGAGGAGCCAGACCGGCTCCTCCCGGGCGGGTTCCTGCCGGTGCCGGGTGTCCAGGAGGCCCCGGCCCTGATCGCCGCCAGCGGGTCGCCGCAACGGGGCCTGAGTCGCGAGCAGTCCCTCCCCGAGACTGACTGGCCGTTCGCACCTCGCCCGGGGGCCCTCCAGCAGCCTGGCCCAGCGGTCCCCGCCGCGCCGGCCGTATCGTTCCCGGCATCTCAGCGAGTTTCCAGTTTCTCCCTACCTCAGTAGGGAACCAAGAAGCAGAAGGAGTTCAGGTAACACTGCGGGACTGCAGAGATTTCCCCCAAACAAAGAAGCCAACCGACAGCACTCCCAGTCCTCCTCCCCAAAGAGAAAAGGCGCACCGGTGCTCCCAGGCGGGGGCCGTGGAGGGCAGGCGGACTAGGAGCCAGCTTTGGGGACCCCGGGGGACTCTCTTCCACCAACTGGCTAGGGACTCGCAGGACCACCTGCCCCAACCTCGCGATGCCAAGCCAACAGGGGCGGCGAGGGCTCTCGGCCGTGCGCAAGGGGTCCCAGGCGCCCAGCACTCTCCCAGCACCCCGGGAGGCGCCCTGCCCGGCTGGCCCCAGCGCTCGACCCTCGGGCGCACTCACCTGCCGCGCCGCGCTCCTCACACCCGCTTTCACCTCCGGGCGGGGCAGGGGGCATCGGCGGGTCCCAGGCGCCCAGGTTCCCCTCCCCAGCCCGGACCCCGAGCCGGGACCCTGGTACCGGCGCCGCTCACCTGCCGCGCTCCAGGCGGCGCTCCCCGCCCCTCGCCCTCCGCCTCCGCCTCCGCCTCCTGCTTAGCTCGCGCCTACTCGGCCCGGCCCGCCCTGGCTCTCGCTTTAATCTCAGGAGGCGGTGTCCCAGGGTCCAGGGCGACACCCCCAAGCGGGTCGCGGGTCACCCTGGGCGGGCGGGGGCGGGGGCGGCGGGAGGAGGCGTTTCCCAAGGGAAGTCCGGGACGGGTTCCCTGCCTGGCTCAACCCCGGCTGCGGAGGGACCCATAAGGGACTCTGGGGCGCTTCCCGGGCCCGGCCACAGCGGCCAACCTGCCCCTCTCCGGTCCGCGGCGCAGCGCTGCCCGAGGGCTCGAGTTTGGGTTAAGGAAGGGGATTCTGGGGAGCGCTCCTGGAGTCCTGGGTGAGCCCCCGGAGCTGCTACCTCACGAGCTCCTGTAGGCGGCCGGCCCCGTCTTGGCCTCCGGGGAACCCACTGTAGCCTCTGGGCAAGGACCCAGGGTAGGCCTTGGGGACTGCTGGCCCAAGCACGAGTGGCGGGGACACAGCGCCGGACGCCCAAGACCCTCCCCAGTCCGCCTAGGCTGGCATTTCTTGGCCCCCACCAGCGTCCGGTGGAAAGTGCTCCCCCGGATGGTCCCAGGTCTCTCGGCACCACCGGCCAGGGCGGGAGTGAGGAAGTGGTGGGACACACCTCAGCCAGGAAGACGTGGCTGTTCCCGGGCACTTGAGAGGTTCTTTCTAATGTTTGCAATTGTGGGGGCTCAGAATTCACCAGAATTTAATAGGACCGTAGACCAGAATTCATCACCCCAAGTAGGACTGGAGGAGACCAGAATCTGCTACCCCAACATAGTCCTCTTTGGCACATTGATGATTTGGAACTGGTTATGTTGAGGAACTGCAGACACCAGAGTACCTCTGAGAAAATGCCCTTTTGTAAAGGAAATTTGCACCTATAAAGGAAATGTTTGTTAGTCAGCAGATCTGTACCAGGAAGAGAGCTGTTCCCGGACAACTTTTATCACCTGGGAAACTTTTATCTGCCTCACACGGCAACCTGCGTTCACCAGACACCTCCTCTCCTCACGCTCCCCTCACTCCTCCACCGCTCCCCAGAAGCCTCAAACCCCCATTTCTTTCTGTCACTCAGAGTGACAGATAAGCCTCAATCATCGGGCTGCTGCACCTTTTTTTTTTCGTGTGTTTTTTTTTCCCCCAGAAGGGGTCTCACTCTGTTGCCCAGGTTGGAGTGCAGTGGCTCAATCATGGCTCATGGCAGCTTCAACCTCCCAGGGCACAAGTAATCCTCCCACCTCAGCCTCCCGAGTAGCTGGGACTAGAGGCGTGTGCCACCACGCCCAGCTAATTTAATTTTTTGTAGAGATGGGGGTCTCCCTATGTTGCCCAGACTGGTCTCCAATCTGGGCTCAAGCGATCCACCTGCCTTGGCCTCCCAAAGTGCTGGGATTACAGGTGTGAGCCCTCGCACTGGACCCCTCACTCACCTGGCCTGTTCTTTAAGTCTCATATTCTTGTGGGATTCCCATCTGTGAGTACATACATTAAAACAGCTTTTCTCCTGTTCATCTATTTGATGCCAATTTAATTTGTAGACTAGCTGAACGAACTAGAAGGGTAGAGGGGAAGCATGTTTTCTCCTCCCCTGCATAATATACAAATCAACATGATTTGCTTTAAAATGAGGTGGAAGCAGAAAAAAGCCCCATTCAGTCCCATCCCAGGCTGCCTTGGCTCACTGCTCCCTTCCTGGGAAGCTCTCCCGGAAGCCTCCTGTGGGGCAGGACTTTCCTAGTAAACCCTTCCCTCTCACTCCCTCCTTTGGCACCTTTTGTGGTCTGCTGGTGGCACCCACAACAGGGATTGTCCCCAATATGCCCCAGCCCTCCCCATCCCCCACACTGCCCTGCGCTCTGCCCCAGTGGGAAACCCTCAAAGACCCTCTCCAGCACATAGGGCAGGTGCAGTTGTCTTTCAGCGGCAACTCACTTATTTCTGTCTTGACAGTGTGTTTGGTGCCTACTAATTCCACCCAGAAACCAGGGAGTAAGTGCTGCCGCAGACTCAGGCCTCTTGGAGTGGTTGTTCATTCACCATTTATTTTTCCTTTTATATTAATAATCAGGGTTCTCCAGAGAAACAGAAACAATAGGAGAAATACAAATATATACACACATATACATATGCACACACATGTATATACACACATCTATATTTCTATATATTATTTATAAATATTATAAATATCTTATATATTATAAATACATATAAATATATACATAAACATGTATTTTATATGCATAATATAATACAGATATGATATATATTATACACAGCTTATATGTAATAAATATTATTTATAATATATATAAAGATTTACTATAAGAAATTGACTCATACAATTATGGAGGGTGAGAAGCTCTACAATCTGCCATCTACAGACTGGAGACCCAGGAAAGCTGGTGTTGTAGCTTTCAAAGTCCTGAGAGCCAGAGAACTAGAGAGCAGATGGAACAGATTCCAGTCCAGGTCTGAAGGCCTGAGAACCAGGAGTGCTGAGGGCAGGAGAGGATCAAAGTCCAGCTCACACAGTCAGGCAGAGAGCAAATTCAACCTTCCTCCCCTTTTCTGTTCTATTCAGGCTCTCAACCGATTGCCCAAATTGAAGGCAATCAGCATTACACAGTCTTTTCAAACATTAATCTCTTCCAAAAACACCCTCACACGCAGACACCCAGAAATAATGTTTAACCAGTTACCTGGGCATCCCATGACCAAGTCAGCTTGACACATAAAATTAACCATGGCTGGATGCAGTGGCTCCCACCTGTAATCCCACCATTTAGAAGGCTGAAGTGGGAGGATCTCTTGAGCCCAGGAGTTTGAGACTAGCCTGGACACCATAGCAAGATCCTGCCTCTACAAAAAGTTTATTAAAAATTAGCCAAGTGTGGTGGTGCGCACCCGTAGCCCAAGGTACTTGGGAGGCTAAAGTGAGAGGATCAGTTGAGCCCAGGAGTTTGAGGCTGCAGTGAGCTTTGATTGTGCCACTGTACTCCAGCTTGTATGACAGAATGTGACCTTAGTTTTATCTAAGCATGAATATATATGCCACCATAAGTTGACCCCTTGTCGACTTCACACCTACACATCTCCTTACACCATACTTTATCTCTAAAGACAATAGCAAAGTAATAATTTTGCCTAATGTGATAAAACTCTTCTGCATACAACCAAAAAATGCACTAAGCCCTTCCCCAGAAGTGGATGTAAAATTCTCCAGTGTTTACACTTCTCCTTGGTATTCCATAACTTAAATACCATAATGTAAAATTAACAATACTTAATACAATGATATAAAGTCAATATGCCTTAAGTTATGTAATAAAGGAATATGAGAGAAAAGACAACAGAGATATATACTGTATATACAAATATGTGCACAAATGTATTTAGAAAAAAATAATGAGAAAATACTCGTGACAATCTAATGCTTTATAACAGGTTGCATGGGCAATAGCTGGTGTTTGTAACTGTCTTCTTCCACTACCCACTCTGCGTTCCCTCTGCCTTCGGGAAGCATGACAGCTGGTCATGGTTCTTAACCTGATGGAGTGATACAAACCTTCATTCCTCAAGGGTCTGGGCCATTAATAGCCCTGCCTGGATTGTGTTGTAGTTTTCCATTGACCTTAATCACAAGCATGGTAAAACTAAAAGATGCCCTAAGGAATCGTTGTATTCCAGACACACTCTTCCTTACCTTCCTGGTGGAGTAGAAGTAGTCTATAGCTTCTCCTTGGTAGTCCAGATGGGTCTCCCCAGCCAATGCATAACTCTCTCTTTGCCTTTTGATTCAGAGGCATGTGGAGCTCAGCGTGGCCAGGTGGCAGTCGTAAATTCTAGTTTAATTGAATCATTGTTGTGTCTCCTGGTGGCAGCATTCCTCCCTCCGGAACTAAGACCTCTAGGTCAGCAGAGCGTAAAGTCACAGAAACAGCAAGCGAAAATTTTGCTAGTGGGCCACTTGGAGTAATAGTGCGTGGTGCCACTCCCATTTCCACCCCTTGATTCCTGGACCAGTGAATCCTGGCTATGGGAGAAACAGCACCGCATATTGGATGCTGATTTGGAGCATACACAGCTTTCTGGAGAACCTTGCCCCAGCCTGCAGAGCATTGTCCCCTAGCCAGCACTGTAACTGCATCTTCAAAAGGCGATTCCACTATTCTATCAAGTCAGCTGCTTCATGGGGGTGGGGAATATGGGAAGATCAGTCGATTCCATGAGCATAAGCCCATTGCCATGCTTCTTTGAGAAGTCAGTTCCTTGGTCAAAAGCAATGCTATGTGGAATACCATGATGGTGGATGAGGCATTCTGTGAGTTCCACCAGAAGCGCTGTGTGCAGGGAAGACAAATCTGTATCCAGACTGCCTATTCCAGTAAGGACAAAATGCTGCCCCTTCCATACTGAAGGTGGTCCAATGTAATCCACCTGACACCAGGTTGCTGCCTGATCATCTGGGGAACCGTGCCATATCAGAGCCTTGGTGCTGGTCTCTGCTGCTGGCAGATGGGCACTCAGTTGTGGCTGTAGCCAGTTTGGCCTTGTTCAGTAGGAGTCCATGTTGCTGAGCCCATGCATAATCTCCATCCCTGCCACCGAGGCCACTTTGTCCATGAGCCCATTGGGTGATGACAGGAGTGGCTGGGGAAAGGCTGACTGGTATCTACAGAATGGGTCATCTCATCCACTTGATTTTTTTGTTTGTTTTTGGAGACGGAGTCTCACTCTGTCACCCAGGCTGGAGTGCAGTGGCACAATCTCGGCTCACTGCAACCTCCGCCTCCCAGGTTCAAGTGATTCTCCTGTCTCAGCCTCCTGAGTAGCTGGGATTACGGGCACCTGCTGCCATGCTCAGCTAATTTTTTGTATTATAGTAGAGACGGGGTTTCACTGTGTTGCCAAGGCTGGTCTCGAACTTCTGAGCTCAGGCAATCCACCCCGGCCCCACTTTATGACTAAAGTCTTCTCCTGGCCGGGTGCAGTGGCTCACACCTGTAATCCCAGCACTTTGGGAGTCCAAGGTCGGTGGATCACAAGGTCAGGAGTTCAAGACCAGCCTGACTGACATGGTGAAACCCCGTCTCTACTAAAAATACAAAAATTAGCCAGGCATGGTGGCACGTGCCTATAATCCCAGTTACTCGGGAGGCTGAGCCGGAAGAATCACTTGAACCTGCGAGGTGGAGGTTGCAGTGAGCTGAGATCATGCCATTGCACTCCAGCCTGGGCGATAGAGCAAGACTCCATCTCAAAAAAAAAAAAAAAGTCCTCTCCTGCTGAGGTCATCCTTTGGTGGCCATTCACATGGGACAGAAATATCCTCACATCCTTTGCCCACTCAGAGAAGTCTGTCTACATACCTCTGTCCCAAATTTACCACCAATTTTCCTATCATGTTTCTTCCAAGTCCCTGACTATCCAGCCACAACATTGATTACAGCCCATGAATCCATATATAATTGCATGTCTGGCCATTTCTCCTTCGAAGCAAAGTGCACAAGCAGGTGCACTGCCCTACGTTCTTCCCACTGGGAAGATTTCCCTTCACCACAATCCTACTGGGGTGTCCCAGAAAAGGGCTGTGGTGCTGCAGCTGGGTACTTCTGGGTGGTGCCAGCACATGGTGCTGAACCGTCTGTAAACCAGGCCTGGGTCTTCTCTTTCTCTGTCACCTGATCATAGGGAACTTCCCATGTGGCCATGGGTGCAGGCAGGGGGGCAGAGAAGGCAGTGTAGCAGGAGTGGAGACCATGAACATTGGGTCACTTCTTTATGTAATCTACTTAAGCTTTCAGGACCTGATCAGGCCTGACCACATATAGACACTTCCATTTGACGATGGAGTGCTGCTGTGCATCCTCAGCTTTATGACGTGGTGGGGCAGGTAACATCCAGTCCACGACGGGAGCTCAGGTCACATGGTAACTTGTTGGCCCATGGTCAAGTCTTCCATCTCTACTAAGGCCTGGTAGCTGGCTAAGAGCTATTTCTCAAAAGGAAAGTATTTATCTGTGGAGGATGGCAAGGCTTTGCTTCAAATCCTCAGGGCCTGTGCTACAATTCACCTCCAGGGCCTGCAAACAGCTCCATATCACATCTCTCTCTGTCACTGAAACTTCAGGCACCATTGGATCTGCTGGGTCCTATGGCCCAGGTGTCAGAGCAGCTTGCACAGCAGCCTGGCGTGTTGTAAAGCCTTTTCCTGTTCTGGGGCCCACTCAAAACTAGCATCTTTTCAGGTCACTCAGTAAGTGGCCCAGAGTAACACATCCAACTGTGTTGCCTCCAAAATCCAAAGACGCCCTCTAAGCATTGTGCCTCTGTTTTGGTTGTAGGAGGGGCCGGATGCAGCAACTTATCCTTCACCTTAGAAAAGGCAACTCAATAGGCCCCACACCACTGGACCCCTAGAAATTTCACTAAGGTAGAAGGCCCCTGAAATTTTTCAGATTTATTTCCCACCCTCTGACATGCAAACATCTTACCAATAAATCTAGAGTAGTTGCTACTTCTCACTCACTAGGGCCAATCACCATAATGTCATCAGGGTAATACACCATTCAATACCTTGTGGAAAAGAAATGCAATGAAGTTCCCTGCAAACAAAATCATGGCATAGGACTGGAGAGATGATAGACCCTTGAGGTAGGACAGCGAAGGCGTATTGCCAGCCTTGCCAGCTGAAAGCCAACTGCTTCTGGTGGGTCTCATGGACAGGAAAATGGTGTTTGCCAGGTGAACAGCTGCATGCCAGGTACCAGTAGATGTGTTCATTGGCTCAAACTGATACAGCAGCTGCCATTGGAGTCACCAGCTGGTTAAGCCTACAATAATCCACTGTCATTTTCCAAGATCCATCTGTCTTCTGCACAGGCCAAACAGGAGGGTTGAATGGGGATGTGGTGGGAATCACCACACTTGTGTCTTTCAGGTTCTTGATGGTGGCACTAATCTCTGCAATCCCTGCAGGGATGCAATATTGTTTTAGATTTACTATTTTCCTAGGTAGAGGCAGTTCTGGTGACTTCCACTTGGTGTTTCCAGCTATGATGGCCCTCATTCCATGAGTCGAGGACCCAAATGGGGATTCTGCCAGCTGCTGTGGATATCTATTCCAATTATGCATCTGGAACAAGGAAATAACCATAGGATGGGTTTGAGAACCAATGGACCCACTGTAAGCTGGACATGGGCTAAAACTCCTTTCATCACCTGTCCTCCATAAGCCCCTACTCTGATTGAAGGGCCACACAGACATTTTTAGTCTCCTGGAATCAATGCCAGTTTAGACGCAGTGTCCAGTCATCTCCAAAAGGTCTGATTCTTACCTTTCCCACAATGCACAGTCACTCTGGTAAAAGGCCAGAGGTCCCTTTCCTTTGGGAAAGGATGGGAGAAAGGCTAACAGGATCCATTTTCAATAGTGTCCTGGGATCCTTCCTCAAGGGGACCCAGTCTTCCCTTCACTCAAAGGGTTCTGGGTTGTAAACTGGCTCAAGCCTGGGAATTGATTGAGGGGCATGAGTCTCCGTTTTGATGATTCAGGTTAGGCCTGCTCACTTGCCCTAGAACTTGTCTGCTCATACAAATCAAGTAAGGGTTTAGTAGGCTTCCCATCTAGTTCATGTCTCAAGACACCATGAATAGTTCATGCCATAGATCCACATGAGTCGGACTATTCTGATTTTTGTTTTATACCCACTGTCCATTAGAGTAACCATGCCCACCTTGCCTTTGGCAGTTGAGTGCTTCCACTTGGCCCCTGCTACCTTGGGATCCATCTACTCTTATTGCACTGAGGTTTCCCAATTTAGTGATTGCATTTCTCACGTAAAGTCTGGCCTAGACCAAAGAGTAATCACAGAGCTCTTTACGATGCTGAGGCTCCTCTTACAAACTTATTTATCAAAGTACTGGTGAAAAGTAAGATACACTGGCCCCTCCCACAGTGGGTAAGCAGGTGTTAAATAACAAATCCACCCTCACATTTCAATCTTCCTAAGTATTTGAATCCTTTTCTCTATGTTAAACCAAGGCAAGTCCAGCATTTCCAGTTCGCTGGCTGTGGGTCACCTTTTGATCCATGTTTCAGCCAACCGACCAAACTGTTAGAGCCCTCTCTAACTCCCTGAGCTGCAACATTCACTGCAGAGTCCTTGCTTAACAAGCCCATTTCAATGAATTTGGTTTGATCCAAAGTTGTGTTCCTTCCACCATTATCCATACCTTTAATATCCATTTCCACACATGTTCCCTGGATTCCTGTTTGTATAAATTAGAAAACTCAAGTAGTTCTTTTGGAATGCAGCACATTTCTTTATGGGTCACACTTTGGACCTCACCTTTAGGAGCCTGTTATAACTTGAGTTTAGTTACAGGTCTAGAGCAAAGGGTGGTAGGATGGGTCCTCAGGGGAATCAGGATTGTTTAAAATTACCTGGCAGAATTGCAGAGAAAAAAACTAAAGAGGACTTCTAGAAGTAAAAAGCTGAAAGTTTTCGATAGCTGAAGATGGAATCAGTGACATGGAATATAGACCAGAAGAAATTATTCAAAATTCACCTAGGAAGACAAAGTTGTTTTTTTTTTTAATATGAGAAAAACTAAGTGGTATAGAAAATAGAGTAAAAAAATCTAAAATGTGTCTGATTAGTTTTTTGGAAAGTGATCATTGAGATAATAGGGCAGAATCAATATTTAAAATAATAAATAGTCAGGAATTTTCCAAAATTGATAAAAGTCAGAAAGTCTGAGATTATTGAAGCACAACAAATCCCAAGCAGAAAAAAAGAGGAACCTGTAGAAACACATCCTAGTGAAATTTCAGAATCCCTGAAGTGAAGAGAAGACCTAAAAAGCATTATGGGCCTGGCGTGATGGTGAACACCTGTAATCCCAGCTACTCAGGAGGCTGAGGCACAAGAATCACTTGAACCCAGGAGGCGGAGGCTACAATGAGCTGAGATCATGCCACTGCACTCCATCCTGGGCAACACGGCGATACTCCATCTTAAAATAAATAAATAAATAGAAATAAAAAGCATTATAAAACAAAAGACAACATCCAGATTGAAGCTAGAATATAGTGGAATAAAATATTTAAAGTCTTCAGGAAAAGTGGCTGTCAACATAGAATTTTGTTTGGTTGTTTGAGACAGAGTCTCGCTCTGTCACCCAGGCTCAAGTGCAGTGGCTTGATCTCAGCTCACTGCAGCCTCTGCCTCCTCGGTTCAAGGCATTCTCCTGCCTCAGCCTGCTTAGTAGCTGAGATTACAGGTGCCTGCCACCACGCCCGGCTTATTTTTGTATTTTTAGTGGAGACAGGGTTTCACCATATTGGCCAGGCTGGTCTCGAACTCCTGACCTCCATGATCTGCCCACCTCAGCCTCCCAAATGTTTGGATTACAGGCGTGAGCCACCACACCAGGCTACATAGAATTTTATATCCTGCAAAATATCCTTTGAGAGAGGGAAAATACATTTATAGGCAAAACAAAACAGTGTTGACCACAACAAAAAAACTTCTAAAGGATATTGCTCAGGAAGCAGGAAAATAATCCCAGGAGAAAGTCTGACATGCAAGAGAAAATGGTGAACCAATAAAATCCTGACAATGTGGGTAAATCTAAGCTAATATTTACAGCATAGAGAAACTCCAGTAGTAATATTTAACTTGTAAAAGAGCAACAACAAAAACAACACAAAGATGGAACTGAAGTATTGGAAAACCATACCATGAAAGCCAGTAGTGCGATGAACACAATTAAAGTGAACACAATTAAAGCCTTTTAATCATTGTATTCTTCTGGTGGAAAAAAGACTATATATATATATACATACATATATATATATATATACACACACACACATATATATATATATAATATGATTAGCATCCATACCCAAATAATTAAAAAATGGGATGAGAGGAGCGAGAAGGAGATGACTTAATGAAACCAAGCAAAATAAAGCAAAGAAGAATGCCTAAATCTGCAACTGCTCTGCCTTCCCCTGGATCTTCCATCAGCGCGTCTGATTCCAGGGCCAGGTGTGTATGTTCAAGATGATGAGCCCATGCCCCAGCCCCAACTTGACCCTCTTGTCACTGTTATAGGCAATGGTCTGGCCTTGTGGGCTCCAGCTCATGCTCATTGGTTCCAGCTTGTCCTTGTTCTTCCTCATTTTATAACCTCCTTCCCTTCCCAAATGCCATCAGATGCAAAGATAAGAGCCATTGAGAGACCTCTTAGTCAGATCCCACAGTTTGACCCAAAAGGCCAAATCCTCTAAGCAATCCCTTTTAAACACACACACACACACACACACACACACACAAACACGCACACACCACATCATTATAGCAAGTGGAACACAAAACCAAATGAGTGCTCAGCATGGAGGAACCTTGAGGACACTATGCTCAGTGAAATATGCCAGTTACAAAAAGACAAGTACTGTATGATTCCACTGATATGAGGTCCCTAGAGAAGTCCAAAGTAGTCATAAAGACGCAAAGTAGAATGGCAGGTGCCAGGGGCTAAGGGGCGAAGGTGAAGGGTTGGGAGTTAGTGTTTAATGGGTAGAGAATTTCAGTTTGGGAAGATGAGAACATTCTGAAAATAGATGGCGGTGAAAATAGATGATTGCATGACAGTGTGAATGTACTTAATGCCACTCACTGAAAAATGGTAAAATCATAAATTTTATGTTATGTATATTTTACCAAAATTTTAGAAATGAGTTACCATTTTATACACACCAAACTGGCAAAAATTAAAATTGCGCAATATTAGGTATGGCCAAAATTGGGGATCTGCTGGGGGCAGAGGGAATGAGATGAGCATATAAATTGATACAACCACTTTGAAAACCTTTTCAGCATCATGCTGTAATGTTGAAGATGTGAAAATCTTTCACCCGGAAATCCCGCTGCTAAGTATGCACCCTAAAGAAACTCTTGCAACACACCAAAAACCTTCACATGTTCAGAGAAGCACTATTTCTACTGCAAAACCTGGAGAAAAAGAAAACAAATACTGATAGGAAATTCTGTCAGTTCCTACTGACAAGAGGAAAGATAAATGTGCAGTGGTGTGTGCATGTGACACAATGCCCTCCAACAATGAAAGATGGTGAACTACCATTGTATCCATCACGGATAACTCTCAGAAGCAAAGTACTAGGCAAGAAAACCAGTTGCAGATCTCATTTGCATAAAGCTCATAAACAACCAAAGCTAAATTATGTATAGTTAGAAATATATGCCTAGATACTAAATCTGTGAAAAAGGGAAAGAAATTAATAAACATAAAATTCAGTAGGGTGATTTCCCCTAGTGGGAATGAATGGAGATTCAATGGGCGTGGGGGTACAAACTGGGGAACTGGGCAAAATAGTATTGGCAATAATCTGTTTCTTAACAGACATTTGACCAGGCATGGTGGCTCACGCCTGTAATCGCAGCACTTTGAGAGGCCAAGGCCGGTAGATTGCCTGAGGTCAGGAGTTCAAGACCAGCCAGGCCAACATAGTGAAACCCCGTTTCTACTAAAAATACAAAAAATTAGCTGGGCATGGTGATGGGTGCCTGTAATCCCAGCTACTTGGAAGGCTGAGGCCGGAGAATCGCTTGAACCCAGGAGGTGGGAGATTGCAGTGAGCCGAGATCACATCATTGCACTCCCACCTGGGCAACAAGAGTGAAACTCTGCCTCAAAAAAAAAAAAAGTGACATTTGATTCATCATTAATGGATTTTAAAATGTGTGTACCTGAAAAGGAATAATGCAGCTATTCATGATGTCAGCAATAAAACAATATTTGTCCCAGTGTTTGTCCCAGTGTCTGTACTTTAGTTTTGATGTGAACCAGCTCTAAGATTCCCACAAGTACTCGTAGTCAGAAGGCAAGACAGAGAATTCACGAGTTCCTTGTAAAGACAGGGTGTGTAGAATGCTATAGATGGAATGATCAGCACTTTTAAGAGCCAGGTGAAGCAAATCTCTGGTGTGCTGAGGACCTTTGGCCATGTCCTCAAGGGATGAATGAGATCCCTTGTTTAGAAAAACATAAAGACTGTCTTAGTCTGTTTCGTGCTGCTGTTACAGAATACCACAGACTGGGTAACTTATTAACAATAGAAGTTTATTAGGCTCATGGTTCTAGAGGCTGGGAAGTCCAAGACGAGGGGCTGCATCTGGCGAGGGTCTCCTTGCTGCATCATAACATGGCAGAAGGCATCACGAGGCGAGACAGCAAGAGCTGGAACACATAGCCTCAAACCCTCAAGCCCTCTAATCATCATTAATCCATTCCTAAGAGTTAAGCCTCATGACCTAAACACCTCCCATTAGGCCCCATCTCCCAATATTGTTCCATCAGGGATTACGTTTCCAACACATGCTTTTAGGGGGACACATTCATATCATAGCAAAGACTTTCATGGCTCTCTTCATACAACCACCAAGCTTTCAGCAAATTCTTCAGATGAATTCCAGATGCCAGTTGTTCAAACAAGGAAAAGGTTGTTTAATATTTGTTGTTTTTCATGGTTGAACCAAGTTATAAGGCTCAGCCCCAAGGCTCACTGTGTATGCTATAAAAACAATTACCTTTTACTGAATATTTGCTTTGCCAGTCACCACACTCGAGTTTACATTACCTCAGTGCAAGATGGACACACTGATTTCCCCTTTTTACAGCTGAGAATGCTGGGGTTCAGAGAGGGCACTTGACTTGGCTGCACCACACAGCCCCTAGGAGATGGGCAGCTGAGTTGGAATCAGGAGCTGGGGTTCCTGGGGTCAGGATTTGGGAAGGGAACCCTGTTTGTGGGGCTGTTCTGCTCCCATTCTGTCCCCAGGGGCCCCAAGTCCTGCAGGCTCTCTTAGCTCCAGAACCCAGAGGGAGGCAGTTGCAGGGGGAAGGGTGTTTGGAAGAGCATGGGGAGTGCAGCAGCAGCTGAGGGTGAGACACCTGGTCTGCTTCGTCTCCTGCTTCCCTGTCTGTAGGCCTCCTTCTCCTCCCACCTCACTGCTGTCAACTCCACGGGGAATCCCCTGTGTCTAGGATGGGTCACCAGCTGCTGAGAAGTCCTCTCACTGGGTAGGCAGGTCTTCTGGAGGTGGCTCTGGGGCCTCTGTCATAACTCTAACAGGTCCGAACACAGGCCATTCACAATGATGGGGAGACACAGGATCATTGCAATAAGAACTTCCCCCGTGAAAAAGGTGGGGAGGAGGCTTATATGTCACTCTGGGTGACAGAAAGGAATGGGGGTTTGAGGCCTCTGGGGAGCCCATTCTGGTCTCCTCCAGTCCTATTAAATCCTAGTGAATTTGGCCTCCTCCAGTCCTGTTAAATCCTGGCGAATTCTGAGCCCCCTACAATTGCAAACATTGAAAAGAGCCTCTGAAGTACCTGGGAAAAACCACGTCTTCCAGGCAGAGGTGTGGCCCACCACTTCCTCACCCCTGCCCTAGTTAGTGGTGCAGGGAGACATACGCCCCACAACAGAGTGCACTGTCCTCTGCCTTGCTGTGTGAAAAACTTTTTTTATCATCCAGGACCAACATTTTCATTACATTGTTGAATGTCAACATTTTTAGACAACAAATGGCCACCTGGTGAAGTGCAGATGCTAATCAGATATGAGTACCTGCCGTACCCTTTAAAGCTTTTAAGACATGCAGCACTAGCTCCAACAATAAGAGTTTATGATTAAACAAACTTCATTAAAGGTCAGCTTCCAGAATTACATTTCAAGCTCACATCCTGGGCTTTTTGAAAAAGCACCATTTTGAATGAAAGGCTGTATATGTCAAAGATGGGTGAAGTGTCACAAGGCTTTTTTAAAAAGGGCCTACAAGATAAGATCAGTGCCCCAAATCCTTCCCAGAAAGGCAGCACCTGCTTTCCATGGTTGAAAAAGTTATTCAAAGACCCTTGTTAAAGATGGAAAGGTGGACTACTCAGGACCATCGCAATAGGTCCAGGCACCATGGCAATGGGACTTTCTGGGGTGGGAGAGATTGGGCTCCACTCTAACTACAGCCCAGGCAAGTGGGGACTGATAGCCCAGGAGCAGAGTGGGGTCCGTGGATAGAAAATCACTAAGGGGAAACATCAGGGGTGAGGGGGATTCTGGCTAAACTGCCCTTGCTGAGAACAGGCTGAGGTGATCAAACATCATCCGAGGGATGGTGGAGGGTGAGGAACCCCATCAGATATCGAGGGTGGAGTTCTCATCAAACTGACTTAACAGGGTTCTTTGCTGGAGCTGGATTTTAGAAGGAAGTGCACATATGGGCCCTAAGAAAAGCTCAGGAGCTTGACTAAAGTTCCATCAAGCAGAGAATCTTTTTTTTTTAATTTTCATTTTTATTTTAAGTTCTGGGGTACCTGTGCAGGATGTGAAGATTTGTTACATAGGTAAATGTGTCATGGTGGTTTGCCGCACCTGTCAATCTACCACCTAGGTATTAAGCCCAGCATGCATTAGCTATTTATCCTGATGCTCTCCCTCCCCACATCCCACCTCACAACAGGCCCCAGTGTGTGTTGTTCCTCTCCCTGTGTCCATGTGTTCTCATTGTCCAGCTCCCACTTATAAGTGAGAACATGCAGTATTTGGTTTTCTCTTCCTGCATCAGTTTGCTAAGGATAATGGCTTCCAGCTCCATCTATGTCCCTGCAAAGGACATGATCTTGTTCCTTTTTATGGCTGCATAGTATTCCATGGTGTATATGTGTCACATTTTCTTTATCCAGTCTGTCATTGATGGGCATTTGGGTTGATTCCATGTCTTTGCTATTGTGAATAGTGCTGCAATGAACGTACACGTGCATGTATCTTTGTTATAGAATGACTGATATTCCTTTGGGTTTATACCCAGTAATGGGATTGCTGGGTTAAATCAAGCAGAGCATCTTTGTCATCATCTCGTCCCTTGGGAGTTCTCCACGGCCTGGGAGTTCCCTGCACTAGGAAGGGATGAGGAAAGGCAGCCAGGGGCTCCAGTGTGGGGCAGAGGGAGCTTGGAGGAGCCGCTTCTCCCTCCCCAGGACAGGAGCCCTGGTACCTGGCTCTGCCTGTGGCATGGGGCAGGGCAGTCCCATAGCAGTGGGGAGGGGATGGCCAGGGTGGAGGCCAAGGGAGGGCAGGCACCAGCAATCTGAACACCCTCTGTTATCCACCTCGGCTGGGGCCCATTTTGAAGAGGGTGTGCAAGATTTCATCTGCAAAATGGAGGCTGCTGCTTTCAAAGGTTTGAAAGTCCCTGCTGTTTGAGGAGAAGGCAGGGATAGATGAGACCCTGGAGGCATCGCAGACTCATCCAAAGAGCTTAGTTTGACCTCAGGGCAAGGGCATCCTGCAAGGGTTCAAGAGGGGAGTGACTTCCTTCCTCAATGTATGGATGTTGAATGTGCACCTCTGATTTCTCCTGCCCCCTCCCATCTTCTGCCCACCCCAGCCAGGTCCAGAGTAGGAAGGGGCACATGCCTGTGTTCTGGGGGATAAGACGTCAGTGTGGTTGGAAGCCCAGGAAACTAGTTTTAAAGCTTCATTTGCATAGAAAATAATCTACCTCTCCTATATTTTTAACATTTTACTAAAATTTGTTTCTAAATGAGTAGTACAGTTTTTATTATGTGTTTCAGAACACATTACCTACTGTCTGTCAAGAGAAAATAAAGTATATCTGTTGCCAAATGCAATTTTATTTCCAGAAAGGTGGCTCTGATAGAATGGACCTCACTGAAGCCCTCCCCTAAGGCTAGGACTTTGCCCTCCTCCACTCCCACCCAACAAAGAGGAGTCTCTTCAGGGGTGAAGATAATCAGGATCATATTTTTTTTCATTGCTTTGAAAAGGAGAAAAGTGAGAAACATTATTCCACTTAGAATAAGTTTTTGAAGACCTAAAATTCAAGGTTTTGTTCACAAGTCTTTTTTTTTTTTTTTTTTTTTTTTTTTTTTTTTGAGACGGAGTCTTGCTCTGTTGCACAGGCTGGAGTGCAGTGGCGCGATCTCAGCTCACTGCAAGCTCCGCCTCCCAGGCTCAAGCCATTCTCCTGCCTCAGCCTCCCGAGTAGCTGGGACTACAGGCGCCTGCCACCACGCCAGGCTAATTTTTTGTATTTTTAGTATAGACGGGGTTTCACCGTGTTAGCCAGGATGGTCTCAATCTCCTTGTGATCCGGCCGCCTCGGCCTCCCAAAGTGCTGGGATTACAGGCGTGAGCCATTGCGCCCGGCCGTTCACAAGTCTTTATAATCATAAAATAAGCTTTTTGATCCTTGTACATTTCTTTTTTCCAGCTAAAATACATGCAAGTAACTTTTTAAAAATAGGTTAAGCCGGCTGGGCGTGGTGGCTCACGCCTGTAATCCCAGCACTTTGGGAGGCCGAGGCAGGAGGATCACGAGGTCAGGAGATCGAGACCATCCTGGCTAACATGGTGAAACCCCATCTCTACTAAAAATACAAAAAAATTAGCCCGGTGTGGTGGCGGGCGCCTGTAGTCCCAGCTACTCGGGAGGCTGAGGCAGGAGAATGGCTTGAACCTGGGAGGCGGAGCTTGCAGTGAGCCGAGATTGTGCCACTGCACTCCAGCCTGGGGAACAGAGCAAGACTCCGTCTCAAAAAAAAATAATAATAATAAGTTAAGCCAACCGGGCAATCTCGGATGCTCCCACGGTGCTCACGCTTAAACGCCTTTGAGGCTCTGGGTCACTCTGGGGCTACCAAAGCCTTGACGGCCAGGCACTGCTTCTGCTGCTGCACTTACCCAGCCCCTGCCCCTTCCATCTCCTCCCAGTCCCAAAACCCCGCTGCCCAGTCAGAGAGTCCACTTAGGGAACTGCACCTGTTTTCTGTTTGTTTTGTTTTTTCCTGAAAATGGCTGGCCCAAAGGAAGGCTCATAAAACCCTTGAATCTCTGTGTTTGCAGAGAAACAAATATGAAGTGTAGCTAAAGAGGGACTGAGCAAAGGGTCCGTGAAACACGCAGATCCATAGGGATGGGGGCGACAAGCTTCCGTGCTGAACAGGAGCGACCCTGGGGTGGCTGCCCGTCGCAGATGGCTAGGTCACTCCTCTTTCATTTCTTCAGGGACAAAGAAGCACTACACTGTGAGCCTGCTGTTATCACTCCCAACATCTGGTCAGGAAGCAAACCAACTGATCAAGGAGCAACATAGTTCATCCTACTTGAGCACCTCTACTTCCAGATTTTGGGATATGTAACATGCTGAGAACAAGTTAATTATCTATGCACATATATGTGTATGTGTGTATGCATGTGTATACACATACGTGTACAAACAGGCATATATACAGTATGTATACATAAATATAAATATAGTTAAATATATATTTATATTTATAAATATATAGTTAAAGATTCAAATACACAAGTGCCCATTTTTCCCATTGGTTTTTGGAAACTGTAGCTGCTTTAGCCAATCTGTCCTTTAAGAAACAAGAACTTCGGCCAGGTGCAGTGGCTCAGGCCTGTAATCCTAACACTTATGGGGGGCCAAAGTGGGTTGATCACTTGAGGTCAGGAGCTTGAGACCAGCCTGGCCAACATGGTGACACCCTGTCTACTAAAAATACAAAAATTAGCCAAGCATGGTGGTACACACCTGTAATCCCAGCTACTCGGGAGGCTGAGGGAGGAGAATCCTTAAACCTTGCAGGCAGAGGTTGCAGTGAGCAGAGATTGCGCCACTGCACTCCAGCCTGGGTGACAGAGTGAGACTCTGTCTCAAAAAAAAAAAAAACAAAACCAGAAATGAAAGCTTAAACCACCTGTGCCTCACACCGCAAACAGCTCCCTGTGTAATTAAGGAGAGACTTTGCTCTTCCACCGTTTCCATTCACGTGACTGGCAAAGTCGTTCCAGGAGACTCCAGCCCCAGTAAATGGAATGGGGCAAATTTCTCATGGAAACCTCCAGAAAGACCCATCAGCTCTTCAATGGAAAGCAGCAACTTTGTGCTCTAAGATTCTTTGAATCTCTCACTTAAACCCCTTGCCTGGCTGTTTCCACCAAGCTTGGGCTGGTGCAACATGGTCCACACTCACTCCTCATCAACCCCTCGACCCCTCGACCCCTCGACAGGGAATGTTCCACTTTATCCCAACTCCAATCTTCAGGGGGTTCCAACCTTGCCCTCCTGCCTCCCAGGCACTGCGTGGCTTCCGTTATCACCGTGACTAATAAGCTCATTTTGTGTTGGTGTGTTAGGGATCTGGAGAGCCTATATCTGCCAATAACCAATGTCATATGTAAATATACAGTGATAAACTACTCAATAAAACTAACAAAGAAAATAAAACTGGCTATGTTCCTGGTTGTAAAAGTCTTCCAATCATGGGAACAAAATGTCTGCTGTAAAATAGTAAAGAATTCTACTATAAAAAGAAAGCGGGGCGTGGGGAAGGTACTTCCTTCTTTACCTACTCTGTCCTTCAAAAATCACCTGCAACCCCTTAGGCTAATGGCAGTTTGAAAATTGTTTTAATATCTGAGATCCTAAAAAAATGGTCAAGAATTTCAAGATTCCTGCACAAGTTTGAGTTAGAGCTTTTAGATGATGAGGTCGTCACAGGTGACAGGAGGTCACAGGCGACAGGAGGTCACAGGCATGTGTGTAGTGATTATGCTCGCCTCCTGGGTGTCACCCAGCCCCGTGTGTGAGATGCACGTGGAAGGCGAAAGCACCTGTGCTCAGCGCCTGTGAGCTGGCTCAGCCAGGCCTTTAACTGCTCGCTGGAACACTGATTCCTGGTCACCCCAGGCAGCACACTGGGAGGGACTGGAGCTTACCCCCAGGGTGGACTGTAGGTGCTGGGGTAGGGGTGAGGATACCCACCTGCCCAAAGGATAAGGAAGATGCACCAAATCATGCAGGGTGGAGCGTATCAGCTCCAGGGACCCCTTAGGTCAGAGCACAGATTTGCCTTTCACGGTACCTGTAACTACTTCTGTAATCTCATACACAGATTGCTCAGCTTCCCTGAGAATTAGTTGCTTTATCCATAAAATAGGCATAATAACGTATTGCTGGGTCATGAAGAATTAAATTAACCAATGAATAGAGAGAGACTTGTGGACTACAAAGAGCTGGGCAAATACAAGGTATATTTTCCAAGAAGTAGATAATTCAGGTAACTTGCAAAGCAGCCTAGGGCTGGACTGGGCTGGACAGAGACACCCATACCTAGGGTTGCCATGTGTAGTTGTTCAGGTTGTATACGGTACAAACGTAGGGATGACTTTCACATTTGTAGTCATGAAGGATATGTATATTTAACATGACATTTTCCTGCGGATGCCTTAAAATGTCTTATGGAAAGGATGATGTATTCATATTCATAAGAAAACGTTGAACAAACTCATGGTGAGGTTATCTGTCCATGCCCTATTTTGTAAGATGAAAGAAATTAAACCTTAAGGCTGAACTCTCTTCTACGTGGGTTGCAACACTGAATCACAGTTTTGTATCTTAATTGTTCTTTGACTTACATATACAGCTGGAGGGCAGAAATAAAAGCATCAGCTTTTAAAAATGCATCAATCAACTTTAGATTGATCCAGAACAAAGCTGTCAGTTGATTGTAGTGGGCCAAACCAGGTACGATGTGTCTTACTAGAAACACAGAAGTTTACAAACATTTGAACTGACATCTTAAAACTAGGAGACTTCACATAAAATTCAGCTTTCCAGCTTCTCTTTAAAACATGGAAGACCTGGCTCACTGGGCCACCTTTTAGAGGAGCAGGAAGGAGCTCCTCAGCCCTGCGGGCATCTGAGTGGCAGCCCTGCAGGCAACTGAAATTCCACTGTCCTAAGCTGTTCCAGGAGGCGCTGGGGTCCGGTCAACCCCCGAAGCCCAGCAGCGAGCTCCAGAGACCCCGTCTCCCCACAGAATGGAGGTCAGAAGCTGCCGCCAAGCACATGAAACATCTTGGCTTCCCTCTGTGCACTCTCTCCGCTTCCTAACTTCCCTAGCTTAGAAACAATGAGGAAAACGCTGGGCGCAGTGGCTCACGCCTGTAATCCCAGCACTTTGGGAGGCCGAGGTTGGTGGATCACCTGAGATCAGGAGTTCGAGACCAGCCTGGCCAACATGGTGAAACCCCATCTCTACTAAAAATACAAAAATTATCTGGTTGTGGTGGTGGGCGCTTGTAATCCCAGCTGCTCGGGAGGCTGAGGCAGGAGAATCACTTGAACCCGGGAGGCAGAAGTTGCAGTGAGCCGAGATCATACCATTGCACTCCAGCCTGGGTGATGGAGAGAGACTCTGTCTCAAAAAAAAAGAAAAAGAAAAAGAAAAGAAACAATGAGGAAAACGATGGAGGCCCCACACCTGCACCCCCTGCATCTGCTCTGCAGGATGGCTGCACACATTTACTGCCCACCTGTGCTGGGAAGTTCAAAGAGAGCAGAACATGCAGCTTCCTGAAGCTTGTGTCCCAGCAGGGAAGGCACAAACTAACACATAATGAATGTGCAGTGCCAGTGCCAAAAAAAAAAAAAAATGTAAAGCCAGGATAAGAGGCCAGCCTGACCATCGAAGGGGCTCCATCTCCGGCAGGAGTCTGGGAGGGTGTCCATACGCAGGAGAAGCAGCAGGTGCCTCTGCTGGGGGAGGAGCCTTCATGAGGGCAGTGAGAGTGCATTATGGAAGGCCCTGAACACTGCAGGAAGGATTCAGAATTGTATTCTGGATGGCTGGGACCAGAGAAATCACATACCCTGGTTAACACTTCAGAAGAAACAGTCTGCTCTTTGCTGTGTTACATTTTTTTTTTAGTAGAGATGGGGTTTCACCATGTTGGCCAGGCTGGTCTTGAACACCTGACCTTAAGTGATCCGCCCACCTTGGCCTTCCAAAGTGCTGGGATTACAGGCGTGAGCCACCGCACCCGGCCTATCTGCTGTGTTACAAACGACGTGCCAGGAGCAGTGCCAAGGAGGGGAGATCCTAGAAGAAGGCTTGTACAATAGTGCTCAAGACATCCTAGAGCGGGGAGTGGGAATGGAGGACTAGCAAATGGAATGTGGGGACTGAGGGGAACTGGGCAGTCAGAGGTGACCCCAGGGATTTTAGTCTGAACAGCTGAAGGAATGGAGCCGCCACTGACGGAGATGGGGAAAGCGGATGTGCAAGATGACATCAAGAACTTGGCCTTGGACACGTTCAACTTGAGGTGCTAATTAAACTGGGAAGAGCAGGTGGTGGCAGGCAGTTGGAGTTGAGGGGATGGAGATGTGAACTTGGGGGGCGCCAGCAGGGAAGTGCTACTTGGAGCCGGGGCCCAGAGGAGCTCCCCAGGGAGGGAGGGTCAGCCGGTGGACAGAGCTCTGGGGCTGCCTGTGAGAGGCAGAATGGGGGGATTCCAGGAAAGATATGAATGAGCAAGAAGCTGTGAAAACAATTTCTGTCCACCTGAAAAATGTACACGGCACAGACGTGGAAGGAAAGGAATGAGGATGATATTAAAGTATTAAAATCCCACGTACTTGAGACAGTAACGATAAATAAAAATAAACCCAGTGTTGCCAGGGATGTGAGAAATAAAAGCATTATTTTGTTGCCAGAGGGGCACTGAAAATAGATTTAATGTAGTCGAGAGCAGGCACCAACTATGCGGCAGGAGTTACGAAACTCTGTCCCCAGAAATATTCTCTAAGTGGGGAGGTGGCAAGTTCAAAAAGAAACAAATGATAACAGCCTTCTCAAAGCTCTGAAAGCAGCGCTCTCACACTGGGCAAAGGCGGACCTCACCTCAATGCCCTGTAGCAGGGGACCCCTAAGCACGCAGAGGCTGGGTCTCACTCAGCAGGTGGGTGTCTCAGTCCGCAGGTGCAGCGGAGCCAGTGGCCTTTGGTCCTACAGCTCAGCAGAACTCTGACTCCCAGCTCCCATGCCACCCAGGTGGCCAAGGAAAAGCTGGAAAGATGCACGGGTCACTCTCTCCAGCTCCCACCTCCTTCTCCTGAGAAATAAAATCCACAGCCAGCTCCAGTCTGCCTGAGGGAGAGAAAAGGGAAAAACAAAAGAAAAATACATAAATTAATATCCAAAAATAACTGGGCACATACAAAACCACTACTAATGTCACAGCATAGGACCAGACAGGATCATAGGCCATGATCTTGCCTATAGCATGAGATTAAGCAAAATAATAGAATTAATAATAATAATAAAGTATTTGTTGTTCTAGATGAAGTGACTGACAAGGCTGTTGCCCCAAAAGTTGAAAGTAATGACATAATTACTTTCTGACAATAAAACTGCAAAGGCAGCTCACACAGGATCAGAGCATAGGTATTCAAGGTCATGTTTAAAAGATAAAAATAGCTTAATGCCAGTGAGATCTTATCTTCATGAATCAAAAGTACGGCATACAACTAAACATACAAACAAAAACAGAAGAATGTGCCACTAACGAGCAGGGTTGGCTGGCCACAGGAGTTTACAAAATGCCATCACGGGGATCAGTGCTAGTCGGGCCTGCTGTCAGTGAGGGAAAGGGGACCCAGATGGGAAGCAGGGGTCTCCTGGCCAGGGAGGCTGTGATTAGAGACAGAAGCACCTCATATAAGGGACAGAATGCTCAAGGTTCTGGTCAGAACAATCACATGTGTGTGTGTATGCGTGTGCGTGTGTGTGTGTGTATGTGTGTGTGTTGGGGGTGTATAGGTAATATCTCCAGTGATTCTCAAATGTCATTCCATATAAGAGTTATTGAGAAAGCCAGACTTTTTAAAAAAAAATGCAAATTTCCAGGCCTTACCTCCAACGGGGCAGGTGTTCTTGGGGGTTGAGGTGAAGCTAAGGTCGGTGGTCCAGACCCCACTTGCTCCCCTCCCAGTGGTCTCTGGGCTTGGGGACCGTGAGACTGTCCTCTTTTTGCCTCTGGTGGGCTGAGAAGTCAGATCTCAGCCTGGAAGAGTGAGAAGCAGCTCTGCATTGTGACTTCTAGGGGGCATCCCCTGTTGTCTATGACAGCCTTACCTAGGGGGTGGGCCCAGGCCACCCCTCCCTACACACCCAGCCCTAGGTGCCTCTGCCTGAAGGTCACCCGCTGTGAGATGGTCTGTGAGCCCCCTGTACCCTCTTCTTTTGCTTCCATTGTTGATAAATACATAAAAACACAGCCATGTGTCAACAAAAAAAGTGAAACGCTATAAAATATTTGAAGAATTTTATTCTGAGCCAAATCTGAGTGACCATGGCCCATGACACAGCCCTCAGGAGGTCCTGAGAACATATGTCCAAGGTGGTTGGGGTGCAGTCTGGTTTTATACATTTTAGGGAGGCATGAGACATCAATCAAATGCATTTAAGAAATACATTGGTTTGGTCTAGAAAGGCAGGACAACTCAAAATTGGGGGGGTGGGGGATGGGTGGAGTGTGCTTCCAGGCTATAGGTGAATTTACACTTCTTTTTTTTTTTTTGAGACGGAGTTTTGCTCTTGTTGCCCAGGCTGGAGTGCAATGGCATGATCTCAGCTCACGGCAACCTCCACCTCCCAGGGTCAAGCGATTCTCCTGCCTCAGCCTCCCATGTAGCTGGGATTACAGGCATGCACCACCACGCCGGGCTAATTTTGTGTTTTTAGTAGAGATGGGGTTTCTCCATGTTGGTCAGGCTGGTCTCAAACTCCTGACCTCAGGTGATCCGCCCACCTTGGCCTCCAAAAGTGCTGAGATTACAGGTGTGAGCCACTGCGCCTGGCCAAATTAAACATTTTCTGGTTGACAACTGGTTGTGTTTGTCTAAAGACCTGGGATCCATAGAAAGGAAATGCTCAGGTTAAGATAAAAGACTGTGGAGACCAGGGTTCTTCCAAAGTCTCACAGTGGCTGCCCTTAGAGACAATCAATGACAAATGCTTCCTGTTCAGACCTTTAAAAGGTGCTAGGCTCTTAATCTTTTCAGGATTGTGAGGGCCTGGAAGAAACAAGATCTAGCTGTGTTAATAGAGATTCTTTACAGACGCAAATTTTTTCCCACAAGGGACATCTTTGCAGGGCATTTCAAAATATGGCCAAGAAACACGTTTCAGGGTAAAATACTTTGATTTTCTTATTTGTCACATAATGTTATGCCAGAGTCAGATTGGAAAGTCAGTCACGATATATAGGGTTAAATAAAACCCATCTGACGAAAATTTATGGTTTGTAGGAAATGACTTCCCAGACCCCTTAGATAGGAATTTGGGCAAGATAAAAAATCAGAGTTTAGTCCTTAGTTCACCAAAGATGAAGAGTTTATAATTTAATGGTACATTTCCTTTCTTAAGTCATCTGAGTTAGATTGGCTGTAAAAATAACCTTACACCACTGGCTATTGGCTCCTTCTCTTCTTAGACCTGGACACAGTGCCCGATGTCCAAGGCTGAAAAGGTTTAGAAACAGGACTTTAAGGTAAGACAGGGATTCCAGTGACAGCTACTGAGTCCGCTGAAATGCAGGGAGGGGTCCTGGGCTTCTCAGAACCCCACCTAGATTTGGAAGGAACCTCTCTGAGGGGTGCACATCCATGGACAAACTCCCGGGGCGCCTGGGGACTGACTTCCCCCAGACACATCTGTCTTTCTCTCCTGCTGTTGCTAGGAAGCTGTAGGCATCCCGGAGTCTAGGCCCTGCCACTCTTAATCCAGAGGTGAAAAATAAAGAGGGTGTCCATGCTGCCACCGGGGAAGAAAGTCTTGGTCATTTCCTCAGTATCTTCTCTACCATCAGGGAAAAAATATCACCTCTTTCATTAGGAAAGACCCTGGAATCTGCCTCTGCTTCTAAACATTACGGTTTATTTTATTTTATTTTATTTTTGCATAGTGCATGCACCCAGAGCTTACTGTCTTCCTGGATTTCTGTTTTGTTTTGTTTTTGTTTTTTTTGTTTTTGAGACAGAGTCTCACTCTGTCGGCCAGGCTACCGTGTAATGGCACTATCTCAGCTCGCTACAGCCTTCATCTCCCGGGCTCAAGCAATTCTCCTGCCTCAGCCTCCTGAATAGCTGGAATTACAGGTGTGTGCCACCATGTCCGGCTAATGTTTGTATTTTTAGTGGAGATGGGGTTTCGCCATGTTGACCAGGCTGGTCTCGAACTCCTAACTCAGGTGATCCACCCAGCTCGGTCTCCCACAGTGCTGGGATTACAGGCAGGAGCCACTGCACTTGGCCCTTCCTGGATTTCTTGTATTACTTTTAATAATAATAATTTAAAAAAACACAGGAAAAGAAACGATGTATTCCAGCCCTGTCCTTTGCTTCATGGCTGTTACACTGACACTGTGATTGTAAGCTTGAATTTCGGGTCGTAGGCAATTTTCTGACAAAGCCCCCCACTTCTCCCTCAGCCACTGCCCCTGCACCGCCCTCAGCATGAAGCTTAAAAGGGAGAGAATATAGATCCCACCCCAAGGGCAAAGAGTCAACGGGTCCACATCCACAAGTCCTGAGCACTCTTGCATTTATTTCACAAGTCAGTGAAAGCCAATGGGATGTCCCTTTCCGATGCTGCATGGGAGCAATGAGAAGCAGCCAGAGAGGCATCACCTGACCAGGCGGCTGGCTGGCATAGGGGGGTGGCTGTGGCCAGCTGGAGGGGGCTGCTGGGCATGGTGGGGGTGAGGGGCAGAGGACAGCACCTGAAGGATGCTTGGAGAAGGGATGGGGAGCAGAATCCATCAGGGCGCTCCCAGCTCAGTAGCAGGGACTGTGCTGGCTGCTGGGGTATAAGGTAGTAGGAGAGCAGGGAGAAATGCAGTCAGTGACCAGGAGGATTTCTGGTAATCAACGCCACAGTTCTTTACTTGGGAGACAGTTTTGTTGGGGATAAAAGCTCCTGGAGTCCAGACACTATAACCCCCTTGACACCTCTTGATTCCAGGAATTCACTCTGTGCTTGGGACGATTATGTGCTCTATAAAGAGGGACTGGCTGACCAGTGTGTTCTGCTCAAGTTGGTTACAACATTGATTTTGACATCAGACAAGTGGTCTTAACCCTTAGAACCGTCATTCCTGAGATGTGTAGTCTAGAAAAGTTGCTTAAATTCCCTAAGCCTCAGTTACCTCATCCATGAGATGGGACAAAGACTGTGTATGCTGTAGGTTGATTGAAAAGACGAAAGCCACGAGGTACCTAAGGCACCAGCATGGTGCTCACTGGATTCTGAGGAAGCACAGCCTCTCCTTGTCATACTTGGGCAGCATCTGACAATGGTCAAAATTCTTTCACGTGTGTTTTTCAGACCCCAGGTCAACCCCAAGATAAAGAGACAAAGAAAAAGTGTTTCTACTTTTAGAGAATACCCGTGATGATAGCTTGATGTAAAACCAAGGGGTGGGAGAGAATGGAACCAGCTGGAGGAATTAAAATGCCAAGGGCCAGGACTTAGGAAAGAAGCCTGTGGCTCGATCCTGAGCATTTCTGTCTGTTTTTTTTCCCTAAACCTTTGTGTTTTTTTAGAGACAGAGTCTTGCTCTGTCCACCCAGGCTAGATGCAGTGGAGCGATCATAGCTCACTGCAGCCTCGAACTCCTGGGCTTAAGTGATCCTCCCACCTCAGCCTCCTGAGTAGCTGGGACTATGGGCACGCACCACCACACCCAGCTAGGTTTTTTAAAATTATTTTTTGTAGAGACAGGGTCTTGCTATGTTCCTCAGGCTGTTCTTGAACTCCTGGGCTCAAACAATCCTCCTGCCTCAGCTTCCCAAAGTGCTGGGATTACAGGTGTGAGCCACTGCACCCAGCCCTGTTTCTAAATTTTAAACTCATTGGCCAGACACGGTGGCTCACGCCTATAATCCCAGCACTTTGGGAGGCCAAGGTGGGTGGATCACTTGAGGTCAGAAGATCAAGAAAAGCCTGGCCAACATGGTAAAACCCTGTCTCTACTAAAAATTCAAAAATTAGCCAGACGTGGTGGAGTATGCCTGTAATTCCAGCTACTCAGGAGGCTGAGGCAGGAGAATCACTTGAGCCCAGGTTGCAGAGGTTGCAGTGAGCCGAGATCATGCCATCGCACTCCAGCCTGGGCGACAGAGACTCTCTCAAAAATAAATAAATAAATAAATGTTTTAAACTCATAATTTCACCCATGGCATCGATGATGGAGACATGAAGCTGGACCCCCACCCAGCCATAGCTTGATCTGTATATGGAAAATGCCTTCCCTGTCCTGAAATTCAATAAAGAGAAAATGACAGAAGAACCACATGCACTACTGTTTTTACAAATCCTAGAGTCATGTAACTTCCTTAAGAAAGACATTATTAGCTGAGTACCATTTTATCGGGAGGAGCTGGGAGTGTGAGTGGATTTCATGGTGCCACATCAGCTCTGGTTTTGTGGCAATCGATAAAAGACACCCAGAGCAGCAGGAGCAAAGCCATAGAAGGGAGAGTTTATGGTCAATATTTTTGATATGTAGAACCTGTGATACCTACTGTAAAAAGTAATTACAATAAATATTCTAATTTAAAATTTTCATCATTCATAATAGAACTGTAATCAAATAGGTTTGATTTTAAGTGATGTGTCATAGGTCCAGTATTTTGATAAATACTTCCTGAATATTCTCTCATTCCATCCTTGGAATAACACTGGGAGGAGGGGTTAGTAGCCCTGTTTTCCAGAGGAAGCACAGGGTCTGAGCTTGTTGTTCAATGTTGCCTGGTATTTGGGAGCTGGGCTGGATTTGGAGAGGAGAGGGGGACGGGGCTGTGTCTACCTTCAGTATAGTCAGGCTGGACACTGTGTAGCCAGGGACGGTGCAGTCAAGATGGGTAGGGATGCGGAGAAGTCACCAGCCAGGACAGTGCCACCCTGAGTGGGTGCCAGCAGACTTGTGCCTGGGCATGAACCCTAGGGGCGATCCATCTGCACCCAGACAACCCAGCATGGTGGTGGGGGAGGTTTCCCAAAACTCCAGCTTTATTTTTGGGTCCAGAAGGAAGCACTGGCCAGGGGTAAGGTTGTTGGAAGAGCATTCCCTGTTCCACGTGGGAGTTGGGTTGGTAGCCAGGGGCAAGCTGAGAAGCTGGGAGAGCTGGCAGGAACAGCGAGGAAGTGGCAGGACAGAGACGGAAGTGAGTCCTGACCTGTCCTCTGCCCATGCCTGCATGCTGTGCATCCACTGCCCTGGGAGTCGAGGTGATGGCCCCGTACTGGCCCCAGGATCCGCTTCTGTCATTCTACCAGCTGGGATTGCAATGATTTGTCCACTTGTTGAACGATTCAGCGTTTTTTTTTTCTGCTACTTTTCTCACTACCTGCATCTGAAAATACTTCTCTTCCCTGGTCAGCCTGCGGTCACCCCGGGGGATTGGCTTGCTGGTTTTTCCAGTTGGACCAGATGCACCCATCGGAGCTGCATCAGCCTCTGGGCCTGGAGGAGAGAATGTTTCCTTAGGCACATCTTGGCTGCCACCAGAAATGTCAGCCTCGCCGGGCGTTATATGGACTCATGTGCACATCCAGGCAGGGTCCAGAGCCCAGGATGTTTGCATTCAGGCTCCAGGCCCCCAGTTTCCAGCGAGATGGCTGTCTGCCAGCCACCGAGCCCTCGGCCTCAGCCTCACCTCTGTAACGTGGGGATTTGGTGATCTGCCCAACCAGTGGCCACGTGAAATAATAGATCTGAGAATGCTTTGAAGAGAGAAGGAAGCACCAAAGTAGTCCACAGCTGGCTGGGTGGGCCGGGGTTTCTCTGGTCTCGGCTCATTCCGGCTCATTCTCTGTGTCAACACTGGCAAGACGCACCCACTCTGCACAAACTCTGGGCGCTCAGTGCTGCTGGAGGGAGGATGCGGCATATTTGCAAGAAGCCTACAAGGGGCCCATGCTAGTTTTGTAGAGGATGAAGTTTATACAATGTGGGGGAACTTCCCTAAGGAATAGTATACAAAATTATAAATACAAGAGCAGATCCAAAGCAGATTATATTGGTTTAAAATGAGAAATGAAAATATAATGGATTACAAATTCTAAAAAGCTAACAGTATCATAATATCACAAATCCACAAAAATAATATAATTTTATTAATTTTATAATTCCTTTTAAATTACAGCTTTGAGGTGCATACTCTTTGCTTACTTCTTAGGACAATAACTATAAAAATAGCATTCCTGCTGAGCACTTGGAAGGATACTTCAGCCTTCTCTTGACATGGTAGCTTCTGGCTCTGGAATTCTAAAACCCCCTTCTCTACTCCGTTTCCCGAAAACTTAAAGTGCTGGGCACCATGGGGCATACTGTACCTCTACGGTGGGGAGACACCTGGCCCTGCACTTTGCCACCCAGCAGTCACTGTGTGTGTTACGTGTATTCCTGGAAGCCATTCCCACGGCTCAGAGTTAACCACAAATTACCTGCACATGACTGCTGACAACATAAGAACTACTCACTGGTCCCAACTTTGGTGCACCTCCCACTCCCTTAGCACTGCTCCAGTATGCCTGACCACTGCACTACGGCCAGGACACCCAGAGAGGAGAGAGAGCATGAACAGAAACAGACAGCGATCCTCAGGATTGCCACGAAAATAGCTTACTCTTGCAATGTTCGCAAAATGCCACAGCCATGCAGCTTTCTCCCAGGACTTCTAGGCTCCAGCTTTCCAGGAAATCTCCCATTTGAGCTCAACAGGAAAGTTCTGGAACCAACCTAGCTTCTCTGTAGTGCTTGGGAGGTCTGAACCCACTGTTCTCAAGCCAGTGAGACCCGGGCGGGCCCTTTACCTGGACTTCTCCAACCTGGACCCCTGCAAACCCGTCTGTCTCTGCTTCTGCAGGTGAAGCGGGAGGAGGAGACCAAGGCCAGCGCAGCCCACCCGCCCTGCACCAGTGCACGGTCCCCACCCTTTCTCTTCCTTTCCGTGTCTTTACTTGTCAGCCACCTCATTTGATTAGTTCAGAAGAGGCACAGGTAGCTCATTGCCTTTCTCTCCTTATTAGTGAAGAGATAGCACTTGGTGTTTCTAGTCCAGGAAGCATGGAGGAGCCATCCCCGAGCAGACAGGGGTAAATTGGTGGTGAAATGATCACTGGGGTTCAGACAAGTTAGATCTGATATGAATTCTGGATCCCCAAAGGGAGACACCAAGGAGGCAACTGAATATCCGAGTCTGGAGTTGCAGAGAGGCCCGGGCTGGGGGCAGGAACACAGGAGTCTTTCCCATGTGGGTATCAAGACAATCTTTAATGCCGTAATGCTGGCTGGGATCTCCCAGGAAATGAAGCTGGAGACAAGAGCCCCATGCAGTTCCCTGGGGCACAGCAGAAAGCTCTAAGGAGGGACAGGAGGAAAACAAGGTGAAGGAGGTGCTTGGGCTAAATTGTGGCCCCCAAAATCCATATGTTGAAGTCCTAACCCCCGTACCTCAGAATGTGACCTTATTTGGAAACAGGGTCTTTGTGGAGGTGATTGAGTTCGAATGACGGCATTAGGGTGGGCCTGGTCCGATCTGACTATGTCCTGTAAGACGAGGAGATGAGGACACAGATGCACACAGAGGGATGACCCTGTGAGGACACAGGGAGGAGATGCCATCTGCAAGCCGAGGAGAGAGGATTCAGAGGAACCAGCCCTGCCAATAACTTCATCTTGGATTTTCAGCCTCCAGGACTTTGAACCAATAAATGTACGTTGAAGCTCCCCACCTGTGGGATTTGTTATTGCCGCTCCATACAGGTGGGGGCCTGGGAACCTGGACTCATACAGGTCGGGGCCTGGGAACTTGGGAAAATCGTGCATCGCAGAGTGGGGCCCAGGAGGCCACTGCTGCTGGGGGTCAAGTGAGAGTAAGGCTGGGAATGTCCCTCCTTCCCCATGAGCGTTCTGAATTGTTTTCTGATAATAACGGAACAGATATGTTTGGAAATAGTTTAAAATCTGGTACTGTGACTGGTGCTTCACATATTTGTTTGTCTCAAAACACACAGATAGGTAATCTATATAAAGAGAAAACAAGAAGACACAGACTGGAAAACAGATCTGGTTGTTACCAAGGCATTTAGCATGCAATTTCTCATTTGCTGTGGACACGACGAGAAGAGAATTCCTCACTCGGTTTTCTGTCTGCCACCTTGCTAGCGATCAGCCCACTGGGAACATTTTATTAACCCCTTATTAAACTTTTATTAGTTTTACTTCCATTGCCTAGATAATCACTGTCCAATGAACACAATGCAAGCTAGAAAAAAAAACAAACTACTGAAAATCCAGATGGACACCTTTTGTGGGGGCAGAAATGGAACAGAAACGCTTAGCAGCAGCAGCGAGGGACATTGCAGCCACCAGCTGAAGAAGGGCTCCTGCCCCAGGGGTCCGGCGTGGTTTGGGTCTAGGGGTCATGGGGCCAAGAGGGCATCCAGAGAGACAAGGAGTCAGGGTCAGAATCAGACTCTGGGAGTGCAGGTTGAAATGAGACTGCTGCAGACCTCCCTCCTGAAATGTTTGTAGCAAACTGGTCCCCAGCAGGCCTGGGGACAAGAAGGTGTCTCAGCAGGATGGGAAAAACTGAGATGCTGGGCCAGGGACACTCCGCTGACTTCTAGGCAGGGGTTGCAAATGTCACGGTGAGACCTGGTCCTGGACGGAGACCAGCAGGCAGGAGGAGGCAGTCACGGAAATCCACAGAGAGAAAAGAAATTGCATAAGGAGATGGCACTCCTCAAATGGGGTGGGGCACCACAACTCCAGAACAAATGCCAATGCAGGGCACAGATGAGAAAAGCCATCATTAGAATATGCATCTTAGCTGGGTGTGGTGGCACGCACCTGTAGTCCCAGCTACTCGGGAGGCTGAGGCAGGAGAATCGCTTGAACCCAGGAGGCAGAGGTTGCAGTGAGCCGAGATCGCGCCACTTCACTCCCGCCTGGCAACGAGTGAGACTCCATCTCAATAAATAAATAAGTAAATAATTGAGATGGGTTCTCACTATATTGCCTAGGCTGGATCCCAACCCCTTGGCTCAAGGGATCCTCCTGCCTCAATACAAATACCAATTTTTGTATTTGTAGTAGAGACAGGGTTTCACCATGTTGGCCAGGATGGTCTCCATCTCTTGACCTCGTGATCTGCCCACCTTGGCCTCCCAAAGTGCTGGGATTACAGGCTTGAGCCACTGCACCTGGCCAATTTGTTATTTTTTTATAGAAATGAGGTCTCACTATGTTGCCCAGGCTAGTCTCAAACCCTTAGGCTCAAGCAGTCCTCACACTTCAGCCTCCCAAAGTGCAGGGATTACAGGCATGAGCCACCATGCTTGACTTCAATTAAAAAAAAATAGGCATTCTTTCCAGGAAAATTAATTTTACAGAAAATCTGACATAGACTTTAAAATAGGTATGTGAAGTCCGCTCACAGAGATAACTTCAATTTCTCTGTTTGGATTTCATGATGCCCCGGAGTATCTTTTATGCATAGGAAAGACGATTTGCAATGACTTTTTAAAAAAATATATTTGATGTTTCAACAGCTACAAATTTTAAAACATGGTTTTTCCTTAGGCTTTCATGTTTAATTCCTCTTGTTCTACTTAGAAATCTGGAGAATTTTGATAATTACTCAGAAAAGGGGCTTTACAATTTTTGTTTATTAAATGTTCTCAAATGTTTTGAATTGCATTTATCATTTTTAAATATTTTTAGTTTCATTTTAAGTACTTCAGTTGTCTAACAAAACTTTTTCAAGTACATGTGTAATTTTAATAGCATTCATTTATAAATGTGGTTATTTGTAAGCTGTCTTAAATAGTTTAGTATTGTTTCAAGAAACAGAAGAGGTCTGTTTTCAGCTTGATAGCAAAGATCTAAATTAATGCCTCAAAAACACACTAGGTTGCAATCACAAGTCCAATTTGCTATATTCTCAAGTAATCCAAACTGTCTGAAATATTACAAACATTTTAAACCCCTAATTTACACAGGTTATTCCTTAACTTAATTTTTTAAGTGTTGGTTCTCTTGTTTTTTCATTGTCTTTGTTGGGGATTTGATAAAATTCACCCTTTTTGGGGCCTGCAGCTTGTACAATTTCGGGGCTCTCTTTAAGAGAAAGAACACACATTCATGACTATGAAGCGAGCTCCAGGGACTCCAAAGGGGCACACGCTGTTAAAGGGCCTGAAGCTTCAACTTCATTGATTTCATGGTAAATTCAACTACAATTTCTATGTTTCTTCAAAGACTTTCCCGGGGTTAAAAATCACTTACCTATCAAGTAAAACAATTTCATATTCAAAGCAAGCGGTGGTGATCCACCCAGGCCACGTTGTCACTGTCCTCACAGTCCATCAGTGAGGGCTCTCACTCTGTCTGTGACACCCAAGGGGCCTCCAAGTGCTAACCACCTGAAACAAACCGAGGTCTGATGAGGGATGCTGCAGTGATTCTTCAGAACATTATGGACGGTGGGGAAATCCCAAGACCACCAGAGGGAGCAGATGGATTCAGGAACAAACGTTAGCAGTCAGCGAACTTGGATCACCAGAAGCAGACACCGGAAAGAGGAAGAGCTTCAAAGCACTGAGCAAAAAAACCCACCCAGTGGAATCTTATACCCAGCAATAGTTGATTCAAGAGTGGAGTGGAAATAAAAGTATTTTCAGATAATAAAAAATTAGTCGTTTTCCCACTTACTGTCTCCCATTAAAGGGATATTAATATAAGTCGTTGAGTAAGAAGCAAATTGAAACTAGGAAGGGCTGATCGCAGTGGCTCAGGCCTGTAATCCCAGCACTCTGGGTGGCCGAGGTAGGCAGATCACCTGAGATCAGGAGTTCGAGACCAGCCTGGCCAACATGGCGAAACCCTGTCTCTACTAAAAATACAAAATTAGCTGGGCGTTGTGGTGCATGCCCGTAATCCCAGCTACTCAGGAGGCTGAGGCAGGAGAATCGCTTGAACCTCAGAGGTGGAGGTTGCAGTGAGTGGAGATCACGCCACTGCACTCCAGCCCAGGCGAGAGAGCAAGACTTCGTCTCAAAAAAAAAAAAAAAAAAAAAAAAGAGAGAGAAAGAAAGAAAGCTAGGAAAAGACCAGTGATTGAAGAAATGAAGGTAAACATAGAAATGGATAAAATAATGGGAAATTAAATTTCCTCTTGGCAGAAAGAGTGGTAGGCAGAAAAATGGCCCCCAAAAGACACCCAGGTCCTAAATCCCAAAACCTGTGAGTATGTTCCCTTACTTAGCAAAAAGCACTTTGCAAATGTGATTAAGGTTAAGAATTTTGAGACAGGAGACTATTCTGGGGTTTTCAGGTGAGTCTAACATAATCAGAAATTAACCTTTCCAGGGTCAGGAGAAGAGAGGTGTGACTACGGAAGAATGGTCAGAGACACACGATGCGGCTGGCTTTGAGGAAAGAGGATGGGGCAGCCTGTAGAAGATGGAAAAGACAAGGAAACAGAGTCCCCTTTGGAATCTCTGGAAAGAAACGTAACCCCATTGGCATCTTGGTTTGGGCCCAGCAAGACCCATGTCAGACTTCTGGCCTGCAACACTACAAGATAATAAGTCTGTATTGTTTAGCTCACTCCATCTGTAGTAATTTATTGCAGAAGCAATAGGAAAAACAAAACTAATACATCCACTCACCCGCCCAATCCCCACCCCCCACGCACACCTATTTAGTGTGTTAAGAATGGTTAAACCCAAGCGGCAGGGGACAGTAGCAGTAGGAGTCCGCAGAGGCATGGCTAAGAGTGGTTAAACCTAAGCGGCAGGGGACAGCAGCAGTAGGAGTCCGCAGAGGCATGGCTAAGAGTGTCAGAGTGTCTCCTTGAGAAGGAGAATAGAAATGCTGATTTTCTTAATCTTTTCTCTTTTTTTTTTTTTTTTTTTTTTTTTGAGATGGAGTTTCGCTTTTGTTGCCCAGGCCGGAGTGCAGTGGCGCAATCTTGGCCCACTGCAACCTTCACCTCCCAGGTTCAAGCGATTCTCCTGCCTCAGCCTCCCGAGTAGCTGGGATTACAGGTGTGTGCCACCATGCCTGGCTAATTTTTGTATTTTTAGTAGAGATGGGGTTCACCATGTTGGCCAGGCTGGTCTCAAACTCCTGACCTCAGCTGATCTGCCCGCCTTGGCCTCCCAAAGTGCCAGGATTACAGGCGTGAGCCACCATACCCAGCCAGATTTTCTTAATAGTTTAAAGAAAATTTGTGGTGACTTAAGCATATTAAAGAAGGACCATCTCAAAAGGAATTGAAACTTATAAAGCTCCAAAGCAGGAGAAGGGAGAAAAGGGAATGCAAAAATTTTATTACTTCAACAGAAAGTAGAAGAGGAGAGAAAAAGGGAATGAAGAAAAAATTCAGTCAGAAATCAAAAGGTGAACTAGAGGAATCCCAAATATATTAGCAACCACAAAAAAATGTAAATCACATACAAAAGATGGGAATGATCAGATTGAATAGAAAAACAAAATCCAGCCATATGCTGTTTAAAAGATGTAAGCCCAGGTAATGTGTTTGTGAACAATAACCTAAAGAAATATGCTGTAGTCATATGAAAATTAGACAAATAAAATTCCAGGGCTCAGAATATGCTGCCCCAGAATAGGACACCCTGGCACACTGAGTATTTTAAGGTGAAGGAAACTGAGAATCTCGCAGAAGCAGGGAGTTCGCTCTCTGAGCTTCCTCCTTCCTTCTCTCCTGGAATAGGTCATAAGACCCTCATCCCAGAGGAGTCCTCCTCTACCCGGAAGAAAGGAAGGAAGACACAGAGATGCCAAGAAGAATCTGAACAAACAGGTCTGGCTAAGCTCCCTTAACCTTCATTAAACGTATGTAAAAACTTCATAAACCTTCACTGTATTACCATTAGATCAAAGCCCGTTTGTCCACTGTCATACTTTTCCACAACTGTTTATAGAAATACACAGTTTCAGCCAGGCATGGTGCCTCACACTTGTAGTCCCAGCACTTTGGGAGGATGAGGCAGGAGGATTGCTTGAGCCCCGGAGTTTGAAACTAGCCTGGGCGATATAGTGAAATCCTGTCTCTACAGGAAAAAAAAAAAAAAAAAAAAGCTGGGTGTGCTGGTGCATGCCTGTGGTCCTAGCTACTGGGCAAGCTGAGGTGGATCACTTGAGCCCCAGCATTTGAGGCTGAGGCTGCAGTGGGCTATGATGGCACCAATGCACTCCAGCCTGAGCGACAGTGCAAGACATCGTCTCTAAACAAAACAAAACAAAAAATACACCATTTCCCTGCTTCTGTGGGTCTTTATTTCTGAAGGCTCTCGTGTGACATAAACCTGACACTAAATAATTTTGTATGCTTTTCTCTTCTTACATCTGTCTTTCGTTATAGGGGTTTGGGCCGTGAACCTAGCGATGGGTGAGAAAAATATATTACTTTTTCTCCCCTATTAGATTTTAAAGGAAAAGGCATAAGCAGGGATAAAGAACTCCATATAAGAATAAAATGGCAATCTACGATCTTTTAAAGGATACATGTAACATATATTAAAATTGATTACATAACATGTTACAAAGTATGTAAGTACTTTGTAAGGAAACAATTAATAGAGTTCCCTATACAAGCTAGTAAATGTAATAGAAACCTACAAAACAATAAAGAGAATCAATCAAACTGGTTCTTAAAATGAACAAAAAGCATAAAATAGATAATTTCCCATCAAGACTGACCAAAGAAACAAGAGGAAAGGCACAAACTACGTAAGAATAATAGGGAAGATAAAAAGAGAGATTAAACATTTTAACAAAATATATACATGACTTTATATTTGTACATTTTAAAACTTGCACAAAATGTGTACACTTCTAAAAAAAAAACCAAATCGCCAGAATTAACTCAAGAAGAAAGTAAAAGCCTGAGTAAATCAATGCAACCACTAAAGAAATTGAATCTGCATCAAATACCTCCTTACAGCCTAAAAAGATACTAAGCCCAAATTTACAGAATTTTTTTTCTTTTATCAAGAATTCAAAGAACGCTTATCTTATGCAAACAGTTACATAGACTAGAAAAGAAAGTTGAAGCATTTTGGGTCTGAACACCAAAACCAAATGAAAGCAGTGTAAGTTAGATACTAATTTCAATTATGAACTTAGATGCAAATATTTTATTTACATACATAAATAAAATATCAGCAAACTAGATCCAGCAGTATATATTTAAAAAACTTAAGACCAAGTAGGATTTATCATAGCAATGCAAAAGTCTATTAATTTTATAAACTATCTTTACAGATGCTCTCTATTGCCAGTTCTAGTCAATATTGTGCTAGATTCTAGCAAGCAAGCAAGCAAGCAAGCAAGAAAGAAAAGAAACTGGAGGGAAGGAAGAAAGGGAGGCAGGGAGGAAGGGAAAGGAGGGAAGGAAGGAAGGAAGGGAAAGAAAGAAAGAGAAGGAAGAAAGGAGAGAGAGAGGGAGGGAGGGAAAAAAGAAAGAAGGAAAGAAAGAGAGAGAGAGAAAAAGAAAGAAAGAGGAAAGAAAGAAAGAAAAGGGAAAGAAAGGAAAGAAAAGAAAGAAAAAAGAAAGAAAGGGAAAGAAAGGAAAGGAAAGAAAAAAGAAAGAAAGAGAAAAACTGGAGGAGAGGAAGGAAGGGAGGGAGGGAGGGAGGGAAAGGAGGGAAGGAAGGGAAAGAAAGAAGGAAGGAAGGAGAGAGAGAGGGAAAGAAAAGGAAAGGAAAGAAAGAAGAAAAAGAAAAAGAAAGAAAGGAAGGAAGGAAAAGAAAGGAAAGGAAAGGAAAGGAAAGGAAAGGAGGAAGGAAGGGTTAAATCAAGTTTAGCCTCAAGCTGCTCCTTACGTATTTTAAGTTCAGCCCAAAGGTTTCTCTGTACCTGGTGACTATAACCTAAATGGAGTTGTAAGCAGACCATAGCCTACTCTAGTGCCAGTCACTGAGTTTTGGCCGATCAAAGGTGGCCAACTGTTCGAACCATGTTCAAATAAGGCAAATGCCGAGCTGTAACCAAGGTGGCTATTTCTGTACCTCGCTTCTGTTTTCTGTATGTCACTTTCCTTTTCCTGTCCTTAAATTGTCTTCCACCACTTGGCTGTGCCGGAGTCTCCGAGCCTACTCTGGCTTGGGAGGCTGCCCCATTTGCAAGCTCAATTAAACTTTGCTCAATTAAACTCTGTTAACTTTAGTGGCTAAGGTTTTTTTTTTTTAGAAGAAAGGAAAGGAGGAAGGAATTAGAAAGGAATACGAAAAGCTGTCATTATATGCAGTAGATATAACTGGCTACTAGAAAATGCAAGAGAATGTACAACTACTAGCACTAACAAGAGAGTCTAGCAAGGTTTTGGATACACAACCAGCATATAAAAATTAGCAGCAGGTGTTTACACCCCACAATGTAATCCAAAAAAGGATTCCATATAATTGCAGCAAAAATTATTTGATCCCTAAATCTAACAAAAAATCTGCAAGAGAAAACTTAAAGCTGATTTAAATAAAAACATACCACGCTAATAAACAGAAAGACTCAATATCATAATGATGTCAATTCTGTTCTTTCCAAATGAATCTGCAAATGCAATGCCATTTTGAGCAAAGTTTCTAAGGGCTTTCCAAGTGTCTTGCCAAGCTGATTATAAAATTCATATGAAAATTAGAAGTCCAAGAGTTTTAAAGAGGGAAAATTCATCTTCCTAGGTATCATAATTCATCATAAATACATAAATTAAAACAGTATGGAACTGTTCAGAGAACAACAGACAGACCAATGGCATAAAACAGAAATCCAAGAAACAGACTTTCAATTGGTGGCAAATTGGTCCTGAGGCCAGGTAGCGTGACAAAACAGTGGGGGAATATTTGGTAAATGCTACTGAGGCCCAGCTTTGTGAGGCAGGGGGTTTTGAGAGTGGGGAATACCAAACTGGCCTGAGGCAGAGGAAAGCTGACTTGCTTTCTACCTGGCCCCCATCCCCAACACTCCCGAGCCTGGGGACCACTTCTATTCTAGAGCGACAGATTTGCTCTATAAAAACAGTTGCAGTTAGAACTGGGCCATGCTGGGAGGCTGCTGGCAGGGAGGCTGGCAAGAACTCAGGGCTGGGTAGAGGCTCTTGGGGGTGCACAGACAGGAGACACCTGTCTCCTTTTCTGGGGTGCCAGGAGTCCTGGCCGGTGATGGACAGGAATAAGCAGAGGCCCTGAGAGTGGCAGCTGACTTATTTTGGCATGGGTGCACAGTTGCTGAGCTGTTTCCTCTGTGGGTGGCCCAGCTCCCAACCTGAGACCTATCTGAGCATCCATTGTAGCCTAGGTTCTGCTCTTACCTAAGGAATCCTTACAGCCTTCAAGGTTTGTGGAATCTCTATTTTATAGAAAGCAGCAAAGGTGCTCAAAGAGGCTAAGTAACTGGCTTTTTTTTTTTTTTAATGGAGTCTTGTTCTGTCACCCAGGCTGGAGTGCAAGGGCACGATCTGGCCTCACTACAACCTCCACTTCCCCGGTTCAAAGGGATTCTCCCACCTCAGCCTCCCAAGTAGCTGGGACTACAGGTGCGCACCATTATGCCCAGCTAATTTTTATATTTTTTGTAGAGCCAGAATTTTGCCGTGTTGGCCGGGCTGGTCTCGAACTTCTAGCCTCAAGTGATCCACCCGCCTTGGTCTCGCTAATGCTGGGATTACAGGTGTGATTCAACATGCCTGGCCCCACATGCTTTTTAAAGCAGCTTGGCTGGGATTTGAATGCATGAGTTTCTGACAACACAGGTCAAGAAACATCTCCCACCATACCCTCTTTAAGAGGCCACCAGCACTTCTGTTAGAAGTTGCAGCAGAGAAAGGATCCTTTAGGCACATCTCCCAGATCCTTGCGAAGAGGGGCAAAGGGAACTTGGAGGAGGCCAAGCTCCTGGGAGAAGAACTGTATCTAAATGCAGATGTCCTATTGTTGCCGTCAGAGAAGACACACCCGAAGCTGAGACAGGGCTCTCCCAGAAGTGAAGGAAGATTTCTTAGTAAAAGTTTGCAGGTGGGGCTGGAAAGATAGGCTTCTGAAATAGGGGGCTTCTAACATCCTTGGGTGAGCCCCTAAAGCAGGTGGGGGCGGGGAGAGGGTACTTGCAGTGAGTGAGGATAGTTTTAAGGTAATCAATAGTTAGATCTTCATTTTACAAATGGGCCTCCCAACCCAAAGCACCCTGCCAGAGAGGCATCTGAGGACACAGCCCCCCTCCACTTCCACCTCCTGACCTCACCCAGCTCCCCCTCCCCAAAAGCGGGAGGAGGTGATTGGGGTGTGGAGACAGCAAGCACCCCATGACTAGGTATTGATCCTGCAAACCAGAAAGTTTCCAGTTCTTGGCTTTAAGCAGGGCAGATGAAAGCCCTACATTCGTTGCCCCCTGAGAGACCATTAAAATCACATTGATCGTTACTGACCATAGGACCCACGAATCCTCCCCATCCCATAAGGCAGGCATTGCCAGATGACAGATGGGGAAACTGAGGCACAGGAGGCTGTAATAGCCTGCCTGAGGTTGCACACCTAGTAAATGATGGAGCAGGGCTGGGAACTTAAAAGTGTGGCTTTCATCGTGAATTCTGGGGTGTAACCTGGGAGGACTTCACAGAGTGAGTAGGATGACTGCAAAGTCCCCGTGTTCCCATCCACTTGTCCAAGGCAAGCTTGTTTCCTCAGCACTTACACTGATACATCAGAGAACAGAGGCCAAATTGGTGCTGAGCTGTCTCATTCACGCACGGATGCATAAACAAAATGGGAACCTCAGAACAGCCTGTGGACTGGATTTCTGCCCCTGCCATGCACGGATGCTCAGCCTGTCAACTGGATTTCTACCCCTGCACGTCGGTAAGTAGCTGGCTGTGCTCAGGCTGTGCCCAGCTGGCACCCAGCCCCATGGAGCTCGGGGAGTGTCTCCAAAGGGGGAAGGGAATATTGGAATTTATGGTCAATTTGAAGGGTGGCCTGAGGCAGGACATTCACTGCCTGGCAGGTGAAGGCGGACATAATTAGAACTTGGCTAGGGCCTTCAGAGGATTGGTGGGAAAAGTCAGAAGAGGATTTTGAAGCGAGGTGTTTGGAAGAATCTTAGCGTTGTCCATTGATATCTTCCACTGCAGTGTTGACGGGTCTTTCAGGGAGTTACTGTAATCAAACCATTTGTCAGGACGCAGGTGCCTGGAATGGTCAAGAAATATGACAAGGACAACAGGATGGTGAAGTCCTCTCAGACTGGGAGCTGCGTCTGTCCATGTCTGTGTCTGTGTGTGTCTGTGTCTGTTCACGTCTGTGTCTGTGTGTGTCCATGTCTGTGTCTGTGTCTGTGTCTGTGTGTGTCCGTGTCTGTGTCTGTGTCTGGGTGTGTTTGTGTGGAGGGGTATGAGTTCTCAAATCCTGCCACCTCATGAACAGATCCTTTTCTGGTAGATGCTATTAAACACAGAAGTTACAATTGTAACAATATCTATGCTATACTTATTGTTGTCACCAGCCGTGCATTAATCATTGAGATGATAACTCCAATTCAGGAGTTATCAGGGCCCTATGCCTCAGATAGTTTTAAATTTGCATTTTCTTCTAGGGGAGTATGACAAGTTAATCCAAAAAAGACATAAATAAATGTTGTTAAATAAATTTGGACTTAGGAGAAACTTTACTGGATAAGATATTCAAACAGAAAGAAAGGGACTATTGCAATGGGGAAGAGGGACTATTACAATAGGGACAGGGGACTATTGCAGTGGGGGAGGAGGACCTACTGCAATGGGCGAGAGAGCTGCTGCAATGGGGGAGGAGGACCATTGCAATGGGGAAGGGAGATTATTACAATCGGGACAGGGGGACTATTTCAATAGGGACAGGAGGACTATTGCAATGGGGAAGGGAGATTATTACAATAGGGACAGGGGGACTATTTCAATAGGGACAGGAGGACTATTGCAATGGGGAAGGGAGATTATTACAATAGGGACAGGGGGACTATTTCAATAGGGACAGGAGGACTATTGCAATGGGGGACAGGGATCATTACAGTAGAGACAGAGGTACTATTTCAATGGGGAAGGAGGACTATTGCAATGGAGGAGGAGGACCTATTGCAATGGGGGATGGGGATTATTACAATAGGGACAAGGGAACTATTTCAATGGGAGAGGAGAACTATTTCAACAGAGAAGGAGGACCTATTGCAATGGGGAAGGACGACCTGTTGCAATGGGGGAGGAGGACTATTGCAATGGGGAAGGAGGACTATTGCAAATGCGAAGGGGGATTATTACAATAGGGACAGGGGGACTATTTCAATGGGGGAGGAGGACTATTTCCTTTTTTTTTTTTTTTTTTTTTTTTTTTTGAGACGGAGCCTTGCTCTGTTGCCCAGGCTGGACTGCAGTGGCACGATCTCGGCTCACTGCAAGGTCCGCCTCCTGGGTTCAAGCCATAATCCTGCCTCAGCATCCCAAGTAGCTGGGACTACAGGCACCCACCAGCATGCCCGGCTAATTTTGTTTTGTATTTTTAGTAGAGACGGGGTTTCGCCGTGTTAGCCAGGATGGTCTCCATCTCTGCACCTCGTAATCTGCCCACCTCGGCCTCCCAAAGTGCTGGGATTACAGGCCTGAACTACCGCACCCGGCCCAGGAGGACTATTTCAATGGAGGAGGAGGACTTACTGCAAACCGGGAGGGAAGCCATTGCAATGGGGTAGGATATTGTTACAAAGCGGGAAGGAAACTATTGTAATTGGGAATTACAATTGGGAATTGGAAGCAGTTATTCTCCAACCATGAGACCTGCAAGTATCTGAAGAGGTAGGCACTCCTCTCTTTTGTAGAGAGGAGTAAACAAAACTAGGAAGAGCAGAGTCTGGGGCAGTGACATGGATGGGAGGCACATGGTCAAAGAAGGTTTGACCTGAGGCCGGCCTCTTCTCAGAAGGGGCTGCCTGCAGGCGCAGGCTGAGGGCAGTCCAAGTTTAGGAGCCCAGGGAAGGAAAGAAGCTTAACCAAAGTTTGGTTAATGAGGATTTTGTTCTGATTGATCAGTGGGCAGAGCAACTCAGCCAATCACTGATGGCCAAAGAATAGAAACCTGGAAGGCCTCACACTGGCCTTGTCCTAGGTCAACATGGACCATCGGTGACTTGCATCTACATCACATGGGAAGGTCATTCCTTGCAGTAAACCATTTTCTGGAACACAAAAGGGTAAGAGGATTTCCTAACCTCCAGATAAAGTTCAACGTTGTCAATATTTAATGTATTACATTTAGATAAAATCAGTAGAGGCCATAGAATAGAAATGCAAATTCACGGAGAAAAGCATTCCCATAAAATTTCTGTCAGAGAGCTGGTTTTCACGCTTTTTAAACGACTAGCGGCTGACGTCAGATTGCTGTGCTAGTTAGATTCCATTGGATACATTTTAAAGATGATGTGAATTTTGTTTAAAATGTCAATATTCAAATTACGCTGATTCCCTACTTGACTAATTAAATGTATGATAGAAGTGTTTAGATATCAGCTTTAAAAGTACAAAAGGGCCGTGGTCTTTCAAAACACTTTAGAAATTCTATAAGTAAAGATCTAAAGACTGCTGCCCCAGGAGTGGGTGGGAGTGTGTCTTCAAGGTGATTCTCAAAGGCTGCCTTAGCCATGGGTGGTTGCATGTGATCCCATCAGCAGCCCAGTCCAAGTAGAACTGGAGGACAAGACGTGCCCCTCAGCCTAGTGGTCAGCCCTCTGGCCTGGAGGCTGCAGGTGACTCCTGTGGACTGACAGGCTTAGTAATGGAAGTGCTTACTGCTCAGGTCCCAATCCCTGGGGGACCCAGGCCTCAGGATTTTCACCTCCCAGGTGACTCCCAGGTAACTCCCAGATGAGACAGGTTGAAAGCCTCCACTGGTAAAAAGGCCCAGTGCACCAATAAGCAAAGGGTTTTTCCTTCTTTGTTTTTGTTTTTAACGTTTATTTTAGGTTCAGGGATACATGTATAGGCTTGTTACATGGGTAAATTGCATGTCACAGGGGTTTGGTGTGCAGATTATTTCACCACCCAGGTAATAGGCATAGTACCCAATAGTTTTTCTGTCCTCATCCTCCTCCTTTCCTCCACCCTCAAGTAGACTCTAGTGTCTGTTGTTCTCTTCTTTTTGTCTGTGTATACTCAATGTTTAGCTCCCACTTATAAGTGAGAACACACGGTATTTGCTTTTCTGTTCCTGTGTTAGTTCTCGTAGGATTATGGCCTCCAGGTCCATCCATGTTGCTGCAAAGGACACAACCTCGTCCTTTTTTATGGTTGCGTAATGTTCCATGGTGTATATGCACAACATTTTCTTTATCCAATCTACCGTTAATGGACATTTAGCTTGATTAACAGACACTGTTCAAAAGAAAACATACACGTGGCCAACAAGCATATGAAAATGTTCAACATCACTAATTATTAGATAAATGCAAATCAAAACCACAGTGAGATACCATCTCACACTAGTCAGAATGGCTATTATTAAAAAGTCAAAAAAAAATAACAGATGCTGGCAAGGTTGTAGAGAAAAGGGAACGTAAATTAGTTCAGCCATTGTGGAAAGCAGTTTGGCAATTTCTCAAAGAACTTAAAGCAGAATTACCGTTCGACCCAGCAATCCTATTATTGGGCATATACCCAAAGGAATATTCATTGTTCTACTGTAAAGACGCATGCATGGTGTGTTCATCACAGCACAATTCACAGAAGTGAATTTTTTTTTTTTGCTTTGTATTTGCCACACTGTAGCTGATCGACCTGAGAAACAAAAGAGTACTGCTACTAAAGGAACCCAAGCTCTGAGTTGTCTCAAGTTTCCTCTTTTCCTGTTTTTCTCAGGTAGAGTTTCTCTCCTTTAGCTCATTCTGTCCTGAGAGAAACACCACTCCCGGATGTTGACCCATCTATAGCAGGAATTCTCCAAGTGTGGCCCCTCCCCGGCCAGGCACGGGTCTGGGAGGAAGCCGGCAAGAAGAACCAGCCTGCTTTGGGTTTTCACCTGGAAAAGAGGCAGAGCCATGTTGATTTTAGTTTGTGTAAAGCAATGAGCTATTTGCCTATAGCCTATGAAATAAATTATTAAAGATTACAGGCCGGGTGCGGTGGCTCACGCCTGTAATCCCAGCACTTTGGGAGGCCGAGGCGGGCAGATCACGAGGTCAAGCGATCGAGACCACCCTGCCCAACATGGTGAAACCCCGTCTCTACTAAAAATACAAAAAAAAAAAATTAGCTGGGTGTGGTGTCTCGCGCCCATAGTCCCAGCTACTTGGGAGGCTGAGGCAGGAGAATGGCGTGAACCCAGGAGGCGGAGCTTGCAGTGAGCAGAGATCATGCCACTGCAAATCCAGCCTGGCGACAGAAGGAAACTCTGTCTTAAAGAAAAAAAAAAAAAAGATCACTACTAATGCTATGTATTCCCTAGCTAAAATGAGCAGCCTGCTACTTTACAAAAAATTCCAAAGTGGCCCCGACGGTGCCCCGAGCGCTTCCCGCTTCTCCCTTGTTCATGAAGCTGCCTCATATCCCGGGAACTAGGCCACACTGGCCATTAAAGACACCGTCCTATGAGAAAATCCATAGACAATTTAACAATGTGGATTAGTCCGATCTTTACTTAAAATATAAAATGTGTTAATTTCATGACACACATTAGAAAGGTCAGAGGTTGTGTGTATATAAATTCCAATTTGCCACATTGTTTTTTTCCCCAAGCTCTCATTTGATGAAGCCATTTCATTCTAACTCTCCTTGCCTCTATGACATGCAGTCTTCTTGTCACAGACGTGCCTTTTGAGCTAATCTTTTCCAAGAGAACATTATAAGGTCTTCAGTTTCCCCTAATTTCTTTGAGCTCTGCTGACTTCAAGATACTGTTGCTGGAAACTTTATCCCTAGCTATAAGTACTATTTATACAACATTAGAACATTGTTTCTTTTTCATTCCTTTTGTAAGAGAATTTTTTTTTTTTTTTTTTTTTTTTTTTCTTTTTTTGAGACGGAGTCTCGCTCTGTCGCCCAGGCCGGACTGCGGACTGCAGTGGCGCAATCTCGGCTCACTGCAAGCTCCGCTTCCCGGGTTCACGCCATTCTCCTGCCTCAGCCTTCCGAGTAGCTGGGACTACAGGCGCCCGCCACCGCGCCCGGCTAATTTTTTGTATTTTTAGTAGAGACGGGGTTTCACCTTGTTAGCCAGGATGGTCTCGATCTCCTGACCTCATGATCCACCCGCCTCGGCCTCCCAAAGTGCTGGGATTACAGGCGTGAGCCACCGCGCCCGGCCTGTAAGAGAATTTACACAACATAGACAACCTATTGCTCTTAATGTGGTCTTTACATGGCTTTTTTTTTTTTATATATATGGAGTCTCACTCTGTCACCCAGGCTGGAGTGCAGTGGCGTGATCTCGGCTCACTGCAACCTCCAACAAGGCTTATTTTTAACACCCTACACCTCTGAATATGAGGTCATACCTCCTGGAATAATTCAATCAGTGTTAAATATCTTTTCTTCTTTATCTACTGTTAGTGATTCACCCCCTTGGCTACTCTGGACGTCCCCAGCAAGCACAGATTGAGGTCAATCCAGGCTACTGTGCCTCCTGGAAAAAGAAACTGGCCTTTTGTAGAAAAGCTATTGATGTTATGTTTCACAATAAAAACATGAGTTTAAAAAGCAAGTATAAGAATGCCTTATAAAAGACTTCATGAGAATTTAAGTGGAAAGCAACCTACTAATCTCTTAGAAGGTTATTTTTTGAGGGGGAAGAATATTTAGGAACATATTCAGTGATTGTGATTGCTGAAGATTTTCAATTTGTGGTATCATTAGTGTTGTTTTGAGTTGGCTGTGGTTTTCCATTGCTGCTTCATGCTTTCTGCTTATAAATTACTCTTAATATCAGTCTTAGTATTATCAATTTGATTTTACTCTTGAGTTAACAAATTGTTAATCAATTTGTGTTGTTTGGTTAACTCAGGAGTAATATGTTAATAGAACTGTCTAGGATTTTCCTGTAACTAAGCCTGGAGCCTTGTACCATTGGAGGTCACATGTGCTACCTGAACTTTCTCTGCCAGATAAACATAGTGGATGCAGCCTAATCCCTACAGGCCTTATTCAGGCATTAACAATCTGCTGCCTGTAAATCTGCACACATGAAAATATAGGCAAAATTTTCTCACAGTAAGTATATTAAAACTATCATATTATTTGTAACTGTATAGAGTGTTGTTCATAATTCAAGTAATATATATAAGTCGATATTCTCTTCTAATTGAAGCATAAATAAGTCATTCATAAACATTTCTAGGGCAAGTTGAATATTTCCTTGTCTCCATTTTGTTGTTATCACAAAATTCTTTTTCTGATGCAGCATGAACATGGGTAGATACTGGCAGACCTCTAGGTCTTTTGCTCTAATTTAGTTCACTGTGATCAAGGAAGATTCTGAATTAGTTGATCTCTAAATTCTATCTAGTTTTGATTTCTAGGCACTCAGGAGAGGTATGCAGTGGGGTGTGTGCAACTGTGCACTCTCATGCACACAAGCTCACCCACTCAAGTTACATGTATACATATGCAGGAAGGCACAAGTACATACATGTACACATAGACACACACTTTCACACAGGCACCCCTGTCATCCTTTGTTTTCTTTTCAGCAATTCCATTCTCCAGTTCAAGATTCACCCAGCAAGAGTGAGGACACTTCAGTCTCTACTGATGGTAGAAAGGGAGGAAGAGAGAAGGAAAGGGAGTGAAGAATCATTGAAAGTTTCATGTGTTCCATTAAATAATCATATTTTTGTAGTCATATAGACTGATCTGAAATGGTTCTCTCATTTCTCATTTCTTTTCTCTCATTTCTCTTCTCAGGAAATAAAAATGACTTAATAACGAAGCCTGAAATAAGCTGTCTGAGAGGCTTTACGTGGTGGTTCATGTCTGTAATCCCAGCACTTTGGGAGGCTGAGGCAGGTAGATCATTTGAGGTCAGGAGTTTGAAACCAGTTTCACCAACATGGTGAAACCCTGTCCTACTAAAAATACAAAAATTAGCTGGGTGTGGTGGCACGTGCCTGTAGTCTCAGGTACTTGGGAGGTTGAGGTGGGAGAATTGCTTGAACCCAGGAGATGGAGGTTGCAGTGAGCCAAGATCGTGCCACTGCACTCCAGCCTGGGCGACGGGAGTGAGACTCCATCTCAAAACAAACAAACGAACAAATAAAAAACAAAAAATACTGCCTGAGAGCCACGTTGCACAGAAAGGTTGACCCTCAGTTGGCATCTGACCCATTCAGAGCAATCCCCCAGCCCTCACAATGGTCAGACTTTGACTCATGGACAAAGCAGGTTGGGAGGAGCTGGTCACAGAGCTGTGCCTAAACCAGGCCAGCCGCCTCCCCACTTGGTGTGAATGACACACCATCTCATTCAATCTTTCAAGCAGTGTTCTGTCTTTTAGTTCTGGCTCAGGTAAGGGAACTGAGGGCGTTTTGGGTCTGGATAATTGTCTTGGGTCTGGAGACCGACGAAGGTTTTTAGGGGCCATTACTTTCAAATAACAAATGCCTTCTGAACTGTAAATTTCTGTAGACTGCCAAGCAGCACAGCAAAGGGGAATGCACAGCAATCATCCAAATACACTCTCAGGTTCACCACTTCATCCTCTGTCCTCCCAAACTTAGCAGAAATGGCAAGGTCTCCCTAGAGGATGGTTCTCAGCTCTAGAGAATCTAAGCCAACCATTGAAATTCCAGCTTCCTTGAGAGTAAGTGGTCAGAGCCCCCAGGTCTAAGCCAATCAACACAAGGCATTTCCACGGTAGCCAGGAATCGGCTCAGAAATGGACAGGAGACCAATTAAAGCCAATGAAACAGCGGGGAGGTTGGCTGGAAGCTGCTGGAAAAAAAATCCCTTGCTCTGTAAAGGGAAGACGTCTTTCTCTGTCACTAAATGTTACCATGTGTATACACTATGACTGCTGTGGCCATCTGTCAACCAAAAACTTTTAGGATGAAGCTTAGAGACATAAAAATACCTTGATATTTGGTGACCTTTTAAACTAATCAAAGTCCCAGTAAATGGTACATTGAAATTGGGAAAATTTAGGGAAAGTTTAATAAAGTGACTGTTTTAAAAGGTGTAGAATGGATAAGGGAAGTACTTGCTTGAAGTTAGTGAATGTGGGAGGAGGTGTCCCCATCCTGTTCTCCACCACCAAGTTCTGAAAGGGGAGTTGGGAGGTACCTTCCCAGAACCTGAAGACCGAGAGCCTCATGGATAGGCCTTCTGGGAGGAGGCTGCACCAGCCTGGTGGTGGGGGTGCCTACAGGAAGACAGCTAGGGAAATAAATACCCAAACTCACTTTGCTTTCTACTGTGATCACCTGCTGATGCTCCCCATTTGCTGAATTCAAATGGAAGTCTGTAAGGTCAGCTTGCTGGGACAGAGAGGGCTGCGGAGGCAACCTGGAAGGACAAGTGCAAGCTAGGCACACAGCCTCTTAGAGCAATCGGACACTGCTGGATTTGCAGTTGCATGAGGCTGTTAATTGCTTTATTTTAAAGACACTTTGAATTGCCATTTCTGCTTATTGCACTCAAAAGTATCTTAACAATCATAGAGAAAATATTCTACATACAAAGCCATACTAAAAAATAAAAAATGTTATGGGTTAGGAAGGGAATGGATATACACAGAAGGGGCAGGCAGAACCCACAGATGTAGAAATGGGCAGAGCCACCAGGATCCCAGCTCCTGAATGGGAAGGGGCATCTGTGGTGTGTGCTTCAGGAGCCTAGAGTCAGCCTCTTTAGGAAACAAAGAGAGGAGCGGGACTTTGCTCCCAGGAGTAAAAGGCCAGGTTGCTTTGATAAGGACTGCTTGTCTGACCTTGGAAGAGGATGAAGTTCGAGGTGGAGTTAAACGCAGGCCTACCAGCCACAACAGAGAGGTGAGAGAAGAAGGAGAGCTAAACAAACCAAGCGATGGGAGCTTGCAAAAGAGTGTTTCAAAGCCGGGGGAAAAATACATGGCTTGAAAAAATTTACAATAAATGCGACAAATTGGAGAATGCTTCTGAGGAAATCTAAATGATAGACCAATCATCAGAGGATTTATTTAACTGTGTGTGATGTTCAAAGAGACGAAAGAAGGGACGACCACAGGAAAAAACAAAAATAGGGTGCTGTGAACAGCTTGAGCAGCTATCAACATGAAGACATGGATTAGATAAATGAAGGATTGGAGATTCTGAAAATAAAAAACTATAAATATTGAAATAAACAATAAACAAGTAAATGCAGTTAAAGCGAGAAACAGCAGATTGTACTAAGGAATTAATGCTAACAGGACAGAGAGACAAAGAAGTAAAAACATATGAAAGAGACAAAATAATATGGAAAATAATATAAGACACTCCAACATGCATCTAATAGACGTTCCAGAAGTAGAGAATACAGGAAATGGTGGAGGACATATGCGAATTATAATACCTGACAATTTTCCAAAATTGAAGATAGACATGATTTTCCAAATAGAAAGATAACATTGGGAAACAAGGAGAATAAATAAAGATAAATTCATAGTCAGATGCAGTGCATTAAAAACGCAGGATATCAAGGAAAAAGAGAAAATCTAAAGGCTACTAGAGCAAAAAAGATTTAAAAAAAAACCTACACAAAGCTAGGAAGATTAGGCTAAGAGCTGACATCTCAACATTAAGAATGGAAGGTGGCTACTCAGGAGGCTGAGGCAGGAGGATGGCTTGAGCCCCAGGAGTTCAAGTCCAGCCTGGGCAACACAGTGAGACTGTGTCTTAAAAAAAGTAAATAAATAAATAAGTAAATAAATAAATAAATAGAGGAAGGTGGTGAATGAAAATATTCAAAAGTCAGAGGAAAATGACTTTCAATCTAGAATTCTGTAAACCACCAAATTTTTATTAAGATTGAATTCAAAATAAAGACTTCAGACTGAAAAAGACTTAAGAGTTTACCAGACAGACTTTTGATGAAAACTATAAATAAGTAGTTCTCAACCTTGCGTGCCCATTAAAACCACCAGGACATTAAAAAATTCCAATATCCAGACCAAACCTAGATGCAGGAGGTGTTGCTTTTTGATCTTCCCAGGTGATTCCAGTGTTCAGCCAGGGTTGACATCACTGCTTCACCTAATTACTCCAGAAGAAGAAAACTTATTCAGAAGAGGTTACCAAGAGCACCAAAATCAGTCAACTGCCAGTTAACAATGAACTATTATTTGGGGATGGGATCCTCTGTGTGACAGTTTCATTGCTTGGTGTGAGGGTTTTTGAACAATTTGAATTTCATTTGTCTTTTTCTCTCCCAAGTGAGTTTTTCCTGTTCATTTTTCAAGTAACTTATATTTGTTTTGGGGGGAAGGGCCGGTTGGTGGCCTAATGTTATTCACATCAATGGACTGTAATCTCGCTGCACATTAGAAGCTAGTCCCTGTGGTTCCACTTTAATCTGTAAGCAATGAGGCTCACCTACAGGAGTTGTCAAATCTCTCCAGGGGCAGCCAAGTTTGAGAACCACCGAATTAGTTCTCTGGGTCAAGGACACCAGAAGAAATGAAGAGGAGAAGGGAGCATTGAGTCTACTGAGCAGTTGTGGAGACCCCTTAGAAAGAACAGCACTGAGTTCTTTAGAAGGTACAGAACTGGCTCATTTTCACAACTATCTTAGGTAAAGAATCAGTGCATTAAACAAATTACTGTTTTCTGAACAAATTGGCAATATCAAGAGTGTGTTGGTAATTTAGAAAATTGCTTATTTTTATTTCTTCTTGGCCTATTTCTACTATTCACATCTGGAACAGCCAGCTCATTCGAGGGTGTTGGTGGTTCAGAAATCTAATCTCAGCCAAGCTTTTTCTGGGGGGAATTTGGATGAGTCAGTTTATCGTTTGGTGCGGTTACTTCCTTAACTATGGTGGGGAAATCCAACTAATCTTATACGTATGTGTGTTTTACAACGATTTGATACCACGCTCTGGGCAAGGCACTGGGTGGTTATTGGACGATAAGGTGATTGTATGGGGCTTCCTTGAAAGCCTAGTGACCTTCATTCAAGCATTTCATTTTAGTTCATTTCAACAAGCATTACCTGGAGCGTCTGTTACACAGATGTCCTGAAGCCCAGGATGAGTAAGACACCATCCCTGCCCCGAAAATTGAAATCTGTCATAAATAATTATTCTTGGAACAGGAGTTGCCAATGTGAATGCCTAGGGAACAAGACGGTGATGCTGTAAGTCCAGAAGGCAGTGAACAGGAAAAGGGTTATTTATGTGAGCACAAAAAGCAAGGCGCTCATTAACCCAGCTGTCTAAACAAGGGCATCTCCAAGTCGACTTCCGTGAGACCTTATCACTAAAATAAAAGCTGGCGAACTTTGGAGGAATTAAAGCACTCCCTTCTAGAATCAAACTGCTGCCCAGCCTCTCAGGGTTTTCCACACTTTCATATGCGTGAAAACCCCCGGCACGCTTGGTGTAAAATGCTGATTCCCTGGTCCTACCTGCGCAGACGCTGCATCAGTGGGTCTGAGGCAGGGCCCGGGCATCTGCATTTTAAATCAGCTCCCAGGAAAATTGTTGCAGGGGTGGGTCACACTTTGTTAAACCTTGTGGGTGTGGGCACTTCTCCCTGCAGCTCCTTCCTCTAACAGCCGGGTGTGTCCTCTGGGTCCCTTCTGGCCGACCTCCTCTGGGCAAAAGTCACTTCTCTACTGACCTGAAATCTGCCACACAGCTCAGTAATGGCTCTGATAAACAGGGACATCTCATTTATTGTTTCTTTCCTGGAACACTTTATGGTCATCAGTGAGCTGTCACCATGAGGGCTCATCCAGTCTCAAGGCAGAGAGCCTCCCCGGCAGTCAGCAGTGGCTCAGGGGCCCAGGTAGCAGTGTCCTGCTGGCAGGGTCAGGTGACTAGTCCCCTGCAGAGTCTCTAGGTAGGTGGGCTTTAGAGATCCTCTGGTTTGATTCTCTCATTTTACATGTGGAGAAACTGAGAAACCGAGGCTTTAGAAAGGCCATGTGCTTCCCTAGGTCCCAGCACTGAGGCAGAACCGGGCTCCACTAGGGCTTCCTGCTCCCTTCCTCTCTGCTCCAACCTGCTCCAGCCCCTTTATCCTCGCTTTACCAGATTCTGCCATGTTTGGGGATATTTGAGGAGTGCCACATTTTGCAGGATTCTCCATCAGCACAGAGTGCCTGTCGTGTGTCGACTCCCAAGGCCAGCACACCTGCACCATTGGATGTGCCTGAAGCCTGCCTCTATGGCCCTAGAGCAGTGTGGAGGGGACCCCAGCTTTCTCCCCACCTGGGGCAGGATCACTTGCCTGACTTGCAGGGGGATGGACGGCTGGTGCGCACTCTGTTGCGCTCTCTCTCTCTCTCTCTCACACACACACACACAGACACACACACACACACACACACACACACACACACACACCCTCACAGATTAAGAGCACCATTGGATTGGTCTGCTCAGGCCAAGATCACAGTCAGAGGAGAGAAAGAAGCATGACCCATGATAGCATCACCATCAACCATGAGGCATCATCACTGCCCCCAAAATAACACAGACAAGGGAGGGCCAGGGACTCAGCTTTGGGGTCACCACCATGGGGGCCAGAATGAGCCTTCATCACCCGGGTTTGCAAGGTGTGGGCCAGAGGAGCACTAGCAGGCAAAGGCTGCAGTAGGACCGCCCAGGGAGCAGTGGCTTGAGCCGCCCAGACACAGAGACACGTGGCAGGCAGCATGTTGAATTTTAACCAGAATTTAATGTAGGCAGTTTTAACTTTTGCCTTAAAAGTAAGAAAATAAACTAAAAAAAAAAATGAAAACAAAACAAACTACCACTCTACAGAATAGGAGAAGCGCCACACGGGCCTTCGGGCTCCACAAATGTGGCCTGGCCCGGCTCCTCCAGCCTCCCGGAGGGGGACAGCTGGCAGGCAGATCCTGGCCTGGAAGGTTCTGGAGGCAGCTCTCCTAAAGGAGTCATCTGTTCTGCCATTGAGTGGCCGTGTAATGCTCCCCAGCCCTGCGGTCACCCGGGGAAATCCCCTAGCAGGGAGCTGCGGCTGCTGTTCCCCTTCGGCCTGGAAGTTTGTCCAGGTTGGGGCAGCAATGGGGTGAATGGCCTGGAACCTGAATGTCCGAGGGCCTCGCCCAGCTGTACTTCCTCCTCTCACGTGGCCTCTCTGAGGAGTGAATTATGAAGTCATCCTCACTGCGGCCCTCCACCACTCCAGCTCCTAAAGGGCTGGCTTGGTCAAGCTGCCTCGGAGGGTCACCAGCCTTGGGATACGACACCTGCAGGCGGTGGGCGCTGCCCTGGAGCCACGCCATTCCATCTGCTCCGACTCTGTCTCACACTGTCTCCTTCCTCCCCTTCCTGGCCAAACTTCTCAAAATAGCATCTGCTGCTTAAAGCTTCTCACCACCTCCTCATCTGTAGTGCCCTGTAGCCTGGAGTCCACCTAGAACTCTACAACCAGTGCTCTAAGAAGGCCCATGCCCTCCCGTTTTCACCCACTGGCCCTGGTGTTGTTCTCACCCTCAGATTTTGGCAACACATGCCCCTTCTTCAGATGGGCACCTTCTTTTGCCTTCTCTCCCACCGGGACACTCATTCCCCCTCCGTGCCCCCAAGTACACACACCTGAGAAGTTTCCAGTTCTTTGCTCCGCATCTCTTCCCCTTTGGCACTCTGCGTGCTGCTGTCTGCCCCTTCTGAGGTGTCCAGATGAGCGATGCTCCATCTACCCTCTCTCCTAAGCTCCATCCAACAGCCTTGGGACCAGGAAGTTGGTCCTGCTGGGTCATTTGCAGAGTTGCTGGGGCACCTCAGAGAGAAACAAGATGGCGCAGGGGGCCATCAGCAGTGCACAGCCAAGTCTTCAGGTGACAGTGCTGAACAGGGGTCTCAGGGGAGCTGGAAGAAAAGTCTGTCCTTTAGGCCACTTGGCACAGCTCCAACCAGAGGTGACCCGCCTCCCACCTCCTGTTCTTCATCCTCCCCTTTGCTTCTTGACCTGCCTGAAGAAGACCCCTGGGTCTGGACAGCTGGGCCTCTGGCTGCCCCAGCAGGAAGCTCATGGTCCTGGAGTCCTGGGAGTCCAGGCTGGAAGATGTTTATCCTCCAGGTGTCAAGCACCCTGGGTGTGTCCAGATGGTGGAGGAGGAACTGGCTCTTGAAAGAAGATGTCCTTCCCATCTCTTCCCTCCCCAGCAATTTCTACTGAGTTCTAGGTGGACACCAGATGGCAAGAGGCAGAGTGCAGGGGGACGGTGAGAAGCTGCAGGTAGCGGATGTGATTTCGAGAAGTTTGACGGAAATGTAGGAAGGAGACCCTACGAGGACTGGAGGGACCCATGAGTATGAGAAGGGGGCACGGAGAGATTGAAGGGGACGGGTCCTGAAAGAGCCCGGAGGACAGAGAGTCCGGCAAGTCCCAGGCGCTGCCCTCACAATCCGATTGAGAGCCATGGAGGGGCTGCAGCAGCGGCTCAGGGTTGTGTTTAAAATTAGCTGGCAGAGTTCACTGCTGGGCATTGGGATGTCCTGCAAATGGCTCAACACGCAGGACGCAGAGGCTTTTTCACAGAATTGTTTGGAGCCATGTGCCTCTCTCTCTCCTGAAATGAAAGATTTGGGAAAGGTGACAATGCTGAATTTTCTTCTTCCTCTCTAGATATTCTTTCTGCTACATTTGATGGAGCTTCCAGGAAAAAGTAGATAGTAACTAAAACTCTCTTTGATTTCAGACTTGATACATATTTTCAGCTTGAGAATCCTTATTTCTCTGTTTAGTAAAAGGTGGCTGGGTTCAGTGGCTCATGCCTATAATCCCAGCACTTTGGGAGGCCGAGGAGGGCAGACTGCCTGAGCTCAGGAGTTTGAGACCGGCCTGGCCAATGTCATGAAACCTAATCTCTATTAAAAATACAAAAATTAGCCGGGCATCGTGCCAGGCGCCTGTAATCCCAGCTACTTGGGAGGCTGAGGCAGGAGAATCACTTGAACCCAGGAGGTGGAGGTTTTGGTGAGCTGAGATGGTACCACTGCACCCCAGCCTGGGCAACAGAGTGAGACTCTGTCTCAAAAAAATAAAATAACATAAAATAAAAGTAATAAAGAAAACATGTAAAAATGTGCGCTTGGGTGTACCTGGGAATGGTTCACGTTTGCCCTTTCGAAGGCAGCAAGGCAGAGAGAAAGGCACGTGGAGTTTGCAGTCAGATGGACCAGACTGGGTTTGAACTAGGGGTCTGGTCGTTACCCACAGGTGACCCCATTGCCTTCATCTCTCTGAGTCTCAGTTTCTTCCTGAACACCGTTAATCATTTCAGGCCTGGCATGGTGGCTCATGCCTGTATTCCCAGCACTTTGGGAGGCCGTGGCAGAAAGATCACTTGAGCCCAGAAGTTCAAGACCAGTCTGGGCAATATGGTGAAACCCCAACTCTACAAAAATATACAAAAAAGTTAGCTGGGCATGGTGGTGCATCAGTAGTCCCAGCTACTCAGGAGGCTGAGGTGGGAGAATCGCCTGAGCCAGGGGAGGTCGAGGCTGCAGTGAGCCTTGATCCCACCACTGCACTCCAGCCTGGGCGACAGAGTGAGACCCTCTCTCAAAATAATAATAACAATTAATTGTTCCAACAGTGCAGGAAATGCCTAGAATCGCACTCGCCCCACATGTTAACACCTTCCTGCATTCCCGCTGCATTTAGCAGACGGTTCAGTTTCTGTGGTGACCAGTGAGGCTTGTGAGTCACTTGTTCCGGAAAACTAGAGCAAAACGTTGCTCTCATATGCCTGGTTGTTTCCTTGTTGCTAAATCTTTTTTTTTGTTTGTTTTTCGTTTTTTTTTACAGCTTTCTTCTCAACCGACATCTGGAAGCCATTCAGTGCTGCATACACTTCCTGCAGGCTGCCCCTCTGTTCTCTCGCCCTTCTCATCTCACGTGATTGATCACCTGACAAGCTACCTGGATTTCCTAGTGCCCCAGAGTTGCCCTCAATCAACACACAACACGTTCCCATGTGGAATCTTCACCAAGTGTTCATTTCTTCCATTACAGGAAATAGTATTCTCTCCCTGTCCCCAAAACTTTGCAGTAAAGACCCCTGACAATCTAGTTCAAATGTCAGTCATGACACTGCTAGCTTTCTTTTTACAAGACTGTGTGAGTCCCCCTGCAAAAAAGTCAAACTGAATTTTATCACATGATATCTACTATAGTCCTTCAAGCAATTGTCACTGCATCTTTTCAGTTATGGTTACCAAAGGTTGTGTTTAAAATTAGCTCGCAGAATTTACTGCTGGGTGTGGGGATGGCCTACAAATGACCCAAATGACCAAGATTCAGTGTTGTTCAAATTGTGTATGTTCTGGAAAGGAGTCACTTTGTCTACTTGAACTTTAGAAGTTATTTACTAATGTTGCAGTGTGATACAATTGATCGTAATCTAGGCTGGGCACCGTGGCTCACGCCTGTAATCCCAGCACTTTGCGAGGCCGACATGGGAGGATTGCCTGAGCTCAAGAGTTTGAGATCACCCTGGGAAACGTGGGGAAACACCGTCTCTACTAAAATACAAGAAAAAAAAAAATAGCTGGGTGTGGTGGTGCTTGCCTGTAGACCCGGCTCCTCTGGAGGCTGAGGCATGAGAATCACTTGAGCCCGGGAGCCGAGATCGTGCCACTGCACTTCAGCTTAGGCTACAGGGTCTCAGACTCCAACTCAAAAAACAAACAAACAAACAAAAAAAACAGCACTCTGGGAGGCTGAGATGGGTGGATCACCTGAGGTCAGGAGTTCGAGACCAGCCTGACCAATATGGAGAAACCCGGCTCTATCAAAAAAAAAAAAATACAAAATACAAAATTAGCTGGGCATGGTGGCACATACCTGTAATCCCAGCTACTCGGGAGGCTGAGGCAGGAGAATTGCTTGAACCTGGGAGGCGGAGGTTGCAGTGAGCCAAGATCGTGCCATTGCACTCCAGCCTGGCCAACAAGAGCAAAACTCCGTCTCAAAAAAAAAAAAAAATCTAACGGGAAAATCTCAATTTCAGATTGATTTTTAGATTGAAAGAGGGAAGACAGCACGATGGGGGGAAATTGGATGAACTCTGGCATCTGAGCAAGTCTCCTTCTTGTTAAAACCCAACAGTGGTTTGGAATGGGATAAACCCTCTGCCTTGAGCACGTGCCTGGGCTCACCCAGCTCGCCTCTCGCAGTGCCTCCTGCCTGGGGAACCTGGCACACCTGTTCCTTTTACCTGGATGCTCTTTCCCCCTCTTTGCCTGGTTAATCCTGCTGAATCCCCCTCAACTCTGGCCTCAAAGCTCTCCTTCCTTGATGAGGTTTTCCCTGACCTCTCTGATGAGCTCACATCCCAGAGTTCATGCTTTTATAGCACCGCACATCCCTACAGTTGCTCTGGGGGATGAGCTGATGTCTGCCTGGTACCTCTAGGAGCCTGTCTCAGTGCCTGCTCTGTCCACCTGCTCCAGCCCAGGTGAGCCAGGCGTGGGCTGTGCCAAGTGAAGGCCTTGCCATCCTCAGCACTTTGCAAGTTTATCACAGTGAGTTTACATAACTAGCCTGCAGAGGAGGCACCACCGCCAGCTCATTTTATGGGATGAGGAAATTGAGGCTTAAGGAGATTAAATATATTGTCCAAAGGCCAACAGATGATGAAGGATAGGTTTATCATCAAGCTAAATATTTTTCAATATTTCCTTAAATCAGATCTGGCTTCGACTGAGTTATCCAGACAATTGTCCCAGACTTGGCTTCCCTAGGGGCACCTCGAACCCTAATTTGTAATCCAGAGGGCAAAGGGGCCACAGAGTCTTTCAAGGTGGCTCCTGGAGATGAGGAGCCCAAGAGCTGACTTCCTGTTTCCTCCTCAGTCACCTGGGTGGGATTGGTTGGGGGAGTTGGAGAACAGCAATCAGGTCCCCCCCACCACCAGGAAGCCTTGCAGAGGGTAGGGCAATGGGGGACCCCGTCCCACTCAGAGGGAAAGCATGGTCTGCGTCCTGCCACAGGAAGGCAGCAGCTGAAGGCCAGGAAAGGGGAGGGAGTTTCCTTTGCTTCTCCAGCAAAACAGAATGGATGGATGGATGGATGGGTGGGTGGATGGATGAATGGATGGATGGATGGATGGATGGATGGATGGATGGATGGATGGGTGGGTAGATGGATGGATGGGTGGATGGGTGGATGGATGGATGGATGGATGGATGGATGGATGGGTGGATGGGTGGGTGGGTGGATGGAAGGATGGATGGATGGATGGGTGAATGGATGGATGGATTCCATCTATTCTTGTAAGGATTGTAAGCCTTGCCAGTCATGGCTTGGATGCCACTTTTAGAGACTAGTTTCCATCTTCACTGGGGCTGTCTCATGAGTTACTACAATCCTTGTCAGTCTTTCATGCTTGAGTGACAGTGAGTGTCAGCTCACCCCTGTCCTGAAAGCTAAGACTTTCACATAGAAAGAAGGGTCCCTAGCGACTGAGGGTTTAAAGTGCCAGGAGGAAGTGGAAGGGCCCTGCAGACAATCTGTGTCCAGGGTCCAAACTTTTCTCTGTCAGCCCTGCCCCATTTGCAAGCCCCAGAGCAGCAACCTGGAAGAGCAGAGCCATAAAGAGCGGGGCTCCTAGAAGGGAGCGAGCCTGGCTTCAGGATCAACTTTTCTGCTGGGGCAGATGGCGGCATGCAACCGAGGTCCTAGGGCACGGATGTAAGCATGTATGAGAGGTCCTCCTGGGGACCTGGAGGGGCTTCGTGAGTGTCTGGGATCTGCCCTCCTCTGAGGTCTCTTCCTGGAGGGAGAATAACACACCTGCACTTTGTCACCCAAGGCCAGTCCGCTTCCGTCACCCTTGCCCCCAAGTCCCGCTTCCTCATGACGGAGTACCAAAAGCATGGGCCACTCGTGCCTTCAGCAATTGTTTATGTGCCAGGCACTGTCTGGGCAGCAGGATGTCGCTGCGAGCCCTCTCCCAACACCTGCCGCGCATGTACTGTGCCCGCGACTTCGCCGCGGCTCAGTGGGTGGGTCCAGTCCTTCCAGCCCTCGCCATCCTCCCCACCACAGATTCTGCCTCCTGGCACCTTTGCCTTGCCCAGCAGGCTGTGAGGCTTCGCATAGACGCTGCCACCCACCCGCATCCTCCTAATGTGACTGTAGATTGCCTCAAGCAAAGCTTTAAGAGCACACATCCACATTCGTTCTTGGACCTAATCTTTGCTCAATTGGTCTGGATTTGGGATATGAACTCTTTGGTTTTGAACACCCTGGGACCACAAGCCAGTTGTAAATGCTCATGACAGCCAGAAAGGCCTGGAACAGGAGGAACATAAAAAACAAGAAGGAGAGCAGAGGGTGGGCTGTCCCAGAGGAAGAGAAGTGACAGGAGGCTGGCACCTCCTCCAGACGAGGGCTGGACAGGGTGCTGCACAGATTGTCCAGGTATGGAGCAGAACCAAAACCTAACAAAGGCCAGGAGGGACCAGAGCCGTTTGGGAAAAGTGGAAGCAGTTTGGCGTCGCTGGTATTTTCTGGGTGTCTCGAGATGAGATGCAAGCTGATATTATATTAGACGCATTTGAATTGTAGCTTAGAGTGTCAGACTATTTTACAATGCTTTAAAATTCTAGCTTTGTTTCACAACGTTCCTATAAAGCAGACAGGGAGCACTGTTTTCATTTTATGGACTGAGCCAAGCACACGGCCGACTCGCTCCCGGTCAGGTAGAGTTAGAGAATGAGCAGAGATGCAAACTCTGCAGCTGCTGCTTCCCAGTGTTGGCAAAGTCCACAGGATGGGTCCTTCCAGGCTGGGGCCTTGGGCTTGTCACCGCCTCCTTTCCAGACCCCACCCTCGGGCCCCCTAGGATGCAAGGGGGAATGAGCAGAGGGGCCCAAGGAAATGGGGGACCCAGCTAAACAAGAGGAGCTGACAGAGCTGCTGGGAGTGGGAAAGGAAAAATCTCAGCCTTTGCCCAGGAAGCATCCGAGGCACCCAGACTGCAGGACATCTTCCAGTCACTCTCAATGGCCACCCACCCCTCAGGTGCACCCCCTGCCACTCATATGAAGCTGGAACACACAGATATCCATATCCAAAAAAATGAGCCTCCCCTCCCTTATACCAGATACAAAATTTAATTCAAGTGAATTATTGACTTAAACGTAATAATGAAAACTATAAACTCCTACATTTGGGCAGGCAAAGATTTTTTAGGCAGCACACAGAAAGCACCAGATTCTATCAAATAAAAATTATTAAGAAAATTAGGCTGGGTGTGGTGGCTCATGTCTGTAATCCCAGCACTTTGGGAAGCCAAGGCAGGAAGATTGCTTGAAGCCAGGAGTTTGAGACCCGCCTGGGCAAGATGGCAAGATCCTGTCTCTACAAAAAAATTTTTTCATTAGCCAGGCACTCCTGTAGTCTCCGTTACTTGGGAGACTGAGTCAGGAGGATCACTTGAGCTCAGGAGTTTGAGGCTGCATTGAGCTGTGATCACGCCACTGTACTCTAGCCTGGGCAACAGAGAGAGATCCTGCCTCTAAAAAAAAGAAGAAAGCAGCCAGGTGCAGTGGCTCATGCCTGTAATCCCAGCACTTTGGGAGGCTGAGGTGGACAGATCACCTGAGGTCAGGAGTTCAAGACCAGCCTGGCCAACATAGCGAAACCCCATCTCTACCAAAAATACAAAAACTTAGCCGAGTATGGTAGCAGGCACCTGTAATCCCAGCTACTTGGGAGGCTGAGGCAGGCGAATTGCTTGAACCTGGGATGCGGAGGCTGCAGTGAGCCAAGACTGTGCCACTGCACTCCAGCCTGGGCAACAAGAGCGAAACTCCATCTCAAAAAAAAAAAAAAAAAAAAGCAAGAAGAAGACAGGTAACGAGAAAATTAACAGGCAACAGAGAGACTGGGGAGAAAATATGTGCAATACATATAGCTGACAAAAGAATTGTATCCAAAATATGTAAAACACTGGTACAACTTGAAAATAACATGAAATAACATAAAATTTAGAAACACAAATGACCCAATGAAACTATGGGCCACAGGCCGATATTCCACATAAGAAGATACACAAATGGTCAATATGTGAAAAAATGGCCTTGGAAGAGTAACTTAGTCTTCCCAAGCCTCAGTTTTCATATCTGCAAAGTGAAGATAAAAATAACCACACCAGGCCAGGCGCAGTGGCTCATGCCTGTAATCCCAGCACTTTGGGAGGCCGAGGCAGGTGGATCACCTGAGGTTGGGAGTTTGAGACCAGCCTGACCAATATGGAGAAACCCCGTCTCTACTAAAAATACAAAATTAACCAGGCATGGTGGCGCATGCCTGTAATCCCAGCTACTCAGGAGGCTGAGGCAGGAGAATCACTTGAACCCAGGAGGCGGAGGTTGCCGTGAGCCAAGATCATGCCATTGCACTCCAGCCTGGGCAACAAGAGCGAAACTCCATCTCAACAAAAAAAATAAAATAACCACACTGTTCACCTCACAGTCTTTAAAAATTGTGGTAATAAACACACAACATAAAATGTACCATCTTAATCATTTTTAGACCCACAGTTTAATAGTGTTAACTCTATTCATATCGTTGTGCTCTCTAGAACTTTTTCATTTTGCAGAACTGAAACTACATTATACATGGACTCCTCATTCCCCCTCTTCCCGGCGCTGACACCCACCATATTCTACTTTCTGTTTCTGTGGGTTTGGCTACTTTAGACTCCTCATAGAAGTAGAATCATAATAGTATTTGTCCTCCTGTGACTGGGTTATTTCACTTAGCATCATGCACTCAAGTTTCGTCCGTGCTGTCACATGGGACAGGATTTCCTTCTTTTTTTAAGACCGATTAACATTCTCTTGCATGTGTATGTCACGTTTTGTCTATTTATTTATCAGTCCATAGACACCTGGGTTGCTTCCACATCTTACTATTGTGAGTAATGATGTGATGAACACAGATGTGCAAATATCTCTTCAAGACCCTGATTTCAATTCTTCTGGGTCCCAGAAGTAGGATTGCTGGATCATATGGTAACTCTATTTTTAAGTTTTGAAGGAACCTCCATACTCTTTTTCACAGTAGCTGGACCATTTTACATTCGCAAGAGTGCACAAGGGTTCTAATTTCTCCACATCCTCACCAACATTCATTATTTTCTATTATCGTTGTTTTGGTAGTAGCCATCCCAATGGGTGTGAGGTAATATCTCATTGTGGTTTTGATTTGCATTTCACTTGAGAAGCGATGTTAAGTATATTTTCATATGCTTCTTGGCCATTTGTATATGTTCTTTGAAGAAATGTCTATTCAAGTGCTTTGCTCATTTTTAAATCAGGTTATTTGGGGCTTTTTGTTGTGGCTGAGTTGTAGCAATTCTTTATATATTCTGTATATTACCCACTTGTTGCATATGTGATTTGCAAATATTTTCTCCCATTGCATAGGTTACCTTTTCATTCTGTTGATTTTACCTCATAAGATTTTTTAAATGGCTGTATTGAGGTATTGTCAGCTTACAATAAACTGTGCACATTAGAAGCACACAGTTTTGTAAGTTTTGACACAGGCATGTTTTGATATAAAGGTTCTTTTGATGGCAGGATGCAACCCAGTGCAACTCAGATAGATGAAAGCAGCAGTCTTTGCTACTTCCAAATGAGAGAAAGCTGTTAGGCAGGGCCACATAGAGGGTTGCCTGGGGACAGGGTAACAGCAAGCTGGAGCTGTGGGGGCAGTTTCTGTATTACCAGCAAGGTGGGAGTAGATGGTGTTGAAAGAAAACCTTCAGACAAATTAAACTTAGCAGAGTTATATAAGCAAAGAACAATTCATGAATTGGGCAGCACTCAGATCCAGAAGGGGTTCAGGGAACTCTGCCCAGCAGTGTGAGCAGCAAGATTCTACAGGCTGAGCTTTTATAGGCTGAACATGGAAGCAAAGTAGGGAAATCCCCTGATTGGCTACAGCTAGGCATCTGCCTTATGTGGGCATGGTGTCAGGAGTTGGCTGCCTATGATTGGCTGAGCCTCAGCTGTGGTACTCCTAAGTTAGGTTTCAATTTGTTTACATAGTAAGTTAGGTTGCAATACATTATGCAAGAACTGTAAGTACAGAAACAGCTTCAGGTAGTGGTCTCCTACTTATTTAATTTCACACTAGGTTTTGGGTATTCCTTGTGGATTGGCTAATTTGAACAGTTCTGCAGACTCTAAGGCACAGGGGCTCTCCCTAGTTGTCTGGTACCTGGCTCTGGGGTGATTAGCACAGGTATATAGCAGCCCCTGAATGTGATTGTGTAATCAGCTGCTTACGAAGGGGAACTGACTGGCCTCTGGCCAGGGCCTCAAAACTGGGGCAAGACAGCACTTTTACAAATATAAACATATATGTTATATGAAATATATATCAATGTATTCATGTGTAAAACTCTCACTATAGTCAAGATAACGAGCATATCCACACCCCCAGAAGTTCCTTGTGCCCCTTTGCCATGGCCCCCTGTCTGCTCACACCTTCTCATCCTTCATCCACTTCCTGTCACTGCAGGTGAGTTTGCATTCCCTATCATCTTGTACAAATGAAACCAGACAGTAGGTGCTCTCTTTCTGCCTGGCTCCTTTCACTCACCATAATGACTTTGAGACTTGTGCATGTCATCTCCTGCATCAGGCATTCTTTTTTTTTTTTTCATTTCTGAGTAGATTTCACTGAATGGAGATACCACATTTTTTTATCCACTTGTTTAAGAACATTGTAGTTTGCCTACAAGAGTTTGCATGAGGCCAGGCCCAGTGGTTCACACCTGTAATCCCAGCACTTTGGGAGGCTGAGGTGGGTAGATCACGAGGTCAGGAGTTCGAGACCAGCCTGGCCAATATGATGAAACCCCGTCTCTACTAAAAATACAAAAATTAGCTGAGCATGGTGGTACATGCCTGTAATCCCAGCTATTCAGGAGGCTGACACAGGAGAATCGCTTGAACCCGGGAAGCGGAGGTTGCAGTGAGCTGAGATCACACCATTGCACTCTAGCCTGGGTGACGAGAGCAAAATTCCGTGTCAAAAAAAAGAAAGAAAGAAAAAAAAAAGACTTTGCACAGACACGTGCTTTCATTTCTCTTGGATAGATACCCGGGAGTGGCATGGCTGGATCATATGGTTAGTGTATGTTTATTTTTATATGGTACAGACTCTAGATATGAAGTATGTTTTCATTTTAAAGTTATTATACAGCAATATCGAATTTGGAGGGTGAATATTAACAGCTATATAGATTCATGTAACTGCCACCCCATTCAGGATATAGAACATTCCTATCACTCCAAAACTCCCTCATTCTACCCCCTGATAGTCACATCTTTCCATATCCCCAAACTCTGGCAGCCACTGATTTGTTCTCCATCACTATCTTTTTGTCTTTTTGAGAATTTCTTTTTAAATTTTTTTCACCACTGATCAGAAGGCAGAGAGTTTTATTTAAAGGTGTGTGCCAGTAATCCCAGCTACTCAGGAGGCTGAGGCAGGAGAATCGCTTGAACCCGGGAGGCAGAGGTTGCAGTGATCCAAGATTGCACCACTGCACTCCAGCCCTGGTGACAGAGCAACACTCCATCTCAAAAATAAAAAAAATAAAAATAAAATAAAGGGAATTGGGCAGCATGTAGCATTTAACAGACTTCTTTCACTAATCCTCTGATATTAAACCTGGTTGTTGAGTGCACCAATAGTTTGTTCCTTTTTATTGCTGGGTAGTATTTCACGGTATGAATGGACCACAGATTGTTTATCTATCACCTGTTGGAGGACATTTGGGTTGGTTCCAGTTTTTAGCAATTGTGAATAGGGCTGCTATAATAAACTTTCATTTCAGGCTTTTGTGTGAACAGAAGTTTTTAGGTTTATGAAGTAAATTTCAGGAGTGAGGTTGCTGGATCATATAGGATGTGTGTTTAACTTTTTTTTAATAGACTTTATTTTTTGGAACAGATTTAGGTTGACAGCAAAATTGAGCAGAAAGTACACAGATTTCCTATATGGTCCCTCCCCCTCTCCTCCCCGACATGCACGGCCTCCCCACTATCGATGTTCTGTGGCAGAGCACACATTGTTACCATCTATGGCCTACATTTATACGTCATAATCATCCAAAGTCCATAGTTTAGGGTTCACACTTGCTATTTGTATTTTATGAGTTTTGACAAATGGATCATGACATGTCCACCCTGATACCTTTATACAGAATTGTTTCACTGCCCTAAAACTCCTCTGTGCTTCACTGATTCATCCCTCCCTCCCCACTAACTCTTGGCAACCACTGAGATTTTTACTGTCTCTGTAGTTTTGCCTTTCCCAGAACATCATGTAGTTGGAATCATACAGTATACAGCCTTTCAGACTGCCTTCTTTCACTGAGTAATAGGCATTTAAGTTTCTTCCGTGTCTTTTTATGGCTTGATAGCTCATTTCTTTTTAGTGGTGAATAATATTTCATTGTATGGATGTACCACAGTTTATTTATTCATTTACCACTGAAGGGCATCCTAATTGCTTTCAAGTTTTCGTAATTAGGAATGAAGCTGCTATAAATGTCTGCATGCAGGGTTTTGTGTGATCATAATTTTGTTTTTATTTTTGAGATGGAGTTTCGCTCTTGTTGCCCAGGCTGGAGTGCAATGGCATGATCTTGGCTCACTGCAACCTTCACCTCCTGGGTTCCAGTGATTCTCCTGCCTCCAGAGTAGCAGGGATTACAGGCGCCCACCACCACACACAGCTAATTTTTGTATTTTTAGAAGGAGTGACACCATATTGGTCAGGCTGGCCTTGAATTCCTGACCTCAAGTGATCCACCCACCTCAGCCTCCCAAAGTGCTGGGATTACAGGTGTGAGACACCACACCCAGCTGATCATAAATTTTTAGCTCATGCAGGTAAATACCATGATTGTTGGATTGTATGGTAAGAGTATGTTTAGTTTTACAAGAAATTGCCAATTTTTTTTTCCAAATTGGTTGTAGCATTTTGCATCCCACCAGCAATTGATGAGAGTCCTCACCAGTGTTTGCTGGTGTTGGCGTTTCAAATTTTGGGTACTTGAATACTTTTGTAATAATATCTCATTTTGTCATAATGTTTGACTTTTTAAGGAACTGTGAAACTGTCTTCCAGAGTGGCTGTACCATAAGCAATGCCTGAGAGCTGCAGTGGCTCCACATCCTTGCCAACATTTTGTGTGGCTACTCTTTTTAAATTTTAGTAACAAAGTTTCTGTCCATTTGACCCAGCAATCCCATTACTGGGTATATACTCAAAAGAATATAAATCATTCTACCATAAACATACATGCACATGTATATCCATTGCAACACTATTCACAATAGCAAAGACATGGAATCAACCTAAATGTCCATCAATGATAGAGTGGATAAAGAAACTGTGGTACATATGCACCAGGCAATACTATGCAGCCATAAAAAAAGAGCAAGATTGTATCCTTTGCAGGAACATGGATGGAGGCCATTATCCTTAACCAATTAATGCAGGAACAGAAAGCCAAATGCTTCCCATTCTCACTTATAAGTGGGAGTTAAATGATGAAAACATGGGGACACATACAGGGGAATAACAGACATTGGGACCTACCTGAGGGTGGAGGGTGGGAGAAGGTTAGATTAGAAAGAATAGCTATTGAGTACTAAGCTTTTGTACCTGGGTGACTAAATAATCTGTACAATAAACCCTGTGCCATGAGTTACCTATATAAAAAACCTGCACATGTACCTCTGAACCTAAAATTAAAGTTAAAAAAAAAAGAAACACAGGTTCTTATCAGCTTTTTAATGCTTACATAATAAATAGAGCACAGGCATGTTTCACTGAGTCCTCTGCTTGGGTCTCAGCCAAGCTCTAATCCAGGTGTCTGGCTGGCTAAGTTTGCATTGAGCTTTAACCAGAGAAAAGATCCACTTCCAAGCTCACTCATCTTATGGGCAAGATTCAGTTCTTTGCAGTTGTTGGACTGAAGGCTTCAATTTCCTGTTGTTCAGAGACCACCTCAGCTCCTAGAGGTGCCCTTAGTTCCTGCCACGTGGGTTATCCAACATGACCACGTGCCTTCTCAAAACCAGCAAAGCAGAGAGAGAGAGAGTCCAACAAAACTGATGTTAAATTTTACATTATTGTAATCATGGACATCTGGCCACCTTTGCGGTAGTCAGTTGGTTAGATGCATGTCACAGATCCTTCCCACACTCATGGGGAAGGAATTGAACAAGGTCATGAACTCCAGGATGGGGGCGGCTTACTGAGGCCATTTGAAGAGTCTGTCCACCACAAATATAAAGCTGGGAAAGGCTATAATATACCAGCGAAACCAAAACAAATAAATAGAATTTTAACATGTAAAGGACAAAGAAATTATTCTGGGAATAGAGGAAATTGTCAAAAAATTATTATGAATTTGTACATTCTTAAAACCAAAACAGCATGATGTAAAAGAAAAGCAATCAAAAATAAGAAAGCACATATGAAAAATGTTAATCCAATAGTTGAACTATTTTAATAATCAATCATAAATAAAGACAGGAAAACTTCCAAGACAGTAGAGACTCATCATGTTTCTAATTTTTTTCATCAACATATTCAATAAAAAATAAATAGAGTGTATGCAGGACTTCAAAGTTATGATGGTAAATTCTACAAGAAATGAGGAGTGATTAATTATCTTTGAGGAATTGGGTGGGAGTGAGAGAAGGATAAGCTGTTTTATGATATCTTTTAATAGTAGATACAGTTCTTAAATATATGATTATATTGCTTTAACTTTAAAAAAAAATAGACAATGACAGTGCCAGGACTTTAACTTCAAGAATGAAAAACAAATCTAAGAGAACCATAGAATGGCATTACCTTGACAAATATAACCTGTTCTATATTTTGGCTCCCTGTCCTATGGATTCAGATCCCTGGCTTTTCAATGAATGCATCTGTAGTAGTAGACTCACATTAATCAATGTAACAGAGACTGATGTATAAACCGTAACACTAACTTACAATTTATAGTGAAGTACACAATCACCAGAGACCATTTTTCTTCATAGAGAGCCTAGGAATCCAAACTATAATCAGAGAATTGCAATGGTAGATCTGGGCTCACAACAAGGGAGTCAGCTGGATAAATGGGATATATGGAATCTTTTGATGGAAGAGTCTTGTTTAGGGTATGGGAATATTTATCGTCCTTGCCCCTAGACTAAGTTTCTATAGGCCCAGCCAATCTTTGTCTCTGTGACCCTCCTTTTACTCTGCTTACTTGGCTGATAAAATTGGCCCTTCATTTACACACCTAATTGATTAAGACATGACATCATTCAGGTCGTTGTCAAGTTAAGCTTTCCTGGGCACTACTCTGTGTCATTAAGAAAGGTTTGCACATCTTTGCCCTGATCAGCTACTTCTGTATTGTAAGGTTTAACTCTCAGGGAACAATCGTAGTTTGACTATTTTCAAGTGGTTAAGAAATCATTCCACTATTTTCCCAAAGTACCAAAATAGATATTAATAGAATATTGGCTAAGATAACCCTGTTTCCAATATTAATTGATTAGTCTATTTTAAAATAACTCTGTTTAGAACTACTTTAAGTTATCTTTAATTAAAAACAGAGGCTTTTACTCTCTACTTATTTGATAGTGATTAATGAGCACTTTAAAAGTGCTTCATCTTCCTAAGAATTAAGCTCAGAAAAAACTCTAAACTCCCCATAAAATAAAGAGAAGAAATAAATTATTTTCTCAGCTGCTATCTCCTCAAATATTGCTTCTGTCCATTTTCTTTCTTCTCTCATCCTGAAACTCTGGTCCTTTCGCCATGTATTTCAAGTCTAATATTCTCTCTTGTCTTTCTCATCTTTAGTCTCTGCTTGCTTAAATCTGGCTATTTTCTTGTGGTCTATCTTCCAGTTTAATAATTCTCTCTTCAGCTGTTTCCATTCTGTTGTAAAACATGCTCCTTGCATTTTTAATTTGTTATTGTATTTTTCAGTTCTAGAATTTCTTTTTTTCCCCCAAAGCTGCTCTAACTTCCACAGATGAATATGTTTGGTATTCTATTAATATTTTAAATCTTGTTTTTCATATCCTTGAACACCATAAACACAATTATTTTGGAGACTGTGTCTGATAATTATTTTATTTAGGGTGCTTGTGTGCCAGATCTTTCTGCTAGTTCTAAGTTAGGTTGTCACGTCTCCTGTGCTTCTGGCAATCTTTGATAAAATGCCAAACAAGTATTTAAGAGATTGCTTAGAAACAATTTGAGACTTGATAGGATGTTGCTTTCTCCAGAGATTATTTTCTTTTATTTCAGCCAGGTGCCTGGAGATACCATCAATCTGGGATTACCTTAATACAATTTCAGTGGTGATATTTTTTAGGGCCACTCAGGTGTCTTGAAGCTGAGACAAGTATATGGGAGAACAGGTTTACCTTTAGTTCCTCCTTACTCCTCACTCAAAAGAGTTGGGATCCCAACTCAGTTTCAGGGTTTTATGAAGGCCTTAATCTTGGCAGAACTTGGACTCCTGCACTTGACTTCCTGCCTCATGAGGGAGCCAAAAGTGTTGCTCGGCTTCCCAGCCTCCTCTTCCTGAAAAAGCAGAAACCCCCAGACACAGCCAGCACCCGATGCCAGCTGCACTTCTCTAGATTTCTTTCTTTTCCTAGATCTTCATCCAGACAGTGTTACCACCTTGTTACAGCTCCAATTCCTTTAAACACTTTTAAAAGACATTTTATTCAGCTTTAGAGTTGTTTTCATTTGGATTATTGATCCAAATTATCTAGTCAGTCCAAATAACTAGAGGTGGAAATCACTTAAAACTCTGATGAATAAAGATGAGTGATGTGTCCTTTTTCCATGAATACATTTCTCCAAGCCTCAGTTTTAAAATGTTCCATACTTTAAATATTTACACTTCAGTTTACAATCTATAACCACCCACTTTAATAAACTCAAAGTCCAAAGTGTTAATTAGGACTCACACCACAGCAGTTTTTTTTTCCTTGCCATTCATTCAACATTCTTGCCCATAACCTGAACATCCTCAAACAAGAAATGGGGTTCATTCCTAACAAGAAAAACACTTAGATGGATAAACAGTTGTGTCTATTCAGATGGGACACAGCTCAGAGTTTTAAGAGAGGGTTTGTAATATGAACACACTCATGCACAGCTCTGCTGTTAGATGTGGGTTGTGTAGGATCATGAGGAGGTCTTTGGCTTTTAGCATGGCACAGTTAGTCTTTACCAGATGTGGGGAGTGGGGAAGAGAGGGCTTGAAGTGGATGTATCTGATGGTAAGAGATGGTCACAGGCCATGCCTCTCCCTAATCTCCCTCCTCTCTGCTTACAGAAAACCCATGCCTGCTCCATGAACCCAGCTTTTCTTCACCAGCCATTGGCAGCATGAATCCATGGCATGCAAAGCTAAAGGGGGTCAAAGGTTGGAACTGAGATCTGGGGTGGGGTACAATAAAAGGGCTTGGCTGCCAGAGTAAATGCTCTTCTGAAGTGGCGAACAGCCATATTAGGAGGCGGTCTGTTTCTGTGATGTCAGGAGAATAGCTTTAGCAGCTGTGATTGTGCGGTCAGACAAAGCTAGGAGAGATTCCTGTATTCAACGGCATTTCATTTTACAATCTATAAGGTGTGGGGCCCTAAAAGGGAAAATATAAAAATGTGGGATTGCCATTCAATTCAAGGGTCTTTAGGACTCATGCTAAAGCAAAGCCCAATCTAGTGAAAGAAGCACAGAGCAGGTGGAGAGCTCAGACTTCCACAAGAAGACAGAGGAATCAATCAAGTCTCTTTCCTGAGGACTTTGGCTGACGACTTGCCCTTTGCTTAACTTTTGGGGTCCATGACATGGTGCCTCCATGAAGAGGTTTAGAAGAAGGCCAGCACAGCCAGCAGCTGGAGGAGGGACAGGGGGGATTTTGGGGAGTCTTCGAGCCAGATACTGAGAGGGAGAAAGAGAATTTGGATTTTAAGTAGTTTTTCTGTGTGCTATGGAATAGCTTGTTCTGTTTTATGAGAATGTATAAAGACATACAGAGCTTCTTCCTTTCTTCCTGTTTACTTTTAGTCATCTGCCAGTGTTTTCTGAATACCAAACCTTGTGAAGATGAGCGTTGGGAAAGGAGTAGGAAGGTCCCAATTTGGAATTTTGACATCCTAAAAGCCTTGGGTGCCGCAGAATGAGTAAGCTGGAGGGTACTGTGTAAAGACCTCGGCTACTGCAGCAGAGAAACAGATCAAAAAAGTCAAGACCGGCGAGAGGAAAGTGATTGAAAGGCCATCACTGAAAGAGGTGACAAGCTTGGATTTGGCAGGGCAGGAGGGATGCAGAGAGGGACGGATGTGAGAGTCCACAGGAAGAAGCCTTCTGATTGAAAGGGTGCTTGGCTGTGGATGTGAGGGACAGAAAGGGGTCGAGGCTGTCACTGAGATCCTCAGCTTCAGCAAGGGGATGCATGGTGCCTTAATTTACTGTAAGAACATGGAAGAGGCACAGGTTTAGGGGGCGATATGGAGCCCCATTGTGGAAATGCAGGGTCTGAGGAGTGCCTGGCCTTCTGCTGGCGCTGCCCAGGAGAGCACTGGAGGAGCAGACGTGGCCTCCGGGAGATGCTGAGCCAGGGCTGAGGACATGAGATGCGCAGGGAGGGCAGACACTCCCACCAGGTCAGAGGAGAGACAGGGAGGCCAGCCCTGCCAAAGCCAGGCCTCAGTTTATTTGTAGAGTGAGAGCTTGAATTTCAGGATCACAAAAGGTTTTTTCCAAGAGCCAAAAGGACTTAGTTTCTAACTGTTCTCCTCCCTCCTTTTTGTGGCTGACAATGAACAACCTAATCCCCTTCCTTTCTGAATAATTCTCCCTGCCCAGTGACTCACCCAGGTGCAGATGAGACACAGAGCTCATGGTTGCCTCCTGTGAAGTGCAGGAAGGATGGAGCAGACAGACCCAAAAGCACTGGCCTCCCAGATGAATCAGGAGGGATGTGCAGGCTGGGTGACGTCTGCCCCGGAACCAGGAAAGTGCGGCTGCTTCCTCCACACCCCGCCCGCCGCCCAGGACCCAGGGCCCTTCTGAAAAGTGAGCATTGTGTTGTTCTTTAGACTTATTTTATATGAAAGCACATCACGCTCTAAGAAGAGTCACCCAGGCTTTCTGTTCTCAGGTGGAGCCTCCCTACACCCTACGCACACGGCGGCTGTTCCCCACGACACAGCGGGGGGCAAATGACCACCAGGAGCCAGGGAGTCCCAGGGAAAGGACGCAGATGGCTCGTGTCCTGGAATTTCATGGGAGCCATTTGAAATCATCAGCAAATGACGCCCGAGTCTATAAGGGACCTCAGCGCAGGGGCTGGATGAGACAGGGTGGGCAGCCACAAAACAGGGTGGTGAAGGCCCGAGGCCAGGAGGGCTGGGTTAGCACTCGGCCACCAGAGGGAAGCAAGCAAGCTCCCTCCCTCTCTCTCTTTCTCTCTGTCTATGTGTCTTTCTCTCTCCCTCTCTGTCTCTCTCCATCTCTCTCTCCACCCACACCTCCTGAGGATTGTTGGGTTTTCCCATGGACTAGGGTTAGACAGCCAGCGAGTCTGAACGGAAGGCGCCAGGTGTGGCAGTGGGGAAGTGAGGTGGGGCCTGGAACACAAGGGCAAGGGCCTCTGGGAGGACCGCGCAGGCTCGGCACACTGAGCGGACTGACTGCAGACCCTCCTCCCACACCAGGGGGACCACCTCTCTGTGCAAAGATGTCCTCACTTGATATTCTCAATTCTTTGAGGTCAAGGTTTTATTAACACTCCCTGAAAAGTGGGAGAGCTTAGTGATAAGACTGTATCATTTTTGCAAGACACAAAGCAAGCACAGCTGGATGGCATGTGCCAGCTCCCTCACCATGCTGAGCACTTTTACTCACATCTCACCCCTGCAGACAGATGCCAGTGTCCTCACTCACCCACTGGGGCAGACATTATTAGTTGCCAATGCAAGACCCATTTCCTCACGTCCTAACTAATAGAACCCCAACTGTGTCCAGGCAGGTGACGTGCCCAGCTAAAAATACTCACCTTTTCAGACTCCCTTGAAGTTAGTAGCGGCCACGTGATACTTCCAACAAATAAGACATACACAGAGATCTGCTGGGGCTTCTGTGAAAACTTTTACTTCCCTGAAACGGGTACCACCTTCCTTCTCCCATTCTTTCTTCCTCCTTGAAGCACAGAAGCAATGCCTGGAGCTGCAGCGGCCATTTTGTGATTGTGAAGCAATGACCTGAGGAATGAAGGCCAACATCAAGGATGGCAAAACAGAGAGAGGAAAAGAGCAATTGTCCCCTGATGGCATGGCTGGGCCACTGCCCCAACCCTGTGAGGCCATGTGACTCCTTATTACATGAGCACAGGCTAGTCGGGGTTTGTGCTATCTGCAGGTGAATGCTTGGAGATTGTACAAAAGTTTATACTGGAGGCTTTGGAATTCAATAGAAGTAGACCTGGGTTAAAGTCAGGAGGATATTTTGGCTGTCATTGGTATTGTTATTGCCGATAAGGACCCACAAGGCCACCACTAATGGGGCCTCCAGACCAGAGCCGTGCTGGGAGTTTTCCCTTGTCCCTAGAGCCTACGCTTGTGGCCACATTCCTGATCATGAATGTGACATGATCATGGAGTTCTGTGGGGTTTGCTGATGAGTTGGGCACCGTGGAGGCAGAATCTCGGCTTCTCTGGACCCCAGCTGTTGTTTATTTGTTTGATGTCCTTTTGTTTTTACTAAACATTAGGATGTCTTCCGGGTCTAAACTTCTCTACTCCCAGCTCAGGGTGGCACGATGGCCATTAGATGGAGTTGGAATGAGGAGGAAGATATATCCCACTGGAAAACTTTTTCTGACTCTGATAACATGACCTTGTATCATTGGGGTTGTGGGGAGGACTTCCACATACATAGAACACTATTTTGATCAGAGAAGTGTTTTATTTTTCTTCCTGTTTTACAAGAATGCACACTCAGTATAACTGGTATTTGTATGAACTCAGTCACCCTGAACCCAAATATTGACATTCCAGGTGAATTAGTCCTGCACTCGGGTCTGTTGGCTCACCTCAGGTGCCAGCATGTACTCGGGAAAGAGTGCCAGGCCCAGGTGAAGAGGGCCTGGGGCTCCTGAGGACGGCTGCCCAAAGCCCATGACCCTGCTCGGCGGGGCCCCAGATAAATTACTGGCGATTCTGTCCGTGGCCCTCCCTCTGCCAGCACTCAGCCTCAGGCCAGTCCTAGTGCTGCATTCCAGCTGATGGAACAGCAGGACACACGGCCACTGCTCTGCTGGACAGCCTTGGCTGCTCTCGTGTTCCTGCTGTGGGGCAGGAGGCAGGGCAGAGAGACTGAGGTTTGCAACTCTAACGACAGAGAACCAGATTGACTGTGTTTCGCCCCCAGATCTAGCTCAGCCCTGCTGGGTTTTCCACTCCGAGGAGGTCAGCGCCAAAGTGTTAATTTTGTATCTCTGGCTAGAGGCACAGTGCCTGCATGCAGTAGGCGCTCAGAGTTTGTTTCATTGAGAATTTTTGTACTATTTGAAATACCGACATACTTTTGTCTTTGAAGAAAAGGGTCCTTTATGTTATTTAAATGCAAACAGATACCTGGTGAGGCTAAAATCTTTCAGGCACTTGGTTTAAAACGCTTCAGGCTTTTAAACCATTCACATCACATGGTGTTTGGTGTTCACCGTGGGCACATTTTAGGCAGAGTTTGATACACACAACACACACATGCCACACACACCACACACATATACACACACATCACACATATACACACACACCACATACCACACACACCACACATATACACACACACCACACACCACACATACACACACACACCACATACTACACACACCACACA